>NT_167248.2:3363443-3987435 GCF_000001405.40 Homo sapiens | reverse complement strand
GGCCAATGGTTTAATCAACTCACCATGCTGACATAACAAAGCCTCCATTAAAACCCAAAAGGGCAGAGTTTGGAGAGTTTCCAGATAGCAGAACACGGAAAGATGCCTGGAGGATAGGCTCTTGAAGAAGGTGTGGAAGCTCCGCACTCTTTCCCCCATACTTTGTCCTATGTGTTTTGTTTTTCTTTATCAATCTGTTCGTCTGTATCCTTTGTCTTATCCTATGTAATAAACCAGTGTATGTAAGTAAGTGTTTCCCTGAGTTCTTTGGGCTGCTCTAGCAAATTAATTGAACCTGAGGAAAGGTTTGTGGGAACCTCCAATCTATAATTGGATGGTCAGAAGTACAGGTGATAGCAACTGGCATCTGAAGTGGGAAGGGGGCAGTTTTGCATGACTGATCCCTCAATCTGTGGGATCTGATGCTATTTTTAGGTAAATAGTATCAGAATTGAATTGATTTAGAGGAACCCGGTGTCTGCTGGAGAATTGCTTGGTGTGGGGGAAAAATCTCCACATACCTGATGTCAGAAGTAACTGTGTAAGACAGAAGGAAAAATGCTTTGGAGTTTTTTGTTTTTTCTCCCCATCTCTATTTATATAGGTTAAAAATGTGGCTGGGTGCATGCCCATGATCTGAGCACTTTGGAAGGCCCAGGCAGGAGGATAACTAGAGGTCAGGAGTTCAAGACCAGCCTAGGCAACACAGTGAGACCCCCCCGCATCTCTAAAAAACAAACAGAGACAAATACATAAATAAATCAGTACAAGTACAAGCCTCATAATCCATTATGAAAGTGTCAGAGTGATGAATGCCATGGGCATAGTAACAGTTAATAAAGAAAATAATGTGTTGGAGGAATATTTAAGATAACTGAGGCTGCTACAAGCAAAACTACAGAATAATTTCATCATATACATTTTTTTTTGTTTCCAAATTAGATACAAGATTAAGCCTTGGGTCTCCCTGGCAGTGGAGGGCGATTCTGATATTCACATATAACTACCCACAGGGCATGGATTCTGAGAGATGCTGATAAAAGAAGTTGGTGTCTTCTTGGCATTTGTCCCCAAGGATCTTCCAATACCCAGAGAATCTGCATTTACACAGATCATGCTCCCTTGGGAGCTTCTCTTGACTGCCCCCCACACCCTCATTCGTGGCTTTTCCTCTTTGATCTCCCACTTCAGTCCTCACACCTGTCAACACTGTGCTTATTACCATGTGGAGTGGTTAGAAGATCTTCCCAGAGTCAAGACATTTCCAGGGTCACCCTTCTCTTAGGCATTTCTTGGCACGACTGTCCTGAATAAAGGAAAGGAGATGAAGGTGATGTTGAGAAGCATCTAGAGGGCTGGAGTCAGGGGGAACCGGCTGAGGCTGTTGGATCAAGTTTTAGCCACTGGTAAAAGACCTCCAAGCTGCGAATGCTATTGCCATCTGTGTAAAGTCGCCTCCGAGATTAGAACATGCCAAAGACTGAAGAAAGAGGTCTAGGTAGCATAAAGCCATCATGTAATTGAAGTTTCTTCCGTTTCCAAGGACAGGAAGCGTGCAAATGGCTCTGCGTTCTCAGTAGGGGTGGGGCTAAGAAGTGAGCCTGCAAATGGTAGTTTGGGCGAAGACTTGTGTGATGCATGCAGGGACTCAAATTTAGTGTCCTCTGAACACAAACACCCTCTATGATCCGGGTTAGGTATCGCTCCTGTGAACGTTCAAAGAACACCTTTATATTCTGAGGGGACACCGTTCATCATCAGATCACTGTTGACGGAAGCCAGGTGACAGCTTTGTATTTCGTGTTTTCCCCTTTAGTAATGTAAAAATAGAAGTTATTTCTCCTTTCTTCCAATGTAGGATTTTTTTTTTTGAGAGGGTCTCTGTCACCCAGGCTGGAGTGCAGTGACACAAACACAGCTCACTACATCCTTGACCTCTTGGGTTCAGATGGTCCTCCCGCCTCAGCCTCCTTAGTAGCTGGGACGACAGGCACATTCCACCGGCCCGGCTAATTTCTTTTTAAAGTTTTTGTAGAGATAGGGCTCTCACTATGTTGCCCAGACTGGTCTTGAACTCCTGAGCTCAAGCGATTCTCTCACCTTGGCCTCCCAGAGTGTTGGGATTACAAGCGCGAGCCACCACACCCAGCCCAGTGTAGGAATGTTTAATTCCTCCACTTGCTATCAAAGAAAACTGCTAACTTTCTTATTTCCTAATTTCTCTTTTTCTATTTGCTTCTCCTTAGGTTCTGCTCTTGGGTGCTATCTCCTTAGTTTTGAGAATATGAAGGTTTGTTTAGAAAAAAAAAAGCAGAAAAAATTCACTGGAAGATTTCACATTTGTATATATCTTTATGAAATGTGACAGTGAAGTGTTAGGGTAGAGATATTTGATCTGATTACCATTAGGATAAAATCAAATCTCCTTACCATGTCTTACATGTGTACTTGTCCAATCTTGTCTCCTATAATTGTCCAACCAACCCGTTCTGTTCCAGCCTCACTGGCCTTCTTATTCTTTCACGAAGCTCACACTGTCCTCCAGAGCCTTGCACTCTCTTTTGCCTGGAATGCTCTCCCAGATCTTAACATGATAGGAAAACAAAAGACAACTGTTTGTCATGTCTACTACAGTCTCAGCCCCATGAGGCAGAGTCCATGCCCATTTTCCTTCCATGCAACATTCCTGGCACCTAGAGAGTGACTGATGCATAATGGCTGGTAAAATATTTGATTAAAAAATATTTTAGTGTATTTCCTCCCCCAAAATATACATACACAACAGAGGCAGTTATTTTGTCTATATCTTTAGCACATTTTAGGCATTTAGTAAATTTCTGTTGAATCCATATGGAATTCTTCAGATTGATCTGTGAACACTTTAGATTTGAAAAAGGAGAAAATCATAAAACTAAGGGTAATGGGGAGAGAGCAAAACCAAAGGCAGACATGGGAAGATTCTCCTTATACAAAATACTTTTTCCATGTCTATAATGAACCCCCAAATTATCTGGATACTTACAACAGTGGTAGCAAGGGAATGTCTCGTTAATGCAGGTTCTCTATTCTCCTCAATTAATTTCAGGTCCTTAATTGTGCATGACATATGAAACATAAAGGGTGTTTATTTGCTAATCACCAGCATTAATTAATTCAAAGACTTACCTGAGATTCTGTTTGCGCAATAAAAATTAAAAAGATTACTCAGTAATACATTGGGAGAGGTGTAACTGGGGCATTAAAATACGAATGTGTGTCTAATTTTCAAACATCATAAGTATTTTGAAAGCACTTATACATAATCAATTAATATATGTTGTTAACTAAATTCATATGAATAATATGTGATATAAATTAGTGTTTTGTATTAATTTCAAGACAATTAGAAAGAGAATGTCACCATCACTCTTTTGATTCAATCAACAGTCCTTAGACTGGTTCCTTGTAATGAATTTAATGGGTTAGTAAAAGCTGTGTTATTTGAAATTATGTAATTTTGTTTTTTTAATATTTTGCTCAAATACTTTTCTTATTAGTGTAAATGACTGAAGTATTATGTAAATTTTAATACTGATTATCTAAGGTATATCATTAAAACAAATTATGAGCTGTGATCTTGGGCAAGGTACTCAAACTGAAAGATGTTTTCCTTATCTGAAAATTTAGATAATAATAATTACCTCATAGTCTGTTAAGAAAAGCACATGTGATAATATATTTTAATGTACAATATGTCTGGCACATATTAAGGTCTAAAAAGGATAACTGTTACTGTTATACCAATAAATATAATAATTTTGATAAATATAATAGTAATTTAAATATATTTTTTCCAACATTTATTTTAAGTTCAGGGGTACATGTGCAGGATGTGCAGGTTTGTTACATAGGTAAATGTGTGCCATGGTGGTTTGCTGCACAGATCATCCCATCACCTAGTTATTAAGCCCAGCATCTGTTAGCTATTCTTCCTGATGCTCTCCCTCCTCCCATCCCCTACCTCCGACAGGCCCCAGTGTGTGTTGTTCCCCTCCATGTGTCCAAGAGTTCTCATCATTCATCTCCCACCTATAATGAGAACTATAAACTCATAATTCAGCTCCCACCTATAAATGAGAACATATGATATTTGGTTTTCTGTTCCTGTGTTAATTTGCTAAGGATGGCCTCCAGCTCCATCCATGTCCCTGCAAAGAACATGATCTTATTCCTTTTCATGGCTACATAATGCACCACATTTTCTTTATTTAGTCTACCATTGATGGGCATTTGGGTTGATTCCATGTCTTTGCTATTGTGAATAGTGCTGCAATGAACATATGCATGCATATGTCTTTTATAATAGAGTAATTTATATTCTTTTGGTTATATACCCAGTAATGAGATTGCTGGGTCAAACAGTATTTCTGTCTCTAGGTCTCTGAGGAATTGCCACACTGTCTTCCACAATGGTTGAACTAGTTTACACTCCCACCAACACAACCTCTCCAGCATCTGTTGTTTTTTCACTTTTTAATGATAACCATTCTTACTGGTGTGAGATGGTATCTCATTACGGTTTTGGTTTGCATTTCTCTAATGATCAGTGATATTGAGCTTTTTTTCATATGTTTCATGGCCACATGTATGTTTTCTTTTGAGAAGTATGTGTTCATGTCCTTTGCCCATTTTTTAATGGGTTTTTTCTTGTAAATTTAAGTTCCTTATAGATGCTGAATTGTAGATCTTTGTCAGACGCATAGATTGAAAAATTTTCTCCCATTCTGTGGGTTGTCTTTTTACTGTGTTGGTAGTTTCTTTTGCTGTGTAGAAGCTCTTTACTTTAATTAGATCCCATTTGTCAATTTTTGCTTTTGTTGCAATTGTTTTTGGCCTCTTCATCATGAAATCTTTGCCCATGCCTATGTCCTGAATGGTATTGCCTAGGTTTTCTTCTAGGGTCTTTATAGTTTTGGGTTTTACATTTAAGTGTTTAATCCAACTTGAGTTGATTTTTGTATATGGTGTAAGGAAGAGGTCCAGTTTCAATCTTCTGCATATGGCTAGCCAGTTCTCCCAGCACCATTTATTAAAGAGGGAATCCTTTCCCCATTGCTTGTTTTTGTCAGATTTGTTGAATATCAGATGCTAGTAGGTGTGTGGTCTTATTTCTGGGTTCTGTATTCTGTTCCATTGGTCTATATGTCTGTTCTTGTACCAGTACCATGCTGTTTTAGTTACTGTAGCCCTGTAGTATAGTTTGAAGTTGGGTAATGTGATGCCTTCAGCTTTGTTCTTTTTGCTTAGGATTGCCTTGGCTCTTCGAGCTCTTTTTTTGGTTCCATGTGAATTTTAAAATAGTTTTTTAAAAATTCTTTGAAGAATGTCAATGGTAGTTTAATAAGAATAGCATTAAATCTATAAATTGCTTTGGGTAGTATGGCCATTTTCATGATATTGATTCTTCCTATCCATGAGTATGGAATGTTTTTCACTTTGTTTGTGTCATCTCTGATTTCTTTGAAGAGTGATTTGCAGTTTTCCTTGAAGAGGTTCTTCACTTACCTTGTTAGCTATATTCCTAGGTATTTTATTCTATTTGTGGCAATTGTGAATGGGAGATCATTTGTGGGTAATTTAAATTTTTAAAATCAAATATTTTATCACTCATTATGCATTATTCTTCTCTGGGATAGATAGAGATTTCCCAGAACTCCGATAAGCTTTATTTTAACCTATTTACCTCTGATTAATCTGTTTCACCTCCCGGTTGTTACTGTAGTAACTGGGGTTATTAATAGCCTCAGAGCTACCAAGACTTCTCTGTAAAACTGATTATCTTTTTCAGGATAGCATCCTCTAAATGGTTATGCAAGATTTATGGTTAAGAATGGAAGTAGCTGATTAAATAATTCAATGAGCTTTACTCAACTATCTACTTTTCACAGCCTCTATTTTGTCCCCTGTGGAAGCACATAACAGGGCTTAGCTTTGGTGTTGTAGCTCTCTGTCAGAATACGCAATTAGTAGGTCTCATATATAAAATTTCATTTCATCTTAATATTAATCCCACCAAATGGAAGCTATCTAAACTTTAAAGTTAAAATGACTGAGGCTAACAGAGAATATGTGATTTGTTGAGGGTCACAAACTTAACGAATTCTCCAACTACGGGACAAATGCATTTTTCTCAAAATCTGTTACCTTTTATATTATATCCCAGTGTCTCATAGTGCCAAGACAAGGAAAAAATGAACAATTCTTAGACAATTATCTTCTTTTCCAGGGAATATCTTTCCATTTTCTTTTTCCCATCCCTCTCCTACCCTCCCCAGCTACAGTCAAACCTCAAATATAAGAACCAGAGAATTTAAATAAATGTCACAAGAAGAAACATCCTGAATCGTGTTCTTCTTCTGGTTCCTGAAACTTCCAAACATATCTTCAGCGTTATCACAAAGTTCAGTGATACTTAGGAATAACCTAGTGCTGGACACCAAGTAGATGACCAATGAATAATTTTTGTATTTTTAGTAGAGACGGGGTTTCACGATGTTGGCCAGTCTGGTCTCGAACTCCTGACCTCAGGTGATCCACCCGCCTTGGCCTCCCAAAGTGCTGGGATTACAGGCATGAGCCACCGCACCCGGCCCAGAAACAGATTTCTTATCTGAAATATCAGAAGGCAGAAAACAACAAGAGGGAAAAAAGGCTGCTAACTTAACGCATGGGGAAGCAGGGTGTGGGCAGGAAATGCAGTGTAAGAGAGGAGATTTGTACAGGGCGATGGAAGAGACAATGGAGAGAAGACAATCTGAGCAGAAGCTGTGAGGAGTAGATAGATGCTGGGGAAAGGGACTGCTAATTATGGTGTTATTTTAAAACTAGCTTTGTGTTTAAAATTCTCATTGCAACACCCTCAGAGACCTCCACTGCACTGCAAAAATCTTGGATTTATATTTTGTTTATCTTCTGGTGTAAAACTGAGCTGAAGCACACTGATTCTACTAGAAGAAGTCAATGTCCTAGGAAGACATTGACAGCTGTAGGGATGTTAACTGGGTCATCTTCACCAGTAGGTGGGGACATTGCACTTTAAAAATTCAAGGGAGCTGCTGCTTTCCCTTCTCTCCTGGCCCCTTGGCAGGTCTAGATTTGAGGGATCAGCATTTCTTGAGGGTGGTAACCCAGCCACTCTTTTTTCCCTTACTCTTCCTTCCATGTGTTCAAAATATGATGCAATCTGAGATGTGGTTATGGGTGTTTGAG
This sequence comes from Homo sapiens, assembly GCF_000001405.40. Taxonomy (NCBI): domain Eukaryota; kingdom Metazoa; phylum Chordata; class Mammalia; order Primates; family Hominidae; genus Homo; species Homo sapiens. Next base: position 3,980,187 of record NT_167248.2, on the reverse strand, counting down.
AAGCAAAGAAGCATGACTGGAGCAGGAGTTAAAGTCTGCTTTTGTTTGAGAACTGAAGAGCTCAGTCTTTTACACGCTTTCACAGATAAGAGATTGGTACTATAAAATTACATGCTTAAAACAAACTTCGCTGCTGTCATTCTAATGCAAGCCACTATCCTTTTTCACATTGAGCATCCTGCCACCATCTGCAGCATTCTTGATATTTCAGTAAGAATTAAATTTTATTTTGCAATCAGTATTTTAAATTTATCAGGATACCTGTATATAGTTTGAGGATTAAACAATAAAGATGTATTTTAATGAAAACAAGAGCCCTTCATGCCATTCCTTTCCTCCACTAGCATTATCCCCAGGTCAATGACTTTTAATGGTAATATGTGTATCTTTGTGTATGTGGGGTATTAATTTAGACATCAGTTATCTAATTATCTGAAAGCAGATAATTTAGACCACCAACAATTTTATGTCTCTGGCATCCTTCTTGCAATTTTATTATATTACTATGTTTAGTTCCTCTGTAGGTAATCCCTGTATTTAAAAAAAAAACAAAGAAAACCTACACCTAAGTATATTGTATTTAAACTGTAAAAAAAGTTGAAATACATAAATACTGCTTAGAAAAGCAAAGTGGGATGGGAAAAGTACAAGTTATTACATTTTAGTATATTTCTTAAAAATGAATATAACAGGTAGATATTTGTTAGTATGCATTACAAAATTTGGGCAACATAGTTATGAAGTATATTTGGATATTTTTCAATACATATATTACACAAAGGAAGAAATAAAGTACTGCTCAAATCAATGGATTAAATAACCTAGTTGAAATATTGGAAAGTAGATGAACAGTAATTCACAGAAGAAACTCAAATGGAAAACAGCATATGCAAAGATGGCCAACTTTCTCTATAATATTTGACACAGTAATATTATGTCATTTCAGTTTAAATAAAATTATACATTGATAAAAATGTGAAATCACGTCTTTGAGGGGTTACTAAGAAACTGTCTAGAAGCATTGTTCTAGAAGCTGATGTGGTTTTGGAAGATCAAGTGTGAATGTCCAAAGGCACTTCTGTTGAATAAAACGCCAAGTGGAGGAATTGAAGATCCCTGATTGTGGAAGTATCCAACTGTTTAGAACTCAACTGAAATCCTGAATGATAGTTCTCTACATGTAGCAGGAGGAGCAAGTGACTCATGGAAATAACGGGTTTATTTAAATAAAGATAGCCTTTATGTGGACATCAAATTCATCAATGAATGTATCCATTTATTTGTCAAATAATTATTTAGCTCCTACTAAGTGCTACATGCTATTCCAGATAACTTAGTCAAAAAGGCAAATGTGTCCCTACCTTTATGAGCTTTAATTCTAGCAGGAACTAAAAAAAGTCACATAATAAACAGACATAAAATGCAGTGTTAGGTTGTGATTCTTGCTATGAAGCTACAAAAGAGGAAAGCTGAGTAAGGGAATAAAGAAACAAAGTGCTTATCAGTAGTGAACTTCCATGCAGGCCATGACAGGCTCATTTCAAAAGAAGCAGAAATATTTTATTATTTTTCCTTGGGTTATTAGTGTCACATGTAAGAATAGTGCACTAGATTTACTACCACAGATTTTTGTACTTATACTTATTTTGAACAAAATAACAACGTCTAGATAGTTCCTTTCCTCCTGCAAGAACTAAGTGTATGTAAGTCCTCTCTTTTGTAATCTAGTTTATTTTTTTCACATGTGAGGATCCCAGATACTATTAGGATGCCTTCATTGCTAATTGGATCTTGGAAAATATACTTTCTTGCTTTACAAAATATATTTCCTTTTAAGCCTCAGAGTAAATTTTGAAATGATCTACCCATGGATTAGTCCTCTGATTTTAACTAGTATCATTATTCTAGCTGTAAAGGACATCTATTCAAACTGTGTACAGGTAAGATTATCCAGGGGGTATAGTTTAGAGCACCCATATAATTTTCAATAGATTATGTGATTTTACAAGAATCTATCAAGTTAATGTTTCAAGAATATTGATAATTACTTTTAGACGTTTTGCTGAAAAAATACAAATAGACAGGGAGTCCATAGTAATAGGGTGGGTCTAAAGTTATGTAGTCTGAGTGAGGACATGGGATGTTAAGTCCAGAGACAGGCCATATGCAGACAGCCAGAACAATGTCTCAAAATCTACAAATGGCTGGGCCTGGATCAGTAATTCTTATGTGAAGGATGCCAGAAATGAGCAACGTAAACCTTAACAGAGTCTGAAAACACATCTCAAGGTAGAGGTTAGAATGAATCCACCTGCCATCCCAGCCTGATACACATGCTAGAATGGGTTATAGAAATGGGCTAACAGGAAAAAAGTCATTGAAATCATGGAAAAGACCGAAATGAAAAATGTGAGATAATATAAAGGTCCATATATGTTATTTATTTCAGTAAAATGCAAATAGACTTGACTTGTGATCAAAAGACAGAGATTGACAAATTGAATGCAAAAATACAAATTCAGATTATACTGTTTACAAGACATATGTCTAAAGCATAAAAGTCATTTCAGAGATTGAGTGTAAAAGACAGAAAGGATATATCATGCAAATACTAATTTTGAAAAATGATATCAATTTATTAATGTAAAAAACAAATTTTAAGGAAAAAAGGCATTGTAGATTTTTCTTCATCTCTTTATTTTGAGCCTGTGTGTCATTGCATGTGAGATGAGTCTCTTGAAGACAGCATACCAATACATCTTGGTTCTTTATCCAGCTTGTCACTCTGTGTCTTTTAATTGGGGTATTTAGCCCATTTACATTTAAGGTTAGTATTGATATGTGTGGATTTGCTCCTGTCATCATGATGTTAGCTGGTTAATTTGCAGACTTGTTTATGTGGTTGCTTTATAGTGTCACTGGTCTGTGTACTTCAGTGTGTTTTTGTAGTGGCTGGTAACAGTCTTTCCTTTTCATATTTAGTGCTTCCTTCAGAAGCTCTTGTAAGGTAGGTTTGGTGGTAATGAATTTGCTCAGCATTTGCCTGTCTGAAAAGGATCTTATTTCTCCTTCAATATGAGGCTTCATTTGGCCAATTATGAAACTCTGAGTTGGAATTTCTTTTCTTTATGAATATTGAATATTGGCCTCCAATCTCTTCTGCTTGTAGGGTTTTAGCTGAGAGGTCTGCTGTTAGTCTGATGGACTTCCCTTTGTAGGTGACCTGATCTTTCTCTCTAGTTGTTTTTATTTTTTATTTTTTAACATTTTTTCTTTCATTTTGACCTTGGGGAAGCTGATAATTGTGTGTCTTGGGGATAAAAGTCTTGTGAAGTATCTTATTGGGGTTCTCTACATTTCCTGAATTTGAATGTTGGCCTCTCTAGCTAGATTGGGGAAGTTCTCATGGATGATATCCTGAACTATGTTTTCCAAGTTGGTTCCATTCTCTCCATCTCTTTCAGGGACACCAATCAGTCATAGATTTGGTCTCTTTACATAACCCCATATTTCTCAGAGGTTTTGTTCATCATTGGGGAAGACAGTGTGGAGATTCTTCAAAGACCTAAAGACAGAAATACCATTCAACCCAGCAATCTTATTACTGGGTATATACCCAAAGGAATATAAATCTTTCTGTTATAAAGGCACATGCATGTATATGTTCATTGCAGCATATTCACAATAGCAAAGACATGGAATCAACCTAAATGCCCATCAATGATAGACTAGATAAATAAAATGTGGTACATATACACCATGGAATACTATGCAGCCATAAAGAAACAAAATCATGTCCTTTGCAGAGACATGGATGAAGCTGAAAGTCATTATCCCTAGCAAACTAATGGGGGAACAGAAAACTGAATACTGTATGTCCTCACTTATAAATAGGAGCTAAATTATGAGAACACATGAATTCATAAAGGAAAACAACACACACTGGGGCCTATCAGAGGGTGGAGAGTGGGAAGAGGGAGAGGATCAGGAAAAATAACTAATAAGTACTAGGCTTAATAACTGTTTGACAAAATAATCTGTACAACAAACCTCCATGACACAGGTTACCTATGTAACAAAACTGCACATGTACCCCGAACTTAAAATAATAGTTAAGAAAAGAAAACAGGCCGGGCACGGTGGCTCACGCCTGTAATCCCAGCACTTTGGGAGGCCGAGACGGGCGGATCACGAGGTCAGGAGATCGAGACTATCCTGGCTGACACAGTGAAACCCCGTCTCTACTAAAAATACAAAAAATTAGCCGGGCATGGTGGTGCCCGCCTGTAGTCCCAGCTACTCGGGAGGCTGAGGCAGGAGAATGGCGTGAACCCGGGAGGCGGAGCTTGCAGTGAGCCGAGATCGCGCCACTGCGCTCCAGCCTGGGCGACAGAGCGAAACTCCGTCTCAAAAAAAAAAAAAAAAAAAAAAAGAAAACAAACAAACAAAAAGCAAATTAAAAATAAAAGCTATGGTTGAATCAATGATGACATTGAGGAATAAAACAAGCATTAGGATCATGACATTAGCACAAAGCCATTCATGAGGGATCTGCCCCCATGGTCTAAACATCTCCCATTAGGCCCTGCCTCCAACATTGGGGATCAAATTTCAACATGAGATTTGGAGTGGACAAATATCCAAACTGTGGATGGGAATGCATGTGGAAGAAATACTTAATACAATTGCATTTAAAAAGTAGAGAGGGTAAAATATGCTAATGGTACTAGAGATACGGACTGTATCCTTCACTCAAAGTGGTAAAACATCAATACCAGTAGACTGTGATAAGTTATATGTATATATTGTAATAAGTACAACCACCACCAAGAAAGCTATATGAAGCAATGTACTAAAAAGGATTAAAAAGTATGAGTGTAGATACAAAAGTTCTTCCTGAGAACTTCAAATAAGATAGATATGCATATGGTGAGTAGGGCTGAAGTCTTGACTTCTATGCCTGAAAGTAGGCATTATTGGCTGGGAATTTAATTCCTAAGTGGGAAAGAAACCAAAAGTGCTCTATGGAGGAAAGACAGCCAAATTTTGACTTTCTGCTTCTGGCTAGGAGCTGAGGTTGGGCTCCCCATGATTTTAAAGGAGGTTGAGGAGAATGTTTTCAAACACTTGTATGCTATAGATATAAGGAAGTGAGAAGACACAGAATAACTTTCTCAAAAGGAACTGAAGCAAATAAAAAACAACTGTCCTGAGAAGATTGTTATTGTTCCAGATATTACAACAGGACAATAAATCTGAATGATCACTGAAGAACTGGGATTTTGATTGGAAGCCTGATGGGCTGAGGTGGAGTGGCTAAATAAAACCTCTGGACAGGGACAGTGGAGTACAGAAAAGAAGAGGAGGGAGGAGAGTAAAAGAGATGGGCAATGCTATGGTTTGAATGTTTATTTTCTCTGAAACTCATATTGAAACTTAATCCCCATAGTAATAGTATTAAGAGGGCTGTAAATCCAACTATGGTATTTGAGAGGTGGCACCTTTGGGAAGTAATTAGGATTAGATGAGGTCTTGAGGGTGGGGCATTGAGAGGAGAAACAGAGACCTTGAGCCATACCCCTTTGCCCTCTTGTCACATGATGCTCTGCACCTCATCAGAACTCAGCAGAGGGCCCACCAATAAGAAGACTCTCACCAGATGCTGGCACCATGCTCTGGGACTTCTCATCCTCCAGAATCATAAGAGATACATTTTGTTTCTTCATAAATTACCCAATTTTTGGCATTCTGTTACAAGCAACAAGAAACAGACTAAGGCAGAAAATTGGTACTAAAAAGTTGGGCTGTTGCTAATAACAAATATCTGAAAATGTGGAAGCAGCTGTGGAACTGGGTAATGGGTAGAGGTTAAAAGAACTCAAAAAGGCAGGCGAGAAAAAGCCTGTATTGCCTTAAATGTCAATTCTGGTGATAAAGGGTGATTTTGGTGAGGGCTTAGAAGAAGTCAAGAAGACTAGGAAAAGTCTGGAACTCCTTTGTGATGATTTGAGTGGTCAGGACCAGAATGTCAATAGAAATATGGACAGTAAGGGCTGTTCTGCTGAGGTCTCAGGTCTGAGGAACAAGGAATTGGAAACTGGAGTAAAGGCCATCCTTGTAATAAATGCGTGAAAAACTTGGCTCTGAATTGTGTCTATATCTGATGGTTTTATTAGGCTATATGGCAGAAGAAATATCTAAGCAGCAAAGCAGTCAGGCAGCTGCATGGCTACTTTTAACTGCTTACATTAAAGCTGTGAGAGGTAAAAAATAACTTAAAGGTGGAATTTATAATTAAAAGGGAAGCTAAGTGGAAAGATTAGGAAATTTTGCAGCCTGGCCCTGAAAGAGCATTTTCAACAGAGGAAACCAAGGGTGTGTCTGAAGGAATGATTGTTAAGGAGGGACTGATTGATAAGGAGAATTGTATGAATAGAATAAAGCCAGAAGCTATTCATCAAGACAATGGGAGACAAACACTGAATGCACTTTAGAGATCTTCAAGTCTACCCCTGCCATCACAGGCCCAGAGCTCTAGGAGGAAAGAATGGTTTCAGGAGACAGGCCTGGGGTGTCCTCCATGGGCTTGCTGCCCAATGCCACCTCAGGGCAGTGCTTCCCTCATCCTGGTTGCTCCAGCCATAGCTCAAGTGGCCCCAGATGTGACTCATATTGTAGCTGCAGAAGGCACAAGCAGTAAGCCTTGGCAATGTCCACATGCATGTGGTGCTATTTCTGCAGGTCTTCAGAATGCAAGACTAGTGGGAAGGCATAGAAATCTCCACCTAGATTTCAAAGGATGTATCAGACTGCCTGGGAACCCAAGGAGAAAACTGCCACAGGGGCAGGGCCACCACTGTGGGGAAAAGCAAGAGGGATCAGATTGTTACTGTGTCTGTGTAGAAAGAAGTAGACATAGGAGACTCCATTTTGTTCTGCACTAAGAAAAATTCTTCTGCCTTGAGATGCTGTTAATCTATGACCTTACCCCCAACACCGTGCTCTCTGAAACATGTGCTGTGTCGAACTCAGGGTTAAATGGATTAAGGGTTGTGCAAGATGTGCTTTGTTAAACAGATGCTTGAAGGCAGCATGCTCCTTAAGAGTCATCACCACTCCCTAATCTCAAGTACCCAGGGACACAAACACTGCGGAAGGCTGCAGGGACCTCTGCCTAGGAAAGCCAGGTATTGTCCAAGGTTTCTCCCCATGGGATAGTCTGAAATATGGCCTCGTGGGAAGGGAAAGACCTGACCGTCCCCCAGCCCGACACCCGTAAAGGGTCTGTGCTGAGGAGGATTAGTATAAGAGGAAGACATGCCTCTTGCAGTTGAGACAAGAGGAAGGCATCTGTCTCCTGCCCATCCCTGGGCAATGGAATGTCTCGGTATAAAACCCGATTGTACGTTCCATCTACTGAGATAGGGAAAAACCGCCTTAAGACTGGAGGTGAGACATGCAGGCAGCAATACTGCTTTGTAAAGCATTGAGATGTTTATGTGTATGCATATCTAGAGCACAGCACTTGATTCTTTACCTTGTCTATGATGCAAAGACCTTTGTTCACGTGTTTGTCTGCTGACCCTCTCCCCACTATTGTCTTGTGACCCTGACACATCCCCCTCTCTGAGAAACACCCACGAATGATCAATAAATATGAAGGGAACTCAGAAGCCGGCGGGATCCTCCATATGCTGAACGCTGGTCCCCTGGGTCCCCTTATTTCTTTCTCTATACTTTGTCTCTGTGTCTTTTTCTTTTCCAAGTCTCTCGTTCCACCTAACGAGAAACACCCACAGGTGTGGAGGGGCGACCCACCCCTTCAACCACCAAGAGCCTCTGCTAGGGCAATGCTGAGAGGAACTGTGGGGTTGGAACTGCTACAGGGAGTCCTCCCCAGGGAAATATCTAGTGGTGCTGTGACAGTGGGACTGCCACCAAGACTCCAAAACTGTAGAGCTACCAGCATGCAGTCCCAGCTTCGAAAACCCAAGGCACCTGACTCCAACCCATGAGAACAGCCATATATGGGCTGCAACCAGCAAAGCCATGAGGGCAGGGTTGCCTGAGGTCTTGGGGGCCCAACTTCTGCCCCTGTGTGCTCAGGATGAGGAACATGGAGTCAAAAGACATTATTTCCAGCTTTAAAATTTAATGTCTTTCCCTGTTGAGTTTCAGACTTCCTTGAGGCCTGTTACTTCTTTCTTCTGGCCCATTTCTCCTGTCCCAGCATTGTATCTTGGAGGTAGATAATTGGCTTTAGTATCTCAGGCTCACAGATAAGGACTTTGGACTTTTGGACTTTTGAGTTGGTACTAGAGAAAGTTAAGACTTTGGGGCTCTGGAGATAAAATGAATGTATTTGAATGTGAGAAGAATATGAGTTTTGAGGCTGCAGGGGTGAAATGCTATGGTTTGAAAGTTTGCTCCTCTAAATCTTATGTAGAAACTTAATCCCTATTGTAACAGTATAAAAGGGTAAGAAAACAGACCATGATATTTTAGGGGTGGGAGATGTGAGAAGTAATTAGTATTAGATGAGGTCATGAGGATGGGGTGATGGGGCACTAAGGGTTTGATAAGAGGAGAAAGAGATACTTGAGGTAGCCCTCTCAGCCTGCTTGCTATGTGATGCCTTGCACCACAATGGGACTCTGCAGAGGGTCCCCACTAGCAAGGAGGCTCTCACCAGATGCTGGCACCATGCTCTTGGACTTCCCAGCCTCCAGAAATAAATTTTGATTCTTTATAAATTACCCAGTTTCAGGTATTCTATTGCAATCATCAGGAAATTAATTAACACAGCAAAATCGACATCTAGAATACAAAATAATCCCAGCACTTTGGGAGGCCGAGGCAGGCGGATTACCTGAGTTCAGGAGTTTGAGACCAGCCTGGCCAACATGGGGAAACCCTGTCTCTACTAAAAATACAAAAATTAGCCGGGTGTGGTGGTACATGCCTGTAATCCCAGCTACTCAGGAGGCTGAGGCAGGAGAATCGCTTCAACCCAGGAGATGGAAGTTGCAGAGTGAGCCAAGATTGTGCCACTGCACTCCAGCCTGGGCAATGGAGTAAGACTCTGTCTCAAAAAAAATAATAATAATATACAGTAATTGGAGATGAAATTAATTTAAGTGTTCTGGTATATACTATGTAAGTATATGAAGTATAAATAAGTAGAGTGCAGATGACACCAATAACAATGACTTCATTGCTATTCTGTCTCAGTGAAGAAGGGGTCCTGTAGGTATGATTAATTATTCTCTTAGGTGTGTCTTCTCAATGCCAGCAAAGCTAGGTGTGGGTGAAAAAAATACCACCTAGTCTTTTTTGTTAAGTGACTATAAATATCATCAGATCCCTGTGCTTCCCTGTCTCTATCCCCAGGGATTCAATGACATTTATACACTTGGTTCCCAGGTGAGATTTTAATTAATAAACTAATCTCATGACTGTTAGCAATTATAATTAGATATTCTGTCAAGTTCCTAATTCTCACATCTTCAAGTCCTGTAATTTGGTATGAAGGCACTGCGAATTTGGACTTTGAGCTAACAAGATTTAGACAGGATATTGGCCTTGATCTGAGGCTGTAATGGAATGAGACTTTGGGGGGCCCTTGAGAAGGGATTAATGTATTTTACATTTGAGAGGGACATGAATTACAGGTGGCCAGAGGGCTGAAGAGGTGAGAAGGAAAGCAGAATTCTAAGATGGCCCCCAGGAATATCTATCACCCCCTGTTGTACATACCTTATAAAATTATTTTCCTTTAAATGTGGGTGGAACCTACCGAGACCAGCTTCGTCAGGGAGACCCTAACCCAGCAGCGCTAGAGGAATTAAAGACACACACACAGAAATGTAGAGGTGTGAAGTGGGAAATCAGGGATCTCACAGCCTTCAGAGCTGAGAGCCCTGAACAGAGATTTACTCACATATTTATTAATAGCAAACCAGTCATTAGCATTGTTTCTATAGATATTAAATTAACTAAAAGTATTCCTATGGGAAACGAAGGGATGGGCTGAATTAATTGCAGCAGGAACATGCTCTTAAGACATAGATTGCTCATGCTTTTGTTTGTGGCTTAAGAATGCCTTTAAGTGGTTTTCTGCCTTGGGCAGGCCAGGTGTTCCTTGCCCTCATTCCCGTAAACCCACAACCTTCCAGCTTGGGCGTTAAGGCCATTATGGACATGTTACAGTGCTGCAGAGATTTTATTTATGGCCAGTTTATGGCCATAAACTGGGCCATAAATTTGGGGCCAGTTTATGGCCAGATTTTGGGGGGCTTGCTCCCAATAGTAACCAGTAAATTTAATGGTATGATCACTACTGTGATTGGGTTATGTTTTGACTGCAATTAGCCTTATGAAAAGGAAATTATTGTAGGTGAGCATGAACTAATTAGGTGAGCCCTTGAAAGGGACTGAACTTTTCTTGAAGAGGGAGATTAAACATGAGAAAGACTCTGTATTACTGACTTTGAAGATGTAGAGGGCCATGTGGCAAGGAACTGAGAGTGGTCACTGGGAGCTGATACTGATCCCTGGCTGATAGCCGGCTTGAAAACATGGACCTCAGTCATACGTGGAAATAAATTCTGTCAACAGGCAGTGAGCTTGGAAGAGGACTCCATATTCAAATGAGAATTATAAGGTCAGCTTGTGACTTCAGTCTTGTGAGATCCTAAGCAGAGAGCCCAGTTGAGCTTTGCCTAGACTTCTGACCTAGAAAACTGAGATAATAAATGGGTGTTGTTTTAAGCTGCAAAGTTTCTACTAATTTGTTATGACAGTGGCTAGAAAATTAATACAATATGCTTTGTTTATTTAAATTTTACATACTGCACCATAAGCACCTTTGACATAAACAGAATGCTTAAAATTGATATACCTTTCACATATTAATTCTTTACTTTTTCTTAGTATAGTCTAAGAATACTTTCCTGTACGGTTTCTTTCTTTGTTTTGTTATTTAAACTCATCTCACCACTTTTTAATAAAATAAATATTTACTTTTTTTTTCTATATTTTTGTTGATGGCTTTCATGAAACTTCGGTTCTTGTCTTCTTAGTTTAAAAGAATTTAAACAACAGACACACAGCAAAGGAGATACAACATAGAGCAATTTCTTGCAAAGGAGAAAGGATACTCTGAAAGTTAGGTGCAGAATCAACAGTACACCCCAAGAGACAATTCAGGGCAGGTTGCTTGTGCGGGTGAGACAGTGTTGAATGTTACTGGGGAAACTCCCTTTATGGGAGTCTTACATGATTATTCATAAGGGGGTGGGAAGATGTGTTACTAGCAAGCATGTTCTGGGTGGTTCCTCCTCAGTTCTGAGTTCCTTCTCATTTAAACTTTTAATCTGCCTCAGTATAATCTCTGTATGTGTGTATGTATGGGCTCTTTTTACTATCCCACTAACTCACTAATTGACCCAACACTATTTTTAGTAATTTTTCCTATTCCACTGGATTAAAAGTTTGCTTTATTATGCACTACATTCTTAATTTATCCAACATAAATGCAGGATAACTTGTTCTATCCTTGAAAGCAGTCCCAGTATGATGTTCTTTAGAGAGGCCAGAGCAAATTTCCCCATACTCCATTTCAAATACTTCAAATTATATTGCAACCTCTTGAAAAATATCAAATTAGGATTGTATTTCTAACACCAAGAAAAATGATTTAAAATTCTTTTAAAATAGCTTCTTGTCCTAAAAATCTCACCATAATTTCCTCATCACTATGCTGCTTTCTCTTTCATTCCATATTGGTGTCATGACAATCAAGTATATTTCAAAAAACTTGTTTCCGGACCCCTTACATCCCACTGAGTTCCATTCCTCATTAGCTACAGCCCATTACCCTACAAATTTGGATAGACTCCAGAAGAGTAGAGTGGGCCCTTATGTACTTTGAAGAAGTGAAGAATATAACCTGTAACATTGAAGGCTTCTTAGAAATATGTTTGTCTCCCATCCCAAAATTTTCTCAAAGGGTTTGCGACTTCCTAGAAATGTAATACAGTGGTCCTCCCTTATCGATGGTTTCACTTTCCACAGTTTCAGTTACTGGTGGTCAATCAATCACAGTGTGAAAATATAGGTGTTTAGTACAATAAGATATTTTGAGAAGAGGGGAGAGAGAAAGAGACAGAGAAAGAGAGAGAGAGATCTCATTTACATAACTTTTATTACAGTATATTGTTATAATTGTTCTATTTTATTATTAGTTATTGTTGTTAACCTATGACTGCACAATTTGTAAATTAAACTATATCATATGTTTGTATGTGTAGAAAAACATAGCATATACAGAGTTTGGTACATGCCTTCAGGCATCCTTTGGGGTGCCTTGCAACATATCTCCCATGGATAAGAGGGGGCTATTGTAAACAAAATTTTCAATTTCATTAATTGTGGCATAAATTAGGTTCTGTTTATGTGCAGCCAATATCATTCCACAGTTGTCCTTTTTTTGGGGCACTATGAACATGTTTTAATTGTTTAGCTTTATAATCATTTGTAAACATCTATTAGAGTACCTCTCCTTATTTTTATCAATAGTTGTTTTTGTATACCGCTCTTGAAAGTTAGAAACATTTTGTTAATAAAACTGTCTTATTACTATTTAGATTAAAGCATCACCAAATCCATGTATTTTGTCTGGAAAAGTGACACAAATTGCCCTGTCCAAGAAAGTGGTATCATTGTTTACTAAACTTCTTTCTGTCCTTAAGTAAATTTCTATTCTTTTCTGTGGATTGCACACATGACTGCTTTGATATTTTGTATATTTATTGCTCTTTTCAATAATTTTTTTTCTGGAATGGATTCATTGACCTAATCTGCCAGAGAGAATTAATGAGGCCCCACATCTTCTCATTAGTTGGAGAAGAAAGTATTTAATGGTTTAACTTGAACGTGACTTTTGTGAATCTTTTTTTTTTTTTTTTTTAAAGCAGAATCCTGTATTTGGTTACATTCTGGTCTAGTGACCACTTCCTTCAGGTAAAGCAAGCTTCCCTGTCTGGAACAGCCAGGCATGTGATAAAAAATTTCCTTTGTGGTCACTTAGTTATTATTCCTCTTGTCTTGAGTGTCTGGGCTGCTATTTTCATGTATTTACATCCAAATGAAGTCTTTCTTTCCAACTTTTTATAGTATGTTTTGATTCACAAAATATTTTAGCCTTATCTACAATATAATAATTTCTCACAAATGCAAAGAATATAGGTTTGTACAGTTTTGAAGTAATATTGGCAAAAGAGTATGAAGCAGAGTGCCCATATTTAAATATAACTTTCAACATGTTAGTCTTTCTATAGGTGTTTTCAGGATAATAAAAATTAATTTGATTGATATAGACTTGGGGGCAATATATGAGAAACAGGCTCTGCTCTAAAGGATAGGATGAGAGGTGGGCAGGGAGGATTTGTATGGTTTGAATTCCAGGCACACACGCTAACTGCTAATTTGGCATCATCCACCAGGTTGAATATTTTCATGAAATTCTGTCTTACATCTCTGCTAATCCTAAAACAAAGAATGAGGATCATTTCAGGTGAGTCTAAGTCAGGAGAAACTATTAAAATTGTTATATTCTTCATTTAATTTTTTTCTATGATTATTTTTTCTTCTTTTTATACTAATTAGAATAGGCCAAACTGCTGCAACAAATAGACTAAAATGTGTATTGTGGCTGAAATATAGTAGAAGTTTATAACTCACTAATGTAGCAGAAGGAGGATATTGAAGATTTGTGAGTCACTTTTCTCCAGGTGGTGATTCAGAATTCCAAGCTCCCATAGTCCAATATGGTGCCTTTCATTTTTTTTCCTGAGAAAATTAACACATTTTAATTTTTCCTCAAGAAGGGAGGTACAAGAGTGATCAATTGTGATCTAGAAGATTAAGGCAAGAAAGTTAGTGAAATTTGCTACAGTGTCTACTATTATAGTTGTCATTATGACTGTAACTAATATTTGTTTCCCTCCTTCACAAGCCATTCTTGATTCCCCTCATCCTCTGAATTTAGTCTAGTTTGTTTTTCTGTTTTGGTGACAGAGACAACTATTCCAGAAGGGTCTATGTTACTATTTACTCTGTTCTTGAATTATGATTGTTTTAGTGTCTACTGACAGACATGACCATGCATAGAAGCACTAAAAGACTATTGTATTTTCATCTGGGATAGTAGTCTCTGTCACTAAACCAGAAGAACAACCTAGTTTTTAGACCTGTTCAAGCTTGGTTCCAAAGGAACCACTTCTGCTGCAGATGGATTGTGGTTGGTATCCCCAAACTTACGACTCCATGGATTTATAGCTCTTCGCATCATATGGTCAATTTAAGGCACATGGTCAGTGTGCTAAGTGCCTATCAGGAAGAAATGAACACTTGGTCATAGTTTTAGAACTATGAAAGGAAATTAAATCTTGGGACTCCAACTCATTAAGCCTAAGGGAAAAGTTAATCTGGGAACGGGGTTGCGAAAACCCGCCTCCCCCTTTTTGGTTCCTAAATAAGATGGCTACAAAATGAAAAGCTACATGCCTCCCTCATATTTTGTCCACAAGGAAAGTCCTTGTGAGCTGCAAGATCTTTACTCTAAGGTGTTTCTGTTAAAATTTTACCATGGCAATGTAAATTGGTAGCTTATCTTTACAGGTGTAGTCACGCCCCTGCCCAGAAGACACAAATGCATATCTTTTTTTTTTTTCTTTTTTTTTTTTTGAGACGGAGTCTCGCTTTGTCATGCTGGCTGGAGTGCAGTGGCGCGATCTTGGCTCACTGCAACCTCCACCTCCCGGGTTCAAGTGATTCTCCTGCCTCAGCCTCCCAAGTAGCTGAGATTACAGGCATCTGCCACCATGCCTGGCTAATTTTTTTTTTTTGTACTTTTAGTAGAGACAGGGTTTCACCATGTTGGCCAGGCCTGTTTCAAACTCCTGACCCCAAGTGATCTGCCTGCCTCAGCATCCCCAAATGCTAGGATTACAGGCATGAGCCACCGCGCCCGGCCACAAACGCATATCTAATTGTTCCCCTTCCCCCGTTTTGTCTATGTCATCTTATGTAAAAAAAATGCAGATTAACTGAGCCAGACAAAGGCATGAATGACTATTTTTCCTTACCCTCCTCTTACATGAAAATTGTGTACTTCTCAATATCCCTACCCTTTCCCCTTAAATTTAGAGCCCTCAAAATTATCTTCGGAGAAAGGTATAGACCTGTCTCCTGGGTGCTTATTCTTAACTTTGGCAAATAAACCTCCTAAAATGATTGAGACTTGCCATTTTTCTCGATTGACAGAACACATGAGTTCATGCAAAGTTACTGTTGGAGAAGTTTTCCTGTGGTTGTTTTTTGGAACATGTAATATGAATGAAGTGATCAAGAGTTTGAGCTGTGACTTACACTTTAGGCTATAATAGAGTAATTGGTGCGGTTAAGACTTCATCTCTCCTGGGCAGCTTTCTTGAGCTTTAGGAGACTGACTCACAATGGAGCTGAGGCTTCTTCTGTCCCTTGCTACTGATCTGTAAGTAATAAAACTGCTTCACATAATTTGTGTGTGAGTGTGTTCTGTTTCACCAGACTCAGATAAACAGGTAGCCAGTGCATGGTGGACATAAACAGTAGCTCAGAATGCAGTGGGAAGAAGTATCTGGACCTCTTTTCCTGGTGGTTGGCATAGTGATGATCTTTTCTATTCTCCATGCAGTGGAAGTCCTCCCTTTCCTCCCTTGGTATTGGTAATTAGTAAACCTGCTTCATAAACTGTGATTAATATACTAAAATCTCTAATGGAAAAGGTAGACAACATGCAAGATTAGACAGTTTCAGCAGAGATATGAAAGCTTTAAGGATGAATGAAATGGAAATAAAATAAAAATAAATTAACAAAAATAAAGAATGCATTTGACAAGCTCATCAGCAAATGTGGTACAGCCCTGGGAAGAATCAGTGAGTTTGAAATAGATCAATAAAAATTACCCAGAGTGAAACACAAAGAGAGAAAGAGAGTAAAAGTACATTAAAAAAATAAGCCTGGCACAATGTTTCACATCTGTAATCTCAGCACTTTGGGAGGCTGAGGTGGGAGGAATGCTTGAACCTAAAGAGCAGCCTGGGCAACATAAGGAGACCTTGTCTACAAAGAGAGAAAAATTAAGTGGGCAAGCATGGTGCTGGTATTCCCAGCTACTCAAGAGGCTAAGACGGGAGGACTGCCTGAGTTGGGGGCGAGGGTGGGGGATGAAGTGAGCTGTGATCGCACCACTGCATTCCAGCCTGGGCAACAGAGTGACACCCTGTCTCAAAACAAACAAACAAACAAACAAACAAACAAAGGTGATGTAACCATTCAATACAGCACTGCAGCTCTTGGATGCTCTGTTTTGTTTTTCCCCTGCTCTTCTTTTCTCTTTGTATTTCACATTGGGTAATTTTTATTAGGTATCTTATTGAATTAGTTTGTTAAAAGATAAACACATTATTTCGGTTGGCTTTGCTTTTTTAACATTATATTTTGAAATAATTGTAGATTCAAAGGGAGTTACCAAGATAGAACAAAAAGATTCTGTATAGCCTTCATCCAGTTTTCCCCAATTGTAACATCTTACATAACTAAAGTGCAATATCAAAACCAGGAAATTATCCTGACATATATAGTCAAACGATTTTCAACAGGAGTGCCAGGGCCATTAAATGCGGAAAGGACAGCCTTTTCAACAATGGTGCTGGGAAAACTGGAAGTCCACATACAAAAGAATGAAACTGGACTCTTACCCTACATTATAGACAAAATGAACTCAAAATGAATCAAAGACCTAAATGTGAAAACTAAAACCATAAAACTCTTAGAAAAAAAATAGGGAAAATCTTCATGATATTTGATTAGGCAATGATTTCTTGGATATAACACCGAGGGCATAGGCAAGAAATGAAAAAAATATATATAAATTGGACTCCATCAAAATTTACAACTTCTAATTGAGGCATGGAAAACTAAATACCATATGTTTTGATTTGTAAGTAGGAGCTAAGTGGGTACTAAGCTATGGGTACTCAAAGGCATACAGAATGGTATAAAGGACAATGGAGAGTAAGAAATTGGGGAGGATGGGAAGGAGGGTGAAGGATAAAAAACTACATATTGAGTACAATGCACACTACTCAGGTAACAGGTTCACTAAAATTCCAGGCTTCACCACTATACAATTCATCCATATAACAAAAAACCACTTGTAACCTAAAAGCTATTGAATTAAAATTATATTAAAAATTAAAAAAAATTATTATTGAGCATCTACTATGTGTTCAAAACTATTTTAGATGCTATATATTTGCCACTTCATTTAATCCTTGGCATTACTCTATGGAATAGATAATATTCTCATTTTGCAGTTAAAGAAACTCATACTCAGAGAGATTAACTTGGATTTATGAGCAATGTTGACATTATAAAGTAGAGGCAGGAAGACCAGTTAGGATGCTTTTGCAGAAATTAACTTGAGTGGAATTGTCGGTCTGTGAGAATAGAAAATGAATCTTTTGGGAAGATTCTACAATGTTATTGTTTTTGCATAAGTGACTTTTTCCTCTACTCCCTCTTTTCACATGTAAAATGTAGATTTACTGAGGCTAATCAGACTCACAAGAATGTAACCACTTGTGTCATTGCCTACCTTCCCTCCTTTTTTTTTTTTTTTTCCTCTCTCTTTCCCTTCCTGCTTACTCTTTCTTTTTAAACATTGAAGTTCTCAAAACCCTCTTTGGAATAAGCATTGATCACAGATGCTCCTGTGATTCGTGTTTTTCCCAGGTGCATCCTGAACCTTGGCAAAATAAACCTCTAATTGATTGAGACCTGCCTCAGTCACTTTTCGGCTTACACCAGGATTTCTTTCTTTTTAAAGCCTGAATAGAATTCCATTGTGTATACATACATTATCTTTACCCATTCATCTGCTGAATGACACAGGTTGATTTCATACCTTGACTATTGTGCATAATGCTGCAATGAACATGGGAGTGTGGATATATTTTCAACCTACTGATTTAAAATCCTTTGTCTGTATCCTGGAAGTGGGATTGCTACATCATATGGCAGTTCTATTTTAACTTTTTGAAGAACCTTCATAATGTTTTCCCTAGTGGCCATACTAATTTACATTCCCACCAACAGTGTGCAAATGTTCCCTTATCTCCACGTCCTTGTTAACACTTGTTATTTTTTGTCTTTTTGATAATAGTCATCCTGAAAAGCATGGATTGATATGTCATTGAGGTTTAAATTGAATATCTTAAGTTTTCCTATTTGAGGATATGAGTAGTCCCCCCAAAATATTACTACTAATGTTGCTTTTTTGCATGAACCATGACCTTGAGCTGAGCTGGACACTTGAATTCTTGAGTACTTGGACATGAGCTTAAATAGGACTGAAATATTTTTTACATACCTGAATATTAGTTCTTCTCTCTACTGGTAAGAACTTGTAGAAGAAGACATTATAAAGATCTCATAGAAAGATATTTAAGGTTTGTCTGGGAATGAAGGCACATGATGACTACAAATCTAGAAGCTGGGGAAGAGTTGTCTCTGGAAATATCCCAGGCATTACTAGGGAACCAGAAGTAGAGACGAACAGATATGTTGCAAAGAGTGACATGTGTAGGTTAGCTCTGGGTGATGAAATCGTCAGTGGTCCAGCTGAGGTGATGCATGGATGAGATTGACTGGAAGAAGAAACCTGTAGAAACAGATCAGGAAACAAAGCTCCGTTGTACACACGTCCATAGCAGGCAGCCTGGGTTTTCATCCCAGTCTTCTTCTGTTTTCAAGGGCCATTTCCATACTGCATGAGAAGCCATGAGACTGGTGGGCTCTGGACTCCTGTGCCAGAGATCACTCACCTTCCCCATTTCCCCCAAGTGTCCCAAATGCCTTGTATCATCTGATTTTCTATCTTCCTGCTAAAGCTTTTCCCATACTCCTAGTCCTTCACCCTGCGGTATCCTCCAAGTCCTTACCTGACTTCCACTATGGAGTCTCCCCATGGTTACTTGCTTGAAGGAGGCACTGTTTGAGCACAGCCTCTGAATGCTACAGACTCTCTCTTCAGATTTTCTAAATTGTCATTTTAAAGAGATAACTGTTTAAAGAGAAAAGGCCTACCTTATATGTGTCATGAAAAATTCATGTAACCGGTTACCTAAAAGTTGATATAAGAGAAATATGTAAGTAGCTTCACAAGGTTTTGAAAAATTTGGAGATAATTACTTGATAAATTTTTATTAAAGGAAAATGATATTCTGGGGCTGTATTTCTGTTACCACTGGCATTAAGGAGGCCACAGAACCTTTCTGACTCTACAGTGTTTCTTGATTCTGGAAGTAATTGCAGGACAGAGTCCTGGATAACCCTTCTGGTGACAGGATGACTCCTGTGTTTACATTCAACTGCACTGACCAAGCACAGATTCTAAGAGATGCTGACCAGGGAAGATGATTTCTCCCTTGATTCCACAAAGAAGGAGTCCACAACCTTTTTCTGCCCTGAAAGAAGAGACAATGTGCCCTGGGGAGTCTCCCTAGTGTAACCTTGACCCGTAATAACAGCAGTGTCTTTATCCCATCTTCCCACATGGGGTGTGTGTGGTCTCATCCTAAGCGCTCTGTCCCCATCAGAGGCCGGGCAGGTGATTTGGGTGAGGCATTCAGAATCAGGATGCTTGTCTGAGTTGCCTTCCTCTGGCCAGGCCAATAGTGGCTGCCCTGAGTAATGGAGCAGGGATAGGAACATTGCAAAGAACTGTAGAGAAGGCTGGATCAGGGGGACACAACTGGCAGAAGCCCCAAACCAAAGCCTTTTAGATTAGGTGTTTTTTTTTTGTTGTTGTTTTGTTTTGAGACAGAGTTTTGTTCTTGTCCCCCAGGCTGGAGTGCAATGGAGTGCAATGGTGCGAACTCAGCTCACTGCAACCTCTGCCTCCTGGGTTCAAGCGATTCGCCTGCCTCAGCCTACTGAGTAATTGAGATTACAGGCATGCACCACCACACTCGGCTAATTTTTTTTATTTTTGGTAGAGACGGGTTTCACCATGTTGGCCAGGCTGGTCTCAAATTCCTGACCTCAAGTGATCTGCCTGCCTTGGCCTCCTGAAGCGCTAGAAAATTACAGGGGTGAGCCACTGCGCCTGGCCTCAGATGAGGTTTTAGCCAGTCAGAAAATGGCTCTAAGCTGACACTTTCGTTGCTAGTTGAAAAGTCTGTGTGGCCAGGTGTGGTGGCTCACACCTATAATCCCAGTGCTTTGGGAGGCCGAGGTGGGAGGATTGCTTGAGGCCAGGACATTGAAACCAACCTGGGCAACATAGCAAAACCCTATTTCTATAAAAATTTTTTTAAAAATTAGACAGAATGGCGGTGTGTGCCTGTACTCCCAGCTACTTGGGAGGCTCAGACAGGAGGATCACTTGAGCCTAAGAGGTTGAGGCTGCAGTGTGCCATGATCATGCCAGTGTACTCCAGCCTAGGTGATAGAGCCAGACCCTGTCCCTAAAAAAGAAAAGAAAAGAAAAAAGGAAAATAAAAAAAAAGGAAAAGAAAAGAAAAAAGTCTGTTTGAAGAGGCCCATGAGACTGGGGAGTCCCTAGGTTTGACGTAGACTTTGCCTCACAGCCCCAGAATAAACCTGAGGGAAGTTTCTCCCTTTGAACAGGAAGAAGGGGTGGGCCAGAGGCCTCTATTCCGAGGGACGCTGAGGTGGGGACTGAGAGGACATTGAGGGCATCTTCAGGTCCCTCTCTGCCTATTCTTTCTTGCCCCCAGTTCCGTTCTAGGTCTGAGTTTGATGTTCCTCCTTTATGCTTCCATCGCACCAGTGGAGACCCTCCTTAGACTGGGGGTTACCCTGATCCTGAGTACACCACTGCTGCTAGAAGCCCAGTAACAACGTTCCCAGTCTCAGGTGATCTAAATCTATGCACAGAATAATACAGAATATTAGAGTGGCTCAATGCTTTCATGTGCCACTATTGCAAACCTCTTGCTACCGTCTCTTCCCTGTTTCTTTTTACCTGGTAAACATATTCTGCTTTTAGATGCTCTCTATCTTCTACTTTACTAATATACAGGGAAGAGTGGGAGGAAGGGAGACAAGAAGAGAGGTGGAGATATTTATTGTCTTGGTTAGGATTACCAGTAATGTTTGTCAGGCATTGTTTTAATTGCTTTATAACCATTAGTACTATCCCTAGCCATGGGCAACGTAAGCCTGATAAGTAAGAAATTTATTTATAAAAACACATTGGTACCTCTGCCATTTTGGATTTGATGTTTAGGGCTGGCCCAATATGACCTGTAACTCTAAACATTTGCTCCATCATTAATACGATTCAGCCCCCAGGAAATTCTTCTTCACAGCTTTTGTTCTCTATCTTCAAAACTAAATGTGACTGTGTCTGAATACTGTAAAATTTGTGTATTGTGCCTTTGCTCATATCAGATGCACCTGTTTCATGGTTCAGGGAGGATTTAAGCAGCTGAAGAACTTACAAGAGAAAAGTCAACAAATACTTTCACTCGAAGAGCATGAATGCAATACCTTCTTGCATAATAAAGAATCACTTGCCAGTAGGGCTGGGTGTCAACTTTTTTTTTTCTTGTTCCTCCTATTAGCTTGATAGTTACACATAACAGTGGAGGAGGCTTTTGTAATATTAAACTAGTCATATTAATGTTAAATTTGTATATGTGAAGATCTAGATGTAAAATGCATAAAACATGATCCACATTTTGCAAAGAGAAGCCTGGGGGTGAAAAGGAGTTCAGTAATTTGTTGACTCTCATAAAGCACATTAGTGGTAGAACTGCAACTCACCATCATTTCCTTCTAAGAACTTTGCTCTTCTCACCAAAACTTAAGGCTCCTCAGAGTGTCTAATAGAAGTGAACATTTCTGTGACAATTTTCTGTTCCCTGAAATATGATCCTCACTTAATTTGCCCTACTAAAACTCCCAAGTATAAGAACAATAGGTTGTAAGATGTCTACTCTTGAATCACATTTGTCTTTTGCTTCTTAAAACCCCTAAGCCATTCAATCTTCAGCTATTCAGAAATCTTCACCTCAAATGTTCATCTAGTGCAATTTGAAGAAGAAACAGTGCCAGGCATTGGAGTGAGAATCTTCACAGAAAAATGTCTGCCCAGAGGCAGATGAGGTCCTTCAGCTCCAGTGCTGATTGGTTCCTTTCCTAGGGACTCCCCAATCCTACCACACATGGAAACATCCAGAGGTTTTTATTCTTTCCGGCAGGTACATAAGATCCATTAGGTTTGAGCTGTGTTGACTACCACTGCTTTTTCCTTGGTCTCACTTATGTCTTGGAAGATGGCTCTGCAGATCCCTGGAGGCTTTTGGGCAGCAGCTGTGACCGTGATGCTGGTGATGCTGAGCACCCCAGTGGCTGAGGCCAGAGACTTTCCCAGTAAGTGCAGGGCAGCTGCTCTCGAGAGCCACCACTGTGGGAACAGGCTCTCCTTGGGTTGGAGTATGGGGGATGGTGATCTCCATGATCTCAGAACACAGTCTTTTATCACCATTTATTCTTTTTGGGAAATAGAGCTATGTTGCATTTTTATTTCCACCTTATAATGGGTGAGGTGAGGATAATCCAACCCCAATCCCACAGGTTTAAGCCTGAAGGAGGAGAGAGGAAAGAGGAGACAAAGTGTGCATTCACTACCTGTGACAGGACAAAATGACCATGGCACTCCACGGTTATGCATTTCCCCAAAGATATGCATTTCCCCAAAGACACAGTAGGATTTTTCTGCACTGGGAAAATGTAAGGCAGCAATGGTGTCTGTAGTCTCTGTATTGGAGGTAAAGGAGTCTATACTACTGACTCGAGTGGAGAGTTTGTGGAGGCAAACTCTTAGTACTGAGGGAAGGTGACTGGATGACCACAGACAGGGAGTCTTACTTTGGGTTTCACTGATTTATGGGCAAAAGGTGACTTGAGTGGGATTCAGGGACCTGAGTTGATGGTGGACTGAATTTAGTATGATAGGAAGGAGGAAGTAAAGAAGGGAAATAATACATATTGAGAAACCACTCCATTCAGACACAGGACAGTACTTTCTATAAATCCTCTCTCACTCCTCCTAACATCCTATGTGTAGGTATCATGATTTTCCTTTTATGTAATTATACTTGTGATATGGATATTCTGTTAAGTAACCTGCCCAAGCTGGTGATTGACTCAGTTTAATTGGACCCTATAGAATTCAAAAGCTTGGGCTCTTTCCATGAATAAATGTTTCCTTCTAGGACTCCGGAGGTGTAGGTCCTTTCTAACACAGAAGTGAGTGAACCTCACAGGGCACTTGGGCGGGTATAGCAGAAAGAGAGTAAATCCAGGCATGGGTTTACTTGGTCTCTTGCCCAGGGACCAAGAGAATACTTACATCAGGATGAGAACAAGCTTAATTCCTGAACCTTTCTCGTTATTCCCTTGAACTCTCAAATTTATGTGGATAACTCTGTCTCTGAGATTCCCAAGAGCTCCATGGAAAATGGGATTTCATACGAGAACGCCCTGATCTAAGAGCAGAGGTCAATGTCGAATCGGTCCGACTGCCCTCTTCACTTGGTTCACAGGCTCAGGCAGGGACTGGGCTTTCCCTCTTACCTCCCTAAAGGAAGGCAGATTCCCGAGGCCCTCAGAGAGGGCGGGCAGGGCTGGGGCAGAGATGTCTCGAGGATCCCAGGTCCGGAGCACGAGGCACGGGCCCAGCCAAGAACTCAATTTCGCTTGGACGGGTTTCGCAGCTGCTGGCCGGGTCAGGGCAGCGGCTGAAGGGTGCGGTCCGGCTGGGGGCTGGGGCTAGGGCCGTGCTGGCGCCTGACTGACCCGCCGTGATTCTCCGCAGAGGATTTCTTGGTCCAGTTTAAGGGCATGTGCTACTTCACCAACGGGACAGAGCGCGTGCGGGGTGTGGCCAGATACATCTATAACCGCGAGGAGTACGGGCGCTTCGACAGCGACGTTGGGGAGTTCCAGGCGGTGACCGAGCTGGGGCGGAGCATCGAGGACTGGAACAACTATAAGGACTTCTTGGAGCAGGAGCGGGCCGCGGTGGACAAGGTGTGCAGACACAACTACGAGGCGGAGCTACGCACGACCTTGCAGCGGCAAGGTGAGCGTCGTCGTCCTTCCGCGGTGCTCACCCTTGGCCGGGGCCCGAGTCTCTGCGCACAGAGGGGCGAGGACGGCGCGGCCTCAAGGACCGAGCCCTGGTCCATCCCAGGGTACAGGAAGGTGGCGGGGATTTGGAGGCTGGGGTAGTATCGGAGGGGCGGGGATCTAGGGCAGAGCAGGGGGATGCACAAAAGCATCCCTTAGTTCCCTGCAGGGTTGGGTTAGGCTGCCCAGTGTGTCCCCAGCCTCCCCGTCCATCGGCCTTGTCCTCTGCTCTGCATGTTCTTGCCTTGTGCCTTATGCGTTTGCCTCCTCGTGCCTTACCTTCGCTAAGCAGTTCTTTCTGCCCGAATGCCCGCCCTCTTCCCCTGCCCGCCCGCCCCACTAGCACTGCCCCACCCAGCAAGGCCCACTTGCACAGCTCGCGCCGCAGGAAGCTTCAGGTTTGGCCTGGTGGAGTTAGGGCTGCTCCACAACTGCGCGCAGGGCATCCAGCAATTACAGTTGTGAAATAAGATATTTTAACTTTTGGCTTCAAATTATTATTCATCGTAATTCTGTTTTCTTAAACGGCTCTCATTCATGGCGGAGCTCTTTGAGGTGAGAGTGTTTTAATCATTGCATGCCTAGTACCTGACTCGTGGACTGGCATGTGGTATGAGCTCAATGATCTTCTGTTAAATTAATGAATAAATGTACTCAGCTGCCCATCCACTTAGGCTCAAGGGAAAGCAGAGGATAAATAGAGCCTTAAAGATGGACTTTATCAATTATTTTCTATTATTTTGCTTGATGCTTTAAACTCTTATTGACTTGGATCTTAGTAAGGTTTGTGAATGCAGTCTAGGGAAAAAGGTGTTTGCTGAAAATAAAAACAACTCTTGAATGGTGTTATAAGGCAGTTTTAATTTCTTAGAAAAGCTGAACAAATGGCACAATGAAAAGAGCAGAAGCTTTGGAATACATAGATTGAAGCCACTAAATTATTGAATAAAAATAGTTTCAGGTTGCTTTTGGAGTAGATTTTCTCCCTCCCCCCATCACTATCCACTTCAGGGATAAACATTCTGAACGTCAATTTTACCCACTTAGTGAGCACTTATTTCTAGACAATTGCCTTAGCAAACACCATCTAAGTTATGTCATTTAATAGCACAGTTACCTGTGCATTAGAGATTAGCATTGCCACTTTATATATCGTAATATTGGTACATGATAAACACTTTAAGTAATCAACCCACAATTATGCACCAGGACCTGAAGCCTCCCCCAAATACACAGCATTCTTTTATGTTCTTCAATACTCGTCTACACAGCCTAAGGGAAGTAAAGCCTTGTTAAAGCCAATTTTGACAAGAAGCAGCAATGGGTCTATTCCTGCCTGTTTTCACTGTTAATGGGACAAAATGATACTTTCAAGGCATTGAAAATTCACTGATTAATCAATCCCTAGTCTGACCCCAGTGTTATCTATGCAGGTTCACAAAACTTCCTTGCCTTCTTCTGACCCACATCCTAATGCTGTCAAGTATTTATATTTTTGCCATTTCAAGTCTATTTCTATAAAAGTTATTCTATCATTTTTTTCTCATGAATTTGTGCCCTCTATTTTTACTTTCAGTCTTTTTAAGATGAACAAATCTTGTAAGTCCCCACATAGCTGACTGTTATTTCAGTCAGACTCCAGGAAGGAGGGCCTAAAGAAAAGTTCAAGTCCAAGCAGAAACCAAGATTCCTTCCAGACAATGGCTCAAGAGTGCCATTTAATTGGGGTGCTACCTGCTGACCTCAGCAAATCCCAGCTATATGTATATGTTTGCATTACAGGCACATTCACCCAGGCCAACCTCTGCATGGATCTCAGAATATTTCCTATGGAGAACGTACATGATAATGTCTGATTTCAGAACAAGAAAGTAATTCTCAATAGCAAGGGGATGGAGTAGGGTAGGCAGCTAGTAATTACACTATCTTGAGGGTTAAAAGGAAATTAAGAAAAAGCAGGAAAATGAGAGAACATATTACCAAGTAAATAAAGCATACATTAAATATTTACTATAATTTTACACTAAAGAAATAAAGGAAATGCAGTAAAATGGCCAGAGAGGCAAAGGTTAAGATGTATAAAATATGCAGGGAAAGGTGTGTCATTTTTGACCATGAGCACCGCTCTGAGAAGATAAAGGAATTGAGTTATGGGCAAACATGATGTTTGATCAGTGTTCGTTTTTTTCAAGGCCTGCCTACTTTTCCTTCAAATATTACAAACTTTTGAAATAACATTCAATTTTTTGGTCTCTGTTACTAGATTGCAAGTTCTATAAAGGCAGGAACCAGGGTTTGTTGTTTATTTTTGGATTCTCAGTGATTGTCAAATTTATATTTGTTGAAGGAACCTTAATCCAAGACTTGGACTCCAGGTATCTTTCCATTCTGGTTCCAAGGAGGGACCTTCCTCACAGCAGGCGTGCTGTGTGGTCTCACATCTCACTCCTATATCTTTCCCTGTCTGTTACTGCCCTCAGTGGAGCCCACAGTGACCATCTCCCCATCCAGGACAGAGGCCCTCAACCACCACAACCTGCTGGTCTGCTCAGTGACAGATTTCTATCCAGCCCAGATCAAAGTCCAGTGGTTTCGGAATGACCAGGAGGAGACAGCCGGTGTTGTGTCCACCTCCCTCATTAGGAATGGTGACTGGACCTTCCAGATTCTGGTGATGCTGGAAATAACTCCCCAGCGTGGAGACATCTACACCTGCCAAGTGGAGCACCCCAGCCTCCAGAGCCCCATCACCGTGGAGTGGCGTAAGGGGAAACTGGTTTCCTTTTACTGTGGGCCCCACAAGACAAAGGGAAGAGCTCCCGCTGATCCTTCCCATCCCATCTCTTGTCCCTGACATCACTACTGAGCTGGGAATCACAGGAGACTAGAGCACCTGTTGCCCCATGGCAAGCACATCAGATGAATCCTGATCTCTTTGTCTTTCCAGATACCAGGGAGATCACTTTCCACATTTGTGTTAGTCCATTCTTGTACTGCTACAAAGAAATCTCTGAGACTGAGTAATTTATAAAGAAAAGAGGTTTAATTGGCTCTTCTCACTCCACTATAAAGAAATACCTGAGAATGGGTAATTTATAAAGAGAAGAGGTTTAATTGGCTTATGATTCTGAGGCTGTAGGGGAAGCATAGTGGCTTCTGCTTATGGGGAGACATATGGAAGCTCCTAATCATGGCAGAAGGAAAAGAGGGAGTGAGGTGTCTCACAGGGCAGGGGCAGGAGCATGAGAGAGAGGGGGTTGGTGCTACGCAGTTTTACATAACCAGATCTCATGAGAACTCACTATTGTAATGACAGTACTAAGGGAGATGGTGACAAGAATCTGGTCTAATGATCCAGTCACCTCCCACCAGGCTCTACCTCCAACATTGTTAATTACAATTGAACATGAAATTTGGGTGGGGCCACAGAATCAAACCATATCAACACTACTAAAGCCCCAGAACCAGCTCTGACAGCTATGAGAGACTGACTTAGGGCTGGTGACTGGGGCCTTAGGGTTTAAGGTTATGGATGAAGTCCTGAGGGGCAGGGGTGTGCTTCCTCCTCTCCCTCACCCACCTATTGTGTCCAAAGACCTACTGGCTGGTCTTTCTCTTCCCTAGGGTGGTCAGACTGGAGAACTAGTGTCCCCTGACATCTCCACCTCCTGTACCAAGGACATTATGGGGTGTGGGGACAAACACTCACACTCAGGCTGTGCTCCTTAGGGGCTCAGTCTGAATCTGCCCAGAGCAAGATGCTGGGTGGTGTTGGAGGCTTCGTGCTGGGGCTGATCTTCCTCGGGCTGGGCCTTATCATCCGTCACAGGGGTCAGAAAGGTGAGGAACCCAAGGGGGAAATGGGGGAAGATGGGCTGTGACCCAGACCCTCTATTCAGAGAGGTTCTGTCTCTAGATGTAGCTCTTTCCTCCTTACCCTGAGAGGAAGTGCGAGGAGACAGGACAAGATTGGAGGAGGCATTGGAATCTGATTTTACTGGGTGAATGGTAGCGCTGCCAGAGCTGACTGATAGAGCTTATTCCAGGGCGTCCTTACCGTTCATCATCGTCTCACTGGCTCCTTTCTAAAAGCTTCCTCCATTAAGAGGGTCAGAGCCTCGGCCTCCTTGTCTTCTAGTGACAATTTCCTTTGTTTTGGGGGATTTTAACTTAGGGTGCTTAAGGACTTAAAGAACACGGGAGGGAAGAGGATATAACCCCAATTAAACTACATGTGTCATTTTCCTTTGGGGTAAGATAGTGGTTGTTTGTTTAACAAGACCTTTCTCTGTATAACTTCCTTTTGTAGGACCTCGAGGGCCTCCACCTGCAGGTAATATTTCAGCCATGATCCAGTCAGGGGAGAGGGCACAGGCATAAGAGGGAAGAGCCATGGTGAAACCGCATCTCTACTAAAAATACAAAAATTAGCTGGACGTGGTGGTGTGCATCTGTAATCCCGGCTACTTGGGAGGTTGAGGCAAGAGAATCACTTGAACCCAGGAGGCAGAGGTTGCAGTGAGCCAAGATGGCGCCACTGCACTCCAGTCTGGGCGATAGAGCTAGAGTCTGTCTCAAAAAAAAAAAAAAGAAGAGCATGAGCGGAGTGTTCCAGGGCACAGTGGTCTCTGTTCATGGCCTGTTTGCTGCTATGAGGGTTAAGACTTAGGGGAGAAGTTTGCCAGTTTCTACGAATCTCCAGAGATTGTTTCCTAGAACCAGGCCTTAACTTTGGTGGCATCTTTTTGTGAAATGTGGGGACAGAGCCACATCTTGAATGTGAGATAGTAGGGTGATGCCCACTTTGTGCCACATTTTGTTAGCTACTGCCTGTAGGCATTTTCAGTGACTAAAAGAGGCTGCTAGTGGTGGAGATGAAGTGTCACCCAATTTGCTAAAAAAATCAAACTCTTCATATTACCCAGAAGGGTAACTGCTGTTCCCCGACCTCCACATATCTGCATCAAGCTGAAGTTCTGTGTCCTCATGAGCTGATTTTACCTTTACACAGATATTGGGGAACGTGATGATGATATGCCCTGGACCTCAGCATCCTCTGTTTGATGCTGCAGAGGAAACTGAGGACTGGGGGAGAGGGTGTGTCCCTCAGGGTACCCTGTGCTGACCATGCCTCGTCTCTCTTCTCCAGGACTCCTGCACTGACTCCTGAGGACTTTTGTCTGGGATTGGTCATCACTCTTCTTTAATGCCCACCTGCCCCTGCCCAGAATTCCTAGCTGCCTGTTTCACCCTGTCCCACTGAGGTCAGAGTCCTACAGTGGCTCATGCAGCCACAGGTCACCTTCTGTGATCCCCACCCCAAGGCACTGGCGGTGACTCTGCTTCCTGCACTGACCCAGAGCCTCTGCCTGTGCACTGCAAGCTGTGTCTACTCAGGCCCCAAGGGGCATCTCTGTTTCCATTCTCCCCCCACAGACCTGTCAAGAGAAGCATGACAAACAAAATCATTTACCTGACTTTAGTGCTTTTTCCCATAATTAAACCTGATTCTGAGTTATCTGTATTCGGAACTTCCTTAACTAAGCAGAGGTAGGAAACCACTGCCAAGTGAAGGAACATACCTTGAGGTGACCCAGCCAAACCGTGGCTAGAAAGAGGGTTGTACTTTGAAAAGACACTGAAAGCATCTTGGGGTGCAAAGTAAGGGTAGGCAGAGGAGGTAGAAAATCAATTCAGTCATCACATCATTCATGGTTCTTTAATATTGATGTTCAGTGCAATGGCCTTAGGACATCCCAGCCTCTCTTCTGGTTTGGCAAGTGTTGTCTAAGTAAGCATGGTGGAATTGTTTGGGGACAACTATAGTGACTGATGTTTCAAATATATTCTGGCTGGCAAGTCACATCAATCAAGACTAATTTTTATTTTTAAGAAAGCATAACCAGCAATGAAAGTACTATTTTTGGTTCCAAATGATAGACACCCAACCCAAAGATATTTGATTCATGTTACAAGGAATGTTGGTTTCAGAAGTGACTAGTTCCAGATATTCAATGAGATCTTCATCTCTCTCTTCTCTTTCTGTTATAGTTTCATCTGTGCATCCTCCTCTCCTCTCCGTGTGTCTCTTTGTCCCTGTGTAGTTCTTTCTGTGTGTCTCTCTCCAGTTTTGTCTTTGTTCCCTTCTTGTGTCTCTTTCACTGCATTGTTGCCTTTCTCTATGTTTGTAATCCTTTGTCACTATTTATCTGCATTTCTTTCTCTTTTTCTTTTTGCATCTCTTTATTTTCTGCATCTCTCTTATCACCTCACACCTTATCTCATCTCTCTCTTCGTGTGAGTGTGTGTACGTGCGTGTGTGTGTGTCTGTCTTTGTTGTATATGTTTCTGAAGTGTCTACCAGAGTTTTAATAATTTGGGGAAAGATTCTGATTGTCCAAGCCTGGGTAACATGCACACCTCCCAAACACACCATCCTGTGCACAGGATGCTGCCAGCCAGCGTGCTCATCCCTCTTATTAGGAAGGAGGACTGGGTTTTCCAGATCCTTCTGATGCTGGAAATGACTTCCAGTGTGCAGATGTCTACACCAGCCATGTGGAGCACCTCAGCCTCCAGAGCCTCCTCACAGTAGAGTGGTGTAGGGGAAGTTTGTTTCTTGTGGAGGACACAGGTCAAACGGCAGAGCTTCCTCTGGTTCTAGGGTCCCTCAGTGGGGGTACCTGTTCACAACCATCTCATTCCTTGTCTGAGCTCCCTTTGTCATTGACATCGTAACCTGTTCATTCCTGATGACACCCTCTTCCCGGTTATGAGGGACGTCACTACACACTGTGACCCCTTTGATGTGGGCTCAGCCCTGAAGATGGTCTACATGTCAGTCTCTGGGTTTGTCATTAAGTCAGACAAGCTTTTCCAACCCTCAGCCCGCGGGCTGCATGCAGCCTATGACCGTATTTAATGCAGTCCAACACAGATTCTAGAACATTCAGTTCAACATTGTCACACTGAACACATCCTGGTTATGAGAGGATCAAAGTCTTTTTCCCTTTCTTCCACTGACAGTTTCATAGAAACAATTATTTTTTGCACCCAGATTTCATTGGGTAGTATAATCTTTAATTGATAATTAAAGTAACAAGTACATTTTTTATAAATAAGTTTGCTAACAAGAAGAATTGAGTCTTAGTCAGCATATAACTTGGAGGAAAGTGTGTGGGTGTTCTAGAGAACAACCTGCCAGTTGTGAGCATTTGTCCTTACCTTAGGAAATATCAGTATATCTTTCAGAGACAATGGTGCTCATCAATATGCCATAAGGTTCTTTACATCTCCCAGTCTTTTCTGCTGTTAGGTTGGGATCATTTGACTAATACTAGCCAATGGAACTTGCAAGTAGATGCACGATGAGACATTGGAAACTCCATATAACCTGAGTCACTGGAGAAACTGTGGAATTAAGTCTCTTTATTGAGTGACATCACTGAGATTTGTTTTTTACTGTGGGCTAAGATCTTACTGCACATTAACTTTACCCTTCTCAATAATCATGGAATGTTTAACTTCAGAGGAGAGTTCATAAGTTAATAGGGTGAATCAATTGAGTTAATAGAAATTGAGATGATTGAGATGATATTTTTAAACAAAAAAATTTTTGAAAATAAAGAACAGAAAACTTTATTTGAACAAGAAAAAGTTAAGAATGTTACATTTCAAAAAATTTAAATTATTTTTAATTTACAAATAATTATGAGTACTTATAAGGTACAATTGACATTTTGATATATGTATACACTGTGAAATGATTAAATCAAGCTAATTAACATATCCATCACTTCACATACTTATTTTTTTATGTGGTATGAATATTTAAAATCTGTCTTAGCAATTTTCAAATATACAATACAGCTGGCCCTGTATTTGTGGGTTTTGCATCCTCTGATTCAGTCAATCATGGATTGAAAATATTTGGAAAAAATGATAAAATACAACAATACAACATAAAAATAATACAACTTAAAAGAATACAGTATAACAACTATTTACATAGCATTTACATTGCATTAAGTATTATAAGTAATCTAAAGATGATTTAAAGTATATGGGAAAACATACTTAGGTGATGTACAAAAACTAAGCCATTTTTAATAAGAGACTTGAGCATTCTTATATTTTGGTATCCAGGAAGGGTCCTAGAACCAATCCCTCATGGATGCCAAGGGACAACTGTATGATATTATTAACTAGTCACCATGCTGCGCAATTGATCTTCAGTACTTATTCCTCCTCTCTAACTGAAACTTGTACCTTTTGACCAACATCTCATTCCTTTTTCTCCCTCTCCCCACACCCCACCCCCTCCATGACTTTGACTTTTTAAGATTCTGCATATAAGTTAGGTCATGTCGTATTTATCTTTCTGTGCCTGGCTTATTTCACTTAGCATAATGTCCAATGGGTTCATCCATGCTATAAATGACAAGATTTCCTTCTTTTATAAGGCTGAATAGTATTCCATTGTGTATATGCACCACATTTTTTTTATCCATTCATCTGCTGATGGATAGTTAGGTTGATTCCATCTCTTGGCCATTGTGAATAGTGCTGCAATAAACACGGGAGTGCAGATATCTCTTTGATACAGATTTCATTTTCTTTGCATATGTACCCAGAAGTGGAACTGCTGGATCATGTGGTAGTTTTATTTTTAATTTTTAAATAGATGCTGAATTTTATCTGTTTGTTTTCTTCCACATGAATGTATATGTACTCCCAGGAACTAGAACAGTGTTTCTGTCGTCAGTGCTGTTCCACTGTACCTAAACTCCTCCCTTTGAGACTGAAAGATTTATTCTGTCATTGCTGGGAATGTTGCTGGCTGACTGCCCTCAGCTGTCAGTCATGCCCCGGAATTGCCTTTGGTGATGAAAGCTGCCTCATCGGATTTTGATCCACTTCCCAGGAGGAACTCACCTATAATGATTGGTCAGTATAGGAGTATAAAAGCCTGCTCTAATTTAGGCCAACTCTGAGGGGCTCTTGCAGCTTCCGAATAGCTTAGTTAGGCCGAAGGATAACAGTCCATTTTTTTTTTGTAACTGAAATAATAGTCCAATTTCTAAAACCTTGCTCTAATTCGTGAGTCATTTTACATACTTTTTCCAGTTGTGATTGTAATTTAAATATATTGATCTTTGTGACTTCTGTAAGTATGGGCAATGCCTCTTCCCCTCCTTCTTGGAAGATGAAGTTATTGGCATTTTTACCCTCCCTTTCCCCTCTCCTTTACGCTTCCACTTGCCAAAATGAAGTATCTACATCTTTTTTTCCCCCAATATTGTCAAAGCTGAAAATATTGACATTCTGCTGTAGCAATAAGATTCCTTGGGCTTTGCTCACAGCTTAATTCTAAATTTGAAAAGAAAAGTTTATTGCTTTCTAAATATCACTTATGTAGTCAGGTATTCTTTGCTTGCCAAGAAACTGCTGTAGTAGGATCCCTTTTCAGTGAGATCCTGGGTTAAACCCAGTTTCCTGGATTCCTTACCTTCCTATATCCTGATTAACAATCTCAATTGGTCATATCCTTAGTCAATTTCTAGTAAAACTCTGCGTGGTAGGTAAATTTTATGTCCTTTCACATTCACAGGTATTTTTATTCTTTCTCCATGCCTGATTGTGACTTTGAAAAGGTCTACATTTATTATTAAAAAATAATTTTCCTTTAGAACTTCAAGGACTTTCTCATTATCTTAATAATAGAAGTATTTTGTTTGTTGTCAGTTTGTTTCATTTTGGTTTCCCCCACTGGAATATTTTATGACTTTTCTAACACCTGAAGTTCTGAAATTTTGAAAATGAGTTATTTAGAAGTGAGTCTGTTAATTTTGCTAAATACCTGACAAGACTATTCCATGGAAGAATTAAATCCTTCATATCTGGAAAATTTTCCCTTATTATTTGTTCTGATCATTTTCTCCCTTCATCTTCCCTGTCAGTCTCTCTAGCTTTGTCACTTGATTTTGGACTTCCTTGGTCTGTTCTCCATCTTATTGTTTCTACCATATATTACACTTTTTTTGCCTTTTAAATTACTGTGAGATTTTCTTGATTTAATTTTCCAATCTTTCTATTAAATTTTCCAATTGTTTTTAGCATTCTATTATTACTTTTACAGATCAAGAATTCTAATTAGAATGACTTTAAACTTGTTTGCTGTTACATGAACTTTCTCTATTAAATCTGTGATAATTTTCATGTTATTTTATTCTCATCTTCTCTTTCATATTGTAAGAGTTTCTCAAACATTTGCTCTGCCCTCTTCAACCTTGTCCTTTACCTACTGTATACCATCTTATTTCATCTCAAGATACATTTCTTCAAGCCACTTCTAAACTGCCCCAAATTATACCTGGTTCCTGTGCAACACTCTCTCATTTTACCTCATTCTTTTTCTTTATAAATGTTTCAGACCTTGTAACTATGTTTGTGGAATTATGTAATATATGTATTTTCCTCCCACTGGGATGTAAGTTCTATGAAGATAATGAATGTAATTGTTTTCCCATTATTTTAATAACATTCAACAAACTATGAGTACTTATTACAGCACTGGTACTCAATGACCATTTTTGCATTTTTGATGAATTAGTGAATATATAAACAAGTCTGGGGGCTTAGTCCAGCCAATAATAAAGCAAGCATTACTTTGCTTTCCTTTGTTATTATTAGTTCCTGCATACACATTCTTTACAGTTGCATTCCTGAGAGGTTCTTACAGTCTTGGGCAGGCAGGCCTTGGACAGGGTTTCCTAAATATGATAAAAATGAGAAAACCTGAAAATCTAACATAACTTCAAACAGAATGCTTGTCTGCCTATGTTTATGGGACTTTCCTGAATACATTTAAAAAAAAAAAAAACCTTTGTATTACAGAAAATTTCAACTGTGTGCAATAGTAGAAAGAAGAATTCCATGTATCAACAGCCTCGCTTTAACAATAATCAATTCATGAGCAATTTTGTAAACCCACCCAGTTATCATACAGGCACATACTGGATTATTTTGAAGATATTTTTAGGTATCATATTTCATTTATACATTTTTATTATGGAAATCTAAAATATAATGGCTTTTTAGAAACATAACAGCAATGCCACTAACACATTTAAAACGAGATAAATAATTCCTTAATACACTCAGTGTCAATTTTTCTGATTGCCTCATATAAATTTTTTAACAGATGTTTTGTTTGAATATGAATCTAGACAAAGCTCAGCATTTGGTTACTATATTTCTTCAGTCTTTTTCAAGTGTATAGCTTTTCTTTTCTCTATTTTTAACTTTTTTTGCAAATTGTTTGCTGGAGAAATCTTTTTATTTAATCTAGTAGAACTTCTCATATTCTGAATTTTGTTGCTTACATCCTTGTGGTGTCATTCATCATGGGATTTTGTCTTGGACTCCAGAAAATAACAATAACACAAATTTGTTAACTTCTATAAACTGCTTACTATGGGCCAGTCTGTGTGTGAAGTGCTTTATTTGTAATGTTTAATTCTTCATATCTCTAGTTTGTATGTGGTAAGTACAAACCTGAAATATTTTACGTGATTTTTACGTTTTGTAATTTTTATTTATTCGTTCATTTATTTATTTATTTTTAGAGACAGGGTCTCGCTGTGTTGCCCAGGCTGGAGCGAGTGCAGTGGTGCAGTCAATCCTAGCTCACTGCAGCCTCGAACTCCTGGGCTCAAGCAGCAATCCTCCTGCCTCAGCCTCCCTACTAGCTGGGACTACAGACTGGTCTCCATCTCCTGGGCTTTAAGGGACCCTCATCTTGTGCTGAGATTACAGGCATGAACCATTGTGACTGGAAATTTTGTAAAATTTAAACAATGTGATATTACCTATTAATGAAGTCATATTTTATGTATGTAATCTGAAATAATTCAGATAACAATTAATTTTTAAGAATCATTTAATTTAAAATCATGCAGCCTGATTTATAACTGTTTATAATATTATAATAATAATGATGATTTCACTTTGAACTTTTAGCTGATAAAAAGATATATTTGCTCTATTTTATAAAACTATTTTTAACTATGCTATTTTAACATTATATAAATACTTTTTGAATACATTCTTTCAGTAAAATCCAACTACCATTATATTTGCTTTCCTCAGTATTTCTTGGGGAAGGATTCTAAACAGGGGAGCATTTGTGTATTTCTGTATGACTCTGGTTATAATGCCATTCAATGTAAGCCTTACACACACACACACACACACACACACACACACGGACACACACACACAAATGCACACACCTCCAGAATGCTGGGTTCTTGGCTCATGAATCATTGAAATTTATATAAAATTTATTTTAAATCCTATTGCAGAAAAGTTCTTAGCACGTTCATGCATTTTCATGTGACCATTTTTATACTACAGTTTTAATTTTATATATTTGGGATCATTATTGTTGACCTTTTCTTTTCTTTTTTTTTTAATAGAGTTTATTTTAGAGAAGTTTTAGGTTCCCAGAAAAATTGTAGAGTACAGATAGATGTATCCCATATGCTCTCTGTTCCCACACATGCATGGCCTCCCCCGCTAGTAACATCCTCCACGACAGAGGTACATTTGCTACAACTTATGAACTTACACTGACACATCATTATCACCCAAAGTCCATAGTTTATACTAAGGTTCATTCTTGGTGTTGTACATTCTATGGATTTGGGCAAGCGCATAATGATATTTATTCACCATTGTGGTATCAAATAGAGTAGTTTCATTGCCCTAAAAATCCTCTGTGTTCTGTGATGGACGTTTTCATGATCACCACTGGTTCAGATTCCCTGCACTTACTAATTCCCAGTCTGCATTTATAATTATTTTCTCCCGGAGTCTCCCCACCTCCTCCCCAAAGTAAATATGGATAAACTGCTGTTGCATATAATTCACCTTGACTTAAAATTTATGGGCCATAAGGAGGGAATATACCCCTTAGAGAGTTAAAAACCGAAGCCAAATATTACAACTTCTTGTCCTAAGAGTTCTCTTAGCAACCCAATCTCAGCCTCTCAAGAAAGAAAAAAATCCTCCAGTTAACATATGAAAAGAAACTCACTTTTACGTCTACACTTGAATCTCCTAAATCACTAAAGGGCTAAGGAAAACAAATGTACTTTTCATATAATATGATCCATTCTTTTTAATAAATCCATTATAAACATAACTGCAGTGTTTTCTTATGTATTTATATAGTATGTGTAAGGCACTGTCTATATACCAAGATTATTCAAATTCCGTCAATAACTCTGCAAGGAAAATATTATCACTCCCACATTGTGGATGAGAAAAATAAGGTTCAGAAATGTCAATCAGATACTTTACCCAGTAGAGTTTAAAATATTAGCTTCAAAATACTGAGTCATGTATTTAGATTTAGGTTTCTTTGTACAAAACTATGCTGTATCAATTATTATGTTAATGTTTTGTCTTTTTTTTTTCTCCTATTACATTTTAAACTCACTGATGCAGATAGCATGGACAGAAATATCCTGGCAGATTTCATAGCTGTTTAGAGCCCTCAGGTCCCTGTGGACCCATTTCCTCTGAGAGATTTTCTATTAGGAGACCACGAATCCAGTGTAGGACAGAGCACCCACTACTGCTGCTACATTGTCTCAACTGTCTTGTTCTTCCTAGGATCTCTCTCTCATAGGCTCATGCTTTCCTTAGCCAGGAAAGGTGAGGAGCAGGGGGCTGGGGCCCCTAAATAGGTCTGTAGCTTCTACTTCTATCCGTTTTCCATTGTCACTAACCCTAAGTAAGGAACAAGCATTTGTTCCTTTTCAGATACCCACTTATATTATTGCCTTATTTTAATATTTTTCTTTTTTAAAAAATTTATTTATATGTATTTATTTATTTTTGAGATGGAGTTTCATTCTGTTGCCCAGGCTGGAGTGCAGTGGCACAATCTCATTGCAACCTCCACCTCCCAGGTTCAAGCGATTCTCCTGCTTCAGCCTCCTGAGTAGCTGGGATTACAGGTGCCCACCACCATGCCCAGCTAATTTTTGTATTTTTAGTAGAGACAGGGTGTAACCACGTTGGCCAGGCTGGTCTCGAAGTCCTGACCACAAGTGATCTGCCCACTTTGGCCTCCCAAAGTGTTGGGATTATAGGTGTGAGCCACCGTGCCTGGCCTTATTTCAATGTTTTTCTAACTGGCTTCCATTTCTTTTCCTGCCTAGAGAATTTTTATCTCCTCAAGGTGAGAAGGGGAGAGGAAAGCTTCTACTGTTGTCATTCTTCACAAATTTAAAGTTTTGAGAATGCAGTTTGACTTTTGGTAACAAAATTTTTTACTTTTGATAACTTTTGAGATTCAAAATTCTTGTATCCTATTTCTCTGTCATTCCTTTTAAGAGCCATATTGAAATTAGTACAGACTTTTTTTTTTTTTTTTTTTTTTTTTTGGATTTCTGCTATAACCATTCTGAGCCAAGGGCAGAGGGTTCGTTGGTACCTGAATTGAAGGGTGGGTGGCAGTGGCCAAGGGTAGGAACAAAAGGAAGAAAGAAATATTAACACCAGTTAAGAAATCAACAAATTATCAGGATACACTGTACTTGGTTGCTCCTGTGTTACTGGACATGAAATATGATCTGGGGAATGATATGAAATTGGCCTAAAACATAAGAGTCGCCCATTCTAAGTTATGCTCTCAGTCAGCCCTGAGATGAAAGATGGGAAAAATTCAATAGAGGCATCATAAAAGGGAATTTATTGCTTCCATGGAGATTTTAGATAAAGGTCATTGAGGAATTAGGTAGCTAAGTGGCTTACCCAGGCATCCCTTAGTAGGTAACATTTGAGAAAATAAAAAAATTCAGGAAAGGAGGTCAGGGAAAGAATTGAAAGGTATTTGTGAGCTCTGAGGGAATATAGCACCTTAAGTCCCAGAGAAGAGGTGAGAGAAGAAACATTTGGAGGAGAAAAGGGATATGATAAATCAGGCCAGAGAATAGTGCTAGGTCATTTAGCAAGTCCATTCTTCTTCTCCTGTAGATGGTGATGCACCTGCAACAGGACAGACATGAGATCGATGGGTCTGAGGGGCCTCCTGTGTGATCATCATGCCACTTCCCAATTCGCCTACAACTTTCAACCACATTCATGTCCACAACCCCCTCCCACTTTCCTCCCTCTCATACTGAGGTTTCAGCTCCAACAAATCTCAATCTTACCTTCCTTTTCAGGATGGGATTCACAAGAGCCCTTGGTGTCTGGAAGCACCAACTGAACGCAGGCCTTGGATGATGAAGACAGTGCCCACCACAATGCCCATGAGGCCCGCAGACAACCCCAGGGCGCAGACCAAAGTCTCTGTGAGCTCTGACATAGGGGCTGGAATCTCAGGCTCTGTGAAAGTGGAGCTGTTGAGGTCAGAATGTGCAGTGTGCTCATGTGCATGTGTGTGGGATGGGATGGGGTGGAGGGCTGGCTCTGCAAGACTCAAGGCCCCAGGCTTAGGGAGAAGAGTGAAGTCTATTATTAGAAACCCATGAAGTGGTGGAACTCATCCTTACCCCAGTGTTTCAGAAGAGGCTCGTCCAGGCCCCAGTGCTCCACCTTGCAGTCATAAATCTCATCAGCAGAAGGGAGGAAGGTGAGGTAACTGATCTTGAAGAAGGAATGATCACTCTTGGAGAGGAAGCTGGTCTCAGAAACACCTTCTGTGACTGAGTGCCCATTGCTCAGCCAGGTGATGTTGACCACAGGAGGAAAGATGTTGTCCACAAGACAGATGAGGGTGTTGGGCTGACCCAGCGTCACAGGAAACTTGGAAAACACTGTGACCTCAGGAACCTCTGTGGTGAGGAAACAGCACTGATGTGAAGTGTGAATAGCTCTGCCATGAGCTTCTGCATTACATCCTGGAAGAGCCCTCCTACCAGCATTTCACCACCTGATAGTCAAAGAGGTCTTATTTACCTTCTGCTTGGGAGCAACGACACATTGCCTCTGCTTTATTCCTGTGCCCTTCTCTCTGTGGGCATGTTTAATAAAGTAGGAATTAATACATAATGGAAAGACCCTTGTATTACATGGGAATATGTGATTTTAGAGATGGGAGATGATAAAATTTCAGCAATTACCATGAGAAGATCTGGAAATCTCTTGAGAAGAAGGGAGTAAAACTTGGTATGAAAGATTAGTTTCAGTAAAGAGAGGCGGAATGGTGGACACATACCATTGGTGGCAGCGGTAGAGTTGGACTGTCTCATCATGAATTCCAAGGTGTGTTTTCCCACAGCCATATTTCTCAGTGCACTCTGCGGGTCAAAACTTATAAATTTGCTAAACATAGGCAACTGCCAGACAGTCTCTTTCGTCTCCAGGTCCACGTAGAACTCCTCATCTCCATCAAATTCATGGGTGTACTGGCCAGAGGGACCGTGAGACTGGTAGAAGTTCACACCATAGGAGGCAACATGGTCAGCTGACGAGTGAAGGTGACAAGCAGGAGGGTGGAACACAGGGAGAAAGAACCTTAATACAGAAAGTGATTGAAGAAACTCACTTTCAAATATTATGGGCTTCATCTTTGGCACAGTCCCTGAACAATCTTCCTAACACCTGCTTCCTCCTTGCCTAACGTTGGTAGTCATCAGGTTAGAACTGATTCTGTCTTTCTCACTATAACATATGCTCCACAAAGGCAGAACGTCACACGTCTGTTATTTCCTGAGTGCCTACTTAGTGCCTGGCACATCATAAGCTTATGATGAATATTGCAATAAACAAAGGAAGGAAGGAATGAATGAGTTATCATAGGATTTAGTTTTCTTACTCAGAGATTCAGTTTATTTCCCTCTGCTTCCTAAGTTTTCTCTCTCAGTTAATAACAAGTTGATTATACTTCGTTTCCTGTCAGGACTAGATCAGAACAGGACACTTTCTACACAGAGTTTCCTTTATTCTTTTTTTTTTAAACCAAAGAAAAGCATGTAGGAACGTATTAACTTAAAAGAATTTCTTCTAACAATTATAGGGTACGAGAAAGACTATTACAAGAATAGCAACATTATACATTTATAACAAATAAACAATTCTTCTAAGGTCTCTGTTTTGTTAATAGTAGTGGTCCTTAGAGGAGAGCACCTGATTTCTTCTGAAATGAAAAGTGGAAGCTCGACTGGTTTTTTAATTTCTGTCATTGCCCCCACTTTTTTTTTTTTCCTCTGAAGGAGGTTACTAAATGTCTATAGTGTTCTGATTCAACAATTACATTCACTCGAGGACTCAGGTAAATTAAACCCTTTTTCCTCTAATGGGCAGTGAGCTTATCCGAGGATGCAAGGGCAGAGCAGCAGCCATGAAGTATAGCCAAATGAGCCGAACTGGACATTTTTGTTAAGACATGTGTGAGCCCTTTACCATTTTATCTTTCCTTCCTTCCTTCCTCATTTACTGAGCATCCAAAAGTGTCAGACAGAGCAGGGGTTGCTTAAAACAGCATCAAGGAATGAACTGAATAGTGGGAGAATCAGGTCGGTAAGGGAGCAAATACAATGTACTTTGGGGAGTTCTGTGAGGAGGATATCGACAGCCTTACAGTCCGACATTCTTCACAACTATCTGCCAATCAAACCAAACTACATTTCCTTTCATGTCTTTGCAAGGGTCTGTTTTTTCTCCCTGAAATAAGTTATCTTTTAGGATTTCCTGGAGAAATCCTAAAATTCATCCTTGAGGTTTCTACTTAGTTAACAACTTTGCAGCTAAGTGCTCTCAACATGTTTTTGACCGCGTTGTGACCTCCAACGCCTCAATGGAATCTCAATGTCTGGCTCTCCAAGTTTGTCTGTTCCTCCTCCAGCTCACCTTCTTCCCTACCCAGCATGACTGCCCTGGTTGGTTACTTAACAGGCCACCAACAAAGACTCCTTATCCTTACAATAAACTTTGACTCCTTGTTCAAACATGAATATATGTGGAATACATGCAATCCTTCTTTTCATCTGGTACTTGTCCTGGGTGCTGAGTGTTGCTGGAGGACATCACTCTACTGGCCCAGCTGGAACCAAGTCATTTTTATAGTTTCAGCCTCTGCTGGGCCACTGTCCTGCTCAGCAGGGCCTTCTGCTTTCCTGTGCCCCATACTGTTTCCATCACTGGTTTGTGCACCCTCTGCAAGGCAGACAGCATGATTTTTTATCTTTGAATTCCCAAAAGTTAGCTCATTGTGTGCTCAAACATGTGTATTGAATGACAATTGCAATTTTTGACAATTACATAGATTTTGGGGAAGACTGACAGGCACCCAGGTAGCAGAACCACGCAAAGCCCAGGATCAGGGATGCCCAGGGCTGAATTCTGACTTGTGAGCCCCGAGCACTGTTGCTTTTGTGGGCGCCTTCCTCCATAAAAATACGGAAAATTACAGCTTCTGATTGTATTGGTATAAAGACAAATACAATCCAGGCTACATTAAAAGTTAAGGCCGGACGCGGTGGATCACGCCTGTACAAATCCCAGCACTTTGGGAGGTTGAGACGGGCGGATCATGAGGTCAGGAGATCGAGACCATTCTGGCTCACACGGTGAAACCCCGTCCCTACTAAAAATACAAAAAATTAGCCGTGCGCGGTGGCGGGCGCCTGTAGTCCCAGCTACTCGGGAGGCTGAGGCAGGAGAATGGCGTGAACCCGGGAGGCGGAGCTTGCAGTGAGCCGAGATCGCGCCACTGCCCTCCAGCCTGGGCGACAGAGCGAGACTCCGTCAAAAAAAAAAAAAAAGTTAAAACATTTTCATAGACTGTAAAACTTCATTTTTCTTCTAATTTTAAAACGAGTTAAAACGTTCTCTTGTAGCTTTACAGTTTGGAGAGTCTCCTTCACTGCCCACACTGTTCCTAATGGATAAGTCGAGCCTGACCGGGGCACTCTGGTGTGAGGTTGAAGAAAGGAGATTTGAAACAAAAAAGCCAAGTGCTCTGGAGAAGCAGGTGAAACTTCCACTGCCAAACAAAATCAGAATGGGAGCAGCCATGGTTAATAAGGTTGTGGAAGTTTCGAGTAGCTTCCAGTTCACTTCCCCTTTTAACTATTTGACTTTCCAACTTTTGTTTTACAAACTCACTGCCCATGTCTGTAAAGGAGCAGGGAGTCAGAGATGGATCCTGAAAGGGAAGAGGGAGAAAGGGATGCATGAAGAGAGGTGGGAAGAGATGGACGACAAAGGCAGAGGGGACTAAGGGACCAAATAATTAATCTGTGCCTGCCCATTTTTCTCTTTATAAGACTTCATTAGATAAGGTGAAGAACAAGTAATTTGGGTTGACAATTTGAGAATAAAATAATTTAATTTACCAAGCATTTTATCATAAAGTTCTCAGTTTTAAAATATATTCCTTACTTTGCTAAAGAAAAAATAAGAAGTTATACCTGTAATAGAAATAAGTTAAAAAAAGTTGACATTCGTGTTTTTACTATTCATAAAGCATATCTACATGCCCATTTTATTTGATCATAAGCGAGGTGACATATATGAGGTAGCAGAGAGTAAGTACCACATTTACCACGTGGTAAAATGATTGTTGAAGGCATTCAGCCTGCTGGGCTCTTTCACCTACTCCCCACCTGTGCCAATTCCCATGTGGAAATGTAAGTCTGAGAGAAAGAAAAGAACCTCTTTCTTTATATCTACAGAGTGTACATACTTCATGGAACTATCTACCCCAACATATGCTATAGGAGGCATATGAAAAGCTTCAAAAGTTGTTCAGAGAAATTTGGGAGTAACAGTTCAGAAATTTTTAATAACAAAAAAATACTCCATTCATGGAAACATCCCTAGTTTTTGAGGCAATCATGATGGAATGCCACACAGACCTCCAGGCTATAGTCTCTGGATATAATATAAACAGAACAACGTCCTTGGTAAACTCCAATAGCACAGGTAGCAAAGAGAGTCGGTTGGAGCTCTGGTTTCCTAAAGGAGGAACTGCCATAATTTTAAAATTTCTTAATATTGAAAAGACCCTTGGGAAATTTCTACTATTTCTTAGCAAATTGCACTCTTTCTTTTCCTTTAATTTACTGTTTTTCAGCTCCAGAGAACATTCCTCACTCATGCACTCACCCACAATGTCTTCACCTCCACAGGGGCTCATCACGGCAGTCAGGGCGAGGGCCCCCAGCAGCAGAGCTTTGTTTAGGATCATCTTCTTCCCAAGGCAGCCTCAGCAGTTGCTGCTCTGAGCTGCAGAGCAATTGTGAGGACCTCGAGACAAGCAAATCTGAAGACACCCAAACCAAACCCTGCCAGGTCAGGTTTTGGCCAATCAGAAAAATCCCCTATGGTGACATATTGTTTGCCAGTTGCAGAGTTTATATTAAGAGCCCTGGAAGAAGACAGGGACATCCTCTGGTTCTGACACATCCTCCACACAGCATGGTCTTGAGGAAATTTTCTATAAATAAAGGGAAGATACTAAATCTGAATCTTCTGTCATGTGTGCATGTCTGCTAGTGTCAAGAGGGGCGGGAATTTCCGAGCAGCCGCTTGGATAGGTAAGGTCATCAATAATATGGCATCCTTCAGGGTTTTCTGGGT
The DNA here is from genome assembly GCF_000001405.40 of Homo sapiens. Taxonomy (NCBI): domain Eukaryota; kingdom Metazoa; phylum Chordata; class Mammalia; order Primates; family Hominidae; genus Homo; species Homo sapiens. The sequence continues at coordinate 3,935,315 of NT_167248.2, read as the reverse complement.
TACATTCTCCAGGAATTCTTCCCTGAAGTGGTTTTCCTCCCTGGCAGTCCCCATCCCCTCCCCTTTCTCTGGCTTCTGTATGTGGGTTAGCTGTTTTTCTTTTTGCTTCCATAGTGTATATGGTATTCCCCAAATTTTGACTTGACCCCACCTTCCTAGGGATCTCTGCTGGTGGTAGCCAAGCAATACCTTTGCCTTTTCTACTTGTATAAATCCAGTTGGGTAAGTTCTCAAAAGCTCCAGGTGTTTTTGACCAGGGCAATTAAAGGGGTTAGACTGTCATGCGGTGCTGCCTACAGTAACCGATCTTTTACACAGTTTTTTCTTTTGCTTCTAGTAATCTTTATGCTCTGTGTTTCGGTGCTGCTTGAATATATTTAAAGGAAATTTAGGGACATTGATTACATTAAAAAAGTTTTGGCTGGCTCAATTACTCTAATAATTTATTTTATTTTATTTTATTTATTTATTTATTTTAAGACGGAGTCTCGCTCTTTGGCCCAGGCCGGACTGCAGTGGTGCTATCTCTGCTCACTGCAAGCTCTGCCTCCTGGGTTCACGCCATTCTCCTGCCTCAGCCTCCCGAGTAGCTGGGACTACAGGCGCCCGCCACCACGCCCAGCTAATTTTTTGTATTTTTAGTAGAGATGGGGTTTCACCGTGTGAGCCAGGATGGTCTCGATCTCCTGACCTCGTGATCTGCCCGCCTCGGCCTCCCAAAGTCCTGAGATTACAGATGTGAGCCACCGCGCCCGGCCAGTAATTTTTTTTTTTTTAATTTAAGAATGTCAAGTCAAATATTGAGAGTAGAATAAGGAGAATTGCTTTAACTTAGAAAATAGGTTTACTTTTCTTAAACTACTGGATCTTTTCATATTTGTTATCCAACCACATTAAGATTTCAGATATTGCAAGGGACTAGGGAATGAGCTAAAAGGTAGTCATTACAGGGAAACTTACCTTTTTTCAGATGAATCTATTTTCTGTATGTTATAGAAACAACAAGTTAGTAATGGAGGTTTCATTTAGAATCACTCTGTCCTTGTCGAATGGCCTTCTGAGATTCTCAGCATGTTGTCTTGCCTCCCAGTGGCAGAGACTAAAAAAAGGTAAAATAAAAAAGTGTCCTGATACCTGGGGGCTGCCTGGATGCAATTAACAAGGCCTTGGGGTTGCTAGGAGCTAGCCTTGTATTCACAGCTGGTTTTGATTCTCCCGTTGAAGATAATCAATTTCATAGAACATCAGAATCAGACAGGTAGTCTGTGAGTGCGATGGATTGAGACAGAAAATAAGGCCACTCAGTCATCACGTCTGCACCCGGACAAAACATGAATATTGTCCAAACTACAAAAATAACCAGGCACATCTCTCGAAAGAGTGATTGCTGCTTCTTTACCAATGACAGCCGTAGCCTCAGGATAGTCTTCCGTCCCTCTAGGTAGTATTTATGAAGCTACCCAATCATAGTATTGCCATCCCCACTCCCTGCTTTCTGTCAGAATCCAGTTAAAAATGAAGTCCCTCTTTCTTAAATCCTCCTCAAAATTACCTAACACAAGCACAAATCTTACAATTGATTAATGGTCAATTTTATGTGTTGACTGGACTGTGGTCCCCAGTTATTCACACACTAATAATCTAGGTGTTGCTGTGACGATAATTTGTAGATGTCATTAAAGTTCATAATCAGTTAACTTTAAGTATGAATTTATCTGAGATAAATTGGGTGAGCTTAGTCTAAGCAGTTGAAAAGTCTCAAGAGCAGAGCTGAGGCTTCTCTGAGGAAACAGAAATTCCACTGTGGACAGCGCGTCAGCCAGTGCTAAGAATTTCAACCTGCCTTTCCTGATGACCACCTCCCAGTGGGTCTTAGACTTGCCTAGTCCACCCCCACAGTTGCACAAATTAATTCCTTTCAGTCATTCTCTTAATATATGTGTTCTCCTAGTTCTACTTCTTTGGTTCCAACAATCTCTTACTGAACTGCTGCATGATTCCCCATGGTGACTTTTCTCCATCATTGCAATGAACAATAAAGCCAACTTGTTCATTCAAGGATATGCTCTTCGTGGTCTTTGGCCGGAGGCACTGATGGTACCTCATTAGGCAGTTGTGAGGAATGTACATATACTGCACTTGGAATGAATTACTCTTTATAAATACTTGTCATACTTTAGTATCATCCACATTTTTCAAGGAGGACATTAAAACTCAGAGAGGTAAAGGACTTTTCCCAGGGTCACATGGCTCGTAAGTAGTAGAGATGGGATGCTACAGGGGCAAGCCATGATTCCTCATGAGGGGTGAGGGGTGAGGGGTGTCTCCTTCTGTGTGGATTCAGAGTAAGTGCCCTAATACGATTAGGAGAGATATATGACACTATACATGGCCTTATTACTCTTTCTAGCCACTGCCATTGTGAACTAAGAGGGTTTTTGAGGTTGCAGTTGAGCTCTGCTCCCTTCACCGTGCAGCATCCTCTTTGCTGTGTAGTAAATAACACATTTCTATCTTTTTTCCCCTGTATCCAGACTTACCTGCTTTGTATCTGACAGAAATTCCTTAAGATTTTGGCAAATGAACTAAATCTTTCCTGATAGTACTCCAGAATTTCCCCTATTAATATTACAGTTTAAAAAACTCAACTCTAATTAGGAAGTTAGGGTGTTAAATGTGGGATCAGAATTGTATCTTAGAAGGGAAGTCGTGGGTTCAGTCTCAGATCTCACATCCTGTGGGATGGAGGGAAAGTCCAAGCAAGGCCACGTCATTGACTAAAAGATAATAGATGCCCTTTCTATCTTTAACTGGTTTTGTGTCCCTCTCCTCCTCCTGCTTCATCCAGCCAGAATACAGCGAACCTTGTTCTATTTGCTTCTGTTTTCAGGTCATAATTTTAATGCAAGATAGAATAATCAGTAAATTAGACTCAGAAGAACAGTATACCATTTTAACAGAAACCAATTTCTTACTTTTGTCTTGTAGAAATAGAAAAGGTCCTCAGTAGTTTGGGAGGCTGAGGCAGGCGAATCACAAGGTCAAGAGATCGAGACCATCCTGGCCAACATGGTGAAACCCCATCTCTACAAAAACAAAAACAAAAACAAAAAAAAATTAGCTGGGTGTAGTGGCACGCGCCTGTAGTCCCAGCTACTACTCGGGAGGCTGAGGCAGGAGAATCGCTTGAACCCGGGAGGCGGAGGTTGCAGTAAGCCGAGATCGCACCACTACACTCCATGCACTCCAGTCTGGTGACAGGGCGAGACTCCATCTCAAAAAAAAAAAAAAAAAAAAAAAGAAAAGAAAAGAGAAAAGAAAAAAGAAAAAGTCCTTTTCATAAAGTAATAATGAGAGTAAAATTTGGAGCTCAAAATACTACTTTGTCTAATAACTTTCTTAGAAAGCACTAATTGACATGCCATTGATTTCGTAACTAAAATATCAATGGGATATGCCATTACAATTGATATTATTAAGGGCCCTCTAAGAAATTAGGCAGAAATTATGTTAGTTCTAAGGAGCAGTTATAACATTCTCTAAGACCCTATCTTTAGGTCTAATTTTATGCATTGATGAAATTTTACTCTGAAGGCCAAGACTTCTATCTTGCAGTAGTTAAAGGTGCTTCACAACAATAACAGAGTCTAGAATAGCAAAATAAAAATATTATAGATTTTGTAATAAAATAAATATGTATTCCATGCTGCTTTTGATTTTATCAGCTCCATCACCCTTGGCAAGCCACTCAGAATACCTGAGCCTTAGGGTTATTTTCTATAATGTGGGATGAAAACTATTAGAAGATAATTAATATGATGAAATGATAGATAGGTACAAATTATACAGTTAAATACAGGCCAGTGTCTGACACCTAGCAACTATTCCCAAGTGGGAGCTGCTACATAAAGACAAATATTAATAATGATAATGATAGTAACATCACATATTGGGCTGGGACAGACTATTACTTTTTCTTCATTCATTTAAGCTTCTCCCTGTGGCACTCCAGGCATATAGGAGCCTGTGAGCCACAGAAACACTAAGAGATTTCTAGGAAACAGAATTTCTTTGAAGACTGTTGTATCTGTCAGATTTTTCTATGTAACAAACTATTCCAAAACTTAATGACTTCCAACAACGATTTAGTATCTTCGTATGATTCTGTAAGACAGACATTCTAAAATGGGGCCAATAGAAAATTCCTGCAAGTGATGTTTGACAATGTCTGGAGATACTTTTGTTGTCATTACTGGGGAGGGTGCTACTGGCAGGTATTGGGTAGAGGCCAGGGGTGCTGTTACACATCCTGCAATGCACATGGTAGCCTCCTACAAGAAAATAATCACCTGAAACAAAATGCCAACAGTTCTGAGGTTGAGAAGCCTCATTTTAGACCATTTTTTAAATGTGAAAAAATGTTTCATTTCCAGCGTTTATTTCTTTGTATAGATCCAGGTTTCTATGTGATATCATATGGCTACCGTGTGAAGGTCTTCCTTTTACATTTCTTATGGTGCAAAAATCCCATGGACACCAATATTCCCACGACTCAAAGATAATAATGAATGCATGACTATCTCAAGTGCATAGGCGCGGAGAGGAGGACAAATGAGAGTGGAAGCATTCCCCTGCCCCCATCTTCTCTCTTTAGTGCCCATTGTAAGCCTTTCAAGCTCCACCATCTCTCAGGTGCAAGATTGTCCTTGCCAATCTTCTTTAGTCAATGGGATACTTTTAGAGAAATACTATAGCAAGAATAATTTTTACTCAACTTGTATCATTGTAAATAATTTATAAAATATTTCTTTTGTTTGAGGTATTTTTCAAAATCCCCAAACATCACACATATCTGGATTCATTTTTCCCTAAAGTTGTCAGTTATTAAAACATTTGAATTATTCTTGTGTTATTATTTCTGTTTTTAATGTTCTGGCAAAATCACAACTTAAAATTTCTAGGTAAAATGCTTTACATATACATGATGACCTTTGGTAAATACATATGAATAATTTCATATAAACACTTGCTTTTAAAGTTTCCATTTAAAATTATTTGTCATTTTAAAATCACTAATGCTAAGTAAAAATAACTGTACAGCTGACTGTGGAGGTGTGTGCCTATACTCCCAGCAATTCAGGTGACTGAGGTAGGAAGATCACTTGAGCCAAGGAGTTTGAGGCCAGCCTGGGAAACATAGTGTTACAGGACTTTTCCTTAGTTCAGCTAATGACAGCGTCCTTGCCACACAGCCACAAGAAATTACGTTCACAGACAACTTGAAGGGTGAGTAGGACAACTTGAAGGTTGAGTATTGGGTGAAAAGGAAGAAAAGGGGAAACAGAGGCTCTTAGCAAAGTGAGAGAATGCATTTTTTTCTGCCAGTGGGCTTCCCACCTCACAGATTGAATTCCACGTTCCACCCAAAGAAGAGGGGTCAGTCTCCTCCCTGCCGCAAATGGTGCAAACTTCTGTGGCTCCGTCCCAGTTTGCACTCCTCCCAGTGCTCAGGCTGGCTGGAATTTATCTGGGGACCCCTTCCCACCTGGCTGTCTCAGTAGCAAGACCCCGTCTCTAAAAATAAATAAATGAAAAGATCTATTCAAAGAACGTTCACAATATGTACATTAGGATTGGAGAGCTCCTAGGAAAAGAATCAATCACTATTAGGCGTGAGGAATATTATCTGTTTCCCAGTAGTCAGTTCTACAACCTGATTCAGATGAATTAAGAATTTCACTTCAACTCAACAAGTATTTATTGATTACATACTATAGTCTCTGCACAAAGTCTTTATCAAATAACCTATTCTGTTTAGCTGAAGAGTAACCTGGGGCTATGGTGAAAGCAGATCTGCACATGGGAGTAATTTTGCGTGTTTTCCCACAGAAGACTATTAGGGAGCAGTATTTTCCCCATACTATTTTTTTGTTATTGTGTAGTTTATTTAAGAGAGCTGTTTAAAGCAACTAGTTCATTCATATAGGAGTTGTTACTGACAAAGAATTGGTGGGGATGATATTAAATAACAAACGGAATTGTCTTTGAAAGGTTACCTTATAGGTAACAGAGGGTCTAGAGCAAAATTAGTAGCAATATATTGTGTGTTTATGGAATATAAAAAAGTATATGATAACAATTGCACAATGAATGAGAGAGAGAGAAATTTGGAGCATACTGAGCTAAGGTATATTTGAAAGTATATTATACATAAATGTAAAATCCTAGGGCAAAAACTAATCCAAAAGAAGGCAGAAAAACAATTTTGAAAATGAACAAACGTTTAATAGAATTAATAAAAAATATCTAGCAAAAATAATCCAACCATGTTGATAATTTCATAGATATAATTGGCCTAGACACACCAATTAAATGATAAAGAAGATCAGACAGTAAAAATGGCACAATTGAACTATAATCTGTCTACAAGAAACCCATTTTAAATATAAAGGCATACCTACATTAAAAGTAAAATGAATGAAACTGTATACCATGCAAACAAAATCAAAAGAAAATTAATAAAAACTTGCCTTAACTTCATCTCCCCACTTTTTAACTTTTTGTTTTTTCTATTTATATCTTATTGTACTATGTCTTGAAAACTTGTTGTAGTTATTATTTTTTATTGGTTCATCACGTAGTCTTACTACTTAGAATAAGAGTAGTTTACACACCACAGTTGCAGTGTTATAATATTCTGTGTTTTTTTCTTGATGTTCTCCTCCCTGTGTCCATGTGTTCTCATTGTTCAACTCCCACTTATGAGTGAGAACATATGGTGTTTGGTTTTCTGTTCCTGTGTTAGTTTGCTGAGAATGATCATTTCCAGCTTCATTCATTTCCCTGCAAAGGACATGAACTTATTCTCTTTTATGGCTGCATAGTATTCCATGGTGTATATGTGCCACATTTTCTTAATCCAATCTATCATTGATGGGCATTCGGGTTGGTTCCAAGTCTTTTCTATTGTGAACAGTGCTGCAATAAACATACATGTGCATGTATCTTTATAGTAGAATGATTTATAATCCTTTGGGTATATGACCAAAATGGAATTGCTGGGTCAAATGATATTTCTGGTTCTATATCCTTGAAGAATCGCCACACTGTCTTCCACAATGGTTGGACTAATTTACACCCCCACCAACAGTGTACAGCGTTCCTACTTCTCCACATCCTCTCCAGCATCTGTTGTTTCCTGACTTTTTAATGATCACCATTCTGACTGGCAAGAGATTGTATATTTAAAAAACCCCATCATCTCAGCCCAAAATCTCCTTAAGCTGACAAGCAATTTCAGCAAAGTCTCAGAATACAAAATCAATGTGCAAAAAGCACAAGCATTCTTATATACCAATAACAGACAAACAAAGAACAAAATCATGAGTGAACACCCATTCATAATTGCTACAAAGAGAATAAAATACCTAGGAATACAACTTACAAGGGATGTGAAGGACCTCTTCAAGGGGAACTACAAACCACTGCTCAAGGAAATAAGAGAGGACACAAACAAATGGAAAAATATTCTATGCTCATGGATAGGAAAAATCAGTATTGTGATAATGGCCACACTGGCCAAAGTAATTTACAGATTCAATGCTATCCTCATCAAGCTACCATTGACTTTCTTCACAGAATTAGAAAAAACTACTTTAAATTTCACATGGAACCAAAAAAGAGCCCGTATAGCCAAGACAATCCTAAGCAAAAATAGCAAATCTGGAGGCATCACGTTATCTGACTTTGAACTATATTAGAAGGCTGCAATAACCAAAGCAGCATGGTACTGGCACCAAAACAGATATATAGACCAATGGAACATAACAGAGGCCCCAGAAGTAACACCACACATCTACAACCATCTGATCTTTGACAAACCTGACAAAAACAAGCAATGGGGAAAGGATTCCCTATTTAATAAATGGTGTTGGGAAAACTGGCTAGCCATATGCAGAAACTGAAATTGGACCACTTTCTTAAGTCAAAAGGACATACTGAGAACTGACCTCCTTTTCTCCCAGGTTTTTATGGTGACCCCTTTGCATCACCTGACTCCCAGGCTGCAGGTCAGACTTGTTGGTGTGCCTTCTGATGTGTTGAAGTTCTGGGCTTTGACCTTAGGGCTGATGTCTTGGAGGTGGTCTGTGGGGTTATAAAAAGACATACTCCTGAGGAGTTGCTGCCCCTTTTTCTCCTCCTCCTCATCCAAAAATTAACTCAAGATGGATTAAAGACTTACACATAAAACCTAAAACCATAAAAACCCTAGAAGAAAACCTAGGCAATACCAGTCAGGATATAGGCATGGGCAAAGACTTTAAAACATCAAAAACAATGGCAACAGATGCCAAAATTGACAAATGGGATCTAATTAGACTAAAGAGCTTCTGCACAGCAAAAGAAACTATCATCAGAGTGAATAGACAACCTACAGAATGGGAGAAAAATTTTGCAATCTATCAATTTGACAAAGGGCTAATATCCAGAATCTACAAGGAATTTAAACAAATTTACAAGAAAAAAAACAACCCCATCAAACAGTGGTGAAAATATATGAACAGACACTTCTCAAAAGGAAGACATTTATGTGGCTAACAAACATATGAAAAAAAGCTCATCATCACTGGTCATTAGAGAAATGCAAATCAAAACCACAATGAGATAATTATGTCAATACTAGACAAAGTAGATGTCAGAACAAGGAATATTACCAGGGATAAAGAGGGATATTATTTAATGATAAGGGGTTATTTCTCCAAAGACACATAACAATCTTAAGTGTGTATGCACCTAACAACAGAGCATCGAAATACATGAGACAAAAGCAGATAGAAATGAAAGGAGAAATAGAAAAGTCAAAATTTTTTTGTATGAGGTGTAAGGAAGGGGTCCAGTTTCAGTTTTCTGCATATGGCTAGCCAGTTTTCCCTAAAACCTGTGAATAATGGAGCTAAAGATTTACTTAAACATGAAGATCTTTGTTTTGTAAGAAATCACACATAGTTACACATTGTCAGATCTTTTTTAATTATTATTTTTACCAGACATAAGAAGGCAAGTACATATACCTACACATATATGTATATACGAGTATTTGAAATATTATCAGTCTATGTTACAAAGAGCTTTCACATGAATGATCTGGTTTAATAAACAAGTGACCACTGAATAAAAGTATTGCTTTTCTAAAGAGTAGGCTAACAAGTTAGCTAATTAAAACCTAGATCTGGGATTGGAGTAGAAGACTAGTTAATATCTGCTATCTTTTCCACTTTAGTATCAAAGGAGGGATGTGAGCCCATGTTGAGGATTTCTTTGCTGCCTTACCCTCTAAGTTTCTTTTCCTGTTGTCATTCCTCCTAGTGGAGCCTGCAGTGACCATCTCCCCAGCTAAGACAGAGGTCAGCCATCACAATTTGCTGGTCTGTTTGGTGACAAATTTCTTTCCTTGCCAAGTGAAACTCAGATGGTTCCAGAAAAAACAGGAGCAGACTGCTGGAGTTGTATCCACACCTATTCAGAATAGGGATTAGACCTACCAGATTCTTGTAATGCTAGAAATAATACCCGAGCATGGAGATGTCTACACCTACCATCTGGAGCACCCCAGCCTCCAGAGCCCCATCACAGTAGAATGATGTAAGGAGCACTTTATTGATATCATAAATTCAATGGAAAAAAGGAAGGGTGGGGGAGTTCTGGGTCTTGTGGGGGTGAGGTCACTACTAACCTCTGCTTGTTATATATTTTCATACCTTCTCTCCTACACAACTGTATCCCGATATAATTTCTGGACTAGTAGTCATGGAAGACTGAGATCCCATTGTCTCAAGTCAAAATGCACTTTCTGAGAACTGACCTCCTTTTCTCCCAGTTTATTATGGTGGCCCCTTTGCATCACCTGACTCCCAGACTATAGGTCAGCCTTGTCGGTGTGCCTTCTGAGGTGTTATAGTTCTAGGTTTTGACCTTAGGGCTGATGTCTTGGAGATGGTCTGTGGGGTTATAGAAGGACATATCCTTGAGGAGTTGTCATCTCCTTTTTCCCCTCCTCCTCATCCATCCATGCTGCCCCTTGGGGTCTTTGCCTGCCTGTCATCTCCTTTGCTTGGTGACAGACTACCTCTGTCTCTTACATCCTGGATAGGACTCCAGGCTTCCAGATGAGGACACTGTGGGGTGTGGGGACAGGCTCTGACACACAGGCTTTCACTTCCCAGGGACACTGTCTGAATCTGCCCAGAGCAAGATGCTGAGTGGCCTTTGGGGTCTTGTGCTGGGGCTGATCTCTCTTGGTTTGGGCCTTGTGGCCCAGCCATTTTTGGAATAAGAAAGGTAAGGCACCTTTGAAGAAGATGGAGAGACTGGTGCTGGGACTGAGGCTTTTTGTTGTAATTCGTCCTGTCTGACTCTGTAATGGAAAGGCAGCTAAGGTGGGGATGGGAATAGATCACAGAAATTAGGAGCATTGAGAGCTCCCTGGCCTGGGTCATGTCTGCATCATTACAGAAGGGAGTGGTGGAGGGTTATTCTTAAATAGACAGGGCTCCACTCACAGGTAAGATCCCTGCTCTCCTTGCCCAGAAATATGACACACATAAGGTGGAAAAAAGAGTTGAGTGTGTTTTTCTGGACACCTGAACATGCTTCAGTTATTTTGCTGTTCCTGAATGAATGTGGCATGAAACAAAATTCTGGAATATTCTGGAAAAAATTCTGGAAAAATTCTGGAATGTTCTGAAAAGTCTCTGCTCTAAACTTCAGGGATTATTCCTCAGAATAAGACCCAACCTGTGGTATCAGTCAGTCAGTGAGGCTTGGATGATGCCCCCAAATCCCCAAATTGCAGAGAGTGCTGCTGAACTTGGTGATAGGTGAGATGAGAGGGAATTACAGTTGTTACCATTCCAGTTAGTCCACGACCTGTGCATCACCAAAGCATTTCGACATCCTCTTCTGCCTTCCACAGGCCCCTTCAAGCTGATGTTTTGTGTTCACTTTAACAGAGTAAAGTGCACTTCAGATGTATTGTGATTTTGGTTCCAGACAGCACTGCAAGAAAGTCAAACGTATCTTTTGGTTTCCCAGTGCATATAAAAGTCATGTTTACAATATATAGTAGTCTATTAAGTGTGAAATGGCCTTATGTCTAAAAAAGTGCATACCTTAATTAAAATATTTTATGGCTAAAAATACTAACAATCCTCTGAGCCTTTAGTGAGTTATAATCTTTTTGCTGATAGAAGGTTCTTTCCTTGATGTTGATGGCTGCTGCTGCAGTTTGATGTGGCTGTGATAATTTCTTAAAATGAAAGAACAATGAAGTTTGCTGCATAGATTGACTCTTCCTTTCATGACATATTTTTTTGTAGCATGTGATGATGTTTGGTAGCATTTTACCCACAGTAGACCTTCTTTCAAAATTGTAGTCAATCCTCTCAAACCCTGCTGCTGCTTTCTCAACTAAGTTATGTAATATTCTAAATCCTTTGTTGCCACTTCAACAACATTCATAGCATCTCACCAGGGGTAGATTCCCTCTCAAGAAACCACTTTCTTTGCTCATCCACAAGCAGCAGTTCCTCATCCATTCAAGTTTTATCATAAGATTGCAACAATTTAGCTACATCTTCCGGTTCCACTTCTAATTCGAGTTCTCTTGCTATTTCCATGACATCTATAGTTCCTTCCTCCACTGAAGTCTTAAACGTCTCAAAGTCATCCATGAGGGCTGGAATCAGCTTCTCCCAATCTCCTGTTAATGTTGATATTTCGACCTTCTCCCATGAATCATGAATGTTCCCAATGACAACTAGAATGGTGAAGGCTTTTCAGAAGGTTTTCAATTTGCTTTCCCCAGATCCATCAGAGGAATCACTGTCTCTGACAGCAATAGCCTTATGTAATATATTAAATAACACGACTTGAAAGTTAAAATTACCCCTTGATCCATGAGTTGCAGAATGGATGTTGCATTAGCAGGCATGAAAACAACACTCATCTCCTTGTACATCTTCATCAGAGCTCTTGGATGACTAGGTACCTTGTCAATGAGTAGTAGTATTTTGAGAGGAATGTCTTTGTCTGGGCAATGGGTCCCAACATAGGCTTAAAATATTCAGCCAACTATATTTTAAACAGGTGTGCTGTTATCAGGCTTCGTTGTTTCATTTATAGAGCACAGGCGGAGTAGATTTAGCATAATTCTTAAGGGCCCTAGTATTTTTGAAATGGTAAATGAGCACTGGCTTCAATTTAAAGCCACCTGCTGCATTAGTCCCTAGCAAGAGAGTCAGCCTGATCTTTGAAGTTTTGAAGCCAGCATTGACTTCTCTCTAACTCTGAAAATCCTAGAAGACACCTTCTTCCAATAGAAGGCTGTTTCATCTCTATTGAAAATCTATGATTTAATATAGCCACCTTCATCAGTGATCTTAGCTAGATCTTCTGGATAAATTGCTACAGCTTCTATATCACCACTTGCTACATCATCTTGTACTTTGGTATTATGAAGGTGGCTTTTTTCCTTAAGCCTCATGAATCAACCTCTGCTAGATTCAGACTTTTTTCCGGCAGCTTCCTCACATCTCTCAGCCTTCATAGAACTAAAGAGAATGAGGGCCTTTCTCTGGATTAGACTTTGGCTTAAGGGAATGTTGTGGCTGGTTTGATCGATCCAGATCACTCAAACTTTTTCCACATCAGCAATAAGACTGTTTTACTTTCTTATCATTTGTATGTTCACTTGAGTAGCAGTTTTAATTTCTTTCCTTCAAGACCTTTTCCTTTGCTTTCACAACTTGACTAATTGTTGAAAGCAAGAGACCTAGATTTTAGCCCATCTTGGCTTTTGACCTGTCTTCTTCACTAAGCTTAATCATGTCTAGCTTTTGATTTAAAGTGAGAGACAAGTGACTTTACTTAGAGGCCATTGTAGGGTTACTAACTGGCCCAATTTTAATGTTCTTGTGTTCTTAGGGAATAGGGAGGCCTGAGGAGAGGGCGAAAGAGAGGGAGGATGGCTGGTCAGTGGAGCAGTCTGAACATACACAACATCTGACAATAAAGTTGATTGTCTTATATGGGTTCAGTTCATGGTGCCCCAAAACAATTACAACAGTAACATCAAACGTCACTGATCACAGATCGGCATGTAATAGTAATGAAAACGTGAAATATTACAAGAATTACGAACATATAACACAGAGACACAAAGTGAGGACATGCTGTTGGTGAAATGGTGCTGATAGACTTGCTTGGTGCAACCCTTCAATTTTTAAAAAACCACAATATTTGAGAAGCACAACAAAGCATAGCACAATAAAATGAGGCATTCCTGTTGCCATCTCTACTCAGTTACCAGGAAAGGTAACGAGGAGCAGGTGTTGACATAAGCTCAACCTTAGTGTCCTGACAACTGCAGAGAGGCCCCAAGGGAGGGAGGGACTGTGTTTCTTCAGGGGTTGGTGTGACATGTGATTGTTTCTTCTGTCTCCTAGAGGGCTCACGCATTGACTGCAAACATTTTTCTTTCTGGGATCTGTCACCTCTTTCTTGTCTTGTCTTGGCTTTACTCTTGTCTGTAATTCCCAGCTCCTCTTCTGTCAGGCCTGTGAGCAAGCCATTTCTGCCAGCTGTGTCACCCATCAGGACATGACTCCCATGGTGACTGAGAAGTGGCTGCCAGGTTGTTGCTTGTTCTTGTCTTTCCTAAATTCCTGCCTGCAAGAAATTTCCTAAATGTTTGCTCACTACCATGATAATGAGAGCTCTGCTCTCTGCTGTCTGCTGTCCCTGTTTGGACCATAAGTACTTTCATAAGCTTTTACTACCTTCTTCTGTTTCTGAAGACTGATCATGAACTAAATGTCAAACTTCTTATAATTCAATAATTAGTTTTTCAAAATTAAATAGATTTGTGAGTCACTTGTGTTTCTAATTCTGATTGAGTAGGGTAGTGGTGTTGGTGGGAAACATTGAGCTAAGAAAGGGATCAGATTCTAGAACTTTAGTTCAGTTATGACCCCCAAAGAAGACAATGTCCAGGGAAGGACACTCAAAAATCATGAGTCCCCATACTTGGTCTAAGTCAGGTGCTACATAAGAATGTGAAATGAGATATGAAATAAATTTAATTTTTCATCAACAGTGGGGCTTGGAAGTTGGGATTGTGTGCAGCAGTCTTTCCTGGCTTCTGCAATAGTCTGATTAGTTTCACTTATTTGTGCAAGTAGAATTGTTTTGCACCAGTCATGGTACCTAATGCCATAACTTAACCAAACGGCACCACAGATATCTTCTGGTGAGTACACCGTGTTCTTCAGGGCAAAAGACAATGATTGTTGATTCCATCCAACCTACCCAATTGTATAATTACCAATGGAGGTTTTATTAGAAAGTAGTATTTTGGTAGCTTATAATGGAAACTCTATTAGACCATCTTAAGGGGAAAAATTAATTTTGGGGCTCATGCAATCAAAGTTTCTAGGTGAATTTAGCTTCTGAAAAATGCTTAGATACTGGACACAAATGGGACCTTTTTCTCTCTTCTCTTTCATTTCCCTCCCTCTCTCTCTCTGACCCTTCTCTCCCCCTTCTGCCCTCATTCCCTTCTGTCAGTGCACTTCTGTTTCATTCTACTCTATATTTCTCTCTGACTGTTTGTCTCTTCCTTTCTCTTCAAATCTCTTTTCTATCTCTGTCTGAAAGACCTCCTCCCCATTAATATATTTGATAGCTTTTCTTTCTTCGATTTGCATTTTCCCTTATATCCATTTCTCTGAATCGCTGTTTCTTTTTCTCTCTGTGACTCTCTCTTACATATATATGTGTGTGTGTATATATATATGTATGTGTGTGTATATATAATTTATTATCTGCCTCTTGGGTTGTCTCTCTGTCCACCTCTTTTCCCCCCTTCCATCTCTCTACTGGCCTGTGTGCCTCACTGCCATTTTTTCTCTGTCATTCCATCTGTCCATTGTCTTTTTCTTTGTCTATATTTTATGTTTATGTTGTTTATTTCCCTGCATCTTTCAGTCTCTGTTTCTCTTTGTGTGTATGTATTTCTTTGTCTCTTGCTTGTGTTCTCTGTGTAGGTCTCTTTGAGTTCGGCTTTTTTCCTATTGATTACCCTTATTTTCTCCTATGGAAGTCAAACATTTCCTACATGGCTATGAAGATGGACATCTCATATTTTCAGCTCATCATCTGAATAGCAACAGATCAAACATGTCAGCTCCATTTTGATAATCTGACGAAAGCTTAGCTTGAGTGGCATTCCAGTTTCTCAACCAATCACTTTAGCCATGGGATGTGGGACTCTGATTAACCAGGCCTTAGATTTGAACCCACTTCTGTGTCAGGAATACAGATTTTCTTTTTCCTAAACAAAGATGGAAAAAGACCAAGGCTGGATAGGTCATAATAGTAGTGGCAATAAAAATAATAACTATCATAATCTATTATACAAGGCTCTTATATATGAAGTCTCTCTCCCTCTTTCTCTCTCTCTCTGTTTCTCTCTGTTCCTTTTCACATTAAAAAATTCAGAAGATGCTCCCTTTTAGTATAATATATGTAGTTCTTATACAACTGAAGCTTCATTTGTCCCATTCTAAAATGAGAAAATCCCAAATTATAAAAACCTCCAACTCCAGGAACTCTGGTGATATGAATTTCTCCTTAACTGCTTTGAACATGACTCTTATTTGTCCTACAAACTATGATGAAATAATAGATAAATCTACCTTCAATACAGGTGGAAATAATAACATAACCACAATGAAACCATAATCAACGATCACTTCTGCCCAATGTGATGAGATATTGAAACGCTAGGTGAAATCTGTTGCCCGCTGCTGTTTCATGGGGATGTAATCTCTTATGGAGAAAGAACGAGTCACTAGGACCCAAATGCAAAAGCAGCTGGAGTTATGTAACAGGGCACTCCTCACACACAGTCCCCAACATGTGTCTGCTACTACTGTCTATTTTGGAGGGAGTCATCAAGGAAAATATGGTTGGCAAAATTAGGGCAGATATCAATATTATTTGAGATTTGTCATGTCCATGTGAGTCTCTTTTGTTATGAACGTTTTCAGGTATAGATCCCCAAGATGCTCTGTTATTAAGGTTTTCTAGTGAGGAGTCAATAGCAGCTTAGCTCTTGGAGTCCTGCCCCTATTTAAGGTTTAAATAATCAGATTGGACAGTTATGAAATACTAGATCCTACCTATCTATGACTTCAGATGTGTGGGAGTATCTTGCCTTTAGCTTCTTCCACACTTTTTAGTTTACATCACTGGTTTTATTTAATAAAAGAAATAACAGAAAGGCATCAGGGGAAGGAGGAATTATCCTTGATTTGTCACATTCTCAACTTCCACATTCAGCCAGTTGGTGAATTCTATCAATTAAATGATAAAATATTTCTCAGCTTAGTCCATTTTATTCATCTTCTTTGTAGCCACTTGACTTTAACATACTGCCGTATTCCTCCTGAATTGTTGAAATAGCCGCCTACCCCATCGCCCTACTTCCTTCTTGATTCCTACAATTCATTTTCCACACAACTGCTAGAAATGTTTATACAACTTAATCTATACCACATCTGTATCATGATTAAACACCTCACATGTTTTCTTATAGCATCTAGAATTAAACCTAGATTTCTTACCTGGCTAATCAAATCTTCTGCCTGGCTAATAAAATCTTCTGTGATCTGCTCTTTGCCCATACTACTGAGTTCACTGTCTACCTTTTAACTATCTCATTTTATTAGTTTGGGTAACACCAGCTGCTATACGGAATAAAGATAAAAATTTCAGGGGACTAGCTAAATAGACATTCTCTTCTTATTCACATAACAGTCCATTGCCAGATTGTTAATAGTCTAGATGTTTTTCTCCACACAGTGACTCAGGAACTCAGGCCCTTCACATGCTGTGATTCTGCTCTTTTACTGGACTTTCTGCTCTCTGCTTCCAATGATGAAAGGCAAAAGAGAGAGGGTGGAGAAGGCACACTTATTACTTAATTCCTTGGTGTGCCAGCGACACACTTCACTTTCAGTCACATTTCATGGTGAGAACTAGTGATGTGACCCCACCTAGATGAAAAAGCGTGAAAGTGGAGTCCTTACTTGGACTGCCATTTCTGAGCAATATCACTAAGCAGCAGGAGGAGGAGTGCACAAATTTTGGTGGAAATCCAGCCATCTCTGCCACTGACTTCATTTCTGTTTTTTTTAACATTTCAGGTTTAGTCTATGTTAGGATGGTTCCTTCTGCCTGGAATATTTCTTTTCCTGATTGTTACATGTACATTGTCTTATTTCTAGCTCCTTTATGTTATTTTTGTTTCAGCTTAAATATAACCTAAGAAAAGATTTTCCTGATGACCAAATTTGGAGTTGCCACTCAGTTATTCTTAGTTAAATATTAATTTTCTTCATATCAGTTATCACATTTGTGAAAGCCATATATTCAATTGTAAGACCTGGTAGTTGAACAATTATTTTTAAAAGTCAATTGCAGTTGAGAATAATTAGAATGATTTGTAAATATATAATGTGGTAAACATTTTATTTTAACTTAAGTAAATACATGTATACATGTATATTTGTTTGGCAGTATGTTGACATAGAACCAAACCTTCACTTGGAGAATGTGTCTGTTGTTTAGAGTTTTAGGTTATCTTAAATGGCTAAACAACACCCATAACAAACTTTCTATTGTATCAAATTTTAGTTTTTTAAAAAGTTTATGAGAATTTAGAGTGAAACATTACAAAGAATTCTGAATTTAGAAACCCTTTAGATTTTCACCTCATTTTCTCCATTTTAAAAGTTATTTTACCTATATCCAATTTAATAATATTTTATTAGACAACTTATCTTTATTATTTCCAAAGCATTTAATGGTTTAAGAACTTAAATTTTCCCTTTTAAAATTAATTCTTAATTCATAATGAAATATTTACTTTATTTAAATATATAATTACAATAACAAGTCAATAGAGATGAACAGATTTGTGAGCAAACGCCAGCAACTTTTGGCAAACATTAAACTCAACTAATGGAAGCAGAAATATACAGGAAGGCCAAAAAACAGCTGTGAGCTGTTGGCATGTCACGGGCATCAGCTTGTTTACTGAAGAAATGAAATATGCCAGTTAAACCAACAAATCAATTCAATGAAATTGTCTATTCTACCTGGTCATTTTGTTTTCACTTAATTGATCATAATATAAACATATAATCTCTTATTTTTCTGGTCTCTGTCAATCTATTGATCTATAATTATTATCTATCATTATCATTTATTCATCTATTTATTTAGAGTATAAAATCAAAAGAGAGACCTTGTCTATTTTGTTCAACAATATTCTAAGTACCTAGAACACTGCCTGGTATACAGTAGGTGCTTAATAAATATTTGCTGGTTGACTACATGATGACTTTTTCTTCAGGAATTCACCTGTCTCTCAAATCTTTCGTCCTTTCTTGGGAATGTTTTGGTACTCCTGTGCCAATATCACACATTATTATTTTATAATATACTTTGATATCTAGGGTGTCCTCTTCCTCATTCTTGATTTTCCTTTGCAAAATTTTCTTGGCTATTTTTGTCCATTGACACATATATGGTGGTAGTGGTGGTAATATTTTCATAAGGCAGAATTCCACCATTATTATTCAGTATTAACTTTTGTGTTTTCCACATTTCCCTTTTATGAATATGAAATGATGTTGTTTAAATGGTATTTTAAAAATCTTCAATATTGTATTTTCTACAGAAATACAATGCTTTATCATACAAGACCTTCAAATCAACAATCTCGCTACACACTCTTATCAATTGCATAGTCTACCTTTGAAATTATTTTGTGTATTTCCTTTGTACATAGTTATAACATCTGCTAAAAATGATAGCTTTTCTTTCTCTTCAAACTTTATAGCTTCTTCTTTTTCTGTCTGTACTGCATTGGAAGGGACATACAATAAACACCTAGTAGATGTTATAGCTGCCATTTTTGTTTTGTTTTTGAGCCCACCAGATATGCCAATATTGAAGTTCTTATTCTAAGACTTTGTCTTAGGTTTTTAATGCCAGAAACAAGAGAAAATAATTACTATCTAATTTCTATGAACCAGGGAAAACATGTCAAGAAGAGATGGGTTCTCTATGGTATCCTATTCATTACTCAAAATGTAAGTTTTATATGGATTTCAAATATAGCTAACTCTTTGATGTTGCTCAAGTCTTCCATTCTGTTCTGGTTCTCCATGAAAAAATAAAGAGGCAATCAGTTACCCATTGGGACTCAGTGTGCTGAACGAAAATTCCCAAGAAGAAGATCAATTTCAGGGGCAATTGGGAGGAGGGTCTTCGTGTCTTGGCCTTGAGGGCAAAGATGCTGAGGACTTCCTCTGATCAAGGTAATAAATGATCACTGAAAACAGACACGACCCCAGAATCCATATCCCTACATATAGTGCCAACTAGAGTAGGAGTTCAAGTCACAATTTATTTATTTATTACAGAAGAGGGTGTTGAGTTGCCATCAAAGAGGTTTTTTATTCTGTCTGTTCAAGTGGTAGACATGGAGTATTGAATAGCTACAGAGAACAAAATTTACCTTAGTTGATTTTGAGTGGAAAGGAGTTTATTACAGACCTTAATATAGCTTAGAGAATCATCAGGACAATAGAAGGAACTGAATCAGGCAACCAAGGAAACCACCTCCTCTTCTACAATCAGGAACTCATGCTGCCCAGAACAGCCATATTTGGGAAGCTCCTCCATTCAGTAAGCCCCCACGATCACCTGCTACAATCTGCACCAGTAACAGGCATGCTGCCTCTTTATATCCATGAAGTCAGTTATCAGACATGAAAATCTCTCCTAATTCTGACACAGAAAATAAGGCACCCCTACACTGGTGCCTTTTCAGGTCAAAAAAAAAAAAAAAAAAAGACCCTCAGCATGTCCAAAATTTACCAGAATGCCTCTGATTGGCTAAATCTAAATGACATCAAATGCTATCCAGGAAATGTTCTTTTCAGTTGTACACCTTTTGCAGTACAGGAGAAGTGCACCGGAAGAGGTTGAGAGGTATGTTGCATGACAATCCACTACATATGGGAATAGGGACACTCAAACCTTCTCCTGCATTTTTCTTAGTAACACAATTTCCAGATCCAATCCTCTGCAATGGAAACTAGGAGGGATGGCCTCATTACAGAATAGATAATGTACATGTCAATAATTTTTAGGCCCAATAGACCTTTTCTACTTAATATACCACCACCAACAACAACAACTTTTTGTTAATCCAGTGCCAAGGAGAAATAATTGACATGCCTGTCGCTTATTCCATATTTTAAGCTATTTTTATGGCTTGCTTTCTTTAATGAATGGTAAGCTCATTATCTCTTTTTAATCTTTCAAGCCATAGGCTTTGGTTTCAGTCTAGAGAAGCCAGCATTACCACAATGTCCCTTTCAGTCGGCTGTGGCCAGGAAGTTTCCAGAAAATCACAGGGCAATCCGAGTAGCTCTTCTATAATGTGTTTTTCTCCATGGTTTTACTTATTCCACAATATAACATTCTTTTGCCGCTCAATAAACTTCAGTACACTAACTCCCTATCTGTTTCTCTAACATGCAGATTTGTTTCTTCATTAGCAGTTTTCACTTATGTTCTTGCTGTGTGGAGTCGTTTGCTATAGATTTTGAATAGCTGGCTTTTTCTTAGCATTCAGGTCTCTTTTCAAATAGAGTATTTCTAGAGTAACAATTTCTAGTCACTCAACCTAAAGAAGTTCCCTCAAATCACTCCCAATTACTTTTGTTTTTCTCCTCAGAGAGCACTCATTACTATATGATAATCATTCTTCATTTATTTGATTTCTTTGATAGCAGCAACCTTATTTGTCTCATAAAACATTGTCTCTCTAACTTAGATTATTACATAGCCTGTATTAGATAATAATATAAACAAAACCCATATAAATTAATCATTAGTACATTAATCTCCATTTTAGTCAGATGACACTGAACTAATCATATAGTAATTAATACACAAGCTAAATAAGTAACTACTTCTATTTCAAGCTCTATCTCTTCCTTGCCACACTATCATGCCCTAGTTTCAAATTGTGTAGCAGATTTAGCCTCCTTCCATCCCCAACCATGATCCTAGCTTTCCACACAACCATGACTCAGCCCCAACTCTACCTAATCCTTAGTGCCAAGCAGCCTCTTATCATCCCTACTTGTCCTTCGAACCAACCACACTTGGATAAGAGTTACCTCCATACCAAAGTAAAACCCAGTGTAAATAAGCCCCTTTCAAACACACACACACACATACACACACACACATACACACACACACATGGCTTTACAAACAAGATCCCAAACCTTTTCCTTTCATGGTTGGAAGTTTGAAATAATGTAAATAAGCAATTCTGCCCTAATTTCCCTTCATCCTCAGTATCAAATGGAAACCAAACCAAAACAAGTCAAATTACCATAAAAGACAAAAATCTTTACATTAAAAGAGTAATTAATAATAAACACTTTAATATATTCTTTAAATAAGAGAAATCTTCGTTTCACCATGTTGGCAATCCTAGTGAAAAGCTGTACTCAAAGTTTAAATGAAAATTATTTTTTAAAAGACTTCTTGATTTCAGCATCAAGTGTAAAAGGCAAAACCTTGTAAAATTATAAGATTTTTATTTAAACATGAACAATTAGCCAATAAAAGAATCTTTTCCTTATGAATATGAAATGGGGTACAGATTATTGGAGCAACCCTTTTTCTTTATGATATGAGTCATAATTAAAAAATAAACTGCAGTTTATATGGTTTGGCTGTGTCCGCACCCAAATCTCATCTTGAACTGTAGTTCCCATAATTCCCACGTGACTTGGGAGGGTTCCAGTCAGAAGTAATTGAATCAGGGGAGTGGGACTTTCCCATGCTGTTCTTGTAATAGTCTCACAAGATCTGATGGTTTTGTAAATGGGAGTTCCCCTGAACAAGCTCTCTCTTGCCTGCTGTCATGTAAGACATGCTTTTGCTTCTCCTTTGCCTCCCACCATGATTGTGAGGCCTCCCCAGCCATGTGGAACTATGCGTCTATTAAAACTCTTTCCTTTATAAATTACCCAGTATTGGATATGTCTTTATTAGAAGCGTGACAACAGACTAATACAGCAGTTATCTCATGGCAATTTATTAGGAATATCTTATTAGAATATGTTAAACATCTTCTCACACTATTAGTTCCTGTGAGGTCTGATTGTTAAAAAGAGCCTGGAACCTTCCTCCTCTTTCTCTTCCTTCATCTCTCGCCGTGTGGTATCTGCACATGCTGGCTCCCCTTCTTCCGCCACAAGTGGAAGCACCCTGAGGTCCTCATCAGATGCAGATGCTGGTGCCATGCTTCTTGTACAACCTGAAAATCATTAGCCAAATAAACTTTTCTTTATTAAAAAAGAATATATCGAACATCTAAACTGATGCAATGTAATAAAACATATTTAATTTAATCCTATCATCATTTTTTCTTTTCAATGTGTTCTTTGGGGTTAGCCAATTCCTTACCTTGAATGAGCATTCAGGAAGGCTTCATAACCTCTCTGATAATGTTTAAGTAAAAAAAGAAAGGTATTCAATTAGTCCCATTCAATAGTCAAATTTCTATATTTTATTCAAAACGGAGGCCTCACACTCTTGCCTATTCAAGAGTGTTGCAGATGAGAAGCTCACAAACAGTGAAGGTGCAAAATTAGCTTCTTTTGTTTCTACAGCTTGTGCTTCTATTTCTTCTACCTGATATAGTTTCAGACCCCTGCGAGTTGAGGCATGAAGAGCAGAAGAGGACAGTTTTTACTTGCCTGATATTTCATGTGCTTGAATTGAATGCTCTAGGGAAAACAGATGCATAAGAAGACTCCATTGTGAACATTTTCATGAATTCTTTGAGAATCCACACTCCCCTAGTTCAGAGCCCGGTGAGGGCTACTGCATCTCCATTCTCATGGAATTCTCAGTCACTAGGCACTCTGGAATACTAGCAGCCTCTTTCTTCTATGATCTGTTTCTCTTGGAGGCTGCCTTGAGATACTAAGACAAGTAGACCCCAGACTTTTCCCTTACTTTTGGTCTATGTCAATTGCCAAGGAAAGATGAATCTCTTTCCTTCTGGAAGTCAGGCAAATCCTAGTGTAGCTACTTGTTCTTTTCTCTGCTTGAAAATGGTACGTGAGTGCTAGGAAGGCAAGAGTGTGGTCCCTTTAAATGATAGGGAAGCAGGGAACAGAAGTGCTGGGTAGAGGAGGGTATGGTCCCTGGCTAGGGCTCCACCCCCACGGACCTAGGTGAGAACAGGCATTTCCTGTCCAAATGTTGCATTTCCCAAGACCACTCTGGCCTGCCATGCCCCATCCTCTGCCTATAAAAACCTGAGACCCTAGCAAGACAGGGACAGAAGCTGCTGGACGTTGAGAGAGAGCACATCAGCAGAGGAACACACCCACTGGGGCTTCAGGAGCTGTAAACATTCACCCCCAGACACTGCTCTGGGATCAGAGCCTCACAGCCTGACCATCTGTATGCTCCCCTGGAGGTCTGAGCAGCGGGCACTGGAGAAGAGAGCCACATCGCACTCCCTGCAAGGGGAACAAGGGAATTTTTTCTGTTTCAAAAACATGTAGCTAAGTTGACTCTTGGACTTCAGCATTCTTCAGCATACCCCAGGTACCAATCTACTGAATTGTCCAAACTCTGGAATATGTATGTACATTAAACTCTCCAAGAGGTCTTTTCATAAGAAGGTTTTTAAAATTTGAAATTCATTATTTATTAAAAATATTTTTGGCTGGGCATGGTGGCTCACACCTATAATCCCAGCACTTTGGGAGGCTGAGGCGGGCAGATCACCTGAGGTCAGGAGTTCGAGACCAGCCTGGCCAACATGGTGAAACCCTGACTCTACTAAAAATACAAAAATTAGCCAGGTGTTGTGGTGCATGCTTGTAATCCCAGCTACTTGGGAGGCTGAGGCAGGAGAATCACTTGAACCTGGGAGGCAGAGGTTGCAGTGAAATGAGATTGCACCACTGCACTCCAGCCTGGGCAGCAGAATGAGACTCTGTTTAAATATATATATATACATATATATATGTGTGTGTGTATATATATTTGAGAAAACTGCTTTGTGCCAGAAAGTGTTGGAGGTACTAAAGATACAACAGAAATAAGGCAGAAAAAATTATTCCTGTCCTCATGGGACGTATATTTTAGTGGTCTAGGAACAGATCATAGACAACATTTTAAAAGGTACATTAGTTAGTATATTAGTCATCTGTTGTCACAACAATGCTGCATTACAAACAACACAAATCACCAGTGGCAGATAACAATATGCTTATATGTCTGGGTCAGCTAGGTGGCACTGCTAACCTTGGCCAAGCTCACTTATGTATCCAAGGTGGACTCTTCTTCACATGCCTCTCATCCTCTTCTTAGGGCCGGTGGACTTGCCTAGAAATGTCCTTATGGCAATGCAGAAGCAAGCAAAATGTTAGCTCCAATACATACGCCAATTTCAAGGCCCAGAGTGTGTGACATTTGCTAATAACTCCTTGGCTGTAGAGGAACACATGGTTAGGCCTAATGTTGAGAGGCAATTCAAGTCACCCATCCATAATGGGAGAGCATAGTAAAGTTAGATTGCAAAGGGCGTGGATATAGGGAGGGATGATGAATTAGGATCATCATCATAATCTATTACAGTCCACTTTTATTGCTACAATTTTTCATATTCTTCCAATATGAAAAATATGCTTACCCCTAATCTGGGATCACCAGAAGTCTCATGCAATCATGGCATCAGCCATCAAGTTCAAAATCTCACAATCAGGATGCAGGTCAGAATGCAGTTCTCCTTAATCCAGAAACATACTGATAGAGCTGGAGCCCTGTCATCTCGGACAAACACCGCCACTTTAAATTCCAGCTCCCTTTCTAGCCTCATGCATTTCAAGGAAATCACTTCTCTTCTAACTACAAATAGCCAGAAAGAGCAGACAGTAAAACACAGATAAGAGAGTTTGGGCACAGAGAAAGGTGGGGGGAAGGTCCCCTGGGTAACTGCCAAACTTCACCCTCATACAATGGGCCCTAAAACAGTGGGCCTTAATAAGCACATTCCTTTCCCTTCAGGTGCACTAAGATAGGGAAGCTAAAAGCAGACTCTGGGGATATGCCTGCAGCTGCAAAAAAGATGTATGGGAACAGACACACAACTCTCCCTCCTAGATAAGCACAACAAAGAGACACAGAAGCAGTCCAAGCCTTGGATAAACTCTCCCACTCTGAATCCTTAAAAAACTTAGTCTATAAGAGAGCGTGCCTCTGACCTAACTCGGCCAGAAGGCGCCTCTCAGGTTTGTTTTCTCTAAAATAAGTGTGCCGTGACTGGTGAGCCACCTTTTCATGTGTTTCTTTCCTCTTTCTTTCTCTTTCTTTCTTTTTCTTTCTTTCTTTCTTTCTTTTTCTTTCTTTTTTTTTTTTTTTGTTTGTTTTGAGATGGAGTCTCACTCTGTCGACTGAGTGCAGTGGCGCCACCTCGGCTCACCACAACCTCTGCCTTCTGGGTTCAAGTGATTCTCCTGCCTCAGCCTCCTGAATAGCTGGGATTACAGGCGTGTGCCACCATACCTGGCTTATTTTTTGTATTTTTAGTAGAGACACACGGTTTCACCGTGTTAGCCAGGATGGTCTCCATCTCCTGACCTCATGATCCACCTGCCTCAGCCTCCCAAAGTGCTGGAATTACAGGCCTGAGCCACTGCGCCCGGCCTCCTCTTTCGTTAATTCTAAGACATACAAGCCACAACAATAGAAACAAAGTTGTCTTTCCATCAGCACTCAATACACAGTGCTGAAACTGGGTCAGGATAATGATAGTAAACATGCCCATTCAAAAACGGAAAGAATGGGGGACTGAACAGTCACTGATCCCTGGCAATTCTGAAATTCCACTGAACAAATGCTGCCTTGCACATCCCCTCTAGGGGTGGACAATATTCCTTGATTAGCCCCTGACTCCTTTCCTTGGGAGTTTCTCATTAGTCTACCTGTCCTCAGAATTCTGTGCTCTTCCCTTTGAAAAGTACTTCCTTTTCTGTTTCCCTCCTTGGCCACCTTTAAAGAGCACATAGGATGATCGGCACTTTGAACAACTTTCTCAGCCTGTTTCTTTTACATAGAGAGTTGCAGATCCATTGCCCTTTTACATTTTAAACAACCTCAGTCTCTTTCAGTCCAGACTGGTGGCAGTTTTACCAATACAGCTGAATAAAAAACGTTGTGAGCTTTTTATATATTTGATCCCATGATACTCTGAATGCCAACAGCCTCACCAACAATTTTTTGGGAGACACAAAGCTCTTTCTAGACTTAATCACTTAGCACAAAAGAGCTTTAAATTAACTCTATTTAACCATATAGTCATAAATATCAAGGAATATATAGTAAAGAAAAAGATTTACAATCTAAAAAAGAATATGAATGTGGAATCTTTTAGATACGGAATCTAAATAAAAGAAATCAGAGTACATCATCTAAAATTAAAACTTAATGGGTGAATTTAACAGCAGACTGGTCACAGGCAAATGCAGTAATAGTTAACTTGAAGACAGTTTAATAGAAAGCATCTACTCTGAAGCATAGCACAAGATAAAATGAAGAAGAAAGATATCAGCATCAGAGACATGTAGGCATTATCTAATGGTCAAATATACTTACAATTGTACATAAAAATAAAGGATAAAGAGTGCAGCAGAGAAAACAAAAAGATAATGGCAGAAAATTTTCCAAAACTGATTAACGATGTCAAAACACAGATACAAGAAACTTATCAACCTCAATCATAGACTAGTGAAATAAAACCATATGTAAAAAAAAATAATAAATTGCTCAAAACCAAAGATAAAGAGAAAATGTTTAAATCAGCCAGAGACGAAAGTGTCTTGTCTTTGGAAAAAAAGAACAAAAAAGGTTAAGGCTGACTTTCAATAGAAACTTTGGAATCTGGAGGAAAATGGAATGAAACCTTAAAATACGCTAAGAAAACTTCTACCCCTAACACAAACCTAGAATTCTAAAATCAGAAAAACATCCTTCAGCAACAAAGCTGAAGAGGATCTTTCTGTGACGGCCAAGTTGGAATAAGCCCACTATAGTCTGTATCTTACACTAATTATAATGGGAAACATCAGGCAGAATATAAAAGGCAGCTATCTGTGGACCTTGAAAAGTACAAAATAGCATGAATATTAGGGAGGGAAGTCAGAACTTGGAGAAATAATAGTAAGGGAGTGAGTTCCTAGGGTTTTTCCTCTTTTGTCTCCTGGCTTTGACTTGAAGGTAACTCCAGACATGTAGTGTGCAGTGAGAGCAGAGAGAAGAAACTCCAAGAGACACCTCCTCTTTCTGTACAGATTGCAAAGGGGGTCTCCAGAGAGTGTGTGGAGCAATATTCCTTTTTTGGAACTTTACTTCTTTTTTCACTTCTAGTTCTTCCCTGAGTGTGGTCAGAATCAGGAAGCTGTACTAAGGCTGCTGTGGTGGAACCATCAAAAACTCTGAAAGAAACATCCCAAAAGAACTAGGGAAAAGGAACCCTGTGGCCTAAGGAATATGGGGTATTTCCCTTTATATTTTTGCTCAATTTTCTCTTCCCACTTTGCCTCAAGGGAAGCCCCAGTTGTGCAGAATCACATGACAATACTTTGAGAGAAACCAACCTTTCTGGCCAGAGGAACCGGTAAGAGGGACCTATGGGACCTGGAGAGTGTGGGAAAAATCTCAGAGGAGAGAGTGAGAGAAAGGGATCCCTAATTCTATACATGAACCATCATAACTCTCAGGGTCTTGGGCTCCCCAAGCCGCACGAGGGGGACAGTTTCACACCAGCATATCAAAGCCATTAGGAGCTGAACTATGATACAAATATCACAGTCCTAGTGCCAGACTAGTGGCTGAGAGGCCCAGGCACAGGGCAGGCACGAACAGCATGGCAAAGTCTTTGAAAACTATAATGACGTTAGAACTACGGCGCACAGAAAGCGAGATACAGCTTGCATTCTAAACTTGATGAGATTAGTTCTTGCTAAAACAAAAAATTCAACCTTCTCCTAGAATTTTAATGGGACCCAGAGCTCACAGTGTAATACAATCATGCACCACATAACGACAGTTCAGTCAAGGAAGGAACATATATAAGTTGGTCATCACGAGATTATAATGGAGCTGAAAATTTCCTATCCCTATATAATAGCCATTGTAACATTGTAGCATAATGCATTACTCACAAGTTTGTGGTGATGCTGGCGCAAACAAATCTCCTGTGCTGCCAGTCACATAAAAGTATAGCAATACAATTATGTACAGTACACAATACTCAATAATGACAACAAATGACTACGGTACTGGTATATGTATATACTATACTATACACTATATAGACGCCCTCTTTTTTCAACCATTATAAGATCTAGTCTTTGTTTCGGAGGACTGCACCAGCTAAGTGCATTTTATTGTTATTTTAGAGTGTACTCTTCCTTATAAAAAGAAAATTAACCATAAAACAGCCTCAGGTAGATCCCTAAGGAGGTATTCCTGAAGAAAACATCGTTATCATAGGAAGTGACAGCTCCATGTGTGTTTGTGTTATTGCCCCTAAAGGCCTTCCAATGGGACAAAATGGGAAAGTGCAAGACAATGATATTGATGATCCTGACCCTGTGTAGGCCTGAGCTAACGTGTGTGTTTGAACCTTAACTGTTTAGAAAAAAAAAAGTATAAAAAGTAAAAGGTTTAGAAAAAAGTTTAAACAATAAAGATATAGAGAAAGAAAATACATTTGTATAACTCTAAGTGTGTTTGTGTTTTAAGCTAAGTGTTATTACATGAGTCAAAAAGTTTATAATAATTCAGAAAGTTTATAAAGTAAAAAGGGTACACTAAACTAAGGTTAATTCATCATTGAAGAAAGACTTTTTTTCTGTAATTTAGTGTAGGCTGTGTACAGTGTTTACGAAATACTTAATGGTGTACAATAAAGGCCTAGACCTTCATTCACTCACCACTCACTCGCTGATTCACCCAGAGCAACTTCCAGTCCTGCAAGCTCCATTCATGATAAGGGCTCTATACAAGTGTACGAGTTTTTATCTTTGACAATTTCACAACACAATATAAAACAATTTGCTTAGATCCAGATTTGTTTTAGTCAATGTAAAATTCAAGAGAAAACAATTTTGATTAAGCTACTCAAAACCACACTTTCACATTCATGCCTTTTTCAATGCTTATCTGCAGGGGTGAAATCTGGACCAAACATATCCTTCTGAGCTGCAGGATACAAAAGCCTTATTTATTATTTTTAATTCTCTATTTTGCCACTTTCTGTAACTCACTATACCAATAATTCACTTCCCCTCTCTCTTTATTTTCTTCTCAGGGTATTTTGTTTTTCCATGAAATACCTACTTCTTCCTCATTGTCTTGCTTTGTGTCATACACAAGAGGCCTACCACATTCAATTTCCAATCTTTACTAACTTTGATATATATAACTTGCCACAAAACATCACTGGTGATGTTCTTGTTGAGGCTTTGCCACCATAAAACTTCTTCACAAAGAGTCCCATGGTTCAAAAGAAGATATTTTTGCTATTTTTCTCTATCCTGCTCATACACATATGCCTCATATAACCTTTTAATCTTGAACTTAGACTAGGTCCTTTAATGAAGTTGCTATGGAGCAGAATCACCATAATTCTTAACAACAATTAATTTTTTCCCTAAAGTCCACATCTTTGAAGGGAATTGGATCTTAAATTTATATTAGTAAAAAGGATCTTCACCTCTCTTAAATTTAAATACCTCATATGTCTTGAAAGATAAATTTCTCAGAGTAAATTCAATTTGTATTTCTTATCCTGGATTTCTATCCAGAAGAGCAATCAACAACTTGTATTGCTATTCTTCAGCTCATGATTGAAGAGTAAGATTTTCATAATTGAGGATTTAATAGTAGCGTTTCTTTTAGACTGACACATAACTTAAGCACAGAGTTGCATAAACATGTATATAGAGTTTAATAAATAATTAATGACACAGACTAAAAAGCTTATCCAGCTTCCCAGAAGCCCTGTGTGTGCACCTTCTACCTACCATCTTTCCCTTGGAGGAAAACATTACTCTGATTTTGTGCTAATTATTTACTTTTTAAAAATGTGTGTATGGTCTTAAATTTTATATAAATAAAATAATGTATTGGATTTGTTTCTTTCCTTTGATAAATATTGCTTTTACGAGATTCACCACTTTTTTTATGTGTAGTTGTGCATACACACGTTAGGATGGCTATTATTCAAAAGGAAAAAAGAGAATATAAGTGTTGCTGTGGATGTGGAGAAATTGGAACCCTTGTGCCTTGCTGGCGGGAATGTAAAATGATGCAGCTGTTGTGGAAAAAGGTAGAGTCATAACTCAAAAACTTTAAACATACAATTACCATATGATGCCATGATTCCACTTCTGGTCATATACCCAAAAAAACTGAAAGGAGAGACTTGAACATACATTAGTATACCCATGTTCATAGCACAAACGTTAATGGTAGCCAAAAGGTGAAACAAACAAACAAACAAATCTCCATCAATGGATGCCTGGAAAAGCAAAATGTGGTATAAACATACAATGGAATATTATTCAGTCTTAAAAAGGAAGGAAATTCTGAAAATATGCTATAACTCAGATGAAATGTAAAGACATTATGTGAAGTGAAATAAGCCAGTCACAAAAAAGGCAGATATTGTATGATTCTACCTTATGAGACCACCTTGAGTGATCAAACAGAGACAGAAAGTAGAATGGTGGTCACTAGTGGCTGGGAGGAGGAGGGAATAAGGAGTTGTTTATGGTTACAGAGTTCCAGTTTGGGATGAGGAAAAGTTCTGGAGATCTGTGGTGGTTATTGTGTACAATAGTGTGAATATATTTAATGCCACTGAACTGTACACTTAAAAAGGTGAAAATGATGAGTTTTAGTTTATTTATATTTTCCCACAATTAAGGAGAGAAGGAAGGAAGGAAGGAAGGAAGGAAGGAAGAAAGAGAAAGAAAGAGAGAGAGAGAAAGAAAGAAAGAGAGAGAGAGAGAAAGAAAGAAGGAAAAGAAAGAAAGAAAATAAAGAAAAAGCTTAATGCTTAGAATTGGTGTAAAGATGTATAAGACTAACAAGTTTAAGCAAAAATGATGTTCAGTGTAAGCCACACTTGGTTCCCAGAGTTTGGGCATTGAAACTGGAGTCCCAAGTACAGATTATATAAGTCATACCCTTAGATAACATTATTTGAGGCCTATGTATGCCATAAAATAGGTCTAAGTGTTTTATATGTATTACATCATGGGTCCTCTCAACAACCTACTTTGTGGTTACTAAAGGATTACATTGCATGTAAATATAAAATACTATATTAATGAAATCTTAGTTAATCTACAAAGTTCCACAAAATAAAAACAGCCTAAATTGTAATGTTGTCAATAATCATAATTTATGAGCTTGAGCACGGAGTAAATTTAGATTGTGTTTTTACTACCACCAAATGATGCACATCCATTTACCTAGTTCACGGTCTCTATCTCTCCTTTCTCATTTATGTTAATCCAAATAGTGATACACACAGTGTTATGCAGCCATAAAAAATGATGAGTTCATATCCTTTGTAGGGACCTGGATGAAATTGGAAACCATCATTCTCAGTAAACTATCGCAAGAACAAAAAACCAAACACCGCGTATTCTCACTCATAGGTGGGAATTGAACAATGAGATCACATGGACACAGGAAGGGGAATATCACACTCTGGGGACTGTGGTGGGGTCGGGGGAGGGGGGAGGGATAGCATTGGGAGATATACCTAATGCTAGATGACACATTAGTGGGTGCAGCGCACCAGCATGGCACATGTATACATATGTAACTAACCTGCACAATGTGCACATGTACCCTAAAACTTAGAGTATAATTAAAAAAAAACAAAAAACAAAAAAAAAACAAAAAAAAAACAACCTGAAAAAAAAAAATTACCTTCAGGCTGCTATATGTATAAAGTGTATATAAAACATAAATGCATAAAAAAAAAAAAGAGTTAAAGAAAGAGGAAAGAAACACAAAAAGTGGCTCAACAGTCAAAGACAGGTTTATTTTGGAGAATAAACCTGAGAGGGCTTCTGGCTGATTTCAGTCAGGAGCCCTCTCTCTTACAGACTAAGAGTATTTAAGGGTTTGGGGCGAAAGGCTTGAATGTTTCTGTGTGGAGAAGAAGTTTATTGTGGGGTTGGAATGTCTCTGGTTGGAGGGGAGGTTATCTTGGGGTTGGCATCTCTCCGGTCAGAGGGGAGGTTATCTTGGGGCTGGTATGTCTCTGGTTGGAGAGGGGTTTATCTCAGGGTTGGAATGTTTCTGGGCAGAGGTATCATTTGTGGTTTAAGGTCATGCTGCCATTAGCCATTAGGCTGATGCCCTTTGGGTTGGATTTAGGTGGCTTTTGATCAAGGGGAACTTTAAAATGGTGGTGCATGTCCAAAATGGCGATGCTCCTGCTCTGTCAATCCAGATCCTATAGTTATAAAAGGATGAGGATGGTGTGTTCTTTCTGGCTAATTCCTGCTGAGGGGGGTGTGGAGAGTTTTCTGGTCTCAGATTGACTGTAGGAGTAATGCCGTCTGTAGATGTTTTTGGGTAGTTGTCTGTGAAATGGCCATGATCCTGTTGGTTAAAAATCTTTGGAAAAGATTAATTAGGCAGGGTAAGAAAGTTAGTCCTAGGCATATCATTAGGAGAGGGCCCAGGAATGGGGTGACTCATGCTATGATTTTGTTCCCAAACTAAGAATCTATTTGGTTGTGTTGGTATTCCCTTAGCTTTTCAGCCCTTTCTTTAAGTTTTTCGGCAGCATCTCTTACTACGCCCGACTGGTTGAGATAGAAACAACTTTCCTCACCCAGTTAGAGGCAGATGCCCTCTCTTTCAACCATTATAAGATCTAGTCTCTGTCTGTTCTGGAGGACTGCACCAGCTAAGGAGTCTAGTTGGTCTTGGACTCTTACAAGGCTTCAGGCTATATCTTCTAGAGATCCCTGTAGTTCTGTTGAAAGAACCTTAAAGTATGTGGCTAATCCACCTGCTCCCTCTCTAAGTCCAGAGGTTATACCCAAGGCAGCCATTAAGGAATGATGTGGATGGCTCTCCTTTTCCTAACATATTGGATGGATGGGATAGACAAAGGTTGATTAGGAGGAGCTAGTCCAATGGAAGGAGAAAGATAAACTAGAGAACAGGTTCCGGTCCGGTTGGTGGGGAGACAAAGATATGTGTTGGTGCCACACAAAAAGAACAAGCCTTCATCGTAAATACAGGCAGAGATATGGAAAGAGAATAAGTGTGTTAAAGATTGGATGTTGTTTCTTTCCTGCAGTTCCTTACTCCAGATGGACAAGGAGGAGGCCAGGGAGACATCCACTATAGTAGAGATATAGCAAGAGTTGTTTTTTACACGTTTAATGTGATCGGATGTTGCATCATTGATATTGAGCCATGGAAAAAGGTAGGAACCAGGGACAGCACAAGTTAGTTCAGAGGCATTGGTTAAGGGATAGGCTGTAAAACAAGCCAGATGCAGAAACGTTCCATTTGCTTCAGGTGATAACTTGGTAATCAGCTTGGTTAGTCTGATGGTTAGAGGGGTGTTTAATAATGATAGTGCAGTTGCATTGGTTAGGTGTGAAGGATCCTACAGGGAAATTTCCTTCAGAAGCTGAAAAGCAAAGTGAGGCTTATTGTAAAAGGGGGGTGTGTTTAGTTATAGGCCCTCCAATGCCGGGGCCTTGGGGCTTGAAGCATTGTAGGGAGTTGTAATAGGTTTGAAATAATTTGTTAGCCTGATTGGCCCTGGAAGTGGGATAATCGCCGACCACAGTCGCAGTGCAGTGCTAATATTATCAATTATTAGTGTCTCCGCAACTTCAGTATCTCTTATTATTCTAATTCTACTAACTATTCTCGAGTTTGCTGTTGCTCTTATTCAAGCTTATGTCTTCACACTATTAGTAAGTCTTTATTTGCATGATAATACATAATGACCCACCAAACACTTGCCTACCATATAGCTGTACCTAGCCCTTGACCACTAACAGGAGCTCTCTCGGCTCTCCTAATAACATCTGGCCTGGCCATATGATTTCACTTTAATTCTACCACTCTTTTAACTTTAGGCCTACTAACCAACACACTGACTATACATCAGTGATGACGTGATATTGTCCGAGAAAGTATATTCCAAGGCCACCACACAACAATTGTCCTAAAAGACCTCCGATACGGGATGCTCCTATTTATTACCTCAGAAGTATTCTTCTTCGCTGGTTTTTTTCTGGGCATTCTATCACTCCAGTTTAGCACCGACCCCAGAATTAGGAGGACATTGACCCCCAACAGGTATTCTTCCCCTGAACCCTTTAGAAGTATCTCTCCTAAATACGTCTGTATTACTTGCATCAGGAGTTTCAATTACTTGAGCCCATCACAGCCTAATAGAAGGTAACCAAAAACAAATAATTCAAGCAGTACTTACCACGATCCTCTTAGGAGTCTATTTCACTCTTCTACAAGTCTCAGAATATTTCGAGGCCCCTTTATTATCTCTGATGGAATCTATGGCTCAACATTCTTTGTAGCCACAGGCTTTCATGGACTTCATGTTATTATTGGATCAACAATTCTCACCATCTGCCTTCTTGCCAATTAAAATTTCATTTTAGGCCCATCATGGTGGCTCATCCCTGTAATCCCAGCACTTTGGGAGGCCAAGGTGGGCAGATCACCTGAGGTCGGGAGTTCGAGACCAGCCTGACCAACATGGAGAAACCCCGTCTCTACTAAAAATACAAAATTAGCCGGGCATGGTGGCGCATGCCTATAATCCCAGCTACTTGGGAAGGCTGAAGCAGGAGAATTGCTTCAAATGATCGTCCCTCTTCATCCTCCCAAAGTGCTGGGATTACAGGTGTGAGCCACCACACCCAGCCCAGCTTTGTTAATTTTTCTGTTTGCTGGTTTTCTGTTTCATTGTTGTCTGGTTTCATTTTTATTAATTCCTTCTTTCTTTTATTTGTCTTTGCCACATTTAATCATTTCTTTTTTTTATTTATTTTACTTTAAGTTCTGGGATACATGTGCTCAACATGCAGGTTTGTTACATAGGTATACATGCGCTATGGTGGTTTGCTGCACCTGTCAATCCATCATCTGGGTTTTAAGACCTGCATGCATTAGGTATTTGTCCAATGCTCACCCTTCTCTTTCCCTCCACTCCCCAACTGGCCCCGGTTTGTGATGTTCCCCTCCTTGTGTGTTCTCATTGTTGAGACATGTGAGACTTGGATATGTACTCTCATTGTTCAACTCCCACTTATGAGTGAGAACATGCGGTGTTTGATTTTCTGTTCCTGTGTTAGTTTGCTGAGGATGATGGTTTCCAGCTTCGTCCATGTCCCTGCAAAGGACATGAACTCATTCTTTTTTATGGCTGCATAGTATTCCATGGTGAATATGTGCCACATTTTCTTTATCCAGTCTATCACTGATGGGCATTTGGGTTGGTTCCACATCTTTGCTTTTTAATTCCTTCTTTCTACCTTCTATCTTCTTTAGATTTAGTTTGCTTTCCTTTTTCTACCTTCTTAAGGTAGAAGCTCACACCATTGATTTTAAACTTCTCTTCAGTTCTGATGTATACATTTAAAGAAACTAATTTCCCTTCAAGCACTCTTTCAGCTTTATCTCATACATTTTGATATAATGAACTTCATGATCATTCACTTAAAATATTCTCTAATTTTCTTTGTAATTTCCTCTTAGACCTATGGCTTATTTGGTAGTATGTTGATTAATTTCTGTATATTTAGGGGATTTCCAGGTTATCAGTTTGGTGCTGCTTTCTAATTTAGTTGAGGTATTTTTATTTTTATCTTTTTTGGTCAGAGAACATACCCTACCCAGTTTGCATACTGTTGAATTTCTTGAGACTAAATTTATGATCCAGTATGTTGTTCATCTTGATGGATATTTCATGTACACCTGAAATAATA
Organism: Homo sapiens; assembly: GCF_000001405.40. NCBI lineage: Eukaryota > Metazoa > Chordata > Mammalia > Primates > Hominidae > Homo > Homo sapiens. The sequence goes on along the minus strand of NT_167248.2, from coordinate 3,899,067 downwards.
TGTATTTTGCCATTGCATATTCTAGTCTAATGTCTTATAAGTGTCAGTTAGGTTGATTTAATTATTAGTGCTATTCCACTGTTTAATATATTTTCCTGATTTTTTGTTCATTTCTTTTACCAATTATTGGGAGAAGCATTTAAAAATCTCTAATTACGATTGCAAATTTATCTATATTTTCATTTCTGTCAATTTTTGTATCATTTATTTTTAAGTCATATTATTAGATGCATACATATTTAGAAAAGTTATGTTCTTCTTATGGTTTTTCCATCATTATGACTCAAGTTTTATTTTTATTCCTGGTAAAACATATTTTTAATGAAGATTTTTTTTGTTATTAATATGATCAAACTGAATTTATTGTGATTTAGGTATTTGTGGTATGCATTCTTTCTTCTGGTTATTTTTTGCCTATCTGTGTAAAGAGCATGTATCTACCATTCTTTGAACATATTCTTATCTCTGACACCTGACACGTATCCATCATTCTTTTTTTTTTTTTTTTTTTTTTTTTTTTTTGAGAAGGAGTCTCGCTTCTGTCGCCCAGGCTGGAGTGCAGTGGCGCGATCTCGGCTCACGGCAAGCTCCGCCTTCAGGGTTCACCCCATTGTCCTGCCTCAGCCTCCCAAGTAGCTGGGACTACAGGCGCCCGCTACCACGCCCGGCAATTTTTTTTTTGTATTTTTTAGTAGAGGCGGGGTTTCACCGTGTTAGCCAGGATGTTGTCGATCTCCTGACCTCGTGATCCGCCTGCCTCGGCCTCCCCAAGTGCTGGGATTACAGGCATGAGCCACCGCGCCTGGCCGTATCCACCATTCTTAAATATCCTTACTTTCTATGATCATCTTTTATTTTTTTTCTCAAGCTCTAGAATCTGTCATAGCTCTGGGTTCTTTTAGAAGAGTCTGGTTAAAAAGCTAGATCAAGATCTGTGTGTTAAGTGTGCTCATTGCTATGGGAATGTCAAAAGTCTAAGATCCTATTTGTGGACATACACATAAACATCTATACATTTATTTCTATAGCTACTTACTTATATTAAAAACCATATGTCTACGTCTAGCCTTTCTAGAAACAAAAATTATGAAATCTATAAAAATGACTTAAAAATTTGCAATCATTGGAGATCTTTTGAAGCATGCAGAATACATCAGGAGATAAATATTGAGAAAAGGAAAGTAACTAGGTGAGTTCAACGTTTACTGTGAGTTTCCCCTGAGAGTGCTTTTCAGTCTAAAGCAGTAGATGGTAGAACAAAGCTCAAGCAGAAAGATGCAGTCTTACCAGGAAGAGAAGACGGAGGTTGGAGTTTGGTGCCGAAAGAATTAGTTGCTATTGAGGAGAAAAATCCCCAAAAACCATGAAAACTCAAAGAGGGGCCCCTATTCTGCATGCAAATTTCTTTCAAATGCAGAATTTTGGGCTCTCCTCTGTGGTATTCTTATTTAGGATTTTCCACTCAAGTTCTACAAATAGTGCGCCACTGCACTCCAGTTTGGGCAACAGAGCAAGACTCTGCCTCAAATAAAATAAAATAAAAATTGTTTTAAAGTTCCACAAATCTTAAAGACCTAAGTTCTGACATCTTTCTACTCAGTTACCATTAGGAGGGAGAAAAATATACTAAGAAAGGCAAGTAAAGAGGAATAAGAGAAAAAGAACAGATGGACCAAAAACAAAAAGCAGCAAGGGGGTAGACTTAAATCCAGTACTTCAGTAATTACATTAAATGCATATTTCTAAACTGGATAAATAAGCAAGACTTTTGACCATACACTGTCCATAAGAAATGCATTTTAAGTATGAAGACACAGGTTAAAAATATAAGGATGAAAAAATATACACTGGGCAAGAAAGCTGGAGTGGCTACATTAATATCAGACAAAGAAAACTTTACAAATAAGGAATATTACTGGAGATAAATTTTTCATAATGAAAAAGAGTCAATACATCAAAAAGACATATAATCCTAAGTGTGTATGTACCAAATGCTATATACAGCTTATTTTCAAATTCACGTAGAAAATACATAAAAATATACCACATATATTGACATCAAAACATTTCAACGAATCTAAAAAGCAGTGAGAACATTGGACAACGTTGCCAAAAACAATCATTTAAAGACTCTGGAAATTGACCAAAGGATACGAACATTGAGAAGCATTTAGTTAAGAGAATCTAAACTGAATCCTAATAAAAACAGCAAAATCAGTATTATTTTGGCCAGAGTATGCTTTCACCAACTTCCTTCACCTCAACTTATGGTGCAGAATTTCTACCTGTGTGGGAGGACAGGCCATGGGATTAGACAGCTCTTCTTAACCTGCCAGAGGGAGCTCACACACATTTTTTGGAAAAGAGCTCACGCACATGCATGCACACACACACACACACACACACCCTCAAAATAACGTCTTGGCGTTTTGTAGAAAACAGCATAGACCTCAGGGCAAATAATTATGGAAGGCTAACATCTCAACTAGCTTGAAGTCATGATGGCAGGCCAGTCAGGAATTTTACCAGGGAGATCCAGAGAATGAGATAGTCAAAAATAGCCTTGCTAAAATCTCATTTATCCCCAGTGGTGTGGAAAGCTGTCTGCATCAGCTTGGTTAAGCCTGCTCAGGAGAGACCTGGCTGAATATAAGGACATGTGAAGGCAGAAAGTAAAAATTGGGACATACCTGTAAAGTCCCGGAACTTTGAAAGCATTTCCCACATCCCACTCAGTTCAATGGCAAAGTGTGGAAGCCTTACTGACTCAATTGTTTAAGCAGAATCTTTCATCAATCATAGGCTGACATTAAGCTATGATGACCAGGGGTGATTGTAGGAAATCAGGCTTAATAATGAAAACAAAAATTATTAAACAAACTTAGCAGAGACACCATAGGCTGCATACTAGGGGGAAACAGACTTGGAAGAACTAGCCCAAGCAAGTCACTAACACAAACAACAAACAGCAAGAGCACTTACTCCTAGGGATTGTGGAATCAGAATTTATGTAAAATATCAATATTAAACAAAAATTACAAGACATGCAAAGAAACTGGAAAATTTTACCAACACATAATACATAGGAAAAAAAGAAGCCAACAGAACTTGTCTCTGAGGAGACAGGTTAAAATGATTTCATTTTAAATTGCTCTCATTCTTGAGCATAATGAAGAAACACTCTTTAAGGCAGGTGAGAAATAACTAAGCAGTTATCAATTAGAGTGTTCAAGTAGTGGTTCTGAGTCTTAAAAAAAATAGGAGGGTGGGAAAGAAAGTACAAAAGAAATCAGATTCCTGTTTTAACTACCTTGGAACACATAAAATTGTGAAAATATGTTGAGAAAGTTCTATCTATACAGCCATCTCCAACTGCTGTATAATAGGTGTGCCGGAAAAATAGAAAAAATATAGGATACAATAAAAAATCGAAGATTTTTTTTTCTGAAGGAAAGGAAGACTTTAGTCTCTGGCTAGATAAGATTCATGCAATTTAAAGGAATCAAGTGGAATCATGAAAATATACAAATAGTTCTGTAGCTGGAGGGATGAAAATTTTTACTACACAATCAGAAAATAAAATGGTAATAAAAATGATCTATTGGCTTCCAAGAAAGAAATAAACAGTTTACACATAAAAGGACGAGAACCAGACTGGAATCAAATTTCTTATCTGAAATATCAGAAGCCAGAAAACAATGAGAGGGAAAAAAGGCTGCCAACTTAACACATGGGGAAGCAGTGTGTTGGCAGGAAAGGCAGTGTAAGAGAGGAGGTTTGTACAGGGAGATGGAAGAGACAATGGAGAGAAGACAATCTGAGCAGAAGCTGTGAGGAGTAGATAGATAGTAGGGAATGGGAATGCTAACGATGGCGTTATTTTAAAACTAACCTTGTGTGGCATGTTTTAAAATTATCATTCCCACACCCTCATTGCATTGTAAAAATTTTGGATTAATATTTTGTTTATCTTTTGGTGTAGAACTGTGCTAAAGGACACGGATTCTATACTACTGGAAGAAGTTCAAGGTTCTTGTTTTAGGAGGACATGGACAGCTGTAGGGATGTTAACTGGGTCATGTTCACCAGTAGGTGGGGACATTGCACTTTAGAAATTCAAGGGAGCTGCCGCTTTCCCTTTTTTCCTTGCCCCTTGGCAGGTCTGGATTTGAGGGGTCAGGATTCCTTGAGGGTGGTAACACAGCCACTCTTATTTCCCGTACTCTTCCTTCCATGTGCTCAGAATATGATGCAATCTGAGATGCAGTTTTGGATGTTTGAGAAGCAAAGAAGCATGGCTGGAGCAGGAGTTAAAGTCTGCTTTTGTTTGAGAACTGAGGAGCTCAGTCTTTTACATGCTCTCACAGGTAAGAGATTGGTACTATAAAATTACATGCTTAAAACAAACTTCACTGCTGTCATTCTAGTGCAAGCCACTATCCTTTTTCACATTGAACATTCCGCCACCATCTGCAGCATTCTTGATATTTCAGTAAGAATGATATTTTACTTTACAATTACTATTTTAAATTTATTGGGATATCAGTATATAGTTTGAAGATTAAACAATAGAGATGTATTTTAATGAAAACAAGAGCCCTTCATGCCATTCCTTTCCTCCACTGTCATTATCCCCAGTTCAATGACTTTAATAGTAATATGCGTATGTTTTTGTATGTGGGGGTATTAATTTAGACATCCATTGACTTCCTGTTATGAAACCAGATAATTTAAACCACCAAAAATTAGGTCTCTGACATCTTTCTTGTGATTTTATTATCTTACTATGTTTAGTTCCTCTGTAGGTAATCCCTGCATTTTTTATTTATTTATTTATTTATTTATTTATTTATTTATTTATTTATTTTTGAGACAGAGTCTCGCTCTGTCCCCCAGGCTGGAGTGCAGTGGCGCGACTGGCTCACTGCAAGCTCCGCCTCCCGGGTTCACGCCATTCTCCTGCCTCAGCCTCCTGAGTAGCTGGGACTACAGGCGCCCGCCACCATGCCCGGCTAATTTTTTTTTTTGTATTTTTAGTAGAGATGGGGTTTCACCGTGTTAGCCAGGATGGTCTCGATCTCGTGACCTCGTGATCCGCCCGCCTTGGCCTCCCAAAGTGCTGGGATTACAGGCGTGAGCCACCGCGCCCGGCCAATCCCTGTATTTTTAAACACAGTACTCTATTATTCTGTCAGTTATATTCAAGATCTCTTGAGTTTTCTCCTTGTAGATGAAGCTACTGCTAACCCTATTCTTTCCTGCTCTACTTTTTTCTTTATTTCATATCCCAACTTCTGGCATTTATAATTTATCTTTAATATTTTCAAACCCGATAGTATTTATGGTTTGTTTGTAACCAGGTATTTTTTAAACACGTATGTGCACATTATTGAGAATATATTTCCTTTGTTGGGCATCTTTTAATTTTTATGAAGGTTCTATTTGCAATTTCTTTTCCCTCATATATGTAGTCTACTTTTTAATCATATCCTCAGATGTTTTGAATATCTCAACAATACTGTAAAATTTATGGGATCATACTTATCATGTTTATCCACTTCCTGGTGCCCTTAGTTCTCTAGTTTCAATCTAAAAGAAATGATTTCCAGGACTGCTGAGCAGATGTCATCTTGGGATTCTCTTCATTGTTTTCTTTGGTAGAAGATAATGTTTCAGGTATCTGATATCTTCCTCTTACTTGCTTTGACTACCTAATTTTGCTACGACACACCGTCTGTTAATATCCAAAAAAGGATATTCTGGAAGCAAATTTTTCTAATCTTTGCATGTCTGAGAATAATTTTTATTCTAGATTCGTGCCTGAATGAAATTTTATGGGTTTATAAGTATGGGTCTAGTCAGGAGAGAGAGGAAATCACACAGTAATGTAAAATGAGAAAGATCAATATAAAGAAATACGAATCTTAACAAGAGATCTGAGTAATAAGAGATTGGCTAGAAAGAAGTAAAGAGAACTCTAAATAATATAGCAGTGGCAGATATAATAGTGCATAATATAATATAATACGAAATGGCTACTTCCCTAGTGTATTAGTCAGGGTTATCTAGAGGGATAGAACTAATATGATAGATGTATGTATAAAGGGGAGTTTATTAAAGCGTGTTGACTCACATGATCACAAGGTGAAGTCCCACAGTAGACCGTCTGCAATCTGAGGAGCAAGGAAGCCAGTCCAAGTCCCAAAACCTCAAAAGTAGGGAAGCTGACAGTGCAGCCTTCAGTCTGTGGTTGAAGGTCTCAGAGCCCCTGGCAAGGGAGAAAAATGAAGGGTGGAAGACCGCTAGTCTAGTCCTTCTACGGTCCTCTGCCTGCTTTTATCCTAGTGGTGCTGGCAGCTGATTAGATGGTGCCCACCCAGATTGAGGGTGGGTCTTGCCTCTCCCAGTCCACTGACTCAAATGTTAATCTCCTTTGGCAACACCCTCACAGACACACCCAGGAACAATACTTTGCATCTTTCAATTCAATCAAGTTGACACTCGATATTAACCCATCACCTAGGTTAAGATAGAGCACCCAAGAAGGAGCCTTCTCCAGTTTTCTTTCCAAGGGTGAGGTCAGACCTTGTTAGGGAGGCACTTCCATGGCTCACTGAATGGCAGAGAGGTAGTTGTTGAACTGCTGCTCCAGCGGTAGTTTGCTGTAATCCACCCTCTGGGACTTGTCAGAAATCCTTCCTCTAGGGTGTTGGGAAAGCTGTTCCTGTAAGGTTCATGGAAGTGGGGTGGTGGTGGTCACTCTCTGCTGTAAAACTGCTAAAGGGGGTGTGCATGCCTGACGAAGCTGCTGGGTGTTGCTGGCTGCTCTACACTGCAAAAGCTGGGTGCTGAGGAAGCCGCAAGAGTCTGATGTTGTAGAAGCCAGGTGAGAACTTGCCAAAATTAATGACAGACAACGAATCACCGATTACAAATCTCGGAGAATACCAAGCAGGATTAAAAAAACAAAAACAACCTACACTTAAGTATATTATATTTAAACTTTAAAAAGTTGAAATACATAAATACTGTTTAGAAAAGCAAAGAAGGGTGAGAAAAGTACAAGTTATTACATTTTATGTATTTCTTAAAAATGGATATAACAGGTAGATATTTGTTGATATGTATTACAAAAGTTGGACAACATAGTCATGAAATATATTTAGATACTTTAAATACATATATTAAACAAGGGAAGAAATAAAGTACTACTCAAATCAATAAGAAAGAGTTAAATAACCTAATAGCAATGTTGGAAAGTAGGTGAACCGGCAATTCACAGAAGAACTCAAATGGCAAATAGCGTATGCAAAGATGGTCAACTTTCTCTACAATATTTGACACAGAAACATTATGTCATTTCAGTTTAAATATAATTACACATTCATAAAAATTGGGGAGCACACCTTTGAAGGGTTACTAATAAATTGTCTAGAAACATTGTTCTAAAAGCTGATGTGGTTTTGGAGGACCAAATGTGAATATTCAAAGGCACTTTCATTTGTTGAGCAAAACACCAAGTGGAGAAATTGAAGATCCCTGATTGCGAAAGGATCCAAGTGTTTAGAGCAGAACTGAAATCCTGAATAATGGTTCTCTCCATGTAGCAGGCAGAGAATGTGACTAGTGGAAAACAGAGGTTTATGTAAACAAAAGCAGCCTAGATTTGGACATAAAATTCATCAATTAATGTATCCATTCATTTGTCAAATAATTATTTAGCTCCTACTAAGTGCTATGTACTATTCCAGATAAAATAGTCAGCAAGGTAAAAATGTCCCTACCTTTATGAGTTTTAATTCTAGCAGGAAAGAAAAAATAATCACATAATATACAGATATGCAGTATTAGGTGGTGATTCTTGCTATGAAGATACAAATGAAGAAAGCTGAGTAAGGGGATAGAGAAACAAGGGCTTACCAGTAGTAAATTTCCATGCAAACAGTGGCAGGCTAATTTCAAAATCAGAAATATTTTATTATAGTTTTTCTTGGGTTATTAGTGTCAGACATAAGAAAAGTGCAGTAGATTTACTACCACAGATTTTTGCACTTGTACTTATTTTGAATGAAATGTACTGTCAAAGAACGAAGCAGATGGACTGGGCTTATATCCTGTCTCCTTGTAGTAGAGAATATTGAGTCTGATGTGCAGACCAGCAGATCCTTTGTGTATCACCTGCACCACTCCCTCATCCCCTCCATAAGCTCACATCAGGAGTAACTATGTTCATGTACTGTAATGTGAACTCATCCCCTGGCAACACTTTAGTGGTGTACAGTAAGCAACTGACTGGTCTAGGAAAAGAAGCCCTAGGGCAAAGGAGAGATGAATTGAGAACATCTTGGCAGGGACCATTTTGTACTATGTGAATCTGAAAGCAGAGATATATAAAATAATGAAGATGACAGGCAGAGAAAATTAGAGATAAGAAATATACAGAGGATTTCTTGTATAACACACAGTGTACTATCCTTAGATCAATCCTTTTACATATCTTCTTTGGCTTCTGTGAGTTAGCCCTTTGTTATGATAACAAATTTTATCTTTTTGATCAATCTAACTCAGGCACTTGTGTTCCCCATGATGACATGCTCTCACGATGGCTCTGATTTATTTAACATACAGAGGAAGATCATGAGTGTGGATTTCCGAAATGCAGTCAGTGGACTCAATTACTGTTTGTTGAGTCCATGAGCAGATGTGACTAACAAAGATCTGTGCATATGGGGATTGAAGGGTTTTTTTTGTTTTTGGATAGAGTTGGTGAAGAAATTAAATGAAAGTATACGATATTCCATGGCCAAGAATTTCAAATAATAAAGTGTTTATATGAGATGTTTGGGCTTTAATATGGGAAGTATGTATATGGGATGTGTGGGCTCTAATTTGTTTAAATTGTGTTTATTACTAATATTTGTGGGCACATAGTAAGTGTATATATGTATCAGGTACATGAGATGTTTTGAAAAAAAGGATGCAATGTGAAATCAGTAAATCATGAAGAATGGGCATCCATACCCTCAAGCATTTATCCATTGAGTTGCAAACAATCCAGTTACACTCTTGAAGTTATTTTAAATGTATAGTTACTATTTACTATAGTCACCCTGTTGTGCTATCAAATAGTAGATCTTGTTCATTCTTTCCAATTTTTTCCCATTAACCATCCCCATATCCCTCCCTCCCTGATCCCCCAGTACCTTTCCAACCTCTGGTAATCATCCTTCTACTCTCTATGTTCATAAATCCAATCATTTTAATTGTTAGATCCTACAAATAACTAAGAACATGCGATATTTGTCTTTCTGTGCCTAGCTTATTTCACTTATGGAACTGCCATGCCTGTTGTTGCAAATGACTGGATCTCATTCTTTTTTATGGCTGAATAGTACTCCATTATATATATGTACCACATTTTCTTTATCCATTCAACTGTTGATGGATACTTTGATATACTGACTTTTTTTTTCTTTTCAGTGTATACCCAGCAGTGGGATTGCTGGATCATATGAGAGCTCAATTTTTAGTTTTTTGAAGAACCTCCAAATTGTTCTCCATAGTAGTTGTACTAATTTACGTTCCCACCAATAGTGTCCAAGTGTTCTTTATTTCACATCCTTCCCAGCATTTGCTATTGCCTGTCTTTTCGATATCAGCCATTTTTAACTGGAGTGAGATGATACCTCATTGTAGTTTTGATTTGCATTTCTCTGATGATCAATGATGTTGAGCACCTTTTCATATGCCTGTTTGTCATTTGTATGTCTTATTTTGAGAAACATCTATTCAAATCTTTTGCCCAACTTTTGATTGGATTATTAGTTTTTTCCTATAGAGTTGTTTGAATCCTTATATATTCTGGTTATTCATCCCTCATCAGATGGGTAGTTTGGAGATATTTTCTTCCATTCTGTGGGTTGTCTCTTCACTTTGTTGATTGTATCCTTTGTGTTCAGAAGCTTTTTAACTTGATGTAATCCCATTTCTCCATTGGTGCTTTGGTTGCTTGTGTTTGTAGAGTATCACTCAGGAAATTTTTGCCTAGACCAATGTCCTGGAGATTTTCCCTAATGTTTTCGTGTAGTAGTTTCATGGTTTGAGGTCTTAGATTTAAGTCCTTAATCCATTTTGATTTGATTTTTGTATATGATGAGAGAAACGAGTCTAGTTTTATTCTTCTGCATATGAATATCCAGTTTTCCCAGCATCACTTTTTGCAGAGACTGTCTTTTCCCCAGTGTATGTTTTTGGCACTTTTGTCAAAAATGAGTGCACTGTAGGCTTGTGGATTTGCTTCTGGGTTCTCTAGTCCATTCCACTGGTCTATACGTCTGTTTTTATGCCAGTACCATGCTGTTTTGGTTACCATAGCTCTGTAGCATAATTTGAAGTCAGTAATGTGATTCTTCTAGTTTTATTCTTTTTGCTTAGGATGGCTTTAGCTATTCTGAGTCTTGTGGTTCCATATAATTTTAAGATTTTTTTCCATTTCTGTGAGAAATGTCATTGGTTGTTTGATAGTGATTGTGTTGAATCTGTAGATTGCTTTGGGTAGTATGGACATTTTAACACTATTGATTCTTCCAAGCCATGAACATGGAACATGTTTCCTTTTTTTATTATAAAAAAATTTCTTGTATTATAGAGATTTCTTATTCTCAATTTCCTTTATTATAGAATTATAATAGAATACAGAATTTATTATAAAAAATTCTTTTATTATAGAGATTTCTTATTCCTCAATTTCTTTTATTATAGAGATTTTTCACTTCCTTGGTCAAGTTAATTCCTAGGTATTTCATTTTGTGTGTGGCTATTTTAAATAGAATTACTTTTTAAATTTCTTTTTCACATTGTTCACTATTGGCATATAGAAATTCTACTGATTTTATGTGCTGATTTTCTATCCTGGAACTTTATTGAATTTATCAGTTCTAATAGTATTCTTGTGGAGTCTTTAAGTTTTTATAAATATAGGAGCATATCCTCTGCAAACAAGGATAATTTGACTTCTTCCTTTTAAATTTGGATGCCATTTATATCTTTCTCTTGTCTAATTGCTCTAGCTAGGACTTCCAGTACTATGTTGAATAACAGTGGTGACAGTGGCATCCTTGTCATGTTCCAGATCTTAGAAAAAAGACTTTCAGTTTTTCCCCATTCAGTATGATACTAGCTGTGGGTCTGTCATATATGGCTTTTATTATGTTGAAGTATGTTCTTTATATCCCCAGTTTTTGAGAATTTTTAACATGAAATGATGTTAAATTTTATCAAATGCTTTTTTCAGCATCAATTAAAATGAACATTTTATTTTTATCTTCATTGTGTTGATGTGATGTATCACGTTAATTTGTGTATGTTGAACCATCCTTGCATCCCAGCGATAAATCCCACTTGATTGTTATGAGTGATCTTTCTGATGTATTGTTTAATTCAGTTTACTAATATTTTGTTGAGGATTTTTGCATCAATATTCATCAGAGATATTGGCCTACAGGTTTTTTTTATGTGTCTTTGTCTGGTTTTGGTATCAAGGTAATACTGGGCTCATAGAATGAGTTTAGAAGTATTCCCTCATAAAATACTTGTAGAAGTATTCCCTCCTTCTCTATTTTTTGGAATAATTTGAGTAGGATTGGTATTAGTTCTTCTTTGAATGTTTGGTAGCATTCAGCAGTGAAGTCATCAGGTCCTGGAATTTATTTACTGGTAGACTGTTTATTGTGACTTTGATCTTGTTACTTGTTATTGATCTTTTTAGGTTTTGAGTTATTTCCTGTTTTAATCTTGGTAGGTTGCATGTGTCTAGGACTTTGTCCATTTCTTCTAGGTTTTCCAATTTATAGCATATAGTTGCTCATAGTAGCCACTAATGATCCTTTGAATTTCTGCAGTATCAGTTGTAATGTCTCCTTTTCCATTTATGATTTTATTTATCTGGATCTTCTCTCTTTTTTTCTTAGTTTGTCTTGCTAAAGGTTTGTCAATTTTGTTTAACTTTTCAAAAAAGCAAATTTTTGTTTCATAGATCTTTTGTATTTTTTTCAATTTCATTTATTTCCACTCTGATCTTTACTTTTTCTTTTCTTCAACTAATTTTTGCTTTGGTTTCCTCTTGCTTTTCTAGTTTTTAAGATGCATCATTAGATTGCTAATTTAAAGTTTCTCCTTTTCTGATGTAGGCACTTATAGCTATAAACTTCCTCCTTATTACTGCTTTTGCTGTATCCCATGGGTTTTGGTATGTTGTGTTTTCATTGTCATTTGTTTCAATAAATGTTTCAATTTCCCTCTTAATTTCTTCATTGACCCACTGGTCATTCAGGAGCATATTGTTTAATTTCCATGTATTTTTATAGTTTCCCAAATTTCTCTTCTTATTAATTTCCAGTTTTATTCAACTGGGTTCAGAGAAGATGCTTGAGCAATTTGAGAGGCCAAGGTGGGAGGATTGCTTGAGCTCAGGAGTATGAAACCAGCCTAGGCAACATAGGGAGACCCAGAAGCAGTTCAAATGGGATTGAAAACCATGTACCTGTTGCCTGGACTGTAGAGGGCGTTGCAAGCCTGGTGGAGGTGAGCAAAGGGAGAGATTAGATAAAGCTGAGTACCCAACTTCCAGAGTTGCATATATCATTGAGACCAATAGTTCCACATACAGATTTCATTTAACATCTGTATTTTTAAAGTCAATCACAATAGACTTGTCAGACCGTCTTAGAATTATAACCAAGAACAGAAGAAAACAAGATCACTTTTATTGTATTTTAGAACCTTGGGTGACAGTTGATATTGGGAGGGCTTCAAAGCTATAAATGTAGATATAAATAAAAACATAAACAGATTTAGAGGTTTTAGATCACAGTGAATGTGCTAATTTGTAACTCCTTTTAAATTTAACATATGGCAAACAACTCTATTTTGTCATTAAATATCTTTCTAAGACATTGTTTTGAAGGACTGTATATAATTGTGTCATAGTTTGTTACCTAATTATTTAAATTTTGAGGCCAGGTGCAGTGGCTCACACCTGTAATCCCAGCACTTTGGGAGGCCGAGGAGGGCAGATCACCTGAGGTCAGGAGTTCGAGACCAGCCTGGCCACATGGTGAAACCCCGTCTCTACTAAAAATACAAAAATTAGCCAAGCATGGTGGCAGGTGCCTGTAATCCTAGCTACTCGGGAGGCTGAGGAAGGAGAATCGCTTGAACCCAAGAGGCGGAGGTTGCAGTGAGCCGAGATCGAGCCATTGCACTCCAGCCTGGGGGACAAAAGCAAGACTTTGTCTCAAAAAAAAAAATTTTTTTTTTTTTTGAGTACAGATGGGAATTGACTGAAAGCATTTTTACTGAATTGTTGGTTCTCAACTCCCCTCCTACTCCTACATCTTGGCTCTACTTCCCAACTACAAAATGGAAAGTTTCCTTTTTGGATATATGAGTACACAAAAAAGGAGAATCTTCACATTATGGTGTGTCCAGTCTCTTTTTACATTCCATTTTGTTTTTATTTTATAGAGGTAATATTTTTATAGCCTCATGTAGATTTTTTCATTTTAGTTTGTAAAAAAGAACAATGAGAACACTTGGACACAGGAAGGGGAACATCACACACATGGGGGCCTGTTGTGGGGAGGGGGGAGGAGGGAGGGATAGCATTAGGAGATATACTTAATGTAAATGATGAGTTAATGGGTGCAGCACACCAACATGGCACATGTATACATATGTAACAAACCTGCACGTTGTGTACATGTACCCTAGAACTTAAAGTATAATAAAACATATATATTAAAAAAATAATAAATAAATAAATAAGTCAGCCACTGCACCTGGACAACTATTCTGCTCAAAAAAAAAAATAAAAAAGTAAACTTAAAGAAAACTTGCAATAAGAATAGTATTTTGTACTTATATATTTTTTTTTCTGAAATTGCACTCATCAGAACTCTTTATCCTTAAGTACTTCAGTGTGTATTTCCTAAGAAAAGGATACATTCTTGTACATAACCAGAATATAGCTACCAACTTCATTAAATTTAATTTTAATAATCTAAACTGTTTGAATTCTCATTGTCATATGAATTTTGTTTGAAAATACAAGCCCAAAATTACACTCCCATCTCTGAACATGTCATGTTTCTTAAATCATTTATGTCTTTATGCTGCATGGTAAATTTTTGTAATTAAAACACTGTATTTTTTTGTGGAATTTATTCCTTACAATTTTATATTTCTACCGGCAGTTTGAATGGTAATTTATCCTACATTCTCTCACCCTTCCCATCTCCCCCTGCTACTATATATTTTATTTGTGCTTCTTAGTAGCTTGGACTGCCAGAGACAAGTGACTCTGCCTCATCATATGCTTCTCATTGGTTGGAGAGATACATATTCATTACTATTAGTTATTTCTTCTAACCAGAGCTTCTGCAAAGCCCCTTTATCATTATCCTTTCTCTTCAATCACAATCTTGCCTAGTAACCTTTTCCATACCCAGATAGTTCCTTTCCTCCTGCAAGAACTAAGCGTATGTAAGTCTTCTCATTTGTTACCTAGTTCACTTTTCTTCACATGTGAGGATCCTGGATACTATTAAGATGCCTTCACTACTGACTGGATCTTGGAAAAATATGCTTTGTTTCCCTACAAAATATATTTTCTTTTAAGCTCTCAGAGTAAATTTTGAAACGAGCTACCCATAGATTAGTCCTCTGGTATTAACTAGTATTGTTATTCTGGCTGTAAAAGATAACTGTTCAAACTATTTACAGGTTAGATTATCCAGGGGATATAGTTTAGAGCACCCATATAATTTTTTTTTCAACAGATTACTTGATTTAAAAAGAACCTATCAAGTTAATGTTTTGAAGAAATTGATAATTTCTTTTAGAGGTTTCTCTGAAAAAATACAAGCAGTCCATATTAACAGGCTGGGTCTAGAGTTATATAGTCTGAGCGAGGACATGGGATGTTGAGTTGAGTCCAGAGACAGGCCATATGCAGCGAACCAGAACAATGTTTCAAAATCTGCAAATGGCTGAATCTGGGTATTTCCTGTGTGAAGGGGATGCCAGAAATGAGCAACCAAAACCTTAACAGAGACTGAAAACGCATCCCAAAGTAGGAGGCAAAATACATCCACCTTCCAGGCAGCATACCCAGGCCTGATACACGTTAGAATGGGTTCTAGACATGTGACAACAGGATAAAAAAGTCAGTAAAATCATGGGAAAGATTAAAGTGAAAAATATTATAATATAAAGTCCACACATCTCATTAATTTTAGTAACTGCAAATAGACTAAACTTGTGACCAGAAGACAGAGACTGACAAATTGAATGCAAAAACATAAATTCAGGTTATACTGTTTACAAGACACATACCTAAAGCATAAAAGTCATTTCAGAGATTAAGTGTAAAACATAGAAAGGACATATTATGCAAAAACTAATTCTAAGAAATGGTGTTTATTTATTAATGTCAAAAACAAATTTTAAGGAAAAAGATATCGTAGGACAGAAAGACTGATATAATGATAAACATTCACCTAGTCAAGGAAAACAAAGGCTGGGCACAGGGGCTCACACCTGTAATCCCAGCACTTTGGGAGGCTGAGGCAGGTGGACCGCTTGAGCTTATGATTTCAAGACCAGTCTAGGCAACATGGCTAAAACCTGTCTCTGCAAAAAACAAAAATTAGCTGGGCATGGTGGCGCGTGTCTGTAATCCCAGCTACTTGGAAGGCAGAGGTGGGAGGATGGCTTGAGTCCAGGAGGTGTAGGTTGCAGTGAGCCGAGATTGCACCACTGCACTCCAGCCTGGGCGATAGAGCCAGACTTTGTCTAAAAAAAGAAAGAAAAGAAAAGGAAAACATAGCAACTATAAATATAGGTGCATCTAATAAAATATCCTCAAAGACATGAATCAAAATTGATATACTATTTAGGTAGAAAGCAATAAATCTACCATTTATAGTATGATATTTTAATATATGTTTCTGGGTTCTTTATAAGTCAAGAAGGCAAAAGTAGGATATAAAAGATCTAAACAACACAATTAGTAAGCTTGACCTAATAGACTTGAATATATTATAAAGTTATTGTCTATGTTCTCATCTATGTGAACTGGTAGATTCACCAGCACCTATTACATTAATTTTAATTTTAATTTTAATTTTTTTTGAAACAGAGTCTTGCTTAATAGCCCAGGCTGAAATGCAGTGGTGCGATCTCAGCTCACTGCAACCTCCACCTCTCAGGTTCAAGCGATTCTCCTGCCTCAGTCTCCTGAGTAGCTGGGACTAAGGTGCATACCACCATACCCTGGTAATTTTGTATTTTTTTAGTAGAGACAGGGTTTCACCATGTTGGCCAGGCTGGTCTCAAACTCCTGACTTCAGGTGATTCACCTGCCTTGCCTCCCAAAGTGCTGGGATTACAGTTGTGAGCCACCGCGCCCAGCCAGTTTATTATTTTTAATGTTTTTTAATGTAATGTAATGTAATTAATATAATAGGCACTGGTGAATAGGCACTGGTGAATCTACCACCTGGCACATAGATGAGAACATAGACAATAACTTTATAATATATTTGAGTCTATTAGGTTAAGCTTACTAATTGTGTTGTTTAGATCTTTTATATCCTACTTTTGCCTTCTTGACTTATAAAGAACCTAGAAACATATATTAAAATATCATACCATAAATGGTAGATTTATTGCTTTCTACCTAAATATTATATCAATTTTGATTCATGTCTTTGAGGATATTTTATTAGATGCACCTATATTTATAGTTGCTATGGACCTCAGTCATACGTGGAAATGAATTCTGCCAACAGGCAGTGAGCTTGGAAGAGGACCCCAAACTCAGATGAGAATTACAATGTCTCTGTGACTTGAGTCTTGTGACATCCTAAGCAGAAAGCCCAGGTGAGCTCTGCCTAGACTTCTGACTTAGAAAGCTGATGTAATAAATGGGTTTTGTTCTAAGCTTCTGCATTTGTACTAATTTTCTGTGACAGTGGCTAGAAAACTAATACAATATATTTTGCTCATTTAAGGTTCACGTACTGCACTATAAGCACTTTCTTTTAATATAGCGCAATGCTTAAAAATTGATATACATTTCACATATTAACTCTTGATTTTTCATTTAAGTTGTGGTTGTATTTATGATGATTTAAAAATATAGTCTAACAATATTTTTCTATATGGTTTCTTTCTTTTGTTTTATTTAAATCATTCCAACACTTTTTAATAAAATAAATATTAACATGTATCTTTTTCTGTATTTTGAGTTCCTTCTTGATTTACATTTAAACTTTTAATCTAACTCAATATCATCTCTGTATGTGTGTATGTATGAGCTCTTTTTATTTTCCTACTAAATAACCAATAGACCCAACATCATTTTTAGTAAATTTCCCTCATTCCACTGAATAAAAAGTCCACTTTTATTATGTACTACATTTTTAAAAATTTATCCAACATAAATTCAGGATAACTTGTTCTGTTCTTGAAAGCAGTTCTAATGTGGCATTCTTTAACAAGCAAGAGTAAACTTCCCAGTGCACCATTTAAAACACTCCAAACCATTATTGCAATCTCTTGAAAAACATTGAATTAGAATTGTGTTTCTAATACCAAGGAAAATGATTTAAAATTCTCTTAAAATAACTTTTTCTTCTAAAAATTTCACCTGAGAATGTCTTCACCCACCAGAATTTCCTCACCACTACGCTGCTTTCTCTTCCATTCCACATAGGTGCCATGTTGTTCAAGTATATTGCAAAAACTTGCCTCCTAACCCCTTATATCTCACGGACTTCCAATCCTCATCAGCTACAGTCCTTTACCCCACAAACCTGGATTGACTCCAAAAGAGTGAAATGGGTTCTTCTGTGCCTCAAAGAAATGAAGAATATAAACTATAACACTGGAAGCTTCTTCGAAATATGTTTATGTCCCATCCCAAAATTTTCTCAAAAGTTTAGTAACTTCTAGAAATAAAATACGGTAGCCCCACCTTATCCATGGTTTCACTTTCCATAGTTTCAGTTATCTGTGGTTAATCACAGTTTGAAAATAGGGGTGTATAGTACAGTAAGACATTTTGAGAAAGAGAGGGGACCCCATTTACTTAAGTTTTATTACCGTATATTGTTAAAATTGTTCTATTTTATTATTAGTTTTTGTTTATCTATGACTGTGAATAATTTATAAATTACACTTTATCATAGGTTTGTATGTGTATGAAAACATAGTACGTATAGGGTTTGGTACAATCCGTGGCTTCAGGCATCTACTGTGGGATCTTGCAGTGTATCCCCCATGAATAAGGGGGGACTACTATAAATACAATTTCGATCTCGTTAATCATAACATAAATTTGGATCGGCTTCTGTGCAGTCAATGTTGTTCCACAGTTGACTTTTTTTTTTAGTGGCAGTAGAAACATGTTTTAATTGTTTAGCTTTATAATTATTTGTAAGCATCTACTAGAGCAACACCCCCTCATTTTTATCAATAGCTATTTTTATATTTATTATTCTTGAAAAAAATTAGAAACATTTTGTTAACAAAACTATCTTATTGATATTTAGATTAAAGCATCACAAAGTCTATGTATTTTGTTTGGAAAATTGACACAAATTGTCTTGTTCAAGAATGTGGTACTTTTATTTATCAAACTTTTCTTCAGTAAACTTCTTCTATTCTTTTCTGTGGATTGCACACATGACTAGTAGACGCTTTGATATTTTCTATGTTTATTGCTCTTTTAAGTGATTTTTTTTTTTCTGTAACAGACTTACTGGCTCAGTCAGCCAGAGACAAATGATGCTGCTTCACTTCTTCTCATTGGCTGGCAAGGAAAGTACTTAGTGGTTTAACTCAAGCACAACTTCTGTGAATCTTTTTTTTTTTTTTTTTTTTTTAAAGCAGCATCCCGTATTTGGTTACACTCTGGTCTAGTAACCACTTCCTTTGGGCAAGACAACCTTCTCCACCTGCAAGAGCCAGGCATGTGATTAAAAAAATTTCCTTTGTGGTCACTTAGTTATTATTCTTCTTGCTTTGAGTGTTTGGTTGCTAGTTTCATGTACACACTTTCCACTAAAGCTGTTCTTTACAACTTGTTATAGTAAGTTTTGATTCACAGAATATTTTAGGCTCATCTACAATATAATAATTTCCCACAAATGTAAAGAATATAAGTTTGTACAGTTCTAAATATCAGTAAAACAGCATGGAGCAGAGTGCTCGTATTTAACTTCAAAAAAGGTAGTATTTCCATAGGTGCTTTCAGGATAATAAAAATTGATTTGATTGATATAGACTTATGGGACAATATGTGAGAATCAGGCTCTGCTCTAAAGGATAGGAGAAAGGCGGGCAGGGAGTACTTAATATGGTTTGAATTCCAGACACACAACCTAGTTGCCTAATTTGGCCTCATCCACCAGCTTGAATATTTTCGTGAGATTCTGTCTTACATCTCTGGTAATACTAAAACAAAAAATGAGGACCATTTCAAGTAAGTCTAGCTCAGGAGAAACCATTAAAATTGTTATATTCTCTGTTTAATTTTTTCTACAATTATTATTTCTTCTTTTTATATTAATTAGAATAGGCCAGACTGCTACAATAACTAGACTTGAAAGTGTATGAAGGCTGAAATACGGTAGAATTTTATAACTCACTAATGTAACAGTAGGAAGATACTGATGATTTGTGAGTAGCTCTTCTCAAGCTGGTGATTCAGGGATCCAAGCTGCCATACTCTAATATGGTGCCTCTCATTTTTTTTCCTGTGAAAATTAACATACTTTAATTTTTCTTCAAATAGGGAGGTCAGGAAAAGTGGCCAATTGTGATCTAGAAGATTAAGGCAAGACGGTTAGTGAAATTTACAACAGTGTCCACTACGTTGTCATTATGGCTGTAACTAATATTCATCTCCCTCCGTCACAAGCCGCTCCTGATTCCCCTCATCCTCTGAATTTAGTATAGTTTGTTTTTCTGTTTGAGTGACAGAGACAACTATTCCAGAAAGGTCTATACAGTTATTTACCCTGTCCTTGCTGGATTGATTGTTTTAGTGTCTACTGATGGTCATTACCATGCATAAAAGTACTAAAAGATATCGTTGTATTTCCTCTAATTTGTTCCTGAGGCATCTCTCGTAATAATGGCTATCAACTGTAGTCCTCCTCTAATGAAGGGAAAAGTAATATGCATGGGCTCAACAACCAGGACTACAGTCAGCAGGGATTATCTTCTTAATAGCATTGCTGAGTTCCACCCTGCCAGCAGTAGAGGATAACACTGAACTCACCATATGGCCCCATTACTTGAGGAGATCAGCCAGCGAGTTGGTGTCAGGTTGACTGTATCAAAATCTTCCACCTTGGAGGGGAAGTGATTTATTCTTTCTGGAATTAGTATACACTTTGGATATGGATTTGCTATTCTCACCTACATTGCCTCCAAAACCATTGCCATTCAAACACTCATGGGATGCTATGTTTAATATTGCTCAAGACTACAAAACCCATTTAGTAACAAGACGTAGCAATGGGATAATGATATATACCCATTACCTAGATGTAGTCAGTCCAAAAGAATAATTGAATGGTGCTGGCTGGAAGACATTGCCCTCTAGGATGTTGTCTTTGACTGTTTGTGTTGCTATAACAAAACACCACAGACTGGATAAATTACAAAGACCAGAATTTTATTTTCTCACAGTCCTGGAGGCTGGAAAGTCCAAGATCAAGGTACTGGCATCTAGTAAGGGCCATCTTGCAGTGTCTTCACATGGCGGAAAGTGAATCACATGGTGGAAGGTGGAGGGGCAAGGGAGCATTCCCTTCAACCTTGAGTCCTTTTATAAGGGTCCTAATCACATCTTTGAGGCTCATGTCCTCATGACTTAATCATCTCTTAAAATGATCACACTGAGGACAACAAGGTTAGGTTTTAATATACGAATTTTGGAATTTTGAGTCATGTGGTTTGTTGAATTGTCTTCTTTCTATCTTACCTGACACCTTCAAATTTAACTTCTTACCCAGACAGAGCTGTCCCAGAGAGTGAAATTTTGGCAGGAATAAACGGACACAGGTCAGACAAGAGCCACAAAAGTGTCTTCCAGTATAAACAAGTTTCCTGTGAGAGGGGCGCTTGGTTACAGGTCAGACACTTAGGCATTAGACCATCTTCCAGAATAAAGAAGCATCCCATGAAGATACATTGTAAACTCCACACCCAAATTCCCTAAAGCTCCAGCAGAGCAAAACTAGTTTATAGCTGTTCTCATGAGAGAGACCTCAAGACCAAATTAGATGAAAATTCAGTAGACACTAAAACAATTATACTCCATCAAGGAGAAGATAAACAAGAGCATAAACCCTTCTGGGATTGTAGTATCTATCACCAAACCAGAACAACCACCTAGTTTTTAAACCTGCTGAAGTCTGGTTTCAAATGTACTGCTTTAATTGCATGATGGATTGTGGTTGGTATGCCCAAACTTAAGAGTCTATGAATCTTATAACTCTCAGCATCATATGGACAATTTAAGTCATATGGTCACTTAGTGTGTTAAATGCCTATCAGGAAGAAATGCACACTTGGTTGTAGTTTTAGAACACATGAGTTCATGCAAAATTACTGTTAGAGAAGTTTTCCAGTGGTTATAATCTGGAACATGTAATATGAATGAAGTGATCAAGAGTTTGACTTGTGACTTACACTTTAGATCATGATATAATAATTGGTGTAGTCAGTACTTTGTATATCCCAGACAACTTTCTTGAGCTTTAGGGGACTGACTCACAATGGAGCTGAGGCTTCTTCTGTCCCTTGCTACTGATCTGTAAGTAATAAACCTGCTTTACATAACTTGTGTGTGGGCATGTTCTATTTCATCAGACTCAGATAATAGGTAACCAGTGTGTGGTGGACCTAAACAGTAGCTCAGGATGCAGTGGAAAGAAGTATCTGGACTTCTTTTCCTAGTGGTTGGCATAGTAGTGATCTTTGCTATTCTCCACACAGTGGGGGTCCTCCTTTGGGGTTGGTAATTAGTAAACCTGCTTCATAAACTATGATTAATATACTAAAATCTCTTATGAAAAAGTAGACAACATGCTAGATTAGATAGGTAATTTCGGCAGAGATAGAAAATCTGAGAAAGAGTAAAATTGAAATAAAATAAAAATACATTAACAGAAATTAAAAATACATTTGTCAAACTCATCAGCAAACTTGACACAGCCCTGGGAAGCATCAATGAATTTGAAATAGATCAATAAAAATTATTCAGAGTGAAACACAAAGAGAAACAAATAGTAAAAGTAAATTTAAAAAATAGGTCAAGTGTGGCAATCCCAACAGTTTGGGAGGCCAGGGCTGGAGGATTGCTTGAGCCCAGGAGTTTGAGACCAGTCTGGGTAACATGGGGAGACACCATCTTTACAAAAAATACAAAAATTAACTGAGTGTGGTGGTACAGACCTGTAGTCCCAGCTACTCGAGAGGATGAGGTGGGAGGATCACTTAAGCCCAGGAGGTCAAGGCTGCAGTGAGCCATGACTGCACCACTGCACTCTAGTCTGGGCAACAGAGTGAGACCTTGTTTAAAAACAAATAAATAAGTGTTTAACACTTTTCAGGCAAAAATATAGTACCATTTGATATGGTACTACAGCTCGTGGATGCTCTGTTTTGCTTTTATCCCCCACTCTTCTTTTCTCTTTGTATTTCACTTCGGATAATTTTTATTAGGTACCTTATTGAATTGGTTTTCTTTTTAAATAAACATATTATTTTGGTTGACTTTATTTTTCAATGTTGTATTTTGAAATCATTATAGATTCAGAGGAAGTTACCAAGATAGTACAGAAAGATTCTCTATACCCTTCATCCAGTTTTCCCCAATTGTCACATCTTATATAACTAAAGCACAATATCAAAACCAGGAAATTACCCTGACATATACTGTCAAACGATTTTCAACAAGGGTGCAAAGGCCATTAATTGAGGAAAGGACAGCCTTTTCAACAATGATGCTGGGAAAACTGAAGTCCACATACAAAAGAATGAAATTGGATTCTTACCTTAGATCGTAGACAATATGAACTCAAAATGAATCAAAAACCTAAATGTAAAACTTAAAACTACCAAACCATTAGAAAAAAACATAAAGGAAAATCTTCATGACATTTGATTAGGCTATGATTTCCTGGACATAACACCAAAGACATAGACAAGAAAAGAAAAAATAGATGAATTGGACTTCATCAAAATTTAAAACTTCTAACTCAGGAAAGGAAAAACAAATACCGTATGTTCTCACTTACAAGTGGGAGCTAGGCTATGGGTACACAAAGGCATGCAGAGTGGTAAAATGGACATTGGAGACTCAGAAGAGGGGAGGATGGGATGGGGGTGAAGGATAAAAAACTACATATTGAGTACAATTTATGCTACTTGGGTGACAGGTGCACTAAAATCTCAGGTTTCACAACTATACAATTTATCCATGTAACAAAAAGTCATTTGTACCCCAGAAACTATTGATATAAAAATATATTTAAAATATTTAAAAATAATTATTATTATCTACTATGTGTTCAACACTATTTTTGATGCTTTATATTTGCCATTTCATTTAATCCCCAGCATTACTCCATGGAATAGATATTCTCATTTTGCAGTTGAAGGAACTAACATTCAGAGAGATTAACTTGGATTTATGAGCAATGTCTACATTGTAAAGTAGAGGCAAGGAGACCAGTCAGGATGCCTTTGCAGTAATTTACTTGGGTGGAATTGTTGGTCTTTGAAAATAGAAAGTTAATCTCTTGGAAAGGTTCTACAATGTTATTGTTTTTGCCCCAAATGGCACATTACAGAAATCAATTAATTTAGTTGAATGGCAACTATATGTACATAACATGTTCCTATTACTCTTCTATATCATGTCTTGAACTTTCTCTTTAATAAATGTGACATAAAAACTTTAAAAGTTCTGTGCACGAAAGGACAGTGCCAATAGAGTAAACATGGTAATCAACAGAATGAAAGAAGATGTTGACAAATAGTATATCTCATAAGAGATCAATATCCAAAATATGGTCAGGCATGGTGCCTCATACCTGTAATCCCAGCTACTTGGTAGGCTAAGGCAGGAGCATTACTTAGACCCAGGAGTTCAAGACCAGCCTAGGCAAGTAGGCAAGAAAGAAAGACACTGTCTCTTAAAAAAAATCCAGGATTTGTAAAGAAATTCTAAAACCCAACAATAAAAAAACAAGGGAGAGGCCAAGAATGTTGATTAGAAGTAGCTCTGGTCTGTGGCTCCCACTGAGGAGAATGGAAACAGCGAATGAACACTGTACCTTCTGCTGAGGTATCCAGGTTTTCTCATTGGTATTGACTAGGCAGTTGGCACAACTCACAGAGAGTGAAGAAAAGCAGAGTGGAGCAACAGCCCACCCAGGAGTCACAAGGGGTAAGGGGAACTCCCACCCCAAGCCAAGGGAGATGGTGAATGATTATGCTACCCCACCAGGGAAACCATGCTTTTTTCATGCATCTGTACAAGCTGATCTGTACTCCTGATCAGGAGATGTTCTTGTGAGCCCATGCCACCAGAGCCTTGGGTCCCAAGCACAGAACTGTGCACACTCTTAATGGCTGCTGGGATTGTGGCCAGTGGCAGCATGTTGGGGACTGATTAAAACAACTGAGTTTCTAGGGGGAGGGGTGGCTGCCGTTGCTGTGGCTCCAGTTGGCCATTTTCCCGTCCCACTGCTGGGGAGACTGAATGGTTTGGACTGGCAGGAACTCCCCACAGTGCAGCACAGCAGCTGTGGCAGATCGTGGCCAGACTGCTTCTGTAGGTGGGATCCGGATCCATCCTTCTTCGCTTGGTGGGGCCTCTCTGCAGGAATTTCAGCAACTCCAGCTAGGGGTTTATGGACAGAACTCTGCTCATAAACTGTGGAAACTGTGGCTGTCCATCCCCTAGAGGGAGGGGTGGCCACAATCTCCACAGTTCAGAAAACTTCCTCTTTCCTGCCTGTTGGCTCTGAAGAGCCTGGCAATCCAGAGGAGGGGGATTCCCCCCAGCACGGTGCACCTGCTCCACCAATGGGCAGCCAGAGTGCTTCCTTAAGCAGATCCTTGATCCCATGATCCCATGCCTCCTGACTAGGTGAGACCTTCCAACAGGGGTTGCTGGACAGTTCATACAGGACAGTTCTGACCAGCATCAGGTCAGTGCCCTGGGATGGAGCTGCCAGAGGAAGGAGCAGGCAGCCACCTTTGCTGTTCTGCAGCCTCCACTGGTGACACCTCCAGGTGCAGGAGGGACCCAGGTGAGTTGGATCTGGAGTGGACCCCCGGCAAGCCACAGCCACTCTGTAGAAGAGGGTCCTAACTTTTAAAAGAAAAATAATCAGAAAGCAACAATGACAATAACAACAACAACAGCAAAAGACCCCACAAAACCCCCAACCAAAGGTTAGCATTTTCAAAGATTGAAGGTAGATAAACCCATGAAGATGCGAAAAAGTCAACAACAAATGCTGAAAATACAAAAATCCATAGCGTCTCTTCTCCTCCAAATGATTACAACACCTCTCCAGCAATGGCACAGAACTGGGCTGAGGCTGAGATGGATGACTTGACAGAGGTAGACTTCAGAAGGTGGGTAATAATAAACTTCACTGAGCAAAAGGAGTATGTTCCAACCCAATGCAAAGAAGCTAAGAGCCATGATAAGACATTACAGGAGCTGTTAACCAGTTAACCAGAATAACCAGTTTAGAGAGGAACATAAATAGGTTGATGGAGCTGAAAAACACAACACAAGAACTTTGCAATCCACCCACAAGTATCAGTAGCCAAATAGACCAAGCAGTAGAAAGAATCTCAGAACTTAAAGACCATCTTACCAAAATAAGACAGGCAGACAATATTACAGAAAAAAAGAATGAAAAGGAATGAACAAAACCTCCAAGAACTATGAGATTATGTAAAAGAGACTGAAGCTATGACTGATTGGGGTGCCTGAAAGAGACGGGGAAAATTACCTAAGTTGAGAAACATACTTCAGGATGTCACCAGCAAGACAGGCCAATATTCAAATTCAGGAAATTCAGAGAAACCAAGTAAGATACTCCATGAGAAGATCAACCCCAAGACACATAATCATCAGATTCTCCAAGGTCGAAATGAAGGAAAAAATGTTAAGGGTAGCCAGAGTGAAAGGCCAGGTCACCTGCAAAGGGAAGACCGTAAGAGTAACAGCAGACCTCTCAGCAGACACCCTACAAGCCAGAGGAGATTGGTGGCCAATATTCAACATTCTTAAAGAAAATAATTTCCAATCTAGAATTTCATATCTGGCCAAACTAAGCTTCATAAGCGAAGGAGAAATACAATCCTTTTCAGTCAAGCAAATGCTGAGGGAATTTGTCACCACCAGATCTACCTTGCAAGAGCTCCTGAAGGAAGCACTGGATGTGGAAAGGAAAAACCATTACCAGCCACTACAAAAACACACTAAAGTACACAGACCAATGACACTATGAAGCAACTACATAAACAAGTCTGCAAAACAACCAGCTAGCATCATGATGACAGGATCAAATTCACACATAACAATATTAACCTTAAATATAAATAGGCTAAATGCCCCAATTAAAAGACACAGAATGACAAGCTGGATAAAGAGTCAAGACTCATCAGTGTGTTGTATGCAAGAGACCCATCTCATGTGCGAAGACACGCATACATTCAAAATAAAGGAATGGAGGAAAATCTACCAAGCAAATGGACAGCAGAAAAAAAAGCAGGGGTTGCAATCCTAGTTACTGACAAAACAGACTTTAAACCAACAAAGATCATAAAAGACAAAGAAGAGCATTATATAATGGTAAAGGGTTCAATTCAACAAGAAGAGCTAACTAACCTAGATATACATCCGCCAACACAAGAGCACCCAGATTCATGAAACAAATTCTTAGAGACCTATAGAGACACTCAGATTCTCACACAATAATAGTGGGAGACTTTAACACCCCACTATCAATATTAGACAGATCATTGAGACAGGAAATTAACAAAGATATTCATAGGTGGGAATTGAACAATGAGAACACATGGACACAGGAAGGGGAACATCACACACCGGGGACTGTTGTGGGGTGGGGGGGAGAGGGGAGGGATAGCATTAGGAGATATACCTAATGCTAAATGACGAGTTAATGGGTGCAGCACACCAACATGGCACATGTATACATACATAACAAACCTGCACATTGTGCACATGTACCCTAAAACTTAAAGTATAATAATAATAAAATTAAAAAAAAACAAAGATATTCAGGACTTGAACTCAGCACTGGATCAAGTGGACCTGAGAGATATCTACAGAACTCTCCGCCCAAAAAAACGGAATATACATTCTTCTTGGTGCCACATGGCACTTATTCTAAAATTGTTCACATATTTGGAAGTAAAACACTCCTCAGCAAATGCAAAAGAACCGAAATCATAACAAACAGTCTCTCAAACCATAGTGAAATCAAATTAGAACTCAGGATTAAGAAATTCATTCAAAACCACACAACTACATGGAAATTGAACAACCTACTCCTGTATGACTCCTGGGTAAATAATGAAATTAATGCAGAAATCAGGAAGTTCTTTGAAACCAATGAGAAGAAAGAGACAATGTATCAGAATCTCTGGGATGCAGCTAAAGCAGTGTTAAGTGGGAAATTTATAGTACTAAATGCACACATCAAAAAGCTAGAAAGATTTCAAGTCGACATCGTAACATCACAACTGGAAGAACTACAGAACCAAGAACAAACAAACCCCAAAGCTAGCAGAAGACAAGAAATAACCAAAATCAGACTGGAACTGAAGAAGACAGAGACACCAAAAAACTCTTCAAAAAATCAACGAATCCAGAATCTGGTCTTTTGAAAATATTAATAATATAGACAGACTGCCAGCTAGACTAATAAAGAATAATAGAGAGAAAAATCAAATAGACACAATAAAAAATGATAAAGGGGATATCACCACTGACCCCATGGAAGTACAAACAACCATCAGAGAATACTATAAACACCTCTATGCACATAAACTAAAAAAATCTAAAAGAAATTCCTAGACACATACACCTTCCCAAGATTGAACCAGGAAGTTGAATCCCTCAATAGACGAATAACGAGTTCTGGAATTGAGGCATAATAAATAGCCTACCAACAAAAATAAAAGCCCAGGACCAGACAGATTTACAGCTGAATTCCACCAGAGGTACAAAGAAGAGCTGGTACCATTTCTTCTGAAGCTATTCCAAATAATTGAAAAGGAGGAACTCCTCCCTAACTTATTTTATGAGGCCAGCATCATCCTGATAACAAAACCTGACACAGATACAACAAAAAAAGAAAACTTCAGGCCAATATCTCTGATGGACACTAATAAAAAAAAATCCTCAATAAAATAATGGCAAGCCGAATCCACCAGCATATCAAAAAGTTTATCCACCACGATCAAGTTGGCTTCATCACCAGGATGCCAGGCTGTTTCAACATATGCAAATCAATAAACATAATTCATTAAATAAACAGAACTAAAGACAAAAACCACATGATTGTCTCAATAGACACAGGAAAGGCCTTCAATAAAATTCAACATCCCTTCATGTTAAAAACTCTCAATAAACTAGGTATTGAAGGAACATACCTCATAATAATAAGAGTCACTTATGACAAGCCCACAGACAATATCATACTGAATGGGCAAAAGCCAAAAGCATTCCCCTTAAACACATGCACAAAACAACAATGCCCACTCTCACCACTCCTATTCAACATGGTATTGGAATTTCTGGCCAGGACAATCAGGCAAGAAAAAGAAATAAAGCATATTTAAATAGGAAGAGAAGAAGTCAAATTGTCTTTCTTTACAGATGACATGATCCTAGATCCTAGAAAATCCCATTGTCTCAGTCCAAAACTTCTTAAGCTCATAAGGAACTTCAGCAGTCTCAGGATGCAAAATCAATGTGCAGAAATCACAAGCATTCCTATACGCCAACAACAGACAAGCAGAGAGCCAAATCATGAATGAACTCCCATTCACAATTGCTACAAAGAGTAAATGCCTAGGAATACAGCCAACAAGGAAAGGGAAAACCCTCTTCAAAGAGATTTACAAACCACTGCTCAAGGAAATCAGAGAGGACACAAACAAATGGACAAATATCCCATGCTCATGAATACAAAAAATCAATATCATGAAAATGGCCATACTGCCCAAAGTAATTTGTGGATTCAATGCTATTCCCGTCAAACTACCACTGACATTCTTCACAGAATTAGAAGAAAACTATTTAAAAATTCACACGGAACCAAAAGCCCATTAGCCAAGACAATCATCCTAAGCAAAAAGAACAAAGTTGGAGACATCATGCTACCTGACTTCAAACTACACTACAAGGCTAAAGTAACCAAAACAGCATGGTACTGGTACAAAAACAGACCAGTGGAACAGAACACAGAACTCAGAAATAAGACCACACATCTACAACCAACTGATCTTCAAAAAACCTGATAAAAACAAGCAATGGGGAAAGGATTCCCTATTTAATAAATGGTGCTGGGAGAACTGGCTAGCCATATGCATAAAGTTGAAACTGGACCCCTTCCTTACACCTTATACAAAAATTAACTCAAGATGGATTAAAGACTTAAATGTAAAACCCAAAACTATAAAGACCCTAGAAGAAAATCTAGGCAACACCACTCAGGACATAGACATGGGCAAAGACTTCATGACAAGAACATCAAAAGCAATTGCAACAAAAGCAAATGCTGACAAATGGGATCTAATTAAACTGAAGAGCTTCTCTACAGCAAAATAAACTATTATCAGAGTGAGCAGACAACCCACAGAATGTGAGAAAAATTTTGTAACCTATCCATCTTACAAAGGTCTAATATCCAGAGTCTACAAGGAACTTAAACAAATTTGCAAGAAAAAAAGAACATTAAAAAGTGGGCAAAGGACATTAACAGACACTTCCAAAAGAAGACATTTATGTAGCACCCAAACATATGAAAAAAGCCTAACATCACTGATCATTAGAGAAATGCAAATTAAAATCACAATGAGATACCATCTCATGCCAGTCAGTATGGTGATTACTAAAAACTCAAGAAACCACAGATGCTGTCAAGGCTTCAGAGAAAAAAGAAACACTTTTATACTGTTGGCGGGAATGTAAATTAGTTCAACCATTGTGGAAGACAGTGTGGCAATTCTTCACAGACCTAGAACCAGAAATACCATTTGACCCAACTATTCTATTACTGAGTGTATTAGTTCGTTTTCATGCTGCTGATAAAGACATACCCGAGACTGGGAAGAAAAAGAGGTGTCATTGGACTTACAGTTCCACATGACTGGGGAGGCCTCAGAATCATGGCGGGAGGCGAAAGGCACTTCTTACATGGCAGTGGCAGGAGAAAATGAGGAAGAAGCAAAAGCAGAAACCCCTGATAAACCCATCAGATCTCGTGCGACTTATCCACTATCATAAGAATAGCAAGGGAAAGACTGGCTCCCATGATTCAGTTACCTCCCATTGGGTCCCTCCTACAACACGTGGGATTTCTGGGAGATATAATTCAAGTTGAGATTTGGGTGGGGACACAGACAAACCATACTGTTCTTCCCCTGGGCCACTCCAAATCTCATTTCCTCACATTTCAAAACCAATCATGCCTTCCCAACAGTTCCCCAAAGTCTTAACTCATTTCAGCATTAACCCAAAAGTCCATAGTCCAAAGTCTCATCTGAGACAAGGCAAGTCCCTTCCACCTATGAGCCTGTAAAATCAAAAGCAAGCTAGTTACTTTTTAGATACAATGGAGGTACAGGTATTGGGTAAATACAGCCATTCCAAATAGGAGAAATTGGCCAGAACAAAGGGGTTACAAGGCACACACAAGTCTGAAATCCAGCAGGGCAGTCAAATTTTTTTATTTTATTATTTTATTTATTTTTATTTTTATTTATTTATTTTTTGAGACAGAATCTCGCTCTGTCGTCCAGGCTGGAGTGCAGTGGCGCCATCTCTGCTCACTGCAAGCTCTGCCTCCTGGGTTCACGCCATTCTCCTGCCTCAGCCTTCCAAGTAGCTAGGACTGCAGGTGCCTGCCACCATGCCTGGCTAACTTTTTTGTATTTTTAGTAGAGACAGGGTTTCACTGTGTTAGCCAGGATGGTCTCAATCTCCTGACCTCGTGGTCCGCCCACCTTGGTCTTTCAAAGTGCTGGGATTACAGGCATGAGCCACCACACCCAGCTGCAGTCAATTTTAAAGCTCCAAAATGATCTCCTTTGACTCCAGGTCTCACATCTAGATCACGCCAATACAGGAGGTGTGTTCCCATGGTCTTGGGCAGCTCTGCCTCTGTGGCTGTGCAGGGTACAGCCTCTCTCCTGACTGCTTTCAAGGGCTGGCTTTGAGTGTCTGTGGCTTTTCCAGGCCCACAGTGCAAGCTGTCAGTGGATCTACCATTCTGGGGTCTGGAGGATGGTGGCCCTCTTCTCACAGCTCGACTAGGCAGTGTCTCAGTAGGGACTTTATTTGGGGGCTATGACCCCACATTTCCCTTCCACACTGCCCTATCAGAGGTTCTCCATGAGGTCCCTGTTCCTGAAGCAAACTTTTGCCTGGGCATTTGGGCGTTTCCCTACATCTCCTGAAATCTAGGTGGAGGTTTCCAAACCTCAATTCTTGACTTCTGTGCACCCGCAGGCTCAACACCACATGGAGGCTGCCAAGGCTTGGGGCTTCCACTCTCTGAAGCCACAGCCTGAGCTGTACATTGGCCTCTTTCAGCCATGGCTGGAGGAGCTGGAACACAGGGCACCAAGTCCCTAGGCTGCACACAGCAAGGGGACGCTGGGCCTGGTCCACAAAACCACTTTTTCCTCCTGGGCCTCTGGTTCCGTGATGGGAGGGGCTGCTGTGAAGGTCTCTGACATGGCCTGGAGACATTTTCCCATGGTCTTGGGGATTAATACTAGGCTCCTTGCTACTTATGCAGATTTCTGCAGCTGGCTTGAATTTTTCCTAAAAAATGGGTTTTTCTTTTCTACTGCATCACCAGACTGCAGTTTTTCTGAACTGTTATGCTCTGTTTCCCTTTTAAAACGGAATGCTTTTAACAGTACCCAAGTCACCTCTTGAATGTTTTGCTGCTTAGAAATTTCTTCTGCCAGATACCCTAAATCATCTCTCTCAAGTTCAAAGTTCCACGAATCTCTAGGGCAAGGGCAAAATGCCTCCAGTCTGTTTGCTGAAACATAGCAAGAGTCACCTTTGCTCCAGTTCCCAACAAGTTTCTTATCTCCATCTGAGACCACCTTGGCCTGGACCTTATTGTTCATATCACTATCAGCATTTTTGTCAAAGCTATTCAACAAATTTCTAGGAGGTTCCAAACTTTCCCACATTTTCCTGTCTTCTTTGGAGCCCTCCAAACTGCTCCAACCTCTGTCTGTTACCCAGTCCAAAGTTGCTTCCACATTTTTAGGTATCTTTTCAATAACACCCCACTCCTGGAACCAATTTACTATATGAGTTCGTTTTCACACTGCTGATAAAGACATACTGGAGACTGGGAAGAATAAGAGGTTTAATTGGACTTACAGTTCCACATGACTGGGGAGGCCTCAGAATCATTGTGGGAGGTGAAAGGCACTTTTTACATGGCTGCGGCAAGAGAAAATGAGGAAGAAGCAAAAGCAGAAACCCCTGATAAACCCATCAGATATTGTGAGGCTTATTCACTATTATGAGAATAGCATGGGAAAGACTGGCTCCCATGATCGAATTACCTCCCCCTGGGTCCCTCCCACAACATGTGGGAATTCTGGGAGATACAATTCAAGTTGAGATTTGGGTGGGGACACAGCCAAACCATATCATTGGGTATATACCCAAAGGAATATAAATCATTCTATTATAAAGATACATGCATGTGTATGTTTACTGAAGCATTATTCACAATACCAAAGGCATGGAACCAACCCAAATGTCCATCAGTGATAGGCTGGATAAAGAAAATATGGTTCATACACACCATGGAATACTATGCAGCCATAAAAAGGAATGAGATTATGTCTTTTGCAGGGACATGGATGGAGCTGGAAGCCATTGTCCTCAGCAAAATAATGAAGGAACAGAAAACCAAATACTGCATGTTCTCACTAATAATTGGGAGCTGAACAATGAGAACACATGGACACAGGGAGGGGAACAACACACACTGGGGCCTGTGAGGGGTAGGGGCAGGGACAGCATCAGGATAAATAGCTCATGCATGCTGGGCTTAATACCTAGGTGATGGGTTGATAGCTGCAGCAAACCGCCATGCCACACGTTTACCCATGTAACAAACCTGCATGTCCTACACATGTACGCTAGAACATAAAACAAAATAAAATAAAATAAACAATTCAATTCAAAAATGGGATTTTTTAGATTCCTCATATAAGTAAGATCATGCATTACTTGTCTTTCCATGTCTGGCTTATTTCACTTAGCTTAATGTCCTCTAGGTTCATGCATGTTGTCAAAAATAACAGTGTGAAAGAAAAATAGAATCTTGGGACCCCAAACTCATTATGCCAAGGGAAAGTTAATCTTGAGGACTGAGGCACCAATACTGTCTTCCTTTTGTTCCCAAACAGATAACGGTAATTTCACAACCCCGTGTCATAACCTCGTTTCCTCTACTCCTTCCCCCTTTTCAAGTTCCCTTAATTTTATGTAAAATGTAGATTTACTGAGCATAAGATAATTTATAATTAACTTTTTCTTCTACTCTCTTTTCACAGGTAAAATGTAGATTTACTTAAGCTAATCAAAGACTCAGGAATGTAACCACTTGTATCATGGCCTACTCTTCCTCCTTTTTTTTCTCCTTCCCCTCCTGCTTGCTCTTTCTCTTTTAAATACTGAAGTTCTCAAAACCCTCTTTGGCAAAAGCATGGATCACAGATGCTCCTGTGTTTTGTGTTTTTCCCAGGTGTATTCCTCAACCTTGGCAAAATAAACCTTTAATTGATTGAGACCTACCTCAGTCACTTTTTGACTTACAACAGGATTTCCTTCTTTTTAAAGCCTGAATAGGATTTAATTGTGTATATATACCACATTTTCTTTATCTTTTCATCCACTGAATGACACAGGTTGATTCTATACCTTGACTATTGTGAATAATGCTGCAAGGAACATAGGAGTATAGGTATATTTTCAACATGCTAATTTTAAATACTTTGTCTACATCCTGCAAATGGGATTACTACATCATATGATAGTTCTATTTTTAACTTTTTGAGGAACTTCCATACTGTTTTCCATAATGGTTGTACTAATCTGCATCCCCACCAACAGTGTACAAATGTTTCCTTTTGTCTACATCCTTAACACTTGTTATCTTTTATCTTTTTGATAATAGCCATTCTGACTGATGTGAGGTGATATGTCATTGTGGTTTAAATGGAATATCTTAAGTTTTCCTATTTGATGATATAAGAGTACTCTCCCCAAAATATTACTGCTGATGTTGCTGTTTTGCATGAACCATGGCCTTGAGCTGAGTTCTTGGACACATGAGTTCTTGAGTACTTGGATATGGATTTAAGTACTCAAGAACTATATATATTTTTATGTGGCTGAACATTAGGGCCTCTCTTTACTGGTAAGAACTTACAGAAAAAGGAGACATTATAAAGATCTCACAGAGAAATATTTAAGTTTTTTCTGGGAATGAAGGAGCATGGTGACTACTAATCTAGAGGCTGGGGGAAGAGCTGTCTCTGGAAATATCCCAGGCATCACTAGGGAACCAGAAGTAGAGACAGGCAGAGGTGTGTTGGAAAGAGTGACATGTGTAGGCTAGCTCTGGGAGGTTTAATCACCAGTGGTCCAACTGAGGCAATGCGTGGATGAGGAGACTGACAGGAAAAAGGAACCTGAAAAGATAGATCAGGAAACAAAGCTTCATTGTACAGCATACCCACAGCAGGCAGCTTGGGTTTTTGTCCCAGTCTTCTTCGGTCTTCAAGGGCTATTTTCATAGAGCATGAGGAGCCGTGGGACTGGTGAGGTCTGGGCTTCTGTGCCAAGATCACCCACGTTCCTCATTTGCCCTCAAATGTTCCAAATGCTTTGTATCACCTGATTTTCTACCTTCCTGCTAAAGCTTTTCCCATACTCCTACTCCTTCACGCTCCATCATCCTCCAATTCTGACATGACTTCCACCCTGGAGTTTCACCATGGCCACTTGCTTGTGGGAGGCACTGTCTGAACACAGCCCCTGAATGCTACTGATTTGGCTCTTTCTTCAGATTCTCTAGACTGAGATTTTAAAGAGATAACTTTGTGCCAAGAGAAAGGACCTAGTTTATATGTGCCATGAAAAATTCTTATATATAGCTGGTTACCTAGAAGTTGATATAAGAGAAATATGTAAGAAGCTTCACAAAGATTTTTAAAAATTTAAGGATAATTGCTTGATAAATTTTAATTAAAGGAAAACAATATTCTGGGGGCAGCATTTCTAGTTATATTACCATTGGCATTAAGGAAGCCACAGAACCTTTCAGAATATACAGTGATTCTTGATTCCTGAAGTAAATGCAGGGTAGGGTCCTGGATGGTCCTTCTGGTGACAGGGTGGCTCCTATGTTCACATTCAATTCCACTGACCAAGCACAGATTCCAAGAGATGTTGACCAGAGAAGATGATTTCTCCCTTGATTTTCACAAAGAAGGAGTCCACAACTTTTCCTTCCAACCTGAAGGAAGAGAGGATGTCCCTTGAATTGAGTCTGCCTACTGTAACCCTGACCGTCCCTACTAATGGCAGTGGCTTTTTAGCCCATTTACCCACATGGGGTAAATGCTCTAATTGCTCTGCCTCCACAGAGGCTGGGCAGGCGATTCAGGTGAGACACTCGGAATAAGGATGCTTGACCTAGTTTCTTTCTTCTCTGGCCTTCTTCTGCCTGAATGCCCTGAATAATGCAGCAGGGATAGGGCCAGGGTAGTCAACTGTACAGAAGGCTGGGCCAGGCAGACACAACTGGCAGAAGCCCAAAGCAAAACCTTTCCAGTGAGGTTTTAGCCAATCAGAAAAAGGCTCTAAAGTGACACTTGTTGCTAGCTGAAAAGTCTGTGCGAAGAGGCCTGTGAGACTGAGGAATCCCCAGGTCTGGCGTAGCAGTTGCCTCAGAATAAACCTGTGGGAAGTTTTTCCCTTAGACAGGAAGGAAAGGATGGATTAGAGGCCTCTATTCTGAGGGACACTGAGGTGGGGGCTGAGGAAGGACATTGAGGGCAGCTTCAGGTCTCTCTGCCTACTCTTCCTTGCCCCAACTCCATTCCAGGTGTGAGTATGGTTCCTCCTTTATGTGTCCATCACAGCAGTGGAGACCATCCTTAGGCTGGGTTTACCCTGATCCTGAGTAAACCACTGCTGCTGGACGCCCAGTGGCAACTTTCCCAGTCTCAGGTGCTCTAGAATTATGCTGTGAATAATACAGAATATTGGAGTGGCTCAACGCTTTCATGTGCCACTATTGCAAACCTCTTGCTGTTGCCTCTTCCCTGCTTCTTTTTACCTGGTAAACTTATATTCTGATTTTAGATTGTATTCTCTACTTTAAAAGCAGAACCTAAAATTTTGGGAAAAGAAAGAGAGAAAGGGAGAGAAGAAGAGAGGTGGAGATATTTATTGTCTTGGTTGGGGTCAGAAGTAATGTTTGCCAGGCATTGTTCTAATTGCTTTATAACCATTAGTACTGTCCCTAGTCACTGCCAAGAGGAGCTTGATAAGTTATGCTTATTTATAAAAACACATTGATGTAGATATGTCCATGAGGAACTGTTAAATAAAAAATACATAGAATTGAAAAAAACCACATTGATACCTCTGCCATTTGGGATTTGATGTTTAGGGCTGGCACAGTACAATCTGTGACTCTAAACATTTTCTCCATCATTAATACTATTCAGGACCTAGGAAATGCTTCTCCACAGCTTTTGCTCTCTCTCCTCAAATCTAGACATGACTATATCTGAATACTGTAAAGGTTTGTGTATTGTGCCTTTGCTGATATCAGATGCACCTATTTCATGGTTCAGAGAGGATTTAAACAGCTGAAGAACTTAGAAAAGGAATGTCAACTTAATTAACTTTTCAAATACTTTCACTCGAAGAGTATAAATACAATATATTCTTGCGTAATGAAGAATCATTTACCAGCAGGGATGGGTGTCAATTTTTTTTGGCTTGTTTTCTTGTTCCACATATTAACCTGATAGTTACACATAACAGTTGAGGATCCTTTTGTAACATTAAACAAGTCATATTAATCTTAAATTTGTATATGTGAAGATCTAGATGTAAAATGCATGAAACATGATCCACATTTTACAAAGAGAAGCCTGGGGCAAAAATAAATTCAGTAATTTGTTGACTCTCATAAAGCACATTAGTGGTGGAACTGCAACTCACCATTATTTCCTTCTAAGAACTTTGCTCTTTTCACCAAAACTTAAGGCTCCTCAGGGTGTGTCTAAGACAACAGCAGTAAAAATGTCTATGACAGCAATTTTCTCTCCCCTGAAATATGATCCCCACTTAATTTGCCCTATTGAAAGAATCCCAAGTATAAGAACAACTGGTTTTTAATCAATATTACAAAGATGTTTACTGTTGAATCGCATTTTTCTTTGGCTTCTTAAAATCCCTTAGGCATTCAATCTTCAGCTCTTCCATAATTGAGAGGAAATTTTCACCTCAAATGTTCATCCAGTGCAATTGAAAGACGTCACAGTGCCAGGCACTGGATTCAGAACCTTCACAAAAAAAAAATCTGCCCAGAGACAGATGAGGTCCTTCAGCTCCAGTGCTGATTGGTTCCTTTCCAAGGGACCATCCAATCCTACCACGCATGGAAACATCCACAGATTTTTATTCTTTCTGCCAGGTACATCAGATCCATCAGGTCCGAGCTGTGTTGACTACCACTTTTCCCTTCGTCTCAATTATGTCTTGGAAAAAGGCTTTGCGGATCCCCGGAGGCCTTCGGGCAGCAACTGTGACCTTGATGCTGTCGATGCTGAGCACCCCAGTGGCTGAGGGCAGAGACTCTCCCGGTAAGTGCAGGGCAGCTGCTCTCCAGAGCCGCTACTCTGGGAACAGGCTCTCCTTGGGCTGGGGTACGGGGATGGTGATCTCCATAATCTCGGACACAATCTTTTATCAACATTTCCTCTGTTTTGGGAAAGAGAGCTATGTTGCATTTCCATTTATCTTTTAATGATGAAGTGAGGACAATCCAATCCCATCCTACAGGCTTAAGCCTGGAAGAGGAGGAGAGAGGAGAGAAAAGAGGAGACAAAGTGTTCATTTACTACCAGTGATAGGACAAAGTGAGCATGGGGTTATTTTTGAAGATATGAATTTCTCCAAAGACACAGCAGGATTTGCCATTTAGGCGTGTCCCAAGACTTGCCTGGACTAAATATTATGATTTCCTGCATTGGGAAATGCAAGGCAGCAATGGTGTCTGTAGTCTCCGTATTTGGGGAAAAGTTGTCTGTATTCCTGACCCAGTGGAGCGTTTGTGGAGGCAAAATCTTGGTACTGAGGGAAGCTGACTGGCTGACCACAGAAAGAGAGCCTTCAGGTTTCACTGATTTATGGGCAAATGGTGACCTGAGTGGGATTCAGATACCCGAGTTGATGATGGACTAAATTTAGTAGAAAGGAGGATGTAAAGAAGGGAAATAACACATACTGTGAAACCACTCATTTCAGACACAGAACAATACTTTACATAAATTCTCTCTCACTCCTTCTAACATCCTGTGTGTAGATATCATGATTTTCTTTTACACAATTATACTTGTGATATGGATATTCTGTTACATAAACTGCCCGGGCTGGTGACTGCCACAGTTTAATGGGAATCTAGTTTATCAAATTCAAAAGCTTGTGCTCTTTCGGTGAATAAATGTTTCTTTCTAGGACTCAGAGATCTAGGACTCCCTTCTTTCTAACACAGACGTGAGTGAACCTCACAGGGCACTTGGGAGGGTAAATCCAGGCATGGGAAGGAAGGTATTTTACCCAGGGACCAAGAGAATAGGCGTATCGGAAGAGGACAGGTTTAATTCCTGGACCTGTCTCGTCATTCCCTTGAACTGTCAGGTTTATGTGGATAACTTTATCTCTGAGGTACCCAGGAGCTCCATGGAAAATGAGATTTCATGCGAGAACGCCCTGATCCCTCTAAGTGCAGAGGTCCATGTAAAATCAGCCCGACTGCCTCTTCACTTGGTTCACAGGCCGAGACAGGGACAGGGCTTTCCTCCCTTTCCTGCCTGTAGGAAGGCGGATTCCCGAAGACCCCCGAGAGGGCGGGCAGGGCTGGGCAGAGCCGCCGGGAGGATCCCAGGTCTGCAGCGCGAGGCACGGGCCGGCGGGAACTTGTGGTCGCGCGGGCTGTTCCACAGCTCCGGGCCGGGTCAGGGTGGCGGCTGCGGGGGCGGACGGGCTGGGCCGCACTGACTGGCCGGTGATTCCTCGCAGAGGATTTCGTGTACCAGTTTAAGGGCATGTGCTACTTCACCAACGGGACAGAGCGCGTGCGTCTTGTGAGCAGAAGCATCTATAACCGAGAAGAGATCGTGCGCTTCGACAGCGACGTGGGGGAGTTCCGGGCGGTGACGCTGCTGGGGCTGCCTGCCGCCGAGTACTGGAACAGCCAGAAGGACATCCTGGAGAGGAAACGGGCGGCGGTGGACAGGGTGTGCAGACACAACTACCAGTTGGAGCTCCGCACGACCTTGCAGCGGCGAGGTGAGCGGCGTCGCCCCTCTGCGAGGCCCACCCTTGGCCCCAAGTCTCTGCGCCAGGAGGGGCGAAGGGTCGTGGCCTCTGGAACCTGAGCCCCGTTTGTTCCACCCCAGAGGACAGGAGGCAGCGGCGAGAGTGGTGGGGGCAGGTGCATCGGAGGTGCGGGGACCTAGGGCAGAGCAGGGGGACAGGCAGAGTTGGCCAGGCTGCCTAGTGTCGCCCCAGCCTACCCGTTCGTCGGCCTTGTCCTCTGCTCTGCATGTTCTTGCCTCGTGCCTTATGCATTTGCCTCCTTTTGCCTTACCTTTGCTAAGCAGCTCTCTCTGCTCAGAATGCCCGCCCTCTTCCCCTGCCCGCCCGCCCGCCCCACTAGCACTGCCCCACCCAGCAAGGCCCACGTGCACAGCTCTTGCAGCAGGAAGCTTCAGGCTTAGCCTGGTGGAGTTAGGGCTGTTCCACAACTGCGCGCAGGACATTCAGCAATTACAGTTGTGAAATAAGATATTTTAACTTTTGGCTTCAAATCATTATTCATCGTAATTCTGTTTTCTTAAATGGCTCTCATTCATGGCAGAGATCTTTGAGGTGAGGGTGTTTTAATCATTGCATGCCTAGTACCTGACACATTGACTGGTATGTGGTGTGAGCTCAATGATCTTCTGTTAAATTAATGAATAAATGTACTCAGCTGCCCATCCACTTAGGCTCAAGAAAAAAAAAGAGGTAAACAGAGCCTTAAAAATGGACTTTATTAATTATTTTCTATAATTTTGCTTAATGCTTTAAAGTAAACTCTTATTGACTTGGATCTTAATAGAGTTTGTGAATACAAAATCTGAGGAAAAAAGTTTTTGCTAAAAATAAAAACAACGCTTGAAAGATATTGTAAGGCAGTTTAAATTTCTTTTCTTTTCTTTTTTTTTTTTTTTTGAGACGGATTCTCACTCTGTCGCCCAGGCCGGAGTGCAGTGGCGCGATCTCGGCTCACTGCAAGCTCCGCCTCCCGGGTTCACGCCATTCTCCTGCCTCAGCCTCCTGAGTAGGTGGGATTACAGGCGCGTGCCACCACGCCCGGCTAATTTTTTTGTATTTTTAGTAGAGGCGGGGTTTCACCGTGTTAGCCAGGATGGTCTGGATCTCCTGACCTCATGATCCGCCCGCCTCGGCCTCCCAAAGTGCTGGGATTACAGGTGTGAGCCACAGTGCCCGGCCGGCACTTTTAATTTCTTAGAAAAGCTGAACAAATGGCACAATGCAAAGAGCAAAAGTTTTGGAATAAATAGATTGAAGCCATTAAATTATTGGATAAAAATAGTTTCGGGTTGCTTTTGGCCTAGGTTCTCCCCTCCCCCCATGACTATCCACTTCAGGAATAAACATTCTGAAAGTCAATTTTACCCATTTAGTGAGCATTTATTTCTAGACAGTTGCCTTATCAAATACCATCTATGTTACGTCATTTAATCTCACAGTTACTTGTGCATCAGAGATTAGCATCACCACTTTATATATTGGTACATGATAAACACTTTATTGGTCATGGATGGGGAGATGGTCACTGTAGGCTAATATTGGTACATGATAAACACTTTAAGTAATCAGCCCATAATTGCTCACCAAGACCTTAAGCCTCCCAAAGTACACAACATTCTTTGTGTTCTTCACTACACATCCATAGAGTCTAAGGGACGTAAAGCCTCGTTAAAGCCAGTTTTGACCAGAAGCAGCAATGAGTCTATTCCTGTGTGTTTTCCATGTTAATGGGACAAAATGATACTTTCAAGGCATTGAAAATTCATGATTAATCAATCCCTAGTCTGACCCCAGTGTTATCTATGCAGGTTTGCAAAACCTTTAGTTTACTTAATACTCCCTTGCCTTCTTTTGATTCACATCCTAATGCCAGCAAATACTTATGTTTTTGCTATTTCAGTTCCATTTCCATAAAATTTATTTTATCATCTTTTCTCATAAATTTATGCCCTCTATTTTTACTCCCAATCTGTTTAAGATGAACAAATCTTATAAGGCCACATAGCTGACTGTTATTTCTGTTGGACTCCAGGAAGGAGAACCTAAAGAAAAGTTCAAGTCCAAGCAGAAACCGTGATTTCTTCCAGATGATGGCTCATGAGTGCCATTTAATTGGGGTGCCACCTGGTGACCTCAGCAAATCCCAGCTATATTTATGTGTTCACATTACAGGATCATTAACCCAGACCGACCACTGCACAGATCTCAGAATATTTTCTATGGAGAACATACATAATAATGCCTGATTTCAGAAGAAGAAAGTAATTCTCAATAGCAAGGGGATGGAGTAGGGTAGACAGCTGTAATTAAACTCACTTGTGTGATAAAAAGAAATTAAGGAAAAAAGAAAATGAGAGAACATATTACTAAATAAAGAAAGCATACATTAAATATTTACTATAGTTTCACACTAAGAGAATAAAGGAAATGCAATAAAGTGGCCTGAAAGGTAAAGGATGAGATGTGTAAAGGGGTGTAGTATTTTTACTATGAGCAGCAATCTGAGAAGATAAAGGAATCGAGTTACGGGCAAACATGATGTTTGATCAGTGTTATTTGTTTTCAAGGCCTGCCTAAATTTTTTTCAAATATTACAAACTTTTGAAATAACATTCTTTTTGTTTTTTGCTGTCTGTTACTAGGTTGCACATTTTATAAAGGCAGGGACCATGGTATGTTGTTTGTCTTTGGATTCTCAGTGATTGTTATATTTATATTTGTTGAAGGAACCTTAATCCAAGACTTGGACTCCAAGTATCTTTCCACTCTGGTTCCAAGGAGGGACCTTCCTCACAGCAGGCATGCTGTGTGGTCTCACATCTCACTCCTATATCTTTCCCTGTCTGTTACTGCCCTCAGTGGAGCCCACAGTGACCATCTCCCCATCCAGGACAGAGGCCC
The DNA here is from genome assembly GCF_000001405.40 of Homo sapiens. NCBI lineage: Eukaryota > Metazoa > Chordata > Mammalia > Primates > Hominidae > Homo > Homo sapiens. Next base: position 3,856,142 of record NT_167248.2, on the reverse strand, counting down.
TCAACCACCACAACCTGCTGGTCTGCTCGGTGACAGATTTCTATCCAGCCCAGATCAAAGTCCGGTGGTTTCGGAATGACCAGGAGGAGACAGCTGGCGTTGTGTCCACCCCCCTTATTAGGAATGGTGACTGGACCTTCCAGATCCTGGTGATGCTGGAAATGACTCCCCAGCGTGGAGACGTCTACACCTGCCACGTGGAGCACCCCAGCCTCCAGAGCCCCATCACCGTGGAGTGGCGTAAGGGGATATTGAGTTTCTGTTACTGTGGGCCCCACAAGACAAAGGACAGAGCTCCTTCTGACCCATCCCTTCCCATCTCTTATCCCTGATGTCACTGCTGAGCTGGGAATCACAGGAGACTAGAGCACCTCTAGTTCCATGGCGAGTGCATCAGAAGAATCCTGATCTCATCACCTTTCCAGATGCTAGGGAAATTACTCTACATACTGTTGCTCTGGATCCCAGTCCTGATTGCTCTGAGGAACTGATTATTAGGGCTGGTGACTGGGATCTTAGGGTCTAAGTTTATGGATGAGTTCCTGAGGAGTGGAGATCTGCTTCCCCACTCTGTCACCTACTCACTGTATCCAAGGACCTATTGGCTGGCCTTTCCCTCCCTTAGGGGTGGTCTGAATGGAGAACTAGGTTCCTTTGATGCCTTCACCTCCTGCATCTCAGACTGGACTTCAGCTCCTCATCAGGGAAACTATGGGGTATGGGGACAAACACTGACACTCAGGCTCTGCTTCTCAGGGGCTCAATCTGAATCTGCCCAGAGCAAGATGCTGAGTGGCATTGGAGGCTTCGTGCTGGGGCTGATCTTCCTCGGGCTGGGCCTTATCATCCATCACAGGAGTCAGAAAGGTGAGGAACCCCAGGGGAAAAGGGGAAGATGGCCTGTGACCCAGACCCTCTGTTCAGAGAGGTCCTGTCTCTAGATGTAGCTCTTTCCTCCTGACCCTGAGAGGAAGAAAGCTGAGCTGGAAGTGGAAGGAGACAGGACAAGGTTGGAGGAGGCATTGGAATCTGATTTTACTAGCTGAAGGGTAGCCCTGTCACAGAGCTGACTGATAGAGCTTATTCCAGGGCATCCTTACCATTCATCATTGTCTCACTGGCTCCTTTCCAAAAACTTCCTCCATTAAGAGGGTCAGAGCCTCGGCCTCCTTGCCTTCTAGTGACAATTTCCTTTATTTTAGGGGATTTTAAATTAGGGTGCTTAAGGACTTGAAGAACATGAATGGGAAGAGAATATAACTCTAATTAAGTCACATGTGTCATTTTCCTTTGGGGTGAGAGAGTGGCTGTTCATGTAATGAGACCTTTCTCTGCATAACTTCCTTTTGTAAGACCTCAAGGGCCTCCACCAGCAGGTAATATTTCAGCCGTGATCCAGTGTGGGGAGGGCACAGGTGTAAGAGGGAAGAGCATGAGCTGAGTGTACCTGACAGTAGTGGTCTCTGTTCATGGTATATTTGCTGCTATGAGGATCAAGACTTAGGGGTGAAGTTTGCCAGTTTCTAGGAATCTCCAGAGGTTGTTCCCCAGAACCAAGCCTTAACTTTGGTGGTATCTTCCTGTTAAATGTGGAGCCAGAACCACGGCTTAAATGTTAGACACTAGGATGATGCCCACTTTGTGCCACATGATGGTGGCTACTGCCTGTAGGCATTTTCCAGTGACTGAAAGAGGCTGCTAGTGGTAGGGATGAGGTATCATCCAATTTCCTAAAAAGATTGAACCCTTCATATTCACCAGAAGAGTAACAGCTGTTCCCCCACCTCCCACACATCTGCATCAAGCTGAAGTTCTGTGTCTTCATGAGCTGATTTCACCTTTGCACAGATCTTGGGGGAGGTGATGACAATACACTCTGGACCTCAGCTTTGTCTGTCTGAAGCTGCAGGAGGCCCCTGAGGGGTGGGGAAGATGGCAGGCCCACCAGCGTACCCTGTGCTGATCATCCCTCTTCTCTCTTCTTCAGGGCTCCTGCACTGACTCCTGAGACTATTTTAACTGGGATTGGTTATCACTTTTCTGTAACGCCTGCTTGTCCCTGCCCAGAATTCCCAGCTGTCTGTGTCAGCCTGTCCCCCTGAGATCAGAGTCCTACAGTGGCTGTCACGCAGCCACCAGGTCATCTCCTTTCATCCCCACCTTGAGGCGGATGGCTGTGACCCTACTTCCTGCACTGACCCACAGCCTCTGCCTGTGCACGGCCAGCTGCATCTACTCAGGCCCCAAGGGGTTTCTGTTTCTATTCTCTCCTCAGACTGCTCAAGAGAAGCACATGAAAACCATTACCTGACTTTAGAGCTTTTTTACATAATTAAACATGATCCTGAGTTATCTGTATTCTGAACTTCCTTAATTGAGCAGAGGCAGGAAATCACTGCAGAATGAAGGAACATACCTTGAGGTGACCCAGCCAACCTGTGCCCAGAAGGAGGGTTGTACCTTGAAAAGACACTGAAAGAATTTGGGGTGCAAAGTCATGGTGGGCAGAGGAGGTAGAAAATCAACTCAGTTGTTGCATCATTCATGGTTCTTTCATATTGATGTTCAGTGCAGTGGCCTGAGAATATCCCAGCCTCTCTTCTGGTTTGGTGAGTGCTATATAAGTAAACATGGTGGAATTGTTTGGGGGCAGATATAGTGACCCTTGGTCACTGGTGTTTCAAACATTCTGGCAAGTCACATCAATCAAGAATAATTTTTACTTTTAAGAAAGCATAACCAGCAATAAAAGTATTATTTTTGATTCTAAATGATAGAAACCCAAATATATTTTGTTCATGGTGCAAAGGAAGCCTAGAGTCAAGTTGATTTCAGAAGTGACTAGTTCCAGATACACAATGAGATCTTCACCTCTCTTTCTGTTATATCTCTATCTGTGAATCTGCCTCTCTTTCTGTGTCTCTTTGTCCCTGTATAGTTCTTTCTGCGTGTCTCTCTGCATCTTTGTCTCTGCCCCCTTGTTGTGTCTTTCACTACATTGTTGCCTTTCTATTTTTCTAATCCATGGTCACTGTTTATCTGCATTTTTTCTATCTCCGTGTTTCTTTTTGCATCTATTTTTCTGCATTTCTCTTCCTTATCACTTCATATCTTATCTCATCTCTCTCTCTTGCTGTGTGTGTGTGTGTGTGTCTGTTTGTCTGTCTCTGTTAATATATGTTTCTAGAATGTCTACCAGAGTTTTAACAACTTTAGGAAAGATTCTGATTGGCCAAGCCTGGGTAACATGCACACCTCTCAAACACATTGTCCTGTGCACGGGATGCTGACAGCCAGCATTGTGTCCATCGCTCTTATTAGGAAGGAGGACTGGATTTTCCAGATCCTTGTGGTCCTGGAAATGACTTCCAGTGTGCAGATGTCTACACCAGCCATGTGGAGCACCTCAGCCTCCACAGCCTCCTCACAGTGGAGGGGTATAAGGGGCAGTTTGTTTCTTGTGGAGCCCACAGGACAAATGGCAGAGCTCCCTCTGGTTCTAGGGTCCCTCATTGGGGGTGCCTGTTCATAGTCATTCCACTCCTTGTCTGAGCTCCCTTTGTCATAGACGTTGTAACCTGTTGATTCCTGATGACACTCTTTTCCCGGTTATGAGGGAGGTCACTACACACTGTGGCCCCTTTGATGTGGGCCCAGCCCTGAAGCTGGTCTACATCTCAGTCTCTGAGTTTCGTCATGAAGCCAGAGTCTGGGAGCTTCTGCGAGGTTATGTAAGGCCATGACCCTGAAAGCAGACATCCCATCTTCCTTTCTCCCTCACCCACACACTGGGCGTGAGGAGTCTTTGGCAGGCTCTTCCTTCTTATGGATGAGGTCAGAGTGGAGAACTAGGTCTCCTTGGGACCTTCATCTCCTGTACTCCAGGCTGTCATGCAGGTCCTCAGACAGGGACACTGGCGCACAAAGAGGCACCAACACTTGAGATTCTGCTCCCCAGGGTTATAGTCTGAATTTTCCCCAAGCAAAATTCTGAATGGAGTCAAAAGTTTTGTGCCGATTTTGTCCTCTTCCTCAGGGTGGGCACTGTCATTCACCATAGGGATCAAAAGGGAGTAACACTTTTGGGGAAATGGGGAAGGCATGTGCTGGGTTGTCCAGCGTGTCCTCAGTCTCTGTGTGTAGCTCCTGGCTTTTGGCCCTGCAAAGGGAAGAGGCAGGGCTAGGGATTGAACAAGACTCAAAGTTTAGGGGAACATCGAGATCTGATTTTTCTAGTTGAAGCATAAGCCCTATAATTGGGGTGGGTGATAGATTATATTCTAGGACATTCTTACAGTTCAACATTGTCACACTGAGCACACATGCTGGAAGATTCTTTATTAACGAGAGGGTCAAAATCGTCTTCTCTTTCTTCCATTGACAGTTTCATAGAAACAACTATGTTTTGCACCCAGATTTCATTGGATAGTATAATCTTTAATGGATAATTAATTAAAATAATAAGTACATCGTCTATAAATAAGTTTGCTAACACAAAGAACTGAGTCTTACTCAGCATATAACTTGGAGGAAAGCGTGTGGGTGTTCTAGAGGACAACCTACTGGTCTTGAGCATTTGTCCTTACCTTAGATAATAACAGTATAACTTTTGGAGACAGTGATGCTTACCAGTATTCCAAAGCTCCTGTACATTTCTCAGTCTTTTCCGCTGTTAGGTTGGGGACATTTGACTAACAGTAACCAATGGAACTTGCAAGTAGGTGCATGGTGGTGTATGAGATGCTGGAAACTCCATAATCTGAGTCATTTGAATAACGGTGGAATTAAGTCTCCTTATTGAGTTAAGTCACTGAGATCTACTTTTTACTGTGGGTTAAGATCTTATTGCAGCATAACCTTGCCCTTCCTGATTATCATGAAATGTTTAACTTAAGGAAGAAGAGAGTCCTTAAGTTAATAGGGTGAATCAACTGAGTTAATGGAAGTTAAGAGATGATTTTTTAAAACAAATTAAAAAAATAAAAAAACAGAAAACTTTATTTGAACAAGAAAAAGTTAAGGATGTTACACTCCAAAAGAATTTTGAACTCATTAATTATTTTTAATTGATAAATCACTGTGGATTTACAGGGTACTGTGTGATTTTTTTGATACATGTGATTAAACCAGGCTAATTAACATATCCATCACTTCACTTTTTGGTGGTATGAATATTTAAAATCTCTCTCTGCAATTTTCAAATATACAATACAGTTGGCCCTCTATATCTGTGGGTTTCACATCCTCTCATTCATTCAACTGTGGGTTGAAAATATTTAGAAAAAAATGAAAACTAACAATATAACTATAAAAATAATTCCGATTCAAAAACAATAAAGCATAACAACTATTTTCATAGCATTTACATTACATTGGGTATTCTAAGTATAATCTAGAGATGATTTAAAGTATACAGGAGGATAGGCTTAGTTTATATGCAAAAACTAAGACGTTTTTAATAAGGGACCTGAGCATTCTCAGATTTTGGTATACAGAGAGGGTACTGGAACAAATCCCTCGTGGGTGCCGAGGGACGACTGTACATTATTATTAACCGTAGTCACCATGCTGTACAATCGATCTTCAGTACTTATTCCTCCTGCCTAACTGAAACTTTGTACTTTTTTTCTGAAACGGGGTCTAGGTCTGGCTGGGGTGCAGTGGTACGATCACAGCTCACTGCAGCCTTCACTTCCCGGGCTCAATCCATCCTCCCACCTCAGTCTCTGGAGTAGCCGGGACTACTGGCATGTGTGACCATGCCTGGCTAGTTTTTGCATTTTTTGTAAAGATAGGGTTTCACCATGCTGCCCAGCTGGTCTTGAACTCCTGTGCTCAACCAATCTACCTGCCTCAGCCTCCCAAAGTGGTGGGATTATAGGCATGAGCCACCACACCCTGCCCTTCTTTGTACCTTTTGACCAACATCTTCTCATTCCTCCTTGTCCCCCTCCCTGCTACCCCCACTCCCCGACCTGCCATGATTTTGACTTTTTTAGATTCCACAGGTAAGTGAGGTCATGCAGTATTTGTCTTTCCGTGCCTGGCTTATTTCACTTAACATAATGTCTTCCAGGTTCATCCATGTTGTAAAAAATGTAAAAGATTTCCTTCCTTTACAAGGCTGAATAGTATTCCATTGTGTATATGGACCACAGTTTCCTTATACACTCATCTGCTGATTGAGACTTAAGTTGTTAACATCTCCTGGCCATTGTGAGTAGTGCTGCGATGAACATGGGAGTACAGATACCTCTTTGATACACTGATTTCATTTTCTTTGCAGATGTACCCAGCAGTGGAATTGCTGGATGATGTGGTAGTTCTATTTTTATTTTTTAAATAGATGATGAATTAAAAAAAAAACATTTATTTGGGTGGGGCGCCGTGGCTCACGCCTGTAATCCCAGTACTTTGGAAGGCCGAGGTGGGCGGATCACTAGGTCAGGAGTTCAAGACAAACCTAGCCAACATAGTGAAACCCCGTCTCTACTAAAAATACAAAAATTACCCCCGCCCGGCCAGCCGCCCCGTCCGGGAGGGAGGTGGGGGGGTCAGCCCCCCCGCCCGGCCAGCCGCCCCGTCCGGGAGGTGAGGGGCGCCTCTGCCCGGCTGCCCCTACTGGGAAGTGAGGAGCCCCTCTGCCCGGCCAGCCGCCCCGTCCGGGAGGGAGGTGGGGGGGGGTCAGCCCCCCTGCCCGGCCAGCCGCCCCGTCCGGGAGGTGAGGGGCGCCTCTGCCCGGCCGCCCCTACTGGGAAGTGAGGAGCCCCTCTGCCCGGCCACCACCCCGTCTGGGAGGTGTGCCCAACAGCTCATTGAGAACGGGCCAGGATGACAATGGCGGCTTTGTGGAATAGAAAGGCGGGAAAGGTGGGGAAAAGATTGAGAAATCGGATGGTTGCCGTGTCTGTGTAGAAAGAAGTAGACATGGGAGACTTTTCATTTTGTTCTGCACTAAGAAAAATTCCTCTGCCTTGGGATCCTGTTGATCTGTGACCTTACCCCCAACCCTGTGCTCTCTGAAACATGTGCTGTGTCCACTCAGGGTTAAATGGATTAAGGGCGGTGCAAGATGTGCTTTGTTAAACAGATGCTTGAAGGCAGCATGCTCGTTAAGAGTCATCACCAATCCCTAATCTCAAGTAATCAGGGATACAAACACTGCGGAAGGCCGCAGGGTCCTCTGCCTAGGAAAACCAGAGACCTTTGTTCACTTGTTTATCTGCTGACCTTCCCTCCACTATTGTCCCATGACCCTGCCAAATCCCCCTCTGTGAGAAACACCCAAGAATTATCAATAAAAAAATAAAAATAAATAAAAAAAAAAATACAAAAAAAAAAAAAAAAAGAAAAAAAAAAGACATTAGCGAAATCTAACATGACATAGGTTTAGTTGCATTCTGCACCTGTGTCCACTAAAAAAAAAAATAAAATAAAATAAAAATAAAAATAAAAAATAAAATAAAATAAAAATAAAAATACAAAAATTAGCCGGGCATGGTGGCATTCTCCTGTAGTCCCAGCTATTTGGGAGGCTGAGGTGGGAGAATTGCTCGAACCCAGGAGGCGGAGGTTGCAGTGAGCCGAGACCACACCATTTCACTCCAGCCTGGGTGACAGAGCGAGACTGCAAAATAAAACTATATATATATTTTGTTTGTTTGTTTGTTTTCTTCTACATGAATATATACGTATTCCCAGGAACTAGAACACCGTTTCTGTTGTGGATGCTGTTCTGTTCTACCTAAACTCCTCCCTTTGGGACTGAAGGATTTATTCTCTCACTGCTGGGAATGTTGCTGGCTGACAGCCCTTAGCTGTCAGTCATCCCCCAGAATTGCTTTAGGTGATGAAAGCAGCCTCATCAGATTTTACTCCACTTCCCAGGAAGAACCCACCTATAATGACTGGTCAGTGTTGGGGTATAAATGTCCTAAACCCTTTCCCTAAATTGAGCCAAATCTGAAGGGATCTTACAGCTTCAGAACTCCCTGGGGGTTAGGTTGAAGACTTTTTGACTGAATGATAGTCCAATTTTCTAAAACCCTGCTTTAATTCATGAGCCATCTTACATAATTCTTTTGGTACAAATGTAATTTAAATGTAGTGATCTTTGTGATTTCTTCCTTAACTATGGGCAATGTCTCTTTTCTGCTTCTTGGGAGATGAAGTTATTGGCATTGATACCCTTCCTTTCCCCTACACTTTATGCTTCCACTTGCCAAAATGAGATACAGGCACCCTTTTTTCAATATTGTCAAAGCTGACCATTTTGACATTCTGCTGTAACAATAAGCATACTTGGGCTTTGCTCGTAGCTTAATTCTAAAAATTGAAAAAAATAGTTTATCATTTTCTAAATATCACTCATGTATCAGACGTTCTTTGCTTGCCAAGGAACTGCTGTAATAGGATCCCTTTTCAGTGAGGTCCTGCATTAAATTCAGTTTTCTGGATTCCTTATCTTCCCATTTCCTGATTAACAATTCCACTTTACTAAGTAATATTCTTAGTCAACTTCTAATAAAACTATGTGTGGTAGGTACAATTTTTGCCTTTTCATATTTCTTGACTTAGTTTTCCAACCTTCCTATTAAATTTTCCAATTGTTTATAGCATTCTATTATTACTCTTACAGATTAAGAATTCTAATTAGAAAGACTTTAAACTTGTTTGCTGTTACATGAGCTTTCCATATTAAATCTGTGATAATTTTCATGTTATTTTATTCTCATCTTCTCTTTCGTGTTGTAAGAGTTTCTCAAACATTTGCTCTGACTGCCTCAACCTTGTCCTTTACCTACTGTATACCATCTTATTTCATCTCAAGATACACTTCTTCGAGCCACCTCTAATCTCCCCCAAATTATACCTGGTTCCTGTGCAACACTCTCTCACTTTACCTTGTTTTCTTTTCCTTTATAAATTATTCAGAGTTTGTAATTATATGTTTGTGGAATTATGTAATATATGTATATTTCTTCCCACTAGAGTGTAAGTTCTATGAAGACAATGAATGTATCTCTTTTCACATTATTTTAATGATACGTATAACAAAGTATGGTACTTATTGCTATAATGGTACTCAAAGACCATTTTTGCAGTTTTGATGAATTAAGGAATATATAAACAAGTCTGGGGGCTTAGTACAGCCAATAATAAAGGAAAAAGTACTTTGCTTTCCTTTGCTATTATTAGTTCTTGCATACACATTCTTTAGAGTTGCATTTTTGAGAGGTTCCTATAGTCTTAGGCAGGATTTGGATACTTAGGATTTCCCAACTGTGATAAAAATGAGAAAAGCCTAAAAACTAACATAACTTCAAACAGAATGTTTCTCTGCCTATGTTTATGGGACTTTCCTGGAATGCATTTTTTAAAAAACTTTGTATTACAGAAAACTTCAACAGTGTTAGAGAGAAGAGTGCCATGTTTTAACAGCCAAGCTTTAACAATGATCAATTCATGGGCAATTTTGTAAACCCACCCAATTAATCATACATGCACACTGGGTTATTCTGAAGATACTTTCAGATACCATACTTCATTCATAATTATTTTATTATGAAAATCTAAAGTATAATGACTTTTTAGAAACATAACAGCAATGCTATTACCACACTAAAATTAGCTATTTCCTTAATACAGTCGGTGTCAATTTTTCTGATTGCCTCATATCAATTTGGTTCATATATTTCTTCAGCCTTTTAAAAATGTATAGCTTCTCTTCTCTTCTCTTCTCTTCTTTCTCTCTCTCTCTCTCTCTCTCTCTGTCTGTCTTTGAATTGTTGCTAAAAAAATGGAGTTATCTAGTGGAAGTTCCCATATTCTGGATCTTGTTGGTTTCATCCCTGTGGTGTCATCCGCTATGGGATTTGTTAGTTGGTCTCCAGAAAATAACAATAACACTAATTGTTAACACCTACTGACTACTTACTATGTGCCAGTACAGACTGTAAGTAAAATAAAATGTTTAATTCTTCAAATCCCTAGTTTGTTTGTGGCAAGTACAAACCTGAAATATCTCATGTGATTTTTAAAATTTTGTAAAATTTATTTATTTATTTATTTATTTTTAGAGGTGGGGTCTTGCTCTGTTGCCTAGGCTGGAGCGAGCGCGGTGGCACAATCCTAGCCCACTGAAGCCCTGAACTCCTGGGCTCGCTCCTCTCACCTCAGCCTCCAGAGTAGCTGGGATTACAGGCGTGCCACCATGCACTAATTTATTTTTATGTTGTAGAGATGGGGTCTTGCTTTGTTGCCCAGGCAGCTGTTGAACTCCTGCCTTCAAGCAATCCTCCTCCATTGGCCTCCAAAGTGTTAAGATCACAGGCACGAGCCTCTGTGACCCACTAATTTTGTAAATTTTAAATAGTGTGATATTAAATATTAATGAAGTCACACTTTATGTATACAATCTGAAATAATTCAAATAACTGAAATAATTTTTAAGTATCACATGATTTAAAATCATGCAGGTTGATCTGTAACCCTATGTATAGTAATGTCAATAATGACCCTACATTTTTAGCTGACAAAAAAATTTACTCTTATTTTTTAGAATTAGTTTTAATTCTGCTATTTTAACATTACATAAATACTTTTTGAATACAACCTTTTAATAAAATGCAATATCATTAAATTTGCTTTCCACAGTATTTCTTGAGGACTGAGTCTGAGTTGGGCAGCATTTGTAGATTTCTGTATGACTCTAGTCATTTTGCCATTCAGTATAATCCTTATATTACACACACACACACACACACACACACGCACACAAATGCACACAACTCCAAAATGCTGGATTCTTGCCTCATGAATCATTGAAATTTATATGAAATTTATTTGAAATCTTATTGCTAAAAATTTCTTAGCGCATTTGTGCATTTGAATGTGACTTTTTCATACTAAAAGTTTTATTTTATATATTTGGGATCATAATTGGTTACCTTTTCTTCTCCTTTTTATTTTTATTTTTATTTATTTTTTATTTTATTATTATTATACTTTAAGTTTTAGGGTACATGTGCACAATGTGCAGGTTTGTTACATATGTACATATGTGCCACGTTGGTGTGCTGCACCCATTAACTCGTCATTTAGCATTAGGTATATCTCCTAATGCTATCTCTCCCCCCTCCCCCAACCCCACAACAGTCCCCGGTGTGTGATGTTCCCCTTCCTGTGTCCATGTGTTCTCATTGTTCAATTCCCACCTACGAGTGAGAACATGCGGTGTTTGGTTTTTTGTCCTTGCCATAGTTTGCTGAGAATGATGGTTTCTAGCTTCATCCATGTCCCTACAAAGGACATGAACTCATCATTTTTTATGGCTGCATAGTATTCCATGGTGTATATGTGCCACATTTTCTTAATCCAGTCTATCAATAGACTTTATTTTAAAGCAGTTGTTGGTTCACAGAAAAACTGAGCAGAAGGTGCAGAGATATCCCAGAGGACCCCAACCCCCTGGGCCATGGACCAGTACCAGCTGGTGGCCTGTTAGAAATTGGGCCACACAGTGGGCGAGTTAGCATTACCAACTGAGCCCCGCCTTCTGTCAGATCAGTGGTGGCATTAGATTCTCATAGGAGTGCGAATCCTATTGTTAACTGTGCATGCAAGAGATCTAGGTTGCATGTTCCTTATGAGAACCTAGCTAATGCTTTTTGATCTGAGGTGGAACAGTTTCACAGTTTCATCCCCAAATCATATCCACATTCCAACCACTATCTGTGGAAAAATTGTCTTCCATAAAACTGGTCCCTGGTGCCAAAAAGGTTGGGGACTGCTGCCAGATACACTTGGCTCCCACACATGTGTAGCCTCCCCCATTAGCAACATCTCCCACCAGAGTGGTACATTTGCTATAATTTATGTACTTACATTGGCACATCATTATCACCCAAAGTCCATAGTTTACATTAAGTCTCACTCTTGGTGTTGTACATTCTGTGGATTTGGGCAAATGCATAATGACATTTTTCACCATTGTGGTATCAAATAGAGTAGTTTCATTGCCCTAAAAATCCTCTGTGATCTGTGATGGACATTTTCATGATCATCACTGATTCAGACTCCCTGTGCTTACTGATTCCTAGTCTGCATTTTAAATTATTTTCTCCTTGAAATTTCTTCACCTCCTTCCCAAAGTAAACATGCATAAACATCTGTTGCATATGAAATACCTTGAATAAACACTTACGGGCCATAAGGAGGGAATATATCCCTTCTTAGAGAGTTGAAAACCAAAGTCAAATATTACAATTTCTCGTCCTAAGAGCTCTCTTAGCAATCGATCTCAGCCTCTCTCATTCTGGAGAAAAAAAATATCCTCCAATGATCATATGAAAAGAAATTCACCCATAGCTCTACATTTGAATCTCCTAAATCATTAAGGGGCTGAGAAAAACAAAAGTACTTTTCATATAACGTGATCCATTCTTTTAAATAAATTAATTATAAATATAACCACAATGTTTTCTTGTGTATTTATATACTATGTGTAAGGCATTGACTATACATCAAGATTATTCAAATTCCATCAATAACTCTGCAAGGAAATTATTATTACTCCTACATTGTGGATGAGAAAAATAAGGCCAGAAATGTTAGTTACTTTACCCACTTATAAAGTTTAAAATACTAGCTTCAAAGTACTGAGTCCTGGATTTGGATTTAGGGTTCTTTGCACCAAACTATACTGTATCAATTACTGCATTAATGTTTTGTCTTTTTTCTACAATTAAAGTTTAAACTCACTGATGCAGGTAGCATGGATAGAAATATCCTTACAGATTTCATAGCTGTTTAGAGCCATGAGATCACTGCTGACCCATTTCCTCTGTGAGAGTTTCTCCTAGGAGTTGGCGAATCCAATGGAGGACACAGCACCCACAGCTGCTGCTACATTGTCTTAACTGTGTTGTTCTTCCTAGGGTTTTTCTCATAAGCTAGTGCTTTCCTTAGCCAGGAGGGTTAGGGGAAAGGGCTGGGGATTTCTGAAGATATTGGTATTGTTTTTTTATCGGCATGTTTCCTAGAAACATCTTGCAGCCATATCCACTATACTGTCTCCTTCATGCCAGGCTGGCACAGGGAAAGCTACATGGTTATCTAGCAAAGCTTCATTGAGGAGGTGGGGCAGACTGTGCCTCTATTCTAGGGCTCCTAGATATGTCTGCAGCTTCTACTCCCATCCCTTTCCCCATTGTCACTAACCCTATGTGAGGAATGAGTATTTGTTCCTTTTCAGATACCCACATTATTGTCTTATTCTAATGTTTTTCTGACTTCCATTTCTTTTCCTGCCTAAGGAAATTTTATTCCTTCAGGGTGAGGAGGGGAGAGGAAGGCTTCTACTGTCATCATTCTTCACAAATTTAAAGTTTTGAGAATAACTTTTCACTATTGATATTTTTGAGATTCAAATTTCCTTTATCCCAACCCATTTCTCTGTCATACTTTTAAAAGTCATATTGAAATTAGTACAGACTTACTTTTTTATTTTAAAATTTTTGCTATAACATTTCTGAGCCAAAGGCAGAGGGTATCCATTAACTTCATTGTTGCCTTAATTGAGGGGTGGGTGGCAATGCCAAGGGTGGGAACACAAGGAAGAAAGAAATATTAATGTCAGCTAAGAAATCATGTTATCAGGCTATACTGTAGTTGGTTGCTTCTGTGTTACTGGACATGACAAATGATCTGGTAAATGATGTTAAATTGGCTTGAAACAAGAGAGTCTCCCAATTCTTAGCCACGGTTTCAGTCAGCCCTGGATGAAAGATGGAAAAATTTGACATATATCTCATAAAGGGAATTTGTTGCTTCCATGGAGATTATAGATGGAGGTTACTGAGGAATTAGGTAGCTGGGTGGCTTACTCCAGGCAACTCTTAGTAGGTAACACTTAAGAAGAAAAAAATCAGGAAGTCAGGGAAATAATTCAAAGGCATTTGTGAGCTCTGAGCAGATATAGCAATTTAAGTCCCACAGAAGAGGTGAGAGGAGAAACATTTGGAGGAGAAAAGGGATATGATAAATGGGGCCAGAAAATAATGCTAGGTCATGTAGCAAGTCCACTCTTCTGCTCCTGTAGATGGCGATGCACCTGCAACAGGACAGACATGAGATGGATGGGTCCTAGGCCGCTCCTATGTCATCATCATGCCACTTCCCAATTCCCCTACAACTTTCAACCATTCATGTCCACAGCCTCCTCCACTTTCCTTCCTCTCATACTGCGGATTCAGCTCTAACAAATCTCAATCTTACCTTCCATTCCAGGATGGGATTCACAAGGGCCCTTGGTGTCTGGAAGCACCAACTGAACGCAGGCCTCGGATGATGAAGACAGTGCCCACCACAATGCCCACGAGGCCCACAGACAATCCCAGGGCGCAGACCACAGTCTCTGTGAGCTCTGACATAGGGGCTGGAATCTCAGGCTCTGTGGATATGAAGTCGTTGAGGTCAGAAAGCAGAGTGTGCTCATGTGCATGTGTGTGGGATGGGATGGGGTGGAGGGTTGGCTCTGCAAAGACTCAAGGTCCCCAGCTTAGGGAGGAGAGTGAAGTCTATCATTAGAAAACCATGAAGTGGCTCTTGAGCCCCTATGCTCAGGCCCGTTCCCACCCTGTGAAGTGTACTTTCATTTTCAATAAATCTTTGCTTTTGTTGCTTTATTCTTTCAAAAGAAAGAAAGAAACCCATGAAGTGTGGAAAACAAGTTTTGGGATATAGGAGTAAAAGGCAGGAAGTTCTGAACTTGACAGACAAGAAAGCATCAAAAAGTGGTGGAACTCATCCTTACCCCAGTGTTTCAGAAGAGGCTTGTCCAGGCCCCAGTGCTCCACCTTGCAGTCATAACTCTCCTCAGCAGAAGGGAGGAGGGTGAGGTAACTGATCTTGAAGAAGGAATGATCACTCTTGGAGAGGAAGCTGGTCTCAGAAACACCTTCTGTGACTGAGTGCCCATTGCTCAGCCATGTGATGTTGACCACAGGAGGAAAGATGTTGTCCACAAGACAGATGAGGATGTTGGGCTGACCCAGTGTCACGGGAGACTTGGAAAACACTGTGACCTCAGGAACCTCTGTGGTGAGGAAACAGCACTGATGTGAAGTGTGAATAGCTCTGCCATGAGCTTCTGCATTACATCCTGGAAGAGCCCTCCTACCAGCATTTCACCACCTGATAGTCAAAGAGGTCTTATTTACCTTCTGCTTGGGAGCAACGACACATTGCCTTCGCTTTATTCCTGTGCCCTTCTCTCTGTGGGCATGTTTAATAAAGTAGGAGGTTGATGAGACCTCTCCGAGAAGGATTTAATGAATGGATAATGGAAAGACCCTTGTATTACATGGGAATATGTGATTTTAGAGATGGGAGATGATAAAATTTCAGCAATTGCCATGAGAAGATCTGGGGACCTCTTGGAAATAAAATAATGAAAATTGGTATGAAGGGATAAATCAGTAAAGAGGGGCAGAATTGTTGACACATACCATTGGTAGCAGCGGTAGAGTTGGAGCGTTTAATCAGACTGTTCAAGTTATGTTTTAGGACAGCGATGTTTGTCAGTGCAAATTGCGGGTCAAATCTAAATTGTCTGAGAACAGGCAAACACCAGACAGTCTCCTTCCTCCCCAGGTCCACGTAGAACTGCTCATCTCCATCAAATTCATGGGTGTACTGGCCAGAGGGACCGTAAGACTGGTACAAGTTTACACCATAAGAGGCGACGTGGTCAGCTGATGAGTGAAGATGACAAGCAGGAAGGTGGAGAACAGGGGAAGAAAGAACCTTAATACACAAAATGATGAAAGAAACTGACTTTCAAATATTACGGGCTTCATCTTTGGCACAGCCTGTGGACATTTCCAACCCCTGCTTCCTCCACTCTTATTGTTGGTAGTTGTCCGGTTAAAATTGCGCTTTCTTTCCCACTATAATGTGCGCTACACAAGGGCAGAATATCACATGTCCAGTTTTTACTATTTCCTGAGTGCCTGGCACATCACGGACTTATGATTAAATAATGTAATTGAACAAAAGAAGGAATGAATGAGTTATTATGGTATTTAGCTTTCTTAGTCAGAGATTAGGTTTACTTCCTTCTGCTTCCTAAGATTCATCTTTCACTTAATTCTTTCATCAGTTAATAACAAACTGATTGTATTTTCTTTCCTCTCAGGACTGGCTCAGAACAGGACACTCTACACAGAGGTCTTTCTTTTTTTAAAAAAAAGAAAAGCATGCAGGATCTTATTAATTTAAAATAATGTCTGCTAACAATTGTAGGGTATAAGGAAGAGTATAACAAGAATGGTAATAACATTACAAAATATATAATAAATAAACAATGCCTCCTTCAAGGTCTCTGTTTTGTTAATAGTAATGGTCCTTAGAGGAGAGCAACTGATTTCTTCTGAAATGAAGAGTGGAAGCTCTACTAGTTTTTGGATTTCTGTCATTTCCCCCCACCTTTTTTTTTCCTCTGAAGGAGGTTACTAAATGTCTACAGTGTTCTGACTTAACACTTATATTCACTTGAGGACTCAGGTAAATTAAACCCTTTTTCCTCTAATGGGCAGTGTGCTTGTCTGAGGATGCCAGAGCAGAATGGCAGCCGTGCAATGTGGCTCCAGCCAAATGAGCCGAACTGGACATTCCTGTCAAGACGTGTAAGCCTTTTACCGTTGTATCTTTCCTTCCTTCCCCACTTTCTGAGCATCCACAAGTGTCAGACATAGCAGGGGATGTGTAAAACACCAATCAGGCATGGTCTACCATTAAGGAACAAACTGAAGAGTGGAAGAGTCAGGTAGGTAAGGGAGCAGATACAATGTACTGTAGCATGTTCTGTGAGGAGGCTATCAACAGCCTTACAGTCCAACATCCTTCATAAGTATCTGCCAAGCAAACCAAACTACATTATCCTTTCATGTTCCCTGGTCTTTCCAGTGGTTTGTTGTTTTTCTCCCTGAAATGAAATTATCTTTTAGGACTTCCTGGAGAAATCCTAAAATTCATCCTTGAGGTTTCTGCTTAAGTTAACAACTTTGTAGCTAAGTCCTCTCATCGACATGTTTTTGACCACGTTATGACCTCCAGCTCCTCCACCTCAATATCTGGCTGTTTGTCTGTTCCTCTTCCAGCTCACCTTCTTCCTTATCCAGTATGACTGCCCTGGATTGTCTTAACAGGCCACCAACAAAGCCTTATCCTTGCAATAAACCTTGACTCCTTATCAAACACAAAGCAATCCTTCTTTTCATCTGGGACTTGTCTTGGGTGCCGAGTTTTGCTGGAGGATGTCACCCTGCTGGCCCAGCTGGAACCAAGTCATTTGTATAGTTTCAGCCTCTGCTGAGTCCACTGCCCTGGTCAGCAATGGCCTTCTGCTTTCCTGCATCCCATACCGTTTCCGTCACTAGTCTGAGCACCCTCTGCAGGGAAGACAGCATGACTTTTCATCTTTGAATCCTTAAAACTTAGCTTACTGTGTGCTCAAACGTGTTTTGAATTACAGTTGCTATATTTGAGGACGACATAGATTTTGGGGAAGATGGACAGGCACACTAGCAGAATCATAAGAAGGCCAGGATCAGCCATGACCAGGGCTGCATTCTGACATGTGAGCCCTGAGCACTCTTGCTTTTGTGGGCCCCTTCCTCCATGAAAATATGGAAAATTGTATTTTATGACTGAATTGGTATAAAGACAATACAATCTAGGCTGAATTAAAACATTTTCTTAGGCTCTGAAATTTCATTTTTTTCTAATCTTAAAAGGAGTTAAAACATTCTCATGTGGCTTTACAGTATGGAGGGTTCTCTGCATTGCCCATGTTGTGCCTAATGGATGAGCCGAGCCTGACCAGGGCACTCTGGTGTGAGGTTGAAGAAAGGAAATTTGGAACAAAGAAGCCAAGTGCTCTGGAGAAGGAGGTGAAACTTCCACCGTCGAACAAAATCAGAATGGGAGCAGCCATGGTTAATAAGGTTGTGGAAGTTTAGACCTTCCAGTTCACTTCACCTTTTAACTATCTGATTTTTCAACTTTTGTTTTACAAACCCCACTGTCCATATAAAGAAGCAGGGAGTCAGAGATGGATCCTGAAAGGGAAGAGGGAGAAAGGAATGCATGAAGAGAGGTGGAAATAGATGGATGACAAAGACAGAGAAGACTAAGAGAGACCAAATGATTAATAATTAATCTGTGCTTCCTTCCTTCCTTTTTCTTTCTTTCCTTCCCTCTTTTCTTTCTTTCTTTCTTTTTCTTTCTTTTTTCTTTCTTTTTCTTTTTTCCTTCCTTCTTTCCTCCCCTTTCCTTCCCTTCCTTCCCTTCCCTTCCCCTTCTTCCTTCCTTCCTTCCTTCCTTCTTTCTTTCTTTCCTTCCTTTCTCTCTTTCTTTCCTTTTTCTTTTTGAGACAGAGTTTCTCTCTGTTGCCCTGGCTGGAGTGTAGTGGTGCCATCATGGCTCACTGCAGCTTCCGCCTCCTGGACTCAAGCAGTCCTCCCACTGCAGCCTTCTGAGTAGCTGGCACCACAGGCATGCACCACCACACCTGGCTAATTTTTATTTTTTGTAGAGATGAGGTCTTGCTATGTTGCCCAGGCTGGTCTCAACTCCTGGGCTCAAAGGATCCTCCTGCCTCGGCCTCCCAAAGTGCTGGGATTACAGGCATGAGCCACCATGTCTGGCCCACTTTTCTTTTTATAAGACTTCATTAGATGAGTTGAAGAACAGGTAATTTGGGTTGATAATTTGAGAATAAAATGATTTAATTTACCAAGTTTTTCTACTATAAATTCTCAATTTTAAAATAAAAGGATACCTTATTTTGCAAAAGAAAAGAAATGTGAAGCTATACCTATAATAGAAATATGTAAAAATAAAATTGACATTCATGTTTTCACTATTTACAAAGCTTAGCTACATGCCAATTTTATTTGATTATTTGTGAGGTGACACATATGAGGCAGCTGAGAGTAAATGAGGACCATGTGGTAAAATGATTGTTGAAGGCATTCAGCCTGCTGGACTCCTTTACCCACTCCCCACCTGTGCCAGTTCCCACGTGGAAATGTTAGTAAGTCTGAGAGAAAGAAAAGGGCATCTTTCTTAATATCTATAGAGTATATAATTGATGGAATCATTTACCCCAAGCGCTACTACAGGAGACATCCGAAAAGCTTCAAAAGTTGTTCAGGGAAATTTGAGAATGATACTTCACAAATTTTTAATAATAAAAAATTATCCATTGATGGAAACCTCACTAATTTTTGAGGCAATCATGATGGAATGACATAGAGACCTCCAGGCTATAGTCACTGAATACAATATAAACAGAATAGCATCCTTAGTGAACGCCAACAGCATAGATAACAAAAAGAGTAGGTTGGGACTCTGGTTTCCTGAAGGAGGAACAGCCATAATTTTTAAATCTCTTAATACTGAAGGGACCCTTAGGAAATCTCTACAATTTCTCTGCAAATCGCTTTCTCTCTTTTGCTTCAATTTCCTCTCTTCCAGCTCCAGAGAACATCCCTCACTCATACACTCACCCACAATGTCTTCACCTCCACAGGGGCTCATCACGGTGGTCAGGGCAAGGGCCCCCAGCATCAGAGCTTTGTTTAGGATCATCCTCTTCCCAAGGCAGCCTTAGCAGTTGCTGTTCTGAGTTGTAGAGCAATTGTGAGGACCTCGAGACAAGGCAATCTGAAGACACCCAAACCAAACCCTGCCAAGTCAGGTTTTGGCTAATTAGAAAAATCCCCTATGATGACACCTCAGTTACTAGTTGAAGAGTTTGTATTAAGAGCCCTGGAAGGAGACAGGGCAATCCCCTTGTTGTGATGCAGCCTCCACTCAGAGTGGACTTGAGGAAATGTTCTGTGAATAGAGGGAGGACACGAAATCGGAATCTTCTCTGGTGTGTGCATGTCTGCCAGTGGCAAGAGGGGTGGGCATTTCTTTTCTTTTTTTCTTTCTTTCTTTTTTTTTTTTTTTGAGATGTAGTCTCACTCTGTCACCCAGGCTGAGGTGCAATGGCATGGTCTCGGCTCACTGCAAACTTTGACTCCCGGGTTCAAGTGATTCTCCTGTCTCACCCTCCCAAGTAGCTGGGATTACAGGCACCTGCCACCACGCCCGGCTAATTTTTGTATTTTTAGTAGAGACAGAGTTTCACTATGTTGGCCAGGCTGGTCTCGAACTCCTGAATTCGTGATCTGCCCATCTCAGCCTCCCAAAGTGCTCAGATTACAGGCATGAGCCACCGCCCTGGCCAGGGGTGGGCATTTCTGAGCAGCCTCGTGGATAGATGACATCATCAATTATACGGCATCCTTCAGGATTTTCTGAGTTACAACCTCCAGGAATTTTTCCCTGAGTCGATTTCCCTCCCTGGCAGTCCCCATCCCCTCCCCTTTCTCTGGCTTCTGTATGTGGGTTAGTTGCTTTTTCTTTTTGCTTCCATAGTGCATATGGAATTCTCCAAATGTTAAGTTGACCCCACCTACCTAGGGATCTCTGCTGGTGGTAGCCGATCAACACCTTTGCCTTTTCTACTTGTATAAATCCAGTTTGGTAAGTTATTCTCAAGCTCTCAAAAGATCCAGGTGGTTTTGGCCACGGCAATAAAAAAAGGTTATAATGCCAGATGGTGCTGTCTACAGTAACTGTATGAGATTTTATACAGTTTTTCTTTACATTGAGTAATCTTTACGTTCTGTGTTTTGGTGCTTCTTGCATATGTTTAAAGGAAATTTAGGGACATTGATTACATTTAAAATTTGGCTGGCTCAATTACTCTAAGAATTTTTTTTTTTAATTAAGAATGTCAAGTCAAAAGTTGAGGGTAGAATAAGAATTGCACTGACTTAGAAAAATGGTTTTCTTTTCTTAAACTACCAGATCTTTTAAAATTTGTTATCCTACCACACTAAAATTCCAAATATTTGCAAGGGACTAGGGATTGAGCTAAAGTTAGTCATTAGAACAAAACTTATTATTTTTTTCAGATACATCTACTTTCTGTATATGATAGAAACCGTAAGTTAATGGAAGATCTATTTAGAATCACTCTGTCCTTGATAAATGGCCTTCTGAGATTCTCAACACTGTTTTACCTCCCACTGGCAGAGACTGTAAAAAAAAAAAAAAGGTGAAACAAAAAAAATGTCCTGACCCCTGAGAGCTGCCTGGTTGCAATTAACAAGGCCTTGGGGTTGCTAGGAGCTAGGCTGGCACTCCCAGGTGGTTTTGGTTCTCCTATTGAAGATAAAGGATTTCACAGAACATCAGAATCAGACAAGTACTCTGTGAGCACAGTGGATTCTGTGAGCACAGTGGATTGAGACAGAATACCAGAATGCTCAGTCATCATGTCTGAACCCAGACAAAACATGAATATTGTCCAAACCACAAAAATGACCAGGTATGTCTCTCTCGGGAGTGATTACTGCTTCTTTACCATCACATCTGTAGCCTCAGGATAGTCTTCTGTCCCTCTAGGTAGGATTTATGAAGCTACCCAATCATAACATTGCCACCCCAACCCTCCACTTTCTGTCAGAATCCAACTAAAAGCAAAATCTCTCATTCTTAAATCCTCCCCAAAATCACCTAAAACAAGCACAAACCTTACAATTGATTTATGGTCAATTTTATGTGTCAGCTAGACTGTGATCCCCAGTTATCAAATCAAACACTAATAATCTAGGTGTTGCTGTGAAGATATTTTGTAGATGTCATTGAAATTCATAATCAGTTGACTTTAAGAATTTATCCTAGAAAAACTGGGTGAGCTTAATCTAAGCTGTTGAAAAGCCTTAAGAGCAGAGCTGAGGTTTCTCTGAGGAAAAAGAAATTCCACTCTGGACAGCGTGTCAGCCTGTGCTGAGAGTTCCAGCCTGCCCTTCCTGACAACTACCACCCAGTGGATCTCTGATTTGCCTAGCCCACCCCTACAGATGCAAAAATTAATTCGTTGCATCATTCTCTTAATATATGTATTCTCCTGGTTCTACTTATTCGGTTCCAACAATCTCTTACTGCATGATTCTCATGGTGAGTTTTATCCATCATTGCAATGAATAATAAAGTCAACTTGTTCATTGCTTGGATGCTCCTGCTGGTCTTTGGCTGGAGGCATTGAGGTACCTCATTAGGCAGTTGTGAGGAATATACATATACTGTACTTGGAATGAAAAATTCCTGGACTCTTTACATATACTTGTCATATTTTAATATCATTCTCATTTTCCAAGGAGGACATTAAATCCCAGAGAGTTGAAGGACTTTTCCCAGGGTCACACAGCTGGTAAGCAGCACAGATGTGATGCTATGGGGCAAGCCATGAGTCCTTGTGAGGAGTGATGGGTGAGAGTCTCCTTCTGTGCGAATTCAGAATCCAGTGCCTTAACATGATTAGGAGAGATATTTGACCCTATAGGTGGCTTTATTCTTTCTAGCTCCTGCCATTGTGAATGAAGAGGGTTTTTGAGGTCCCATTTGAGATGTGCTCCCTTTACCACTCAATATCCTTTTTGCTGTGTAGCAAATAACATGTTTTTATTTTTTTTCCTGTATCCAGACTTACCTGCTTTGTATCTAATGGAAATTCCTTAGGACTTTGGCAAATGAACAAAATGTTTTGGGATGGTAGTCCAGAATTTCACCTATTAAAATTACAGTTTAAATAACTCAACTCCAGTTAAGAAGTTAGGGTGTTAAATGTAGGATTAGAATTGCATCTTGGATGGGAAGTTGAGGGTGCAGTTTCAGATCTCACATCCTGTGGGGTGAAGGGAAAGTCCAAGGCAAAGTCATTGAAGAGATTATAGATGCACTTCTTTTCTTTTCTTTTTTTTTTTTTGAGACAGAGTCTTGCTCTGTCGCCCAGGCTGGAGGGCAGTGGCGCGATCTCGGCTCACTGCAAGTAGCTGGGACTACAAGCACCTGCCACCACGCCTGGCTAATTTTTTGTATTTTTAGTAGAGACAGGGTTTCACCGTGTTAGCCAGGATGGTCTCGACCTCCTGACCACATGATCCGCCCGCCTCGGCCTCCCAAAGTGCTGGAATTACAGGCGTGAGGCCACGCCTGGCCCAACAGATGACATTTCTACCTTTAACCTAGTTTTGTCTCTTCTCCTCTTCCTGCTTCATCCGGCCATAACACAGTGAACATTGTTCCAGTTCCTTCTGTCTTCAGGTCATAATTTTAATGTAAGGTAAAGTAATAAGTAAATGAAACTCAGAAGAACAGTATGCCATTTTAACAAAAGCTAATTTGTTACCTTTGTCTAGTAGAAAGAGAAAAGGTTCTCTTCATAAATTAATAGTGGGAATAAAATTTGGAGTTCAAAATAGTACTTTGTCCAACAATTTTCTCAGAAAGCACTTATTGACATGCCATTGATTCCATAACTAAAATAGCAATGGGATGTGCCATTATAATTCACATCATTAAGAGCCCTCTAAGAAATTAGGTAGAATTTATGTTAGTTCTAATAAACAGTTATAACGTTCTCTAAGACTCTGTATATTTTCAAATTATTTTAGTCTGACTTTATGCACTGGTAAAGTTTTACTCTGAAGGCCAAGACTTCTGTCTTGCAGTGGTTAAAGGTGCTTCACAACAATAACAGAGTCTAGAGTAGCACAGTGAAAAGAATATAGGTTTTGTAATAAGATAAATATGTATTCCATGCTGCTTTTGATTTTATCAGCTGCAGCACCTTGAGCAAGTCACTCAAAATACCTGAGTCTTAAGGTTATTTTCTATAAAACAGAAGGAAAATTATTAGGTGATAGTTAATATGGTAAAATGAAATGATAGATAAGTGCAATTATAAAGTTAAATACAATCTGGTGTCTGACATACAGCATCTATTCCCAAGTGGTAGCTGCTACATAAAGACAAATATTAATAATGATAATGATAATAACATCATGCTTTGGGCTGGGAAAGCCTGTCAATTTTTCCTCATTCATTTAACCTTCTCCCCGTAGCACTCCAGGCATGTGGGAGCCTGTGAGCCACAGAAGCACTAAGACATTGCTGAAAAACACAATTTTTTTGAAGGCTGTTTTATCTGTCAGATTTTCTATGTAACAAAGTATTCCAAAATTTAATGACTTCAAATAATGGTTTAGTATCTCCTTATGATTCTGTAAGACAGCAAATTGTGCTTAACCCACCTGAGTGGTCTTTATGTACTGGGCAGGTTCAGCTTTTCTCAGGTGGGCCCCCTCACATCTCTGTAGCATCAATAGGTTTGGCAGATATAGGGGGCCTGTCTCCATTCATGTGGACTCATTATCCAGCAGGGGGGCTGAGGCTTATCACAGGTGCTGGAAAGCTCTCCTGTGCAAGATAGAAACAGCAGGTGTCTTGAGCTGAACTTAAAACTCACGACATCACTTCCATTACATTCTATTATTCAAAGCAAGTCATAGTACTAGCTCACATCAAAAGGTGGGTTAATAGATTGCATTTCTTGACAGAATGGGCTACAAAGAATTTGTAGCTATTTTTGCAACTTATCATAAATATCCTCTGGCTTTTGGCAATATGTAAATGAATTTGGTGTGCGAGTGTTGGAGAGCCCCCATATTTGAAATAAATTCCACACACTCACCTACCAGTCAAGATCTTGTCTTTACTAATCTGCACTAAAAACACAGTGAAGCTTTCTCAAGGGAGACTTGAACTAAGAACTGTTGAATTCCAGTATGAATAAGGTGCTACAATTTATTCTTATAAAAAACTTTATGGAGTTTTACAAATGAAAATACAGAATTGTGAAGAATTGTAAGTAATCTCTTATGACTGCCAAGCTCATATTCTGATACAAAGTCCTGTATGCTGATATCCAGTCACGTGGTCTCTCACAATCATAAAATTAATGAAGCAGAGGAAACTTATAAAAACAATTGTTTGTTATTTAATATCATTTCCACCAATTCTTTGTCAGCAACAACTCCTATGTGTATGAACTAGTTGTTTTAAATAACTCACTTGAATAAACTGCACAATAAAAAATAATAGGAGGCCGGGCGCAGTGGCTCACACCTGTAATCCCAGCACTTTGGGAGGCCAAGGTGGGCAGATCACGAGGTCAGGAGATCGAGACCATCCTGGCTAACACGGTGAAACCCCATCTCTACCAAAAATATAAAAACAAAATTAGCCAGGCATGGTGGCAGACACCTGTAGTCCCAGCTACTCAGGAGGCTGAGGCAGGAGAATGGCATGAACCCAGGAGACAGAGCTTGCAGTGAGCCGAAATCGCGCCACTGCACTCCAGCCTGGGCAACAGAGCGAGACTTCGTCTTAAAATAATAATAATAAAATGAGGAAAGATTGCTTTGTAATGGTCTTCTACTGAAAAACATGCAAAATTACCTCCATGTCCAGATCTACCTTCTCCATAGCTCCTGAGTATTCTACAGCTAAACCAAATAGGTTATTTCATGAAGACTTTGCAGATACTATGGTATGTAATCAATAACTACTTGTTGACTTAGACTGAAATTCTTAATCATCTGAATCAGTTTACAAAGCTGACTGTCTGGAGACTGATATTCCTCATGTCCAGTAGTGATTGATTCTCTTCCCAGGAACTCTCCAGTCCTAATGTGCATATTGTAAACATTCTTTGTATAGGTCTTTTTATTTACTTATTTATTTTTAGAGATGTGGTCTCACCGTGTTGCTCAGGCTGGCCTCAAACTCCCAGGCCCCACCTCAGTCTTCCAAGTAGCTGGGACTACAGGGGCACACCACCCCACCTGGCTATACAGATACCTTTCCTTAGCCTTAATTATTAAACTAATGACAAATAATTTTTAATAAAAACTTTAAAAGCAAGTGCTGCCCAAAGCAATTTATATATTCAATGCTATTCCTATTAAAAACTACCATTGAGATTCTTCACAGAACTAGAGAGAGCCTGAATAGCCAAGGCAATCCTAACCAAAAAGAACAAAGCTGGAGGCATCACACTACCCGACTTCAAAGTATACTACAGGGCTACAGTAACCAGAACAACGTGGTACTGGTACAAGAACAGACACATAGACCAGTGGAGCAGAATAGACAACCAGAAATAAGACCTCATACCTACAACTATCTGATCTTCAACAAGCCTGACAAAAACAAGCAATGGGGAAAGGATTTCCTATTCAATAAATGGTGCTGGGAGAACTGGCTAGCCATATGCAGAAGGTTGAAACTGCAACCCTTCCTTACACCATATACAAAAATTAACTTAAGATGGATTAAAGACTTAAATGTAAAACCCAAAACTATAAAAACCCTGGAAGACAACCTAGGCAATACTACTCAGGACATAGACATGGGCAAAGATTTCATGAGGAAGATGCTAAAAGTAATTGCAACAAGGGCAAAAATTGACAAATGGGATCTAATTAAACTAAAGAGCACAGCAAAAGAAACTATCAGCAGAGTGAACAGACAACATACAGAATGGGAGAAAAGTTTTGTAAACTATGCATCCAACAAAGGTCTAATATCCAGCATCTATAAGAAACTTAAATGTACAAGAAAAAAATGAACAACTCCATAAAAAAGTGGGCAAAGGGCATGAATGGACACTTCTCAAAAGAAGACATACATGTAGCCAACAATCATATGAAAAACAGCTCAACATCACTGATCATTAGAGAAATGCAAATCAAGACCACAATGAGATACCATCTCACACCAGTCAGAATGGCTATTATTAAAAAGTCAAAAACTAACAGATGCTGGGAGGTTGTGGAGAAAAAGGAACGTTTATACACTGTTGGCAGGAGTGTAAATTAGTTCAACTATTATGGAAGACAGTGTGGCAATACCTCAAAACCCAAAGGCAGACATACCATTTGACCCAGCAATCCAATTACTGGTTATATACCCAAAGGAATGTAAATCGTTCTATTATAAAGACACGTGTACACGTATGCTCATTGCAGCACTATTCACAATAGCAAAGACATGGAATCAACCTAAATACCCATCAATGATAGACTGGATAAAAACAATTTGGTAATATACACCATGGAATACTATGCAGCCATAAAAAAGAATGAGATTGGACCGGGCGCAGTGGCTCACGCCTGTAATCCCAGCACTTCGGAAGGCCAAGGTGGGCAGATCATGAGGTCAGGAGATTAAGACCATCCTGGCTAACACAGTGAAACCCCGTCTCTACTAAAAATACAAAAAATTAGCTGGGTGTGGTGGCTACTTGGGAGGCTGAGGCAGGAGAATGGCGTGAACCCTGGAGGCGGAGCTTGCAGGGAGCAGAGATTGTGCCACTGCTCTCCAGCCTGGGCGACAGAGCCAGACTCTGTCTCAAAAAAAAAAAAAAAAAGTAATGAGATCATGTTCTTTGCAGGGACGTGGATGGAGCTAGAGACCATTATCCTTAGCAGACTAATGCAGGAACAGAAAACCAAATACTGCATGTTCTCACTTATGAGTGGGAGCAAAATTATGATAATACATACATGGACACATAGAGGGGAACCACACACACTGGGACCTATTGAAGAGTGGAGGGTGGGAGGAGGGAGAGGATCAGGAAAAATTACTATTGGTTACTAAGCTTAATACCTGGGTGATGAAATAATCTATAAAACAAACCCCTATGACACATGTTTACCTTTGTAACAGACCTGAACATGTACCCTTGAACTTAAAATGAAAGTTTAAAAATCTCTAAAATGAGGTTTCTCAACCTGAGAACTATTAATATTTTGAGCCAGATGATAATTATTTTTTTGTGGGAGGCTGTCATGTGTGTTACAGGACTTTTAACAGCACCCCTGGCCTCTATCCAATACATGCCGGTAGCAGCCTCCCCATTAGTGACAACAAAAACTATCTCCAGACATTGTCAAATGCCACTTGAGGGGAAAGTTGCTCCCATTTAAGAATCATTGCTTTATGAGGTAACAGACTGTCTAAAATAAAAATAGTAGCAATGTATTGTGTGTTTACAGAATATGAGAAAGAAATTATATGACAACAATTGCACAGTGAATAAGAGAAATCTGGAGTATGCTAATCTAAGGTAGATTTGAAGATAGATTATACATATATGTAAAATTCTAGGGCAACAACTAATCCAAAAGAAAGCAAAAAAATGATTTTAGAAATAAATATTTCATCGAATTAATAGAAATATCTAGCAAAAATAATTCAACATATTAATAAGGATGTTAAATATAATTGGTCCAGACAGACCAATTAAATGATAGAGAAGAACAGATTGAATAAAAATGGAATATTGAACTATAACATATCAGCAACCCATTTTAAATATAACGACATACCTTCATTAAAAGTAAAAAGAAGGGAAATATATACTATGCAAAAGAAATCAAAAGAAAGTCAGAATGATTATGTCAATACTAGACAAAGTAGAAATTGGAGCCCGAAATGCTAATAGGGATAAAGACAGACATCACTTAATGATAAAGGGTTATTTCTCTAAAGAGACATAACAATCTTAAATGCATATGCACCTAACAACAGAGCTTCAAAATACAGGAGACAAAGTTGACATAAAAGGAAGGAGAAATAGAAAAATCCAAAATTATCATTGGAGATTTTATACTCATTTCTTAGTATTCATAGAAAAATTAAGCAGAAAGTCAATAAGGATATAGAATAACTGAACAGTGCTAACAAGTAACTTGACTAAGCTGTAAGTTACATTTACAGAACACTCCACCCAACAACAGGAAAATACATAATTTGAAACTGTATTAATTCTATCTACTATATTTCTCTCTGTGAACACCATGTTCTTCTCCACTTATTCATCTTCTCTTGTCTCAAAAAAGTTTTATAACACTTTCTCTGATGATTCTTTATATTCCTTGTTAAATACTTTTTATATTATTTTGCTCTTGTTAATGGATACTTTTTTCCTTCCTCCATCACTAAATATTTTTTCTTATGGTCTTCATGGCTTAGTCTGCCAGAGACAGATAATGCTGCTTCCCACAGGGTTCTGATTTGCTGAAGAGGAAAATATTTAATGTCTTATTTTGGTTTCACTTAAACCCAGCTTCTGCAAGGGCAAATTGTCACCAAAACCTGACTAGAAGGGAGTGAGGTTGTGGAGATTGGGGGTTGGGGTGAGGAATTGTAAATAACACATGATACATGGGTGTCCTTTCAGCGCTCTCTGTCTGGAAAATTAACTAACCAGAGAAGTGAAGGGTTCAACAATCAAGTTAAAGAACAGGTAGGCTGGGCATGGTGGCTGATGCCTGTAATCCCAGCACTTTGGGAGGCCAAGGTGGGTGGATCACCTGAGGTCAGGAGTTCAAGACCAGCCTGACCAACATGGTGAAACCCCATCTCTACTAAAAATACAAAATGAGCTGGGTGTGGTGGCACATGCCTGTAATCCCAGCTACTTGGGAGGCTGAGGCAGGAGTATCGCTTGAACCTGGGAGGTGGAGGTTGCAGTGAGCCGAGATCATGCCACTGCACTCCAGACTGGGCAACAAGAGTGAAACTCTGTTGCAAAAAAAAAGAAAGAAAGAAAGAAAAGAACAAGCATTACCCTGTGCTTTGTGCTTTGAGTCACTATCAAGTGACTTAACCCAAGGACGGCTCATGCCCACAGGTCTACAGGGAAAAAGTAGCAGCATCTTAATGTGTTTGCACTTGTGAAAAAGTAGAGGATGCTTCATTTCTTTAGTCTGTGCAGTCTCCAGTGAGTTTCAGGATGTGCCAGTTGAATCTTATGATCTAGGCACTGTTCACTAAATTGACAATGAACCTCCAAATCAACTACGAGTTTGGCTTACTGGTATGAACCTGATGTTTGCAGTTTAAAGTCTGCCAGAAATCCTGGGATGTGTAAATTTTGGGAAAAAATCAGAATTAAAGTGAAGGAATGGACCCGGTTGTTTCCCCAGATATGTGAGAATAGGTTAATTTCCTGGAGGTAGTTAAAATAAAACTAAAAGGACAAATTACCTGTTCCTCTCATATTCCTTCCCTCCTCCTTATTTCCACCCAATATAAAGAAAGCCAGGCCTCTTTTTGTTTTTGATTCTGAAACTTTCTCTTCAGATATACTGGATGTTCATCAGCCAGGCTGGTGAGAAAATGAAGACTAATTGCCATGTTACCTCCCAGTCATGATGATGATAATAATAATTGATAGTAAGATGATAGTGCCTGATATGTATTGAGTACTTACCACATGCCAGATGTTCTTCTAATTGCTTTTACCATACTTGTATTAACTGACTTAATTTTTAGAATGATACTATTAAGTAGGTGTATTATTATATCTCCCTCCCCCATTTTACCAATTAGGAAATGGAGAAGAACAGATTGAATAAAAATGGAATATTGAACTGTAAACTATCAGCAACCCATTTTAAATATAAAGACATACCTTCATTAAAAGTAAAAAGAATGGAAATATACACCATGCAAAGGAAATCAAAAGAAAGTCGAAATGAGTTGGATACTTGACTAAAGCTACACCACTAGTAAGAAATGGAGCCAGAATTCAAACCCAGGCAGTCTAACTTCAGAGTGACACACTAGAGAGAGGGCAATTGTGCTACACTGTAGCCCAGAAGGGGATTTATGCCACGACTCCTATCACAGACAAGGGACCATTTGTCAAGCCACAACTTTATTATTCTAAAGAAGTAATTGCATGTGGATCTGGCCACTTACACATCCAATTGTCTTCATCTAGAGGTGTTTCTCCAGGGCCAGCCCTGAGGTGGAAATCTGCATTAATGCAGCTGATTAAGCCCTCCTCTGTAGATGACTTATGGGCAGAAATGGGCCCTTCCTCTTCTCTTTGTTTCTCATACTTGACTGTGGCTCTGTACCCCCAGGAGATTGGTTCCAGGAACCCAGCTGATATCAAAATCTGTGGATGCTCAGCCTCTTCTATAAAATGCTGTAATAACCCATATCCACAGATTTAAATCCATGGTAGGTTGAATCCACAGATGTGGAACCTTGGATAGGGAAAGTTGACTGTATTTGATTTATGCACAGATAAACACTTTTGGTCAGGTCCAGTATAATTCATCTACAGGTGATTTAAAAAGTGAAGGCACTTTGAAGTCTTCCGGTCAGCTGAAGAATCTGAAATTTTATTGTCAGACTTACTTAGAAATCTTACAGATTCAAACATGTTATGGCTAATAAAACTTTGCAGCTTCATCAAAACGTAAAGAAATGTTCCTGAGCTTAGACCAGGCTACATGGCACTGAAGATTCAGGGCTTGCTCCCAACCCCAGAAGAGGAGGACCACAAATTTCCAGTCTGGGAGGGTCCCACAAAAACGTTGCTCTAAAACTACAGACTGGAGTTTTTTTCTGAATTTTTCCTTCTTCAGGGAAAAGAGTGTGAACCTGCGTAGTGCTCTTCTATCTCTGCTCACCTGAGTACCACAGGGTTCATGGGTTTCAAGTTTAAGACATCAGATTTAGGGAGGATTCACATCTTTCTTCTTCTGTTTATTTGTGAGGTATGGTGAGGTCATTGTTTTACTTCCATGAGGACAGTGGATAAAAAGGAACCCTTTGGAGGGAAGGGAGAGGTAGAGATGGGTAAAGTTATGTAAAAGGATTGAAAAGTAGACCTGAGAGCTCAACTGGGAACAGAAACCTTGTGGCTATGATCCCAGGGGACCATGAAGACCTGCAGAAGAGGAAAAAAGACACTACAGGGACAGTATAGGCAAAGTTCTACACAATGTCCACATTAAAATGTTCCATACAAATTTCCCTGAACAGAGATTTTTCAAGGCCACTCACCTTAGACCTGCAGGCCCTATTAAGACTGTTGGGAGGAGAAAAATGTAGTGGTTCTTCTATCATCTAATCATAGTCTTCTGAGTGTCATTAAGATCCTTCCTGTTTTTATAAATATAAATATCACAGTATAGATGCATTTACAGAATTGTAGTATTAGTCTTTGTAGTTTTTTGTTTTTTACTTAATCTGTGGATAATTTCCCACAGATTAGACAATTTTCTACATCACTAAACAGTTTCATAAAATCTTATTTTTAGTGGCTGTAAAAACTTCACCATATACTTGAAAGAGTATTTATTTAAACATTTTTAAAAAAAAACTTGGGGACACTTAAGGAGATTAATTGAAAGATTATATGCAGAACAGCTAACCCCACCTCTCTTCCACTCTGACCTCTGCCACATAGGTGGCTGGCATCTATCCCTCAAACAAAATACATGAAGTTTCCTCTCAGAAGAAATTGAATGGGCCCAGAGAAAATAATTCCACGCTATGGCCTTCATGGTCCCCCAGTGAAGGAATCAGACCCTGAAACATTAGCCCCAAATTCCATCTGATTTCTTCAAACTCATGACCATTTTTTAGTCGCTCTTACATGTAAAATAATATGAAGAAACAGAAAACATTTTAAGAGCGCAATAAGGATAAACAAAAAGAAAAACTTAAAACAGATAGATTAGAAATTCAAGACAGCTTTAAATATATACACAAAACACAGCCAAACAAAATTTTAATTATTATTTTCACAAACATTGAAGAATGTAGTCCCTTTGTAAAACAAATCAAATTGGTATTAATCTTTTCTCCATAGGTAAAACAACAAAAACACTTTGAAAATTAACAATATAGCCATAATATTTATAAGACATTCTTTTTTAAATAACCCAAACACACATAAATAAAGATAAAGCATTTGCTATGCAAGCACATCTAGCTTCAAGACAAGCCACAGTCCCTACCCACCATGCAGAATTCTGGGCCTAAGCTCCTTCTGCATAGATTGATGTAGAAATCACCACCCTAGATGCAAAACAAGACCTGTCTAAAACCAGATTGTGGTTGCTGAGGAGGAAGTGGGAATGGGGAGTGACTGCTTAATGGATACAAGGTCTCCTTTGGAGGTGATGAAAATGTTATGGAACTACATAGAAGTGATGGTTGTACAACATGGGTGAATGCACTAAATGCTACTGAGTTGTGCACCTTAAAATGGGTTAATTTTGTTATATGAATTTTACCTCAACAAACAAAAAGACTGCCTAACTCAGGCCCATGCCTTTATATAATATGCTATATAATACACTCTACTACTCTTTAAAAAATCAACAATACAGGACAGTATACTTATCCTAGACTTTCAGAACATTTATTATTTTTTAAAATCTCATTATTTTGAATAAAAATAGTTTTAAATCTATAGATTATATCTCCATCCAACTTCATGATTCATTTATAGTTTGTTTTCTTTTCAGTAAAGTACATTTTTTACTTTCTGTTGAGTCTATGTATTTCTTACAAAACTTATTCTTTGATATTTTCTATTATTCCTAATGCTAATGAAGCTCCCCCTGCCACCAACCTTGGGTATGCCTTCTTGACAGTTTAGTCTGCCAGAGACAAATGATGCTGACTTCTCTACTTTGCCTTATTAGATAAAAAGAAAAGTATGTAATGATAATATCAAGGTTTCATGTTAATGTGGTTTATGCAAAGATTTATGTCATCATCCTTCCCCTTCAACCACAACCCTATTCTAATAACCACATCCTGTGACCAAATAGCTCTTCTTTTCCTACAAGCATCACACTTATTATTAGTTACTCTGAGGTTCTCAATGTGAATTTTAGATAGTGACATATCCTTTGGCCAACACTTGAACAATCTTCACACAAGATGTGAAGAACATGACAACAAACTGTAACTAAGGGTATCGAAGAACATAGTTAAGGACTCCTGGCTGTGATGGCCGTTTTCAGTAAGACATTATTCTACAGGACACTTTCTGGAGTATGAATTCAACATATTAGAAACTACATTGTGGAGGTTTCCCCTGAAGAAAAAAAAGTAGTTGGGAAACCCGTGACAATAAGGATCTGAAATTAATGTGGTATGAAAGTGAGGGTAGGTGCACAGCTCTGGGCCAGCCACACAGAGTTAGGGCCACTGTCTCAACATCTGAAAGAGACTGGGCTTGAACAGTGATGACTACATTAACCAGGGGCCTGGATCTGCATTGCTCACACTTGAGCAGAGATTGGAATCCAGCTGACTGTGAATGAGTGTGGAAGAGCCTCCTGCTGGAGGCAAATGACTGGAGCCCTGTGCATATGCTGGGCCATAAGGAAGAGCACAAGCATATTCTCTGGAACAGGGCTCTTCAGGGCCTGGGCTAAGTCAGCCAGCGCCCTCCTCCTCCTCACCCCACCCATTGGTAAATCTGATAAATCAGTGCTAATTTGCTTTGTATGATAGAATTTACTAAATGTGATGGCTGATATTTTGAGCCAGGGTGGCAAATGCAGCTACTGACTCAAGAGCAATGTGTAGTAATAACTTGGGTATGAGAATAGGATTGTGAATTGGTATGCAACTTTACCAGTGACAGATGTGTATCACTACCCATTGGCATATAGGTTCTAGTCTAGTGCTGAGAAAGATACACAAAATATTAAGATTTTTACAGCAAGATTGGTACCACAAAATGCTCATTTTTAGCTCTTATGGATTTTCTGTCTTGTAGTTTATTGTATATTTCTCACTCTTGCTGAGGCATCACCAAATCAACTTGTAAATTCTGTAATCACTTTCTTTCAGTAGATTTCTTATATCTAAATTTTAATTAAGACTAAGAATTCTTTTTGACACTTGGACACTGAAAGGAAGCATCTCTCAATTGCCTCCTTTACTCATGCATCTTCTTATCAGCTGGGGAGTCTGGGGGTCATAAGACTGAAGTAGTAGGTGAGGCTCAGACATCAGATCAAATTGAGAATTAACTAAAACAGGGATGGGGCAGAAGCACCTCTCCATAAGACATGCCTACCAGTGTGCCATGTCAGTTTACCATTGCCATGGCAACACCCAGAGGTTACCACTTCTTTCCATGGCAATAATGACCCACTGGGGTCATTGAAGTGGTAATTGGAGTTACCATCTATAAATTAAGGGGTGGATTATGCAGAAATTTCTACCCTATTTCTAGAAACTTCTGCATAGTCCACCTCTTAATTTGCATATAATTAAAAGTGGGTATAAATATGACTGCAGAACTGCCTCTGAGCTACTATTCTGGGCACACTGCCTATAGGGTAACCCTGCTCTTCAAGGAGTAGCTTAGTTCCATAAAAGTTGCTGTCTAACACCACTGTCTCATCCTTGGAATCTTTCCCGAGTGAAGCCAAGAACACTCTCGGGTGAAGCCCCAGTTTTGAGGCTTGCTGGCCCTGCATCAAGACCACCCTTGCAATGGATAAATTTATCGCTAGTTATCTCAGTACTGAGGGCTTCTTAATGTGGGAGTCCTCACTTTGGGGAAAATGAAGAATTTGACTGGTTTCGGGGGGTTGGTCAAGGGAGATCTGCTGCAGTCTATGAAGTGATTCTGTGAAAGACAATGATATCTTACTCCACTTTGAGCATTTGATCTGAATGCCCCCTTCACATTAAGCCTCTGTGGATCCATAACCAAGGGTGCAGGAATTTTGCTTCTGAGAACCTTTTCCATGATAGAATTCTGGTTATTTCTTTTCTTTCTGTTTGCTATTATGACCTACACCTCTGTTAACATCCCTGTGCATGCTTCCTTGTCCAAATACCTAATGTTTCTTTAGAACAAATGCCTAAGACTAGAAGTTCTATGCACTATATTTGTGTTTACAACTTTACTATAACTAGCTGTATAAATTTCAACCCCCACTAGAAGTGTTTAATTGTTCACACTAATGAATTTTCTTGCCAATAAATTATTGTCAGACTTCATTTTGCCCATCTCTTGAGAATTAAATGATACTTCGTAGTGATTTGAAATGTGTTTATCTGATTACTAATAAGCGTGGAAATCTTTTCACATTATGTATTGACCTGCTATGCTTCCTTTTCATAAGCTAGCTCTCATCCCTGGAGTGGCACTGAATTTCTTATTATTTTTATAAATATAAAAATGTCATATGTATAGATAGATATAAGCTTATAAGACTTAAATTTTAGTTTTTACAGCTTAATTTTCCTATATTATATGTATTAAAAATAACTTTTTCCAGTTTGTGTCATATTTTTAAAGTGTATTTTGATTAAGTTTTTAAAAATATGTATTAAAGTATATTTATTAAAAATTAAAAATTTTTTTTGCTATTTCATCCCTGTTAAGAAATACTTCCCTACTTCAGTTCATAAAATAATCTTCTAAATTTTCTATTTTAAAAATTTAAAAATTACCTTTCCTTTGGCTAAATAGTCAGTAATGGGATTGCTGGATGATATGACAGCTCTATTTTTAGTTTTTTGAGAAACCTCCATACAGTTTTCCATAATGGCTGTACTAATTTACATTTCTACTAATGGTGTATAAAAGTTCCCTTTTACCCTCCTCCTTACCAGCAATTTTTTTTTTTTTTGCCTTTTTGATAGTAGGCATTCCAACTGGGATAAGGTGATAGTTCACTGTGGTTCCTGTTCACATTTGATTAGCCTGAATTGAATTGATTTTTGTGGATACTATGTTGTATGAATCCAACACTGAGTTTTCCGTCTGGATAACAAATTCTCTCAGGATGACTTACTGCACTATTTCATAAGCGAATTCCAATGCCAACTCCAACATAAATATGATTTTACATATGAGTGAGTTGGTTCTGGGCCTGCTGTTTCTGTTCGTTTGTCTATAGGTCTATCCATGCATCAGTACAACTCTCCTATTTATACTTAAGTCTGATAATAAATTGAGGACTAGCTGGGCAAAATCTTACCAACCTGTTTCTTTCTATGTATAACTAGTAAAGAAACCAAACTGTTTATTTGCATGTGTAACTAACTTATAGGCTAGTCTTAAACAATTGCTCTTCTATAATTATTTACAATCAGCATAGTGATTCCACAATATTATGTTGGGATTTTAAGTAGAACTGCATTGGTTCTGTAGATTAACTCAGAGAAAAATTGTGTTTATATTTTGGATATTTTATTTGTGAATATAGCATATCTTTCCATTTACATAGGTATCTCTAATGTCTTTTTTTTTTTTTTTGACAGAATCTCACACTGCCTGGAGGCTGGAGTACAGTGGCACGATCTGGACTCACTGCAACCTCCAACTCCCAGGTTCCAGCAAGTCTTGTGTCTCACTCACCTGAGTAGCTGGGATTACAGGCTCACACCATCATGCCCAGCTAATTTTTGTAATTTTAGTAGAGACAAGGTCTCACTATGTTGGCCAGGCTGGTCTTGAACTCCTGGCCTCAAGTGATCCACCGCCTTGGCCTCCCGAAGTGCTGGGATTACAGGCATAAGCCACCATGCCCAGTCTCTAATGTCTTTTAATGAAGTGTTAAATTACATTAAACTACCTAAAATTACCAACAATCATCTGTTTTTGATCAAAAAGAATTT
Organism: Homo sapiens; assembly: GCF_000001405.40. Lineage (NCBI taxonomy): Eukaryota > Metazoa > Chordata > Mammalia > Primates > Hominidae > Homo > Homo sapiens. The sequence goes on along the minus strand of NT_167248.2, from coordinate 3,818,699 downwards.
TGATCAATTTCATTTAGTTCAGTGTAAAACCCTGATGTAACAGATCTCTATAACTTGTTAGATTTATAGATAGTATACCTAACTTTAATTTTAATGTTGTTCAATTATTTATTCATATAAGACTTGCTTAACATATTGTGTAGGTTAAAATGTTGAGATTCAGAGAGACCATTAAAATTGCCCAAAGTCAGACATCCAGGATATAGCAGAGTAAAATTTAAACTAAGTTCTGCCTAATTCCAAAGCCCTGGTACCCTTCTTTTGCAACCATTTATATTACGTGATAAGTTGACTTATCTACATGTGATTGAGCTTATCGACAAACGGGCGAGGAAGTATACATTTGCATCTTGACTGAAGACAATGCTAGTCTTGGCCAGACAAGAATTAAGAGGCAGTCTCTATCATTAGAGAATTCCAGCTTCTAAATTTCCAGATGCAATTCCTTGTGTTTGAATTAATCTCTAGAAATTTGTACCTGAAAAAGCACACATGAGAATGAGGTAATATAGGAAGCAGTGGTTATTTTTGTTTGTTCGTTTGTTTGTTTTTTGAGATGGAGTCTTGCTCTGTCACCCAGGCTGGAGTGCAGTGGCGCGATCTCGGCTCACTGCAAGCTCCACCTCCCAGGTTCATGCCATTATCCTGCCTCAGCCTCCCGAGTAGCTGGGACTGCAGGCGCCCGCCACCACGCCTGGCTAATTTTTTGTATGTTTAGTAAAGACAGGGTTTCACTGTGTTAGCCAGGATGGTCTCAATCTCCTGACATTATGATCCACCCACCTCGGCCTTCCAAAGTACTGGGATTACAGTTGTGAGCCACCACGCCTGGCCAGTTATTGTTTTTATATAATTCATTTGTTAGTTGTAACTTAGGACTGAAGAAGAGCGAGACCAGGAACAAATAAATGTGTTGGAGGTAAGTGTAATATGAAAACACTAGAGAATGTAGGGTCAGTGTAGAGTTGTAGAGAAACGCCCCTCTGTGTTGAATTCAACTCAATTTGTTTAAAGACACAAGAAATATTTTTTGAATCAAGGCCATTTTCTAGGCATGGTGGGAGATGCAGACTTGTGGAAAACAGGCTTAAACTTAAGGGGCTTATGGTCTAATGGAACACAAAAGAAGCACCTATTTATAATGCTAAGTAGTAGGTGGTTTCTTAGAAAAAAAATAATGTACATTTGGAGAATAATGCGTACTTTCAAGGGAAATGTTACAATTAAATATACTTTGAAAATGTCTTTGGATTTTAAAAGGCAGAGATGATGAGGAAGAAGCATGGCATAGACCTACCAAAATCTTTTTTTGAAATATAGTTTAAACTTTATTCTACATTTCTTTCTTCTGCTAGGTCAAACCTATGGTTAAGCCTCTCTAGTGAATTTTTATTTCAATTATTGTACTTTTCAACTCCATAATTTCTATTTGGTTCCTTTTTATTATACTATTGTCTAAATATTTGTGTCCCCTGCCCCCAGATTTATATTTTGAAGCTCAATTCCCATTTTCTAGTGTGTGGTATTAAGAGGTGGGGTCTTTGGGAGGTGATTAGGTTATGAGGGTAGAGTCCTCATTAATGGAATTAGTACTCTTGTAAAAGAAGGTGAGGGAGCTTATTCACCACTTCCACTGTATGAAAACAGAAAAATGATGAGTTCATGCCCTTTGTAGGGACATGGATGAAGCTGGAAACCATCATTCTCAGCAAACTATCGCAAGCACAAAAAACCAAACACCGCATGTTGTCACTCATAGGTGGGAATTGAACAATGAGAACACATGGACACAGGAAGGGGAACATCACACACAGGGGACTGTTGTGGGGTGGGGTGAGGGGGGAGGGATAGCATTTGGAGATATACCTAATGTTAAATGACGAGTTACTGGGTGCAGCACACCAACACGGCATATGTATACATATGTAACTAACCTGCACATTGTGCATACGTACCCTAAAACTTAAAGTATAATAATAAAAAAAAAAAAAAAAGGAAAACACAGGTGGAAGGCACTGTCTGGGAAACAGACAGTAAGCCCTTGCCAAACACTGAATCTGTTTGTTCTTCGATCTTGGATTTCCTAGCCTCCAGAACTGAGAGGAATACATTTCTGTTGTTTATAAATTACCTAGTCTAAGGCATTTTGTTATAGCAGCTGAATGGACTAAGACAACTACTATCGCTGTTGTTGTAATGCCAAAGGTTCTTGCCTTAGCCACGCCAAAGAATTGGTGTGGCGGCTGCCTGCCGCGAGTGATAGAGACACGGACCAATAGAGAGAAAAAGCTGTAGGCTTTATTGAGCAGAGTGAAAGTACAAAGCTTCCACAGTGTGGAAGGGGTCTCGAACGGGTAGCCACTGCTGGTTTTGGGTAATTGCCTTTTAAACTCTTTAAGGGGGGAAATACATGCGGTGGGAAGATGTTACCAGAGTGAGAAACAAAGGCAGTAAATTATTTTGTTCCATGTCTTAGATCTTGAGGAAAACCGGAATTGCAACCTAGGTTTTATTTACTTTATGACCTTGTAGAGGCATAGCAAAAGAGACAGGATCTTACCAGGACTTTATAAAGTATGTTCACAAGGAACTGGAATTGGGAAGTTAGATAAGGTTTGCTGGTCACAGAAAAACGGACAGTTAACATTCCTTTCATCTTTAGTTTTGGGGAGGGGAAAGGGAGAGAGGGAGAGAAAGACACAGGGAAACTTACAGCAAAATTTTCGCTGTTTATAGCTTTCTTGGGGAAGAAAACACATATACAAATCCGGGTGTTAGGAATATTGTAAGTATATAGCTTCAGTGTTATTCATCCAGGACTGAAGTAAGTCCTGATGCAGGAAATGAGTGAGTTTCACAGCTTTCTGAGCCCCTACTCGACCCAGGAAGCCCAGCTGCACCTCCTCTTATTGTTATTCTCTCTGATGAAACATTGCCATCACACCTTCCTTCACTTCTTTAGCCATCCTTTCCTTTAGGTCTATGAATGTAATGGATAATGTTATGTGTCAACTTGGGTTGGCTGAGAGATGCCCAGATAGCTGGTAAAACATTGTTTCTGAGTGTGACTGTGAGGGTGTTTCCAGAATATTTTAGTATTTGAATCAGAAGACTGAATAAAGAAGATATCCCTCACTAATATGGGTGGGCATCATTCAGTCCATTGAGGACCCAAATGGAACAAAAAGGTGGAGGAAGGGTGAATTCTCTTTCTCTTTGAGCTGGGACATCTACTTCTACCCCTGGACACCAGAGCTCCTTCTTCCCCTCCTCCTGCCATGACTGCAGCCCATGTCCTGGTTCTCAGGCCTTTGGCCTCAGACTGGGAGTTGTACCATTGGCTCCCTTGATCCTCAACCCTTCTGACTCTCACTGAATTACACCACCTGCTTTCCTGGGTCTCCTACTTGCAGATGGCATATTGTGGCACTTCTTGGCATCCATAATTGAGCGAGTCAATCATCATACATATCTTTTTGTCTCTGTTTCTCTGGAGAATCCTGATGAAAATACTGAATATATTTAAACATATGTATAGTAGCTACTTTAAATATTTTTGTGTTAAATTTGTTCTCTCAAGCAATTTCTTCTGCCTTCTATTTTTCTGGTGTATTGGTCACACTTTTTTGTTTCTTTGCGTAGCTCATAATTTTTGTTGAAAAATGAACATTTTAGGAACTATATTATAGAAACTCTGGGTACTACCCCCACATTTTGCTTGTTATTCTTATTTGCTTGTTTGTTTATGTGATTAACAATGATTGTCTGGATTATTTTAATAAAGTCTGTCTTCATCTCCTCATCCCACAGTGTTAAGCTTTTGATGTTACCTCAAGGAGGCCCAGCTTTGAGTATATCCAGGGTTACCCTGGAATGACAGTGGTCCTGTAGGACTCTTTTTCATTCTTTCCCTCACCTACCCAGCCACTGAAGTCCATTAATTACCACTCTTTTCAATAATGCCCTGGGGCAAAATTCCTCTACAAAGTAATCGAATAAAATAGTGAGTCCTTCTATGAAATAGTTTCTGAGGTCAGTGTTTGATATTTGTTTTACTTTGGGAGGGCTCTTCCCACCTATTTTATTCTCTAGTTCTCTTCTGTAAACTAACCAGCCTACAGTCTAAGCTGTACCTGCATTAGATGCACAAATCTCCCAACTGCTTTTCACCACAACTCTACTGTAATTGAGAGTGCCCTTAGGTTTAAACTTCTCCATGCTCTGTTCCACATGAAGTTACTTCCTTTGGGAATACATTAGGATATCTATTCCATTTTATATAGAATAGATATAAAATATATTCTATGTTCCTAAAATATATTCCTAATATATTGCCTTTCCTCCCAGGCAAACTCTCTAAGTCAGGGCTCTGGAGCTGGGTGTAACTGTGGCAAGCTTCTCTCGGAGTGACTCCTCAATTCTAGGAGCTGAGCACTAAGTGGAGGGTGTGGCCAGCAGCCTGCTGTCCTATTGGTTTGCCTCTCCTGCAGTGGAGCCATTCCCTCATGAGCCAGGTAAAGGGTTATTAGGGCCCCAGTAGTCTTAGCATACCACACCCAAGGCAGACTCTCCATTCCACAAGTGGGAATTGGGCAGAAGAACGGTCCTCTCACTTCTCAACTGCACTTGTCTCGGACATAGTCTCAGCAACAGGTAGCTGGGGACAGGATGAGGGATTCTGAATTCCTGCCCTTCCTAGAAATAAAGCGCTCTGATATGGAGCTGTGGGGAGAGGGAGGCCTGTGCTCTGGGCTGTAGCAATCTAGAGTGGAGTCTATGCCTTACTGACCTCACTGAGCTGGCATGCAGGAGAGAGGGAGGGTATAGTCTTGGTTCAAATACCACAGACTCTTGCTTTTCTTGCCAATTTTCAGAGATTTTCTTGAACAGATGTCTCATTATTGCTGTTTGTCCTTAAGAAGCTTTTCAGAGGCTTTAATTTTTTAAAAATCAGTTGCATTGGAGAGTGGATCCCATAGTGATTATCTCACAATGAAGAAATGACAGATTAATTTGTCTCTATTAATTTTGTAGACTTCTAATCTTTCCTTATTGGGCAGGTGTTACTAGTATTATAAGAAAAGTAGTGTGTTAATTTTTATTTTTTTAAATAAAAAAGAATATGACTCACTGTACTTTTTCTTCACTTGGATTTTGGAAGTCTGTACCTGCTCCAACAACCAGTAGCCCCGCTGAAAGATAGCTGGGTATTGACACCAATGAGGCAGTGTTGCAGTTAAAATATTCTCTTGTACTTGAGAATTCACCCGAGAAAGTATTGACCAATCCCTACTTACATTGCATGTATATGGAGGTTTCCTTTTGGACCAAGACTTAACTCATAAAGTAGACCTCTTTTACATGAATACTGATATTTTTTTCCAACAATGAAAATGGCAGATCACTTGGTTATTCCTCTTCTCCCTTGACAGGAATTTCTATATTCTAGGGAGATCTATAGGACATCTCAATAAACCCTACTTAGGTCTATAGCTTCCTACATGAGGTGTGACACACTTTTCCAACTACTGCTTCATACAAAAGACAAGGAGTTTCAACTTTTTCACCCTTACTTAGGAATTGGCAAGCACAGAATATTAGGAAGTTGTGCACTGGAAGCACGGGGACCATGCCAGGCTTTCAGCAGAGTATCCACATGGAGTTACCAAGGGGGTGACAAATAATTGTAGCTATGTGGCCAGTTTTTCAGGAAGTGAGTTGGAAAGTTCATGAGTATATAATGATGAAAAACTAAGCTACAATGTTTCTTGCCTAATTTGTGAGACTTATATTTCTTAGTCAAAGAGTAAAGATCCCATTCCATAATTCTATGTTAAGTGCAAATGGTACTATCAATGTACTGGCTAATTGAATTTCACTAAGCATAATTACTCCCAAAATGGTTTCAACAAATAATGTTCTTGTCTTGCCTCTAAGGAGTACTTGAAAAAGAATCCACAAAGGACTGTTTTTATTAGTTAACATTGTTTAGTCATATTGGGGAATTATTTTTCTTTAGGATAATTAAAATATTTTATCTTTATTTTTGTTGAAATCAGTTTCAGATAATTATTTTCTCCTTTTTGTAATTACAGCTCACTTTTGAACAACACAGGTTTGAATTGCATGGGTCCTCTTATGGGTTGATTTTTAAAAATAAATATATTTGAAATTTTTTGGAGATATATGACAGTTTGCAAAAAAAACCCACAGATGAATCATGTAGCCTAGAAATATTGAAAACTTTCTTAAAGTTAGGTATGTCATGAACTCATAAAACATATGTAGATACTAGTATGTTTTTATAATTTACTACCATAAAATATGCACAAATCTGTTATAAAAAATTAAAACTTATGAAAAGTTATGCACTTACAGACCATACATAATGCCATTCACAGTGGAGAGACATGTAAACAAACATAAAGATACAGTATTGAGTCACAACTGCATTGAATAACTATAATACATAGGACATTACTGTGATAACTTCATAGCCACCTTCTGTTGCTGCTGTGGTAAGTCCGAGTGCTGCAAGTATGTGCATAAAATGCCTCCTGATGCTAATCATCATAAATTGTGTATTGCAGTAAAAAGTGATCTCTTATGGTTCTCGTATATTTTTCATGTTTAGCGTTATGTTGTAAACCTTGAATAACATCATGGGATCTATACAAAGTGCCACTAGTGATGCTGAAGTGCTCCCAAGGAGCAGAGAAAAGTCCTGGCATTACAGGAAAAAGTTGAATTCTTTGATATATACCATAGAGTGAGGTCTGCAGCTGCGGTTCTTCACAATTTTAGACACATGGTTTGTCTTGTAAACCAGCTCATGTAAACTTACAGTATCGATAAACACAGTACAGTACTGTAAATTTATTTTATTTTATTTATTATTTTCTTAATATTTCCTTTTTGCTAGCTCATTTTATTATAAGAATATAGTATATAATAAATATAACATACAAATATGTATGACTAGACTGTTTATGTTATTGGTAAAACCTCTGGTCAACAGTAGGCTATTGGTAGTCTTTAGGGAGTCAAAAGTTATATGAAGATTTTTGACTGTGTTGGGCATTGGTGTCCTTAACCCCCGCATTAAGTTGTTGACAAAAAGAGTCAAACTCTGTAAAATATTTGAAGAGATTTATTTTGAGCCAAATATGAGTGACCAGTGGCCTCTGGCACAGTTCTAGAAGATCCTGAGAACATGTGCCCAAGGTGGTTGGGCTACAGCTTGGTTTTATACATTTTAGGGAGACATAAGACATCAATCAATACATGTAAGATGTACATTGGTTTGGTCCAGAAAGGAGACAACTTGAAGTAGGGGCTTCCAGGTCACAGGTGGATTCAAAGATTTTCTGGTTGGCAATTGTTTGAGAATTTATCTAAAGATGTGGATTCAATAGAAAGAAGTGTCTAGGTTAAGATAAGAGGTTGTGGAGACTAAGGTTGTTATTTACCATGCAGATGAAGCCTCCAAGTAGCAGGCTTCAGACAGACTAGATTGTAAATGTTTCTTATCAAACTTAAAAAGGTGCCAGATTGGCCAGGCGTGGTGGCTTACGCCTGTAATCCCAACACTTTGGGAGGCCGAGGCAGTGGATCACCTGAGGTCAGGAGTTCAAGACCAGCCTGGCCAACAAGGTGAAACCCCATCTCTACTAAAAATACAAAATTAGCCGGGCATGGTGTTGAGCGCCTGTAATTCCAGCTACTAGGGAGGCTGAGGCAGGAGAATTGTTTAGAACACAGGAGGCAGCAGAGGTTGCAGTGAGCCGAGATTGAGCCACTGCACTCCAGCCTGGGTGACAGAGTGAGACTCTGTCGCAAAAAAAAAAAAAAAAAAGAAAAGAAAAAAAAAAGAAAGTGCCAGATGCTTAGATAATTCTCTCCTGGATCAAGGGAAAGACCTGGAAAGGAAAGAAGATTTTCTACAGAATGTAGATTTTCCCCACAAGAGACAGCTTTGCAGGGCCATTTCAAAATATGTCAAATAAATATATTTTGTGATAAAATACTTTGATTTCTTTCAGGGCATGCTATCTGTCACGTTGGTATCTTATTGCTACAAAGAGTCTGGTCAGTCTTAAGGTCTTTGTTCTAGTGTTAATGAGGGTCAGATGTGCCTCGATTCTAGAGGGAGGAAGGTATAGTGATGCAAGTCCAACCTCCCCTTCCCATTGTGACCTGAACTAGTGTTTCAAGATTACTTTAAAATGTCCTTGGCCAAGCAGAAGGGCCCATTTAGTTGGTTGAAGGGCTTAAATTTTATTTTTGGTTTACAGGGTGAACTGTATTTTCAGTTACTGAAATGACTAATGACAGTGAAATAAAAATGAAATGTTTTTTAGTATTTATCATGGTCCAGGAATGAGTTAAGTATTAACCTGAGAGATTATGCAATTCAACCCTTTAATTTTAGTGATGAAGAAACAGACACTCAAAAGAGAAAATTACTTGACCAAGATGCGGGTTGGGTGCCAGAATTCTGACCTCATGACCATGAATACCGTGTTTTTATTCCCATTCTACTATGTAACTATATTCACTAACTGAGCCCCAAGGAGCTCTGATAAAGTAAAATATGACTTTTTATGAGAGGGGTATTGGAATTTTACTTTAGATACCCTGCTGATCTCAAATAAACTAATAATTTTAATTCCTGGGCTTTGAGTTTAGGCAGAACGGGATTTTAATCCTCATAATTATCTCTTAAATCACTACAATTTCTTAAAATCACTCTTTAAAATCACTAATTCTTAGTGATCTCTTAAAATTGCTAATTCTTAGTAACCTACTTATATATTTGTTAATTTTACAAATATCTATTGAGTGCTGGGAACTAAACATTCAGCAGTTAACAAAAATAATGATTAATTGAGATAATACACCCAGAAGTACTACTTTGCTAGAACAAAATAATCAGTACATAATAATGTGACTTTCCCTCAAATTGTCCTATGACAATCAGCAGGTGGGGTCATGGGCTTCTTCACCATTTCCATCTCGTTCACCACAGGTGCTCATGCATCACTAGCAGAGAGAATCCAGCGTCATAGTCATGCCCTTCCCTTTTAAAACTCACCAGGGACTTCCCACAGAGGCATGAAAAATATCAGGTAACCTCTTCTCCCCCACCAACACTAAATACTAAGAGTCTCAGTCTTTACTCTGCTTCACAACTACAAAATATGGTATCTTGTCTCTCCACATGGAGTATCTTATTTCTTTCCGTGAAACTACATCGTAGCCATTCTTCTCACTACTTATGAGTCATCCTGCTCCTTCCCTGCCTCCTCCCCAAGACATGAGATCAGATCAGACCTTCTTAGCAGACATATCTGCTGGAGACAAGTGATGCTGCCTCATTCTCTATTCCTATTGGTTGAAGAAACATGCCTGTGACAGGTTGGGGATTTCCAGGAATGCTTTTCTTTCTTGAAATGCCTAGTGCAAGAAGCTGGAATGCCTTCCCCAAAAAGAAGTAAGCTGAACTGAGACTGATGAGGCAGATTCTGGGTTTGAGAACTGTCTGTGGGTACTGCCTCTGAAAAGAGAGATGTATTCCTTCTAAAACGACTCATCTTTCTCTCTTTATCAAGTGATATTTCCTAGCATGATTATGAGAATATTAGTGCTCAGTAAATCCAACCTCTTCATTCTAACCATTACTTCCTAGTCTTGTAACTACACTGGGATTTCCAAAATAATTTCCTGGTTGATTTCCCTTCCATCTGTAGCTATACAAGTCTTGTTTTTGTTGGGTGGCTTCACTCTGTGCATCCCCTTCCATTCCTGAAGGAAGAATCTTCACTCCCATCAGACAGTACTCCTCTCCCGGCCTGCATCTTTCATCCTTCGTTTCCCTTACATATCGTTTCATTATATTTTCTCTACCCCTTCTACTGTCTTAATTAACCAAACTTGCCCTTTTTAATGAGTGTTACTATCTCATGCACATAGAGAGCTCCAATCTTTAATTTTTAAGGTTCATGTAGGTGTGTAAAACATTTTATTATTATTATTATTTTTGAGACGAAGTCTCGCTGTCACCCAGGCTGGAGTGCAGTGGCGAGATCTCGGCCCACTGCAACCTCCGCCTCCCGGGCTCAAGCAAACCTCCTGCCTTAGCCTCCCAAGTAGCTGGGACTACAGGTGTGTGCCACCACACCCAGCTAATTTTTGTATTTTTAGTAGAGACTGGGTTTCGCCATGTTGGCCAGGCAGGTCACAAACTCCTGACCTCAGGTGATCTACCTGTCTCTGCCTCCCAAAGTGCCGAGATTACAGTCGTGAGCTACTGCGCCCGGTCAGTGTGTAAACCATTTTAACAATTTGGCTCATGTTTGAAAACCCACAAATTTGTGCTCTTATTGTATTTTATAAACCAATCAATTGTAGCGCTTGTTGCAGTGTATTATAGCAAGTTTATGTTGGCTTTGAACTCCTAGGAAACAAGATCTGCAGATCCTATTTATCCTAATAATGCATAACCTTGAAGAATGATTTGCACAAATGCAGCAGTATTAACTTTTTAATGTTCCCCCAAAGGAATAAATGTTATCTTTTTCAAGTCAGGGTGTAATTCCCATGTTTCTACCATCACCTCCAAAAGGGGTACAAAAGATTATTTTCAGAGTTGTTATAAAGATTAAATGAGATAATTGAAAAATAGCTAACCAGACCCTGGAACCATTGATTCTCTTTTCCATCATTGTCCCTGCATGTTCTTATAACCAGCAGGTGGGGAGATGACCCTTAATCAATCTGTTTCTTCTTTCCTTTCAATTTTGTCCCTACCACAGATTTTAGTTTTCTACCAGTGATGAGATCCTAGCATTAAAGCAATTTTCTTTTCATTTAGTCCTGGGCAGGGACTTTCCACCTATGTCTGAAAAAGAACAAGTATCCTGATTCACGCTCTACATTCATTAAGCATGCTGGATCTTACTTGAAAAGGGGAGAGTTCTTGGCAATCCACACAGCTATCACCTGTTTCTTTCGACAAATTTCAGGTATTATATCTTTCTCGCACCACATAACTAATAATTTGCCCCTACTCCACGTTTTCACAGGGTCTCGAAACCAGACTAATGCTAGGACTATTGAAGTAGTGTTATTTGCTGGAGACAAATGATGTTACTTCACTCAGTGGTTGCATAGGAAGAAAACTGATAAGTAATGGAGATTTTTATAAAGTCCCTTTGTCCAGAAAACTGACCTGCTTCATCTTAAAGCACAGAGTCTGGGAACCAGGATAGATAACCAACCTGGGGGTTTGAGAACTCAGTCTTTGGATGCTATCTCTGAAAGAAGAAAAGAGGTCTAAAAAAATTCCACATTTTCTCTTTCTACCCATTAGATAGTAATAATTTGCACAAGTTTGGAAGGACACAAGGCACTCAGTAAAACCAGTACCCTAGTCTCACTGTCACCTCCCCAGCCTTGATGCTCCTCCTGTACCTATATGACACTTGCCTTACCAACAGATGATTTTGCTGTTTTACATTTGCACACTTCAGTTCATCACCTTCCTAAGAAGTGACTGCTCAGCTTCTAAGGCCTCTCATAAAAACAGGTCCTCTCTGTGCATCTTCTCTTATCCTATACTATTCTTTAATCTACATGTTCACTCCAGTCAATCTGGGCTTTTCCCTAAATCAACCCACTCCCTGTCCCACCCCCGCTGCCAGTACTGCTCTCACTCATGCAGTTCATGATGGTTCGTTTCCCACTGCTGTTCCTCGGAATCATTTCCTCCTCTTCTCTGCTTCAAGTCTTACTTCTGCAAACGAACTATATTTTCAAGTTTTCTCCAAATACTCCAGTCTGTATGAATATATCCTTTATCTGCTATTCTTGAATTTTGTTACTTTTAAATTATACCCACTCTTTCTTTCTTTCCTTCTTTCTTTTTTCTTTCTTTCTTTCTTTCTCTTTCTTTCTTTCCTTTCTTTCTCTCTCTCTCTCTCTTTCTTTTTTTTTATTTTTATTTTTCAAAGATAGCCTCACTCTGTTGCCCAGGCTGGAGTGCAATGGCGCGATCTCAGTTCACAACAACCTCTGCCTCTTAGGTTCAAGCGATTCTTATGCCTCAGCCTCCCAAGTAGCTGGGATTTCAGGCGTGCGCCACCACGCCTGGCTAATTTTTTGTATTTTTAGTAGAGATGGGATTTCACCATGTTGCCCAGGGTGGTCTTGAACTCCTGAGCTCAGGCAATCCGCCTGCCTTGGCCTCCTAAAGTGCTAGGATTATAGGTGTGAGCCACCACCCCCAACCCCCATTTGTATTTTCATTGCAATTTATAAATGTTTATATTTATACTTAATATATTGTTTATTAATTCAACAACTATTAATAACTATTTTGAACCCGGTATTTTTCTAGGAACTGAGGAGAGAATAGTGCAGAAAGTTCCTGGTGTATGGAGTGTATGCTGTATATGTCTTTTTTTCCTGGTATATATTGATCTTCATGAGATCTTCACCCTGGAACCTTAGCTCCTACCGCACTCTTTGAAACATGGGAGACGTTCAATAAGCATTTGCTCTTTGAATATCATCAGTTATAATCAGTTATACTCTGTGCTTCTTATGGAAGTATGTGCATGTTTTAGTTAATCGCCTTCCTAAAGAAGACAATGGGTGTTTGTCACTCTGTGAAGACCTCTACCAACTTATTCTAAAGTCAGAAAGGAGGTGAAACTTGCCTTAACATATAGAAAGGAACAGTTTAGTGACCAAAAAGTTTGACAAGAACTGGAACTATATACAAGAAATACCAGCCGAATCACAGGACTATTCCTGGAGCCCCCGCTTCCAGTGTCCTTCACTCCATCTTCTCCTTCAACTTCAATTTAACTACAACAAACATTCATTAACATGTGTGCCGATGTTTCCGATTTTCCTGCCCTTTTCCCTTCTGTGACTTCCAAAGTACTTAAGGGTGCATTCCGCTGTTGTTCTTATTTCTGTTTTCCTAACCACAAACACTGAAGCCCCTGGTGAGAGGCTCCTGGCACGAGTGTGATAGGCTCATGGTAGGTCGTCATGAGAAGCTTTCCAGGCACATCCCATGGCACCTGCTAGTTATGCCCAGTAATTTCTTACTGTCCCTGTTTTAGATACATTATATTTGTGACCACTGATGAACCTTTTTCTTATGATTCTGAGTTTTGGATTCTATTTTAAAAATCTTTTTCTACTTCAAGGTCAGGAAGATATTCTCTAATATCGTCTTCTAGAAGTTTTATTGTATTGATTTTTATAGATAGATATGTTTTCTACTGGAATTAATTTTGTGTATAAAGTGAGATAGGTGTCAAATTTCTTTCTTTCTTTTTTTTTCAGTAAGGATATACAACTGATCCAGCAGCATTTATTGACAGGCTGATTCTTTCCGGGTCACTAAATTGACAATCACGAAATAGATCACAAAATAGGCACAAAAGAGAACATACTGTATAGTTTAATTTGTATAATGTTACTAAGCATGTTTAGGAATAAATATTAGATTTTGAAGGCGTATTGAAAAGCAATGAAGGGATTGCTATGGAAGTCTGATGGTGAGTTGTCTTGATGGGAAGGGAGAGCAATGTAGACAGGAGGAAGCAGGGGAGAGCTTCTGGTGCTGGCCTCATGCTGTTTCTTGATTTGGGTGGTGGGTTCATGGATGTTGGCACTGTAATGATTGATTAAGTTGTACATTTATGCTTTACATGTCTTACTATATGTGTGTTCTATGTCACTATACAATGTTAAAAATGTAACACATTTGGTTTCCTAATCATATCCCAGTAATAAATAAATATTTATTTATTTATTTGTATTTATTTGAGACAGAGTCTTGCTCTGTTGCCCAGGCTGGAGTGCAGTGGTGCAATCTCAGCTCGCTGCAACCTCCACCTCCCGGGTTCAAGGGATTCTGCTGCCTCAGCCTCCTGAGTAGCTGGGACTACAGGTGCCCGCCACCACGCCTAGCTAATTTTTGTATTTTTAGTAGAGACGGGGTTTCACCATATTGGTCAGGCTGGTCTCGAACTCCTGACCTTGTGATCTGCCTGCTTCAGCCTTCCAAAGTGTTGGGATTACAGGTGTGAACCACCACACCCAGTCATTATCAATATTTATTAAATACTATAAGTGATGGACATTATTGAATGTGTTGGGGATATAGCAGTTAAGTGAAAACATAGTGTGATACATACATCCACTGCAGGGTTATGATGAGAATCAAATGAAACAAAGTGTCTGGAAGTAGAAAATTCAGTGCCTGGTGTAAAATAAACAATAACTCATCATTTTATTTTCCCTTCATTTGTCTGTGCATAAACCTATGGCAATCAGAGTTGGCATAATAGATCTCTCTGACAGTCTCCATCTCTTGTATAACAAGAATAGCAGGCAGATAGCAGCAGGATAGCTTTTTATTTGTGCTTTTAATACTACCCAGGGACAGGAATGGAAAACCAGGCATTATGTCTCTATCACTCTAAATGCCCAGCTCCTCCAATCCTCACTGCACATTTTGCTTTACTCTGCAAATATTCTTTATTTGCTAACTACTTATGTCCTAATTTATTCCACAAAGGAAGTTATCAGCCTTTCTTATCAACACCTAATTTAGTCATCCTGTTCTCCTGCACCTTCTCTCCAAGACTTTATATAAGACCTTCTGGTCAGATGTATCTGCCGGAGATAAGTGATGTTGCTTCAGTCTTTATCCCTATTGGTTATAGAAAAAAACAGCAACAACTGTTTGTGAAGGGATGGGGATTTCCAGTAAATTTCTCTCTTTTTTCTACAAAATGTCTCAACCAGAAAGAAAGAACCAACACACAGATGGATAGGAAGATTGATCCCTTTGGGTGTTACCTACAAAAGGAAAGAAAATATATTCCTTCTAAAAGACCTTCCGTTCCTCCCTTATTCATCAAATACCAATTCTAATGCACATCTGGAAATGCAAAAGGAGCATGGTATTCCCATCATCCATTTCTGTTGTCACCACACTGATCTCTGTGTCCAATCCCTCATAACTAACCTTGGATTGTAAAAGTTTTACTGCTTGATATTTTTTCCTGCGTCCATCCACATCTTTCTAAAAGATGTAACATCTTTGCCAAATTTTCAATGCCTTTCTTAGAACTTCAGCTCTGCACATCCACTCTGATCTCCCAGCATTATTTAAGGGAGCCTTTCAATTCTAGTCTAACAGACTCCCCTCTATCTCTATTTCCGTTTCCTGACTCCTCCTGCTTCCTGCACACACGTTATTCATGATAGTTCCTGTTCCCCAGCGAGTCTCTAGCCAACCTGAAACGTAACCCTTCCTCTGTGTTCTGAGTTTCACTTCCTCTGGAACTTACATCTATACAAATGCTTCCTTCTTGTTGTAAATATAAGTTTCTACTTAATTTTAACCATTTTTGTTTTAAAATTTTTGTCTTAAAAATTAATAACACCAAATTGTGTTTGATTGTTTTTTATAGATATGTCTGTTGTAGATCTTGTGACATTTTTATATGAATTTTATATGTCTGTTACTACTATGCGCTCTTTTGTCTGTGTAGGATCTACTTAAAAGTAGGATCTAATTCATGTGAATCTTTGTATCCCCAGCATTAGAAGAATCTTTTGCACAAAGGAAGCACTGAACACACTTTTTGTGATTGAATATCCCCACCTAGATTGCATGCGTATGCACACGTGCATATGGTGGATCCTCAGTTAAAATTTACCGAATTCAAAGTGCGGCAAAGATACGAGATAGATATTAAGAATATTTTTCTGACTGTGAGGATTTATATATGGAAATATGTGAAGGAGGGACAATCCCTTCTACAAAATTGTTTTCACCAGATTACCGCTGACTGTTACTGCTCTGTGTGGCTCCCACAACAACTTCTCCTATGCAGAAGCAGATAACTACATTTTTGTAGAAAACAAGAGGATGAACTGACTAGTGAGCAAGGGGTTAAACGGCTCCCAAATCATGTTCTCAATGATGCCCATCAGTCCTCACTTCATAATTTAATTACCAGTTTCAAAAGACCTTCTGGATGCTGGATGTTTGGGTCTTCTGGAACTCTCTCCTGCTCTTCTGGTATATCCACAAACAGTCTTGTCAAAACTGGATCCTGATATTTCATACAATTACTTGCTTCGGGACCTCTCTTTTCCTCATTTCCTCACCAAATACTGGAGTCCATTGAGTGAGAAGGGGCTAGCCTCAGCCATATGTTTAATTTGGAGGCCTAGTCAAGAGCTTTACTAGAGCATCCTGTGGGAATCAGTGGCCTTGCCCCAATATTTTCTCATTTTCACACTATTCACTGTTCCCATTCAATGCGGCTGCTGAGCTATTACTTTGCTTTCTGTCTAGACACTGGTAACCCTGGCTGGAGCGCCATCTTGGCTGATTCTCCCTATCTTATTGTCCTTCCATGACTCACATGTGCTACTGTCCATGAACCATGCTCTTTGTCACAAAATACAATTCTCAGCTTCCCCCCAGCTCCCACTCCTTCTCCCCAACACTTGCACTTACAGAAATGTTTCCTTCTCATTTCCCTTTTCTTTATTACCATCTTTTATCTGCCCTAATGTCTACAAAAGTATCCTTAGTTCTCTTGAAGTAAAAATGGACACTTTTAAAATTGTTTATGTAAGTATGGATGTATATATCTATAAATTCATGTGTACATATTTATTTATTCATGGATATTGGTGAATAAATGTCAGGGTAGCCCTACTTTTTACAACCTCTTCTCTGTTTGGTCACAATACAGATGCACTCTCTGCATTTGGGTGGGAGGCAGTGAAAGAAATGTCGATTGGCATGATTGTTGAATAGACACATGCACAGGAAATGCCTGGTGTTTAGTTCCCAGCCTCCATTTTTGCTTTCAGTACATATCTCACCTCAACTATACCTCTAGAAGGTATTTGAAGATTTATCCTGATCCTCCCATAAATATAAGAACCTTGTTCCATCCTATGATTTTTTAAATTATTGTATTTTTTTGGCAAATTATAATTGCATATAATTGTAGGGTACAAAGTAATGTTATGATATATATACACAATGTGGAGTAGTTGACTCAAGCTAATTAATATATACATCACCTTAAAAACTTTTCATTTATTCCTCCTGTCTGTCTGCTACTTTATACTCTTTGACTGATGTCTTCCTATTCCTCCCAATCTGCAGCCTCTGATAATCACTATTCTACTGTCTGCTTCTATGAATTTGATTGTTTTTGATTCCATATATAAATAAGAATATGCAGTATTTGTCTTATTTCACTTAGAAACGTCTAGCTTATTTCACTTAGCATACTGTCCTCTAGGTTCATTCATGTTGTTACACATGGCAGAACAGCGTTTATTTTTTGTTTTTTTTTTTTTTGAGATGGAGTCTCACACTGTTGCCTGGGCTGGAGTGCAGTGGCGCTATCTTGGCTCACTGCAACCTCCGCCTCCTGGGTTCACACCATTCTCCTGCCTCAGGCTCCTGAGTAGCTGGAACTACAGGCGCCCGCCACCACGCCTGGCTAATTTTTTGTATTTTTAGTAGAGACAGGGTTTCACCGTATTAGCCAGGATGGTCTCAATCTCCTGACCTCGTGATCCGCCTGCTTCGGCCTCCCAAAGTGCTGGGATCACAGGCATGAGCCACCACACCCGACCCAGAGCAGCTTTTTTTTTAAAAGGCTATATGTTACTCTGTTACACAGAATATATTCTGTATATATACCACATTAAAAAATTTGTCAGTTGATGGACGCTTAACATCTTGGCTATTATAAGTAACATTACAATGAACATGAGAGTGCAGATATCTCTTCAACACACTGATTTTAAGTCCTTAGTCCGTAAACCTAGAAGTGGGATTGCTGAGTCATATAGTAGTTCTACTTTTAATTTTTTCATGATCTTCCATACAGTTTTTTATAATGGCTATACCAATTTACATTCCCACCAACAGTGTACAAGTGTTTCCTTTTTTTTTTTTTTTTTCAGATGGCGTCTCACTCTGTCACCCAGGCTGGAGTGCAATGGTGCGATCTTGGCTCACTGCAACTTCTGCCTCACAGGTTCAAGCTATTCTCCTGCCTCAGACTCCCAAATAACTGGGACTACAGGCACACACTGCCATGCCCAGCTAATTTTTTTTTCTTTTTTTCTATTTTTTAGTAGAGACAGGGTTTCACCATGTTGCCCAGGCTGGTCTTGAACTCCTGAGCTCAGGCAATCTGCCCACCTCAGCCTCCCAAAGTGCTAGGATTACAGGCGTGAGCCACCACACCTGGCCAAGTGTTCCCTTTTCTCCACATCCTCACCAACACTTATCTTTTACCTTTTCAATAAGAACCATTCTTTCCGGTGTGAGGTGATATCTCATTATGGCTTTAATTTGCATTTCCCTAATGATTAGTGATGTTAAGCTTTTTTTTTTTTTTTTTTTTTTTTTTTTTTTTTTTTTTTTTGAGACAGAGTCTTGCTCTGTTGCCCAGGCTGGAGTACAATGGTGCAATCTCGGCTCACTGCAACCTCCGCTTCCCGGGCCCAAGTAATTCTCCTGCCTCAGCTTCCCAAGTAGCTAGGACTACACGCGTGTGCCACCATGCCCAGCTAATTTTTGCATTTTTTGTAGAGACAGGGTTTCACTGTGTTAGCCAGGATAGTCTCAATCTCTTGACCTCATGATCCACCCGCCTCAGCCTCCCAAAGTGCTGGGATTACAGGCGTGAGCCACTGCACCCACCAGTGTTAAGCATTTTTTCATATGTCTGTTGGCCACTTCAATGTCTTCTTTTGAGAAATGTTTATTCATATTCTTTGCTTATTTTTAAATCTTATTTTTTTATTTTATTTTTTTTGCTATTGAGAGTTTCTAGTGTATTTTGAATGTTAACCCTTCATCAGATGTATTGCTTGAAAATATTTTCTCCCAGCCGATAGGTTGTCTCTTCATTCTGTTGTTTTCTTTGTTGTGCAGAAGCTTTTTAATGTGATGTAATCCCACTTGTCTAATTTTAAATTTTGTTGCCTAAGATTCTGGGGTCAAATAAAATAAAAATCATTGTCCAGACCAATGTTGTATAGGTTCTCTCTGTTTTCTTCTAGTATTTTACAGTTTCAGGTCTTATATTTAAGTCTCCAATCCATTTTTAGTTGATTTTTGTATATGGTGTGAGATAAAGATCCAATTTTATTCTTCTGCATGTGAATATCCAGTTTTCTCAGCACTGTTAATTGAAGAGATTGTCCTTTTCCCATTGTGTGTTCTTGGTAACTTTATTGAAAATAACTTGGTCATAAATAAGTAGATTCATTTCTGGGCTTTCTATACTGTTTCATCAGTAGATGTGTCTACTGTTATGCCAGTACCATGCTGGGTTTTGTTGTTGTTGTTGTTATTGTTTTTAGATGGAGTCATGCTCTGTTTCCCAGGCTGGAGTGCAGTGGTGTGATCTTGGCTCACTGCAACCTCCGCCTCCTGGGTTCAAGCAATTCTCTGCCTCATCCACCTGCGTAGCTGGAATTACAGGTGGCTGCCACCATGCCCAGCTAATTTTTGTATTTTTAGTAGTGATGGGGTTTCACCATCTTGGCCAGGCTGGTCTTGAAGTCCTGACCTTGTGATCCACCTGCCTCAGCCTCCCAAAGTGCTGGGATTACAAGCATGAGCCACTGTGCCCAGCCATGCTGTTTTAAGTACTATAGCTTTGTAATATAGTTTGAAGTCAAGTGGTGTAATGTCTCCAGTTTTGCTCTTTTTGCTCAAGATTGTCTTAGCTATTCAGGCTTTTTGTGTGGTTCCATATGAATTTTATATTGTTCATAGATATTGTAAATGGGATTGTTTTCTTGATTTGTTTTTTGAATAGTTCATTGTTAGTGTATAGAAATACTACTGATTTTTGTGTGTTGATTTTATATGCTGCAACTTTACTGTATTCATTTATTAGTTCTAATAGCGTTTTGGTGAATTTTTTTAGCATGTTTTAGATATAATACACATTCTTCTCAAGCACACATTGAACTTTCTCCAGGACAGATGAGAAAAAAAAAGGCCACAAAAAAAGTCTAAACAAATTTTGAAGTGCACAACATTATTTTGTTAACTATAGGCACTATGTTAAATAGCAGATCTCTAGAACTTATTCATCCAGCATAACTAACACTTTATACCCTTTTAGTGACAGCGCTCCATTTCCCCCAGCCCCCAACTCTTGTTAACTACTATTGTATTCTCTGCTTCTATGAGCTTGAGTATTTTAGTTACCTCATATAAGAGGAATTCTGCAATATTTGTCTTCCTGTAACTGGCTTATTTCACTCAGCATAAGCGAAATTAAAAAGCTTTTGCATAGCAAAGAAAACAATAAACAGAATGAAAAGATAACCTGCAGAATGGAAGAAAATATTTGCAAACCATATATTTGATAAGGGGCTAATTTCAAAAATGTATAAGGAACTCATACAACTCAAGAGCAAAACAACCAACCAAACAAACAAATAACCTGATTAAAAAATGGGCAAAGGGCTTGAACAGATGTGTCTCCGAAAAAGATGTTATAGACTAAATGTTTGTGTTCCCTCCTAATCATATGTTAAATACTAAGCCCCAATATTATAGGATTAGAAGGTGGGCCCTTTGGAAGGAATTAGGTCTAGAGTCTATCTAGATAAACACTCCAATTAATTGCCCATATGGGAACACAAATTGGTTTCTGATGGTGTAAAGTTACTAAGGAAAAATCACAACAATAAACAGATGAACAGGATCAATTTCTTCTTACCATGGAGGATATGTATCCTCAACAGAAGCCTGTGCCATTTAAAGGCCATATTAGTATTCATCAGAGTTGATAGGACCCTTTCCAGTAAGATTTCAGCAATGTCCTCCATTGAGGAACTTTGGGTGGAGCCAGTCTTTGCACCATAGCACTATCTAGGTCATGGCTATAAGTCTACAAGTGAAAAAACCATGGTCAATATTAATGATATTGCAATTAGTATCAGCAATACCACTGAAGGAAATGTGGACAGTTAAAATAATTTAGGAGGCTGGGCACGGTGGCTCACGCCTGTAATCCCAGCACTTTGGGAGGCCGAGGTCAAGAGATCGAGACCATCCTAGCAAACATGGTGAAACCCCATCTCCACTAAAAATACAAAAACTAGCTGGGAGTGGTGGCGGGCACCTGTAGTCCCAGCTACTCCCGGAGGCTGAGGCAGGAGAATAGCTTGAACCCAGGAGACAGAGGTTGCAGTTAGACAAGATCACGCCACTGCACTCCAGCCTGGCAACAGAGTGAGACTCTGTCTCAAAAAAAATAAAAGAAAAAAAGAAAAGAAAAAAAAAGAATTAAGTGTTTAAGTCCTGTTCTGGAGAGAAAATAAACCCATGTCTATGTATTTTGCCTCAGTGGAAGAACCAGTTGCTTTTAGAACTGATTCTTGTTATGCTTTTTTGTTTTTCATAGCTTTAGAACTTGTAATAGCAATAAAGATTCCTCACTTCTGGAAAAACTCAAAAATTTCGAATAATCCTTATATTATCTTCTGCTGTGGTTATTATAAAGTATTTTCTTCTGGTTAATTATATAGCTATGGCTTAGATTATTTTTTACTAGCTGATACCTTTTTTCTTATTCTAACAATTGACTAGACACCTCCTTAAGGTCAAATCCAAAATTCTGAACTGTGGATACTGACAGGCTTTTGTTTGCACCCAGATCATCTTTAGCATCTCTAGATTGATACGTAGTAGTACCAAGTTTTCCACCTTTATCTTGCTAGTGTACCCCTTGAATGAACACAAGACCAAAACAGGGATGCTAGCAATAGTTAGTGTGGTTCTTATGCTTTATTTTTCTCAAAACTGCTGTATGATACTGAGAGTTGCTTTGTTTGACAGGCACACAGGGTAGGAAGAGATGTCATGACAAAAGGAATCGTTAATTTTTTTGCACATATATAAGTTGATTTTATTTAGGTAAAATATTGTTAACATAAATAAGTACTAGTAAGTTTACTTTTTCAAGATAATAAATTGTCTACAAGGATGAACTGTTAGAAAAATAACTGCTAAAAGATTTTATTATTTATTTTAAATAAAATAAGCAACAAACCAGGCACACACTTTATAGGACAGATTGAGAAGTTGGTACAGTTCAACAGGTTCATCAATTTCTTCACTGTCCACACTGCAGTCACTGGGGAGTGGGCTAGTGGAGCACCAAAATGAAATTTTGAAAAATAATCTGGCCTATTTTGGACTGGATAGATAGGTGGATACTTACCGCAGTACAATTAACATAAGATCTAGAAACAGAAATAAAAAGAAAATTCTTTGTACTTACAATATTAGTACAAAGGCCTATGGGAATTCTAGTTGTTCTCTCTATTAACTATGCAATGGCAAGCATTCTGTTATAAAACAGCTAAGTTGAGTCAAAGAATGACATTTGGAAGTTGAAGAAGTCCTGTCAACTGACCTAGATAGTGTCATGGTGTAATGATTGGCACTACCAAAGTTCCTCAATGGAGGACATTGCTGAAATTTTACTGGAAAGGGTCCTGTCAAGTGTGATGAATACTAGTAAGGCCTTTAAATGGCACCGTTTTCTGTTTCAGGATACATATCTTCCATGCTAAGAAGAAACTGGTCCTGTTTATCCATTTATTGTTATTATCATTTTTTCTTTAGATATAAGGATTAGTAACCTGCTTTTTACTTTAAATTCCAGATTAGTGGTGGTTGCTTTCTGAAAACCCCTGAGAACATTTTGAGACTACTTGGACAAGTGGCAGACATTCTATGATAACTAAGGCTTGCTGATAGCCAAAAGAGCCTATTTTTCCAAAATGTGTTGCAAGCTTTCAGGCTTACTACAAGTGAGCCCCATTCTGTGACAATCAGTAGGACTCAAGACATGCTGTAATCCTACCAATGTCAACCTGCCTGTTGTTCAACAAAAGTCTGTGCTTCCGATTTTACCTGTTTAGTCCTGGGAATGTTGGGATTTATTTCCCGTAAAACCAAACCTATGGTTTCATGCATCAAGACCAGAGACCATGGAAGTTCCGTACTGAAAGCCACTTTCTTCCAGAAACCAATTTAATTGTCATTTCCTCAGGAAATAAGCTCTCATATTTGACACCTCTCACAGCCAGCTGAGTTGAGAGGATTATTCTCTTTTTTCCGTGAAAAAGTTCAGCCTATTAGACCACCTATGTGACTGATGGTTTGGTGAGAGTTGCTACATTGTTTAGCCTGAACTATCCTTATATTGAATATTGAAGGAAAGTGTGAGATATATAATTTAAAGAAGCACATCTGTTGTAGTATAAGTGTGTCTCCTTTAAAATTCAGGTAGGGCTCCTCACTCATGAATGGGATTAAGGCCCTTGTAAAACACGCTTCACACAGTTTTTAGCCTCTCATCCTTCCACCTTCTACAATGTAAGTACACAGCGTTCATCCCCTCTGGAGGATGCAAGACGCCATCTTGGAAGTGGCGACCATGCCCTTTGCCAGACATTGAACCTGTTGGTGCCTTAATCTTGGACTTCTCAGCCTCCATGTGTTCTTTATAAATTACCCAGTCTACTGTATTTTATCACAGCACAAATAAACTAAGACAACATCTTTGTTACTCATAAATGTATAAAACATACAGAATTTAGTTCATTGCCATTGGCCATCTTTTTAAATATAAATTTGTATGATTTATAAATAGTGTGTCAAATTTATATAAACAAGTTTTGAAAGTTTCCTTTTAACTGTATTTTAGTACATTCTTGATGTAGAATTACTTATTTTTGCCTAATTAACTAATTAACTAATTGTGATGTGGTGACCTAGGAAAGGAAGCTAAGGTTCACCTTAGTATTACAGGATAAAAGCAGGAGCTATGGATGTCCTTACGTAACATAAACGCAAATTGTGTCATTTCCAGAGGAGAGTAACCATGGTGATGAGGGGAATCTTTTGAAATAACTAGAATTGCTACAAAGTATCTACCCCAAGGTCTATAAAATGTTGCCATTCATTAAAAGAAGTAGTCTTACTGATTTGCACAGCCATGAATTAAAGTGATAAAAATAATTTTAGTATAATGGACATAATTCTCTTTAGAAATTGAATGTGAGGTAGTATAATATAACGACAGAGCTTGAGGGGTTTGGAATTACATATATAATAACTTGGTTCAATAGAATTGACAGAACAACTCTGCTTTAAAATAATTAATATTTTATGTGAAGAGTGTTCAGTCTCTTACTCCTGGTTCCCATTATGATTTCCTCATTTGTTTGAGGCTATGGCCCTTTACTATTCCACTTCTCTGGTTTTATCGTAAGGGAAGATATAAGAAGATTTTGCAGGCCAGACGTGGTGGCTCACGCCTGTAATCCCAGCACTTTGGGAGGCCGAGTTACTGTTTACTAGCCTTGCATCTTTGCAAAAGTTGTTTAATCTCCATCATTTTATTCTCTTCACTTGTAGGGATGAAAAGGTTATATCCCTCATTCAGCTAATGTGAGAATTGATTAAAAATATGATGTATGGAAAGCTCTGTACAATTCTGAGTACAAAGCAAAATGCTCAAAAATTGCTAAGAAATTTTAGTCATTTTTATTGCAGCATGGTGAGTATCCCATTCCTAGAAACACTAAGGCACATAAGGAATGACTGCCTATCAGAACTGTGGTAGGGTGTGAATTAATGCAGAACTTTATCTGCATAGTTATACTTTGAAGTCCGTTCTGAATCTTAGATGCTACATTTATATAAATACAAAGCATAATAGCTATCTAAATGTAGAATTGTATGTTTAAAATTATATGATTACATCAACTGATGTAAATCACAGATTTTCCCTAGGGTTCTGTTTCCTGAACATTCTGTAACGTATTAGTTAGCAAAGTCTTTTTTTTTTAAAACTGAGTCTCGCCGCATCAACCAGACCGGAGTGCAGTGGCGTGCTCCCAACTCACTGCAACCTCTACCTCCCAGAATCAAGCAATTCTTGTGCCTCAGCCTCCCGAGAAGCTGGGATTACAGGCATGCACCACCAAGACCAGCTGATTTTTCTATTTTTTTTTTTTAGTAGAGACGGGGTTTCACCATCTTGGCCAGGCTGGTCTTGAACTCCTGACCTCAAGTGATCTGCCCACCTCAGCCTCCCAAAGTGCTGGGATTATAGGCATGACCCACCACGTCCTGCCAGCAAAGTCTTCTTATATATTCCCTTACGATAAAACAAGAGAAGTGGAATAGTAAAGGGCCATAGTCTCAATCAAATGAGGAAATCCTAATGGGAACCAGGAATGAGGGATTGAACACTCTTCACATAAAATATTATTTTAAAACAAAATTGTTCTGTCAACAGCTGACTTTGAGTCCTTGATCGATCTCTCAGACCCATGAATACTTGGATTGCACAGTTGACCTTATCGCATTGTTAGGGTAAGTGCTATACAAAGGCACATTCAGACCCTCCATTGCATATAGGTGGCCCCTGCAAACCCCTTGCCTGTGTGTGTTCTGGAGGTGCCACTAAACTTGGGGGAAGCATCAGGAGATACACTTGAAAAAACTCTTTTTACTAAGATTAAATTATTAACTAACTTTCAATTTCCTTTAACTTATTAGAGACATCTCTACCTGTAAATAGGTAAAGATTACACTCTCCAGTCAACAGCTGTCATTCTGTCATATCATCAGATACCCAGGGCTGCTGCTCCCTGAGGCATCCACAGAATCACATTTTCCAGTATTGAAAGACCTGAAAGATCACGGTGCCTTCATTTCAACTGTGAGACATGATGTAATTTTCACAAATCTACAACAGTAAGATATAGTGCAACAGGACCAGATTAAGGTCTCCTGGTTTGCAACCATGTCCCCTCCATCTCCTTTACTCCTGAACACACTCACTCCTGCAAACAGTTCTCTTGTCAAGTGGGAAATGAATGCTCTTACAAGGCTCAAACTTGTGAACACATCACTGACCAGCACAGAGCTAAAATAATTGGGGCTAAAAATACCGCCCCAATTAAAGTGTTTTACATGCAACTGGTTCAAACCTTTCAAGTACTAAAAACAATCCTGTAAAGAAGGAAATTCTGTTTCAGAAGAGGACCTTCATACAGCATCTCTGACCAGCAACTGATGATGCTATTGAACTCAGATGCTGATTCGTTCTCCAACACTAGATTACCCAATCCAGGAGCAAGGAAATCAGTAACTTACTCCCTATAACTTGGAATGTGGGTGGAGGGGTTCATAGTTCTCCCTGAGTGAGACTTGCCTGCTGCTCTGGCCCCTGGTCCTGTCCTGTTCTCCAGCATGGTGTGTCTGAGGCTCCCTGGAGGCTCCTGCATGGCAGTTCTGACAGTGACACTGATGGTGCTGAGCTCCCCACTGGCTTTGGCTGGGGACACCAGACGTAAGTGCACATTGTGGGTGCTGAGCTACTATGGGGTGGGGAAAATAGGGAGTTTTGTTAACATTGTGCCCAGGCCATGTACCTTAAGAAATTGTGACGTATTTTTCAGAGATTGCCCATCTTTATCATATGGATCCCAAATAATTTCCCCACCACAAAAGGAGCTTGGCTACTTGCCCACTCCATGAGACTTGTGTAAGGGGCCTCCATACAGGTCATTTCTACTCAAATCTCCACCAATAAAACCTTTGCATCACATGTCCTCAGGGTCTTTAGAGGATTTAGAAATAAGGATGCTAAAATAAATTCCCCATACAGCACTTGCCTTTATTATGTTGACTTATGTCAGACAAAGGAGGTTTTTTCTGAAAATTTTGTGGAAGTCAAGGGAATTTAAAGGGTCTCTCCTAAACGATCCTGGGTTATGTCACCCACAGGACCTTTGGTGTTGGCCCCTCTTCCTCATATGTGAGGATGGACCCAGTGGCCTCCCCATTATCTACTTTCTTTTCTTTCTGAACTCCAATGTTTATAAAGCCTGTACCCCTGTAGTGTATGTAGGTTGTCTGACAGAAGTTATACTTAGTGCTCTTTCTTTCTTGTGGGGAAAAATCCCTGGAACTGAAGCTGAGATCTTTAGTACTTGGAGTCACCTTACAGATACAGAGCATTTATGAGGTATTCTTTGGTGCCTAAAGAACTTAAGGCATCCTCTGAAAACCTGGCCCAGGTTAGTGTTTATTATGAATCTCTTTTAACCTTTCTATACTTGTTTCTCCTACATCTCCTAAGTGCTCCAACTAGACATGACAGAAGAGATTTAACTAACGTAGTATGAGTTATATAAAATTCTATTTTTGTAAGTCAAAAATAATCAAATATCAAAAATTTAATAATGTTCAAACTATATACTCTGTGTGGGGTTACCGAGACAATGTGGACATTGTTCACATCTCATAGGGCTGAAAGTCAATGGGCAAGTCCTGGGAACTCATTGTCTTACTGGGGTCTTGTCCTAAATTTCATAGGTTCACCCATCATGCCCTCAACTTTCCTTAATTAGCCATGTCTGCTTACCTCTTCCTCCAGTTTCTCTCTTATTTTTCCCCAGCTATGTTGTTATCATTTCCAGAAATCTCTAAAGCTTGCACAGATCCTTAGCACTATGAGATCCATTGAAAGAGATAGTTTTTTTCTTTTTGAGATAGGGCCTGGCTCTGTCACCCAGGCTGTAGCTCAGTGGTGCGATCGAGGCTCACTGCAACCTCTGCCTCCCACGCTCAAGTGATCCTCCCTCCTCAGGCTCCAGAGTAGCTGGGAATACAGGCAGGCAACCACGCCCAGCTAATTTTTGTAATTTTGGTAGAAATGAGATTTTGCCATGTTGCCCAGGCTGGTCTTAAACTGCTGGACTCAAGCAATCCTCCTGCCTTGGCCTCCCAACATGCTAGGATTATAGATGTGAGCCACTGTGCCCAGGCAAAAAGAGATGACTCTCAATAAAAAAAAGTCCTTTTTCTTAAATCACTGTTTCTTTATCTGTGAATTCTTCTTCCAACTAGAAGGAGGAGAAAGAAGTTTGCCTGTATTTCTCACCAGGAGGAGAAGGGGTCTAGTGTGACATCAGAATGAAAGAGTGCTGGAGTTTGAGCCCCTTCTTGCTTTCCAAGATCCCCACAGTTATCACTTCCCATACCCTGGTTTATTCATGTAAACCACACTTATTTTTCTTAGCAGCTACTGTGTACTCGGCTCCATTCTAGGTTCAGATCATTCTATTTGATTAAGACAGAGAGGGTCCCGACTCTCATGGAAGTTACACAACAATAGAGGAGACAGACACTAACCCAATAAGCATTTAACAAAGAATAAAATATTAGAGAGTCATAGTGCACTGAAGAAAAGACATCAGGTTTGTGAAGAAGAGAGACATGGATTCACCTACTTTAGTTCATATGTTTAGGGAGCTCTACCTGAGAAAGTGACATTCAGCTGAGACAACAAAATAAGTAGACAGTCATGAAGATCTAATGGACGAAAGCTCCAGAGAGACCAAATGGGGGGAAAGCCCTGGTGTGGGAAATTATGTGGAGAGAGAGAAAGACGGCTAGAGGGGCTGATGTATAGAAAGTAAGGAAATGGAGAGGCAGAAGATGAGGTAGGACACAGAGAGAAAGTCAGGAGCCTCATCATTATAGGCTCTGATGTCCACGGTAAAAAATTTGAATTTTATTTTATTTATTTATTTATTTATTTATTTATTTTATTTATTTATTTATTTATTTTTTTAAGATGGAGTCTCGCTTTGTTGCCCAGGCTGGAGTGCAGTGGCGTGATCTCAGCTCACTGCAAGCTCCACCTCCTGGGTTCATGCCATTCTCCTGCCTCAGCCTCCCTAGTAGCTGGGACTACAGGCACCTGCCACCACGCCTGGCTAATTTTTAGTATTTTTAGTAGTGAGGGCATTTTGTCATGTTAACCAGGGTGGTCTCCATCTCCTGACCTCGTGATCCACCTGCCTCAGCCTCCCAAAGTGCTGAGACTACAGGTGTGAGCCACCACGCCTGGCCTATTTTTTTTTTTTTTGAGACGGAGTTTCGTTCTTGTTGCCCAGGCTGGAGTGCAATGGTGCAATCTCGGCTCACTGCAACCTTCGCCTCCCTGGTTCAAGTGATTCTCCTGCCTCAGCTTCCCAAGTATCTGAGATTACAGGCACCCACCACCATACCTGGCTAATTTTTATTTTTTTGTATTTTTAGTAGACATCGGGTATCACCATGTTGACCATGCTGGTCTCGAACTCCTGACCTCAGATAATCTGTCTGCCTTGGCCTCCCAAAGTGCTGGGATTACAGGCATGAGCCACCGCGGCCGGACTGAATTTTATTTAAATAGATACGAGAAGCTACTGTATGGTTACAAGGAGAGTCAATTTATATTCAATTTATTTTTATTTTATTTTATTTTTTTGGTGATGGGGTCTTGCTCTGTTGCCCAGGCTAGATTGTAGTGGCACAATCTCGGCTCACTGCAACCTCTGCCTTCTGGGTTCAGGCGATTCTCCTGACTCAGCCTCCAGAGTAGCTGGGACCACAGGTACATGCCACCACACCTGGCTAAGTTTTTGTATTTTTTAGTAGAGACAGGATTTCACCATGTTAGCCAGGATGGTCTCGATCTCCTGATCTCGTGATCCACCCACCTTGGCCTCCCAAAGTGCAGGGATTACAGGCCTGAGCCACTGCGCCCGGCCTATATTCAATTTTTAAAACTAATTCTAGCTACTCTGTGGGGATTGGAATGTTGGGGTTCACAAGTGGTCAGGAAGACTATTTAGGAGCACAGCAGGGAATTCTCCAGCGAAAACAGGCTTGTGGCTTCATGGAGTGCATTAGTGATAAAGACGGTGAAAAAGATAAAGTGGACAGACTTGGCATGTATTTTTCCTTAGCTTGTTAATGAATTACTGTAAAGGGGGTAGAACAATCAAGCTTATTCCTAAGGATTTTGTTTTGACAAATAAGTGGGTGGTAGTGTTGTTTATTGAGATAGGAAAAACTATGGGAGGAAATTATTTGAAGTGGGTGGTTGGAAATAAAAGTTTTGTTTAAATTTGAGATGATTTATTGACATTTATGTGGAGCAATCAGAAGGTCAATGGCATTTAAGAGACTCATGGTGAGGCTAGGGCTTCAAGTATTTATGTTGGCGGCATCAATACGTGTAGTGTGTTAAATTCCAGGGAGTGGAAGAGGATACATAGGGAGATGGATTGTGTGGAGAAAAAAGAACAGGGCACAGGCCAGCAAAGGGGGCTGAGAAAGAGCCCAGGGATGTTGGAGAAAAATCAAGAGAACATGATGCGTGTACGTCAAGGAAAATAGATTTTTTTCAAGGAGAAGGGAGAGGCCAATTGTGGTGAGTACCACTAAGCGGAGGGGGAAGTGAGAACGTGACAGAGAAGCAAGTGCTGGGTTTGGTGGAGTTGATATTTGCAGTCAGTGGAGTATCCAGGGAGGAAACTGGATTGGACAATTTGAAGAGCGAGTAGAAGTGAGGATGAGGTTAAGATTGACTGTTTTGAGTAGAGAGCTTCAGGGAAGGACTGCACTCTGGGTTCAGGGAGCCAGCTGGATCAAAAGGAAAAGGCTAAAGAGGCTGAAGAGAAGCAGGAGGACCTGTGAACCAGAGATGCTCAGTCATTATTAGCGAGGAAATACTAGAAAGCCCCTGTGTGCAGTGATGACTACTCATGCAGAAGGTCACACAGCCAATATTTAACACAGCCAGTATTTCACACAGCTAATATTTATTAGTGACATAGAATATACCAGTTATTACTCTAGGTCATGAGAATGGAGTGATAAATAAAATGAATCCGGTCGCCATCAGTATATGCCATGTAACATTTTGCAGTGACTGTGTACCAGGCCTGTGAATTTCAGTATGCAATTTCAATAATGATCCTGCTGTATCTGTGGTGTTTAAAAACATATACATCTCTGGAATCTAAAATTGAGAGGTTATAAGTAAAACCCAGTATTACAAATTGAGTGCTGGAAATCAGATTGCAGTTTAAATCTGAGCATATAGAAAGTCCCTTTCTTCTATGTCAGCAGATGCCTTTTGTGTGAGGTTTAGCTGGACTGCATTATTAGACATAAACCAGTGTTTCTGCCCTATGTTTTCAGAATGACAATTCTTTATGAAACTCATAGAAGAACAGAAGACAACTGCAAAATCATGATGAAGATAGTAATTGCTTTAGAATTAAGGAATACAAAAAATAATGTGAGCTGTAGTTATAGGGATCATAAAAGTTTAAATGGGAATGTATTTGAGTATGTGATCAGTGCTAAGAAGAGTCATCATTTAATTTTACACTTAACAGTAATCTCGTGAGGATTACGCTATTATTAAATGCATTTGATAGATTACAAAAAGGCTTATGGTTGGTAAAAATTGACCCAAGTAGAAGAGATCATGTTTTTATTCAGGTTTTCTGATTCTAGAGTTTGAGAGTTTGTCCATCATTAGTGAGTAGTGACTATATTGTGTCTGAATTATTGACAGAATTTCTGATATTCATATGTACCAGGTTGTTTCTTAGAGTGGGGATAGAGATGCAAGGGCTGCTAGTTCCGATGTATTGGGGAAACTTTCATTCATTTTGCATTTATCATTTTAAAAGTTCTGTATGTCTATAATGGTCATGTGTTGAAGAACACAAGGAAGTATTAAATCACTCCTTCTTCTAAGGTTTGACTAGCAAGTTGGGCTAGAGTTACCAAATAAAATACATGTTCCTAGTGAAATCTGAATTTCAGATACAAAACCATAATTTATTGAAAATCCAAATTTAACTGGGCATCCTCTGGTTTTATTTGCCACATCTGTCAACCCTAAGTGTGACACATGGACATGGATTACAGTGCTAACCATGCAAGCCACGGTGACAGCAACTTCACACATGTTTATTTTTAACTTTCTCTGTAAGAAAGTGCTTAGATAATTTAGGGATAAAAAGATAGACATTGCTTGATCCAGGGTGCACACCTCTCTGCCACCATTTCTAAAGGGCAAAGGGAGATTTCTGCAGGTCTTGCTCACAGTCTGGGGAGCTGCTCATTTTTGTAAAGTGTCTGTATGAGAATGTCATTTTCTTGGTTTCCTCCTTTCCGAGGGGACTTGACTACAAAACCAAGAGTTCTGCCTCTGGCCAAGGCTGGTAATTTGATGCCTGCTAGTATTGTTGGGAGTGGGAGACTGAAAGAAATGAGTTAGTTGGGGCATTTAACGGGAATAAAATAGCTGTGGTTGTGACTCATTACTACAGATAATTAGTGGACCAGTGGCAGAGAAATTAAGAAAAAAGATGATGTGAATGATAAATGATATGATTAGTGACTGCTTGGTAAGGCAAGGAAATCATTAAATCTTGGTTCTCATCAAGTTCATTTTCTGGAAAGATAGCACTGTATTGGGAGCAGAATTCTACAAAACCTTCTTTTTACATAGGACCAAGATTTTCAACAAATATTTTTCAATGCAATTCTCAGCTGCTCCATAACTAATAGTAGCTTGTTCAACACAGATTTTTTCAGATGATTCACACCTGTGGTACTTACCCAGGGATGGTTCACCACCCCTCCCTTCCCTCTCATCATCGTTGGGGAACGGTGACAATGTTTGGAACAATTTTTGGTTGTCACAAACAGGGGTTTCTTCTGATATTCAATGAGTAGAAGCCAGGGACACTGCTAGAGAACCCACAATGTTCAGAACAGCCTCTGCCATCAACAAGGAATTATCTGGTCCAAAATGTCAATAGTGCTGAGGCTAAGAGCACTGGTTCACACTGTGCTCTTTCTGAAAATTCTAGACTCACATCTGTTATACACTCACCACACAGTTTAGTCTTTTATTTTTGCTTGTTTCATTATAAACAATTAGACAGTTGCATAAATTCAACCACTTTCTTGTTGAATCCATTTAGTCAATGCAAGCTCAATATTTTCATATTTATTTTTTGCCTTATGCAATATTTTTCAACATTTTCATGAGTTGTCGGTCATCACTATCTCTATTAACTTTCAACAACTTGCCCTTGTAAGTCACAAATAGTGATGCTGCTGAAATTATTTCTCACTAACATGCCTCAGATTTCTGTAGTGATTCTACATTTGATATTATTCACAATGTAAAATGCTTCTATTTATTCATTTCGCTTTTACCCAAGGATTATTTTTAAGTTATTTTTGTCATTTTCACACTTCAAACATAAAGACAAAAACATCAAAAATATAGTGTTTTACATATGTGCATATTTTCACACATATATGTATGTATATTTATATGTATTGAAAGTACAGAAGCACATGTCACCAATAAGAGCTCTGAGACACCTTCGACCACTTACCCTTATCAGATGAGTTGTGGAAACAAGTTTTTTTAACTGAATTTCTGAGCTTTGTGGATTTAGAAATGCAAAGGAAGGTTTGTGGACATTCACAGGGATCATGATTTTATTCTCCTTAAAACTCTTCTGTACTTTCCAATTGTCCTTAGTATAAATCCAAAATCCTAACACCACCCAAGAGGCTTTTCAATACCTGGCTCCTGTGATTTCTCCGGGCTAATCTGTTACCCTCCTTCCCCTCAGCCTCTCTGCTTTAGTGAACTTTCTCCTAGTTTTTTGAAGAAGTTCATCAATTCAAGCTTTTGTACATGGGATTTCCTAAACCTGAAATGTGCCTCCCGTTTTGTCCAAACAGACACGGGCTCCACTCTGCCCCCTGGCTCACACCTGCTTAACCTGTCAAGTCACATCTGAACCGTCACTATTAAGAGGGTCCTTCTCTGGCACCCTAATGTAATTGAGATCATCCTATTATTCTCTGTTCTAGAACTCCACACTTCCGACATTTCTCATTCCTGTCTAAGCTCTTGTGTGTTTGGTGTTGGGCCATCACTTTCACTGCTCTTTAAGCTCCCCCAGCGGAGTGGAGAGGTCTGTTTTCCCTCGTTTGGATTCCTAGAGGCAGCGCAGACCAGGCACAAGGTCAGCACTAAGGAAGGGTTCAGAGGATGAACGCGGTGGGTGCTGTTTAAGGAACCGGTAAACATGTGGGATGAGAGAAGGAGCAGAGTGTCTTTGGGGTGGAGGCTCCCAGGAGGAGGCGGCGCGGGCTGCGGTGCTGGGCGGATCCTCCTCCAGCTCCTGCTTGGAGGTCTCCAGAACAGGCTGGAGGTAGGGAGGGGGGTCCCAAAAGCCTGGGGATCAGACGTGGTTTTCCCGCCTGGTCCCCCAGGCCCCCTTTCGCCTCAGGAAGACAGAGGAGGAGCCCCTGGGCTGCTGGTGGTGGGCGTTGCGGCGGGGGCCGGTTAAGGTTCCCAGTGCCCGCACCCCACCCAGGGAGCCCCGGATGGCGGCGTCACTGTCAGTGTCTTCTCAGGAGGCCGCCTGTGTGACTGGATCGTTCGTGTCCCCACAGCACGTTTCTTGGAGTACTCTACGTCTGAGTGTCATTTCTTCAATGGGACGGAGCGGGTGCGGTACCTGGACAGATACTTCCATAACCAGGAGGAGAACGTGCGCTTCGACAGCGACGTGGGGGAGTTCCGGGCGGTGACGGAGCTGGGGCGGCCTGATGCCGAGTACTGGAACAGCCAGAAGGACCTCCTGGAGCAGAAGCGGGGCCGGGTGGACAACTACTGCAGACACAACTACGGGGTTGTGGAGAGCTTCACAGTGCAGCGGCGAGGTGAGCGCGGCGCGGGGCGGGGCCTGAGTCCCTGTGAGCTGGGAATCTGAGTGTGTGTGTGTGTGTGTGTGTGTGTGTGTGTGTGTGTGTGTGTGAGAGAGAGAGACAGAGAGACAGAGAGAGAGAGCGCCATCTGTGAGCATTTAGAATCCTCTCTATCCTGAGCAAGGAGTTCTGAGGGCACAGGTGTGTGTGTAGAGTGTGGATTTGTCTGTGTCTGTGAGGCTGTTGTGGGAGGGGAGGCAGGAGGGGGCTGCTTCTTATTCTTGGAGGACTCTGTGGGGAGGTGACAAGGGAGGTGGGTGCGGGCGGCTGGAGAGAGAGGTGACCTTGATTGTCTCGGGTCCTTAGAGATGCAGGGAAGGGAAATGTAAGGGGTGTGTGGTTGGGGTGAAGGTTTAGGGGAGGAGAGCTGAGGGGTAAGGAAGGTTTGGGATAATGTGAGGAGGCCAGTTCCAGACTGTCCCTGGCACACACCCTTCATGTAATCTCTGAAATAAAAGTGTGTGCTGTTTGTTTGTAAAAGCATTAGATTAATTTCTAGGGGAATTGAGGAGACCTCTGAGGCATCTCTGAAGCTTCTTTAGGTCTAAATTTCTTGCTAGTTTTTTGTTTTTTATTGTGTATATTTTTACATAGTAGAAATGACTGTGAAACTAACTTTTTGAATTAAAGTTTTAACACAGTTACTATTTTATTATAATGCTAATAGTTTTCTAGTAGTTACATATTATTCTTTTATATATAATAGTTGTGACACAACTTACCTCACTTTCCCCTTTGTTGACCTTTATTATGACATTCACCAAAATTTGAAAATGTATGTTTCTGGTTAATTTTTAATTTATATTTTTTTCATTTATAATTCTTTTGAATTATTTTGACCTATTTATTGGCCAGTTTTAATAACTGCTGTAAGAATTCCCTATTGTATTTGGTAGGGAATGGACAATGATCTACTGCCTAATATCTCGAGGGCTTAGTATTTTTCTCAGTGACTTTGTGGGTTCTTTGTACTGTGAGATTATTAACACTTTATTGATATTTGATTCAGCATTTGCTCCAGTTTGTGGTTTGTATGTTGATTTTGAAAATTCTTTTCCATGTTAAGAATTTGAACATTTTTATATAATAAAATATGTTGCAAAATTTTTATTAATGATTTACAATCCATCTTAAATCTGCCATTTTGTGGTATTGTTGTCTCCAGGTTTCTCCTTACTTCTAAAAAAAATTGCATTTATTGAGAGTCTGCTAGTGTTAGGGATTTTCCTGGGCATAAGCACCCCAAGTGACGAGTCCCAGACACTGCCTTAATCCAAATGTGATTCTGGAAAGAAAAATCATTTTACAATGATAGGCCTAATAATAATTAAGCTTGTGTTGCATGGGAGATGCATTGATCAGCTAAATGTAAATATAAGAACTTTCAAAACTAAAATGACGTTCCTTAATCCTTCTCTCTGCTTTATGACTCATGCTTTTCTGGGAAAGTAAAAATTTGGAGAATCATTTCTGTCTGTCCCACCTTCCCAGGGGCAGAACCATTTCTGTGGTGTTCTAAGGTGTGAGTGCATGGCGGTAGTATTCCTAAAAATTCATATTCGGTTTCGTCATGTACCCAACTCTGTCCCGTTATCTATCAACATTGTTTTAAATCATATATTTCTGTCAAGGTGTACAAGGATGATAAATAGGTGCCAAGTGGAGCACCCAAGTGTGATGAGCCCCCTCACAGTGGAATGGAGTGTGAAGCTTTATGACCTCATAAATTGAAGGTTATCTTCAGGCATTGTTTTATATATTTTACATGCATTAATCCTCATATAATCCCAAGAGGTAAATTAGTATAATTATCCTTCATTATAGGTGACAAAGTTGAGACACAGAAGAATCAAACTCTTAAGGCAGACCTTGGATTTGAACCAGGCAACCTGGCTCAGATATCAGTTTTAATTACTACACTCTGTACTTTCAAAGATTTGTAAACACTTTGACAATGCATGACAATTTCAAGCTATGAAGAAACAAACACAATTTTTCACAATATCTCTCAAATCTAATAGGTCCTCACTATCAAGATTAAGTTCCAGGCTGATGACACTGTAAGGCCACATGGCCAGCTGTGCTGGAGGCCTGGTCAAGGTCAGAGCCTGGGTTTGCAGAGAAGCAGACAAACAGCCAAACAAGGAGACTTACTCTGTCTTCATGACTCATTCCCTCTACCTTTTTTCTCCTAGTCCATCCTAAGGTGACTGTGTATCCTTCAAAGACCCAGCCCCTGCAGCACCATAACCTCCTGGTCTGTTCTGTGAGTGGTTTCTATCCAGGCAGCATTGAAGTCAGGTGGTTCCGGAATGGCCAGGAAGAGAAGACTGGGGTGGTGTCCACAGGCCTGATCCACAATGGAGACTGGACCTTCCAGACCCTGGTGATGCTGGAAACAGTTCCTCGGAGTGGAGAGGTTTACACCTGCCAAGTGGAGCACCCAAGCGTGACAAGCCCTCTCACAGTGGAATGGAGTGAGCAGCTTTCTGACTTCATAAATTTCTCACCCACCAAGAAGGGGACTGTGCTCATCCCTGAGTGTCAGGTTTCTCCTCTCCGACATCCTATTTTCATTTGCTCCATGTTCTCATCTCCATCAGCACAGGTCACTGGGGGTAGCCCTGTAGGTGTTTCTAGAAACACCTGTACCTCCTGGAGAAGCAGTCTCGCCTGCCAGGCAGGAGAGGCTGTCCCTCTTTTGAACCTCCCCATGATGTCACAGGTCAGGGTCACCCACCCTCCCCGGGCTCCAGGCACTGCCTCTGGGTCTGAGACTGAGTTTCTGGTGCTGTTGATCTGAGTTATTTGTTGTGATCTGGGAAGAGGAGAAGTGTAGGGGCCTTCCTGACATGAGGGGAGTCCAATCTCAGCTCTGCCTTTTATTAGCTCTGTCACTCTAGACAAACTACTTAGCCTCATTGAGTCTCAGGCTTTCTGTGGATCAGATGTTGAACTCTTGCCTTACATCAAGGCTGTAATATTTGAATGAGTTTGATGTCTGAACCTTGTAACTGTTCAGTGTGATTTGAAATCCTTTTTTTCTCCAGAAATGGCTAGTTATTTTAGTTCTTGTGGGTCAGACTTCTTCCCCATTTTCAAAGCTCTGAATCTTAGAGTCTCAATTAAAGAGGTTCAATTTGGAATAAACACTAAACCTGGCTTCCTCTCTCAGGAGCACGGTCTGAATCTGCACAGAGCAAGATGCTGAGTGGAGTCGGGGGCTTTGTGCTGGGCCTGCTCTTCCTTGGGGCCGGGCTGTTCATCTACTTCAGGAATCAGAAAGGTGAGGAGCCTTTGGTAGCTGGCTCTCTCCATAGGCTTTTCTGGAGGAGGAACTATGGCTTTGCTGAGGTTAGTTCTCAGTATATGAGTGGCCCTGAATAAAGCCTTTCTTTCCCCAAACGGCTCTAATGTCCTGCTAATCCAGAAATCATCAGTGCATGGTTACTATGTGAAAGCATAATAGCTTGTGGCCTGCAGAGACAAGAGGAAGGTTAACAAGTAGGGGTCCTTTGGTTTGAGATCTTGGAGCAGATTAAGGAAGAGCCACTAAGACTAATGGAATTACACTGGATCCTGTGACAGACACTTTACCCTTCATGGGTCACATGGTCTGTTTCTGCTCCTCTCTGCCCTGGCTGGTGTGGGTTGTAGTGACAGAGAACTCTCCGGTGGGAGATCTGGGGCTGGGACATTGTGTTGGAAGACAGATTTGCTTCCATAAATTTTAAGTGTATATATTTTCCTCTTTTTCCCAGGACACTCTGGACTTCAGCCAAGAGGTAATACCTTTTAATCCTCTTTTAGAAACAGATACGGTTTCCCTAGTGAGAGGTGAAGCCAGCTGGACTTCTGGGTCGGGTAGGGACTTGCAGAACTTTCCTGTCTTAGGAGAGGTTTCTAAATGCACCAATCAGTGCTCTGTAAAAACACACCAATTGGCACTCTGTGGCTAGATAGATGTTTGTAAAATGGACTAATCAGCACTCTGTAAAATGGAGCAATCCACACTCTGTAAAATGGACCAATCAATGCTCTT
Organism: Homo sapiens; assembly: GCF_000001405.40. NCBI lineage: Eukaryota > Metazoa > Chordata > Mammalia > Primates > Hominidae > Homo > Homo sapiens. The sequence continues at coordinate 3,779,871 of NT_167248.2, read as the reverse complement.
TAAAATGGACCAATCAGCAGGACATGGGCGGGGACAAATAAGGGAATACAAGCTGGCCACCCCAGCCAGCAGCAGCAACCCGCTCAGGTCGCCTTCCATGCTGTGGAAGCTTTGTTCTTTTGCTCTTCACAATAAATCTTGCTGTTGCTCACTCTTCGGGTCTGTGCCACCTTTAAGAGCTGTAACACTCACTGTGAAGATTCGCGGCTTCATTCTTGAAGTCAGCGAAACCACGAACCCACCGGAAGGAACAAACTCTGGACACACTAGAATTGATGGTAGAGGTGATAAGGCATGAGACAGAAATAATAGGAAAGACTTTGGATCCAAATTTCTGATCAGGCAATTTACACCAAAACTCCTCCTCTCCACTTAGAAAAGGCCTGTGCTCTGTGGGACTATTGGCTCTGGGAGACTCAGGAACTTGTTTTTCTTCTTCCTGCAGTGCTCTCATCTGAGTCCCTGAAAGAGAGGAAAAGAAACTGTTAGTAGAGTCAGGTTGAAAACAACACTCTCCTCTGTCTTTTGCAGGATTCCTGAGCTGAAGTGCAGATGACACATTCAAAGAAGAACTTTCTGCCCCAGCTTTGCAGGATGAAAAGCTTTCCCTCCTGGCTGTTATTCTTCCACAAGAGAGGGCTTTCTCAGGACCTGGTTGCTACTGGTTCAGCAACTGCAGAAAATGTCCTCCCTTGTGGCTTCCTCAGCTCCTGTTCTTGGCCTGAAGCCCCACAGCTTTGATGGCAGTGCCTCATCTTCAACTTTTGTGCTCCCCTTTGCCTAAACCCTATGGCCTCCTGTGCATCTGTACTCACCCTGTACCACAAACACATTACATTATTAAATGTTTCTCAAAGATGGAGTTAAATATCATCTGGTCCATTTGGCTCCAAAGACAAAAAATGAAAAGAAAAGAAAAAGGGAAGGAAGATTATTTCCCAATAGAATAATGATTTTCATGTATATGTCATGAGTATGTGAGGTAATGCATATGTAAAATAACTTGATTTAGACATTCCACACTATAGGCATATATCAAAACTTCATTCTGTACAATATAAATACACTATACAATTTTTACTTGTCAATCAAAAAAGTAATCCTAATGTTTAAAAAGGCAATGCATAAAAACTGAGAACAGACTATAACAACTGAAACAAACTTGGCAACCATGAGATGAGAAACCAGCTAGCAAGTCAATCAGAACTTTTTTTCACCCCGTCTACAATATTTTGTATTTATAACTGTAAATTAGTGTATAGTGTTTCACTCCAGAGACTTCAATAATATAGTGTTATCAAAGGACTTGTACAGATTTCAGAGAAAGACAAATTTAGAAGACGGAGGATTCTCTATTATGTGCTATCTGAGAGTCAGTATGAAATGTCAAATCCAAAAGTACATAATTTAGAGGTCTATTTCAAAGTAATCATTTGAGCATAGTTTCTCCACTGTCAGAGACGACTGTTATTTTATTTTCAATCAAATTAAAACTTGTTTTTATGCATATCTTATTTTTAGTTATATGTTACTTGTACATAAGTAGCAGCACAATACATACATATAAACCCTATGAGTATAAATCCTATAGAAATATATTAAGTTGATAATTATGTCTGTTCTGTTTGATCACAGAGTTGCAACAAAGAGGCCTCATTTCCTAAGTTGAGGAAATGATTTTCTCATTTTATATGAGACTCGTGGTGTGGAATTACAAGGTAGAACCAAAATGTGTGGAATGAGTATTTCAGTGAAGATGTGTTCTGCTGCTAATAACAGGAAATTACATCTAGTGGCTTTATTTTTCTTTAACCCATTATCTCACATAGCCGATAGATCCAAGGCTGGGCATCTCCAGGGATGCTCAACTCAGCAGGCCAGTGTCATCACCAGTGATCCTGGAACTTCGTAGCTCATCTCTCTATCACACACAGCACGTCAGCTTTCCTGAGATGGTAGGGTGACCCATGCAGCAGCTTTAGGTTTGTTATTCATTCACAACAACTCCCAAAGGCAGGAAAAGGATACTCCTTTCTCCTGTGTGCCTTTATAAGGAGCAACTAAACTGTTTCCAGAGTGTTCCCAGTACCCACTTTCTTATACATTGGAATGACCGTGGGATCACACAGGCTCAGACAAGCCAGGATTCAACCTTTGTAGAGTGGGCCTGATGCACATGGGAAGAAAAGGAGCAAAATCATATATTTTTAAAAACAAAGAAATGGTGGATGGAGTAGCAGAGATTGATTTCATCATAGGGAAATGATAGATTGTGGTACTATCAGGTTGTAAGTATTTGAGTTAACTTCCACACGAAGGCCTATAGATTCCTGATAGGCACCCTCAATTCAGGGCTTTGGGTCTTTATATACATACACACACACACACACACACACACGTATATATGTATATATAGGTGTATATACACACACACATATAGAGAGTATTAAATGTCAGCCATTAACTCAATTACAATCAAACAAAAAAGCAAACAGAATTGTTTTTAGAACTCAATTTATGCTGACATGTTATTTTATGAGGTAAATGTATTTTCCAGGGAAATTGAAAAAAAAGTAGAATAAGGAATGACTAGCTCTATAAAGCTCTAAAACATACTATACATTTACTTTTAAAAATGCATTTGTAACTGCTTTTTTTTAAATTAAATATGCTAGTAAGACAGAGTCTAGAATTAGAAACAGAGTTGAGATTTAGTTTCAGTTTTTGTAAGTTGTATTCCAAACTCATTTCTTTCACTAAATAAATCCTGGATAAATAAAACTTGAAACATAAAGAGAAAATATAAAATTCACAAGACAGATGTTATTTCTAATACTATCATCATCATTATAATTATGTTTGAAGACAAATAGACTTTCTAATTTCTTATGTGTTGCTGGTGGGAGTGTATGATTCTACAAATACCTGATAATTTGGCAATTTCTTAAAAAGTTTAACATATGTTTGCCCTATGACCCACCAATTTCACTCCTTGGAATCTACCTAAGAGACAGAAAAACATATGTCCTCACGAAGATATGTGTTCAAGTGTTCAGAACAGCCTTAGCCGTAGTAGGCCCAAACTGAAAACAATCCAAATTTCCATCAACTAGTAAACAGATAAACAAAATTCAACTACATCCAGGCAAGGCAATATCATTCAACAATAAAAGGGGACAAAACTAGACTTATCTGGCAGGGGAGACACCATGAACATGAGGATAGTTTTCCCAAGGCAAGTTTCAACCCTTGCACTCTAGATGATGAGATTACTTAATGGGTACAATGCATGTGATTTGGGTAATGGATACTGTAGAAACACTGACGTCACCACTATGCAATTTATGCATGTACCAAAACTACACTTTACCTTATGCATTTACACAAATGAAAAAAGACAAAAAGAAATGAAAACAAACAAAATGATGATACATACCACAAAACTTGTGAACTTCAATAATGTTAACTAAGTGAAGGAAATTGGATACAAAAGATTACATGTTGTGTGATTTCATTTACTTGAAATATCTAGAAAAGGTAAATTTATGTACACAAAAGGCAGATCATTGGGTGCCTAGGGTTTGGGGTCTCAGTGGGACTTAAATATAAATAGAGAAATTTGGGACATGACAGAAATGTTCTAAAACTGGATTGTTGTGATAATTGCTCAAATCTATTAATTTACTCAAATCATTAAATTTTACATATACAGTGAGTGAATTTTGTAGTATGAAAATTATGTTTCAGTAAATCTGTTAAAATAATTCTTTTTTAAAAAATAAGACTTCGTAAGCAAGACAAAATCCAGAAGACACAAATGAAAAAATATTTGAAGAAAATTACTGATTTCATTGCATGAAGAAAATAACAAAATTAAAAGAAGTATATGACGCTCAGGAAAAATTTTGATCACGTAAGGCAGACAATGGGCTAACTTTCTTATGAAAAATTGTTAACTATCAATAAATAAATTCATGGAAATGCCATAGACAATTGGGCAAAGGATATAGACTCACTATAGAAGAGAATTTCCTAATAGTCGATAAATATAAATATTTGCTCAAACTCACCAATGAACAGAAAAATCCAAATTCGAACAGCAATGTAATAAACTAGTTCTCCTACTCCAAAATTAACAAGTACAATAGTTTGTTTTAAACTCAAGGATTTAGAAGATTCTAAGGGAATAGACTCTCTCATATTATTAGGATTTTGAGTTATGGCAGTGTAGTAGTATCTATTAAAACTCAAAATACAATTGTCACACGCTTGATGAAAGCAACAAAAATCCCATTCTAAACATCCATCTTAAAGAACAATCGTACATGAGCCCAAGGAGACATAAAATTGGTCGTTTGTTGAGCCACAGTTTGGAATAACAAAAACATTTCCAGATTCAAAAAGAAAAACTGATTAATTTGTCTTGATTATAAAAATTTTGTACATCCTAAAAACTATGCAGCATGTGAAGTGACAGCACACTGCCACTGCAGGATGACATTTGGTGCTGTGTGGGGCACTGTGAGCATATATTGGTGTAACCCTGTGAGTAGTTGGGATAATACAGTATTTCCACTCTGGATTGTTACAGTCTCGGTAAATTTTTCCTCATATGTCCATGATGACATATAAAAAATGTAACAGGGGAGAAAAGAAACACTCTCTACATTTAGATAGAAAAAAGGTAAACTGTGGTATAACCACAGAAAGCAATAATATTCAGGGCTTTAAGTAAATTATGTAGGACTATCAACATGGATTGGAAAAAAATCATAAACCATAATGCCAGTTAGGAGATGGAAAATTATGAGAATTGTCACTGTTACCATAAGAGCAAAAAGACATATAGACTAAACTAAATGGATAAACTGGAAAATAATCTTATTTTTAAAATTTTAACCAGCTGTGGATCAAAAAGTATAAAAATTCCAAATTCCAGAGATGAACAAATTCCACATATGCGAGCAGGGTCAAGTGTCCACTCTTATTCTTTGGTCTATCTACTGAATCTTAACATGGGTGGAAGATTGAGCCTGGCTGAGAAAGGGAGATTGTGAGGGAGTAAAGACAAACCAGCTGAGTTGTAAATAACGCTGTGGGCTTGTGTGATGCATTACAATCTATAGAGGGCCCCTGAATAATACATATCTACTTTGCCCTGTCAGCTGATTCTCCTTCCAGAACTTTTTCTGACTTCATACTGTTGCTGTGGGAACTAAGGAGGTAGATACAAGACAACGAACATCTCTGTAGCTTTGTGCAAACAAAGATCAGGAAGGAAATCAAGATAGGAACAATGCTTTCAACCATCTTGACTTATTTGGCATTTATAATTGACATATAAATTGACAACATCTCATAACTACAGAATATTTATTTTTTTACATTGCACAAAGATTATCCATGAAATGGAACACATACTATGACTATAAAACTAGTCTTAATTACTTTCATAAGAATAAAATCACCCAGAGTATATTCTCTGAACACAATCTTATCAAATTACAAATTAGTAAGATTGAGAAAACTGCCTAAATTTTTGGAAGTAAAATAATACATTTCTAAATAATCTGTGGCTTGTCAAAGAGGATATCAGAAGGAAATTAGAAAATAATTTTAAATAAAATAATACTACAATGAATTTTTAAAATTTTCGAGATGCAACCAAGGCAGTCCTTAGAGAAAAATATTTAGTTTTAAATGCCTGTATTATAAAAAGATAAATATGTAAAAATCAAAGGTGTAAACTTTTAACTTAATAATAAAAAGAAACAAATTTAAGTTGAAAAAAGTAGAAGAAAAAAGCAAAGGGGTGAGGAAATCGATAACATTATTTTCTTGGTTTTGTTTCCTATTTGTTTACTATAGAGCATAATTGTGTTAGTCCCTTCTTACATTGCCAGAAATAAACACCTGAGGTTGGGTAATTCATGAAGAAAAGAAGTTTAACTGACTCAGGGTTCTGCAGGCTGTACAGGAGGTGTGGTGCTGGCAATTGCTTCTGGTGAGGGCCTCAGGAAGCTAACAATTATGGGGGAAGGAAAGGGGGGCCCAGGTATCACATGGTGAGAGCAGAAGCACAGAGAAAGTGGGGAAGAGTCGCACTTCTTTAAACAACCAGATCTCATGTGAACTGAGTGAGAACTCACTCATTACAGCTAGGATGGCACCAAGTCATTGATGAAGGATCTGCCCCACCCCCCGACCAAAATACCTCTCACCAGGCCTCACCTCCAACGATGGAGGTTACATTTTAACATGAGATCTGGAGGGGACAAACATCCAAACTATATCAATAAAATAATTGGTTTAATGTATACTGACTTTGTAATCAGCAACATTACTTAAATTTACTTATTAAATCTATGAGCTTGTCTATTGTTTTTATTTCCTAAGTACCTGATTATGTCAAGAGTAAATAATGACCATCTTACCTGGATGCAATTATCTCTTTGATATATTTTTCTTGCTGTTATCATTCTCTAACTCGTCTAGTACTCCAGATATGAAGGAGACAGTTTTAAACATTTCACTGCTGAGACTAATGTGTGCAATTGGGTAGCTATCATTTCTCAGATTGAGAAATATTTTTTTAAAACAAGTTTGAAAACAGATTTTTTAAAAATTAAGGCCAAGTGCTGAATTCTGTCAAATCATATTTCATGACTATCAAGGTGGTTGCATGTGTATTCTCCTTCCTTCAGTTAACGTAGTGAATCACACTAATTGATTCTCAAATGCTTACATAACCTTGCATTTCAGGAATAAACTCCACTTGGTCGTGATATAGTAGCCATCTTTTATATCACTGAATTCACTTGGCTAACATTTTCTTAAGAACTTGGCTCATAAGAGTTATTGGTCTCTTAATTCCTATTCGTTGTAGAGTTCCCTTCAGGTCTTGAAGTAAAGTTTACACAGATCTCATCAAACGTAACTGCAAGTGCTTTTCCTTTTTTCAAATATGTTTGAAGTTTGTATAAAGTTAGTGTTGTTTGTTCCTTAAATATTTTTAAATAGTTACTGAAGCTAGATGAACCTGGGGTTTTGTCTTGGGAAAGCATTATAGAATGGACTTACTTTCTCTATGACATGTGGAACTCTTCCTGTTTTATGTTATTTGTCAGCTTCAGTACATTGTACATTTTGAATAATTTATTTATTACATGCACATTTATTTTTGTAAAGTTGTTCATAATATTTAGTATTATTTCATGCTGATAAATCTGTAAGACTATAACAAAAGCTATGAAATTTGTGTAACTGGAGTCTTAGAGGGAGATGACAAATGGGTGATGCACAAAGAGTGTTTGAAGAAAGACTGACTATTTTCCAAATTCGGACAAAGACTTAAATGTAAAAATTCAAGAATCTGTGCAAACCCAAACGAAAATAAATCCAAAGAAATTTATGCCAAAAAAAATCTCGAAAGCAACAAGAGAGAAATGACATCTCATGCACAGGAGAAAATAAATTAAATGACAGTGGATTGTTCAATAGAAATCATGCAGACCAGACAAAAGTGGCACAAGATATTTTAATGGCTGAAAAGAATGTTAACCTAGAATGTATATCCAGTAAAAACATTATTATAAAATGTTCCATCATGACATTCTTTTTTTTTCTTTTTCTTTTTTTTCTTTTTTTGTTTGTTTTTTAGATGGAGTCTTGCTGTGTCACCCAGGCTGGAGGGCAGTGGTGCGACCATGGCTCACTGCAGCCTCTGCTTCCCAGGCTCCTGTAATCCTCACACATCAGCCTCCTGAATAGCTGGAATTATAGACACGCACCACCACGCCTGGCTAATTTTTTGTATTTCTGGCAGAGACAGGGTTTTGCCATGTTGCCCAGGGTAGTCTCGAATCCCTGAGCTCATGAGATCTGCCTGCCTTGGCCTTCCAAAGTGCTGGGATTACAGGTGTGAGCCACCATGCCTGGCCATGACACACTTAGAGGAAGGAAAATCAAGAGAATTTCATGCTAGCAGACTTATGTTAAAACAAGGGCTAAAGGAAGTGTTTGAACTGGAATAGAAATGATAATGGAAGGAATCCTGGATAATTGGGAAAAAAGTAAACAATAAGTGAGTAAAAATATGGTTAGATACAACAGACTTCTTCAGTTTTGTAAATTAATTTGATGGTTGAGGCAAAAACTGCAACATTGACAGATGTGGTTTTGATGCAAGTAGAGAAAATTAAAAATATATATTATACATGCGGAAGTGGAAAGGGATATAAAGGAGGCAAAGTTTCTACACTTTAGTCAAATTGGTAAAATGTCAGCACCAGTAGACTATGATAAGTTATGTTAATAGATAGATAAATCACAAAAACTATACAATGAGATAAACCAAAAAATGATTGATTTAAAAATGGAATTCTAAAAATTGCTTAAGGAACACATTGGAACATAGGAAAAGAAACCAGAGAAGAAAAAACCAAAGGAAACAAAAAAGAAAACAAAAAGCAGATGGCAGTCATAAGAGCTCACATATTAATAATTGCATTACATGTAAAGTGTGTAAAAAGACAAATGTCAGAGTGAAAAACAATGACCCATCGACATGCTTCCTATAAGAAACTTACTGCAAATATTACCTGCCCATCTTCCCTTGGCTTCCCTGTGACTGAGGTGGCAAAAGGCTGGTGTGTCAACACTTCCCTGAGCGTGCACACACCCAGCCAGTCTGTGACAGCACTGGGGCTTTGCCCCAACTCCACTCTGAGATCAGAGTGGGCACCCGGGACCCGGGTGAGGCCAAGGGAGAGGCCAGAAAGTGGGAGCAGACACCCCCAAGCCTGCATGGACAGGGGGGCCTTCTCAGCCTTGAGAGCGTAGAGAGGCCTGGCTCCTGCTGCCTGCAGGGAGGGCCGGGAGGGCCGGGAGGGCGGGGCTTCCAACCCATTCCGTGGAGCCTGCAGGTAGCCCCTGTCACACCTTCTGGCAGCCTGAGGTGCGCGGCTCCCCCCGCTGGGCCCAGGCTGGCATATGGGGCAAGGGTGATGTCTCTGCAAATTATTCCCGTAGCACTCAGGGTGCCCCGGGCTCTCTCTCGCCGGGATATGGCGGGGGAGGCACCTTGGGGAACAGATCCCAGCCGGGGCCTGGCTGTCAGGAGCATCAGGCTTGGTCGCCACCCGCGGAGATAAAACCCTGGGAGGCCTCAGGTAGAGCCTCTTCCTGAGGCGCAGAAACTGGGCGCCCTCGGCAGGGTGGGACAGTGGCCTTGCCGCTGGCCTGGTCCTCAAAGTGAGGCCACTCCCACATCCCACCCCAGGCCACTGAAGGGTGGCCCCAGCTCCATGCCCTCCCCACAACTGCAGGGTGAGAGCAGCAACGCAGGAGTGGTGAAGGCTCTGGGCCTGGGGGCGGTCCCGCCAGCTGCTCAAGGGTCGGGGCAGTGCAGTCAGATGCCTCAGTGACGCGAGGCACAGGGGACATGGGGTACAAGAGTCCCACCACGGCCACTGCTCCGGCAGTGGATGCTGCCGCCACCGCTTGCAACTTCCCGCAGCAGCCGGCCACTCTGGACAGCTCACCACTGCCAGCATCACCATTTATCTTAAAATACTAATGTGAACCTCAGCTGGTTTTCCTAGATTACTATCATCACAATTAGTTTCTTTTTTTCATAATTTGTTTCTTTTTTGTGTGTTTCTTTTTCTTTTCTCCTTCTTTCTGAAGGAGTATGATCTAGTGGCTGAGCTTGAGGGGTATATAATTTGGTTCTATCTACAGTGTACCATTTACTAGTGTATCTTTGCAAAAGTTGTGTTATCTCCATCGTTGTAGTCTCTCCACCTGTAAGCATGAAAAGGGTGTTTATTTTACTGAGCTGATGTGAGAATTAAATAAAAATATGAAGTATAGAAAGCTTTTAATACAATTCTGAGTACAAAGTAAAATGCTTATTTTTATTGCAGCATGGTGAGAATCCTGCTTCTGGAAACACTAAGGCACATAAGGAAGGAGTGCCCATCAGAACTGTGGTACAGTGTGAATTAATGCAGAGTTTTACATGTACAGTTATACTGTGAAGTCCATTCTGAATCTTAGATGTCACATTTATATTAATATAAAGCATAATAATTATCTAAATGTAGAATTATATGTCTAAAATTACATGATTACATCAGCTGATGTAATTCATAGTTTTTCCCTAGGGTTCTCTTTCCTGAACATTCTGTAACATATTACTTAGCACAGTCTTCTTATATCTTCCCTTATGATAAATCAAAAGAAGCATAATAGTAAAGGGCCATAACCTCAATCAAATGAGGAAATCCTAATGGGAACCGGGAATGAGGGATTGAACACTTTTCACGTAAAATATTAATTATTTTGAAACAGAGTTGTTCTGTCAACAGCTGACTTTGAGTCCTTGACCGATCTCCCAGACCCCTGAATACTTCGATTGGACAGTTGACCTTATCACATTGTTAGGGCAAGTGCTATACAAAGGCACCTTCAGACCCTCCATTGCACATAGGTGGTCCCTGCAAGCCCCTTCCTGTGTGTGCTCTGGAGGTGCCACTAAACTTGGGGGCAGCATCAGGAGACACACTTTATATAAAACCTTTTACTCAGATTAAATTATTAACAAACTTTCCATTTCCTTTAACTTATTAAGGACATCCCTACCTGGAAATAGGTACAGATTACACTCTCCAGTCAACAGCTGTCATTCTGTCATATCATCAGATACCCAGGGGCTGTTGCTACTTGAGGCGTCCACAGAATCACAGCATTTTCCAGTATTGAAAGACCTGAAAGATCATGGTGCCTTCATATCAACTGTGAGACATGAAGTAATTTTCCCAAATCTACGACATTAAGATATGGTGCAATAAGGACCAGATTAAAGGTGTCCTGATTTTCAACCATGTTCCCTCCATCTCATTTACTCCTAAACACAGTCACTGCTGCAAATACTTCTGTTGTCAAGTGGGAAATGAATGTTCTTACAAGACTCAAAGTTGTGAACACATCACTGACCAGCTCAGAGGTGGCTCACAATAAGGACCCAATTAAAGTGTTTCCCATGCAACTGGGTCGAACCTTCCAAGTACTAAATTAAAACAATCTTTTAAAGAAGGAAATTATTTCAGAAGAGGACCTTCATACTGCATCTCTGAGCAGCAACTGATGATGATACTGAACTCAGATGCTGATTGGTTCTCCAACGCGGGATTACCCAATCCAGGAGCAAAGAAATTAGTAACTTCCTCCCTATGTTTGGGATGTGAGTGGTGGGGGTCATAGTTCTCCATGAATGTGAGACTTGCCTGCTACCCTGGCACCTGGTCCTGTGCTGTTCTCCAGCATGGTGTGCCTCAGGCTGCCTGGCTGGAGGCTCTTGCATGGCACCTCTGACAGTGACACTGATGGTGCTGAGCTCCCCACTGGCTTTGGCTGTGGGCACCCGACCTAAGTGCACACTGTGGGTGCTGAGCTACTATAAAGTGGGTAAAGTAGGGAGCTAAATTTGTCACTATGCCCAGGCCATGTCCCTTAAGAATATGTGACGTTTTCAACAGGGATTGCCCATCTTTATCATATGGATCCCAAATTATTTCCTCCACAAAAGGAGCTTCACTACTTGCCCTCTCCATATAAGGGGCCTGTGTACAGGCCATTTCTTCTCAAATCTCCACCAATAAAACCTTTGCATCACATGTCCTCAGGGTCTTTAGAAGATTTAGAAATAAGGATGCTAAAATAAATTCCCCATACAGCACTTCCCTTTATTATGTTGACTTATGTCAGACAAAAGGAGGTTTTTACTGAAAATTTTGTGGGAGTCAAGGGAATTCAAAGGGTCTCTCCTAGATGATCCAGTGTTATGTCCTCCACAGAACCTCTGGTATTGGCCCCTCTTCCTCATATGTGAGGATGTATTCAGTGGCCTCCCCATTATCTCCTTTCTTTTCTTTCTGAAGCACAATCTTTATAAAGCCTGTATCCCTGTAGCGTATGTAGGTTCTCTGACAAAAGTTATACTTACTGCTCTTTCTTTCTTATGGGGAAAAATCCCTGGAACTGAAGCTGAGATCTTTAGTACTTGGCGTCACCCTACAGGCAAATAATACCTATGGGGTGTTCTTTGGTGCCTAAAGAACTTAAGGCATCCTCTGAAAACCCGGCCCAGGTTAGTGTTTATTATGAATCTCTTTTAACCTTTGTATATTACCTTCGCCTACATGCTCTAACTAGACTCCACAAGAAGAGATTCAGTCAATGTAGGAAAAATTATATGAAATTCTATTTTTGTTAAGTCAAAAATAGTCAAATATCAGAAATTTGCTAAGATTCAAACGATATACTCTGAGTGGAGTTACCGAGACAATGTGGACATTGTTCACATCTCACAGGGCTGAAAGTCAATGAGCAAGTCCTGGGAACTCATTCTCTTACTCGGGTCTTGTCCTAAATTTCATAGGTTCACCCATCATGCTCTCGGCTTTTCTTATTTAGCCATTTCTGCTTACCTCTTCCTCCAGTTTCTCTCTGTTTTTCCCCAGCTATGTTGTCATTATTTCCTGAAATCCTTAAAGCTTGCACAGACCCAGAGAACTATGAGGTTTATCACAAGAGATAATTTCTTCTTTTTTTGAGACAGAGCCTGGCTCTGTCACCCAGGCTGTAGTGCAGTAGTGTGATAGAGGCTCACTGCAACCTCTGCCACCAAAGCTCAAGTGATCCTCCCTCCTCAGCCTCCAGAGTAGCTGGGACTACAGGCAGGCAACCACACCCAGCTAATTATTGTAATTTTGGCAGAGACTGTGTTTTGCCATATTGCCAAGGCTGGTCTTAAACTCCTGGGCTCAGGTGATCCTCCTACCTCCCAACATGCCAGGATTACAGATGTGAACCACCGTGCCCTGCTGAAAATACATGAATCTTAACAACAACAACAAAAAATTCTTTTTTCTTAAAATTACTGTTTCCTTGGCCGGTTGCAGTGACTCATGCCTGTAATCCCAGCACTTTGGGAGGCGGAGGTGGGCGGAACACGAAGCCAGGAGATCGAGATCATCCTGGCCAACATGGTGAAACCCGTCTTTACTAAAAATAAAAAAAATTAGCTGAGCGTGGTGGCACTTGCCTGTAATCCCAGCTACTCGGGAGGCTGAGGCAGGAGAGTCGCTTGAACCTGGGAGGCAGAGGTTGCAGTGAGCCCAGATCACACCACTGCACTCCAGCCTGGCAACAGAGCTAGACTCTGTCCCAAATATAAAAAAAAAGAAAAAAATTACTGTTTCCTTATCTGTGAATTCTTCCAACTAGGAGGAGGAGAAAGAAGAAGTTTGCCTGTATTTCTCACAGGGAAGAGAAGGGGTCTAGTGTGACATCAAAATGAAAAAGTGCTGGAGCTTGAGCCCCTTCTTGCTTTTCAGGATCCACACAGTGATGAGTTCCGAGAATGCTGGTTTATTCATGTAAACCACAGTTATTTTTATCAGCAGCTACTGTGTACTGGCCTCCCTTCTAGGTTCAAATCATTCTATTTGAGTAAGATAGAGTGGGTTGGTCCCTACTCATGGAAGTTACACAATCATAGAGGAGATAGACAATAACCCAATAATCATTTAACAAAGAAGAAAATTTCAGAGAGTCATCATGCACTGAAGAAAAGACATCAGGTTTGTGGAAAGAGAGAATTGGATTCACCCAATTTTGGTTCATATGCTTAGGCAGCTCTACCTGAGAAAGTGACATTCAGCTGAGACAACAAAATAAGTAAACAGCCATGTGAAGATGTAAGGGTCAAATGTTCCAGAGAGACACAAATTGGGGGAAAACCCTGGTGTGGGAATTTATATGCAGGGAGAGAAAGAAGGCTAGAGGGACTGACGTAAAGGAAGCAAGGAAATGGAGAGGCAGATGATGAGGTAGGATGCAGAGAGGAGGTCAGGAGCCTCATCATATTAGGCCCTGATGTTCACAGTAAGAAATTTTAATTTTATTTAAACAGATATGGGAAGCTATTGGATGGTTACAAGGAGAGTCAATTTATATTCAATTTTTAAAACTAATTCTAGCTACTTTGTGGGGATTGGATTGCTGGGGTTCACAAGTAAAAAGGAAGACTTTTTAGGAGCACAGCAGGGAATCCTCAGGGAAAACAGCTCATGGCTTCCTGGTGTGCATTAGTGATAAAGACAGTGAAAAACATGAAGTGGACAGACTCGGCATGTATTTTGCTCAGGTTGTTAATGGATTACTGTAAAGGGGATAGAACAATCAAGCTTATTCCTAAGGATTTTGTCTTGACAAATAAGTGGATGGTGGTGTTGTTTATTGAGATAGGGAAAACTGTGGGAGGAAATTATTTGAAGTGGGTGGTTGGAAATGATTTATTGACGTTTATGTGGAACAATCAGAAGGTCAATGGAATTTAAGAGACTCACGGTGAGTCCAGGGCTGGAAGTATTTATGTTGATGGCATCAATACGTGTACTCTGTTAAATTCCAGGGAGTGGAAGAGGATACATAGGGTAATAGCTTGTGTGTAGAAAAAAGAAGAAGGCACAGGCCAGCAAAGGGGACTGAGAGGGAGCCCCAGGGATGTAGGAGAAAAACCAAGAGAACATAATGCTTGTAAGTCAAGGAAAACAGATTTTTTTCAAGAAGCGGGGAGAAGCCAATGAGTATCATTAAGTGGGTGAAGTGAGAATGTGAGAGAGAAGCAAGTGCTGGGTTTGCTGGAGTTGATATCTGCAGTCAATGGAGCATCCAGGATGGAAAATGGAATGGACCATTTGAAGAGCAAGTAGAAGTGAGGATGAGGTTAAGGTTGACTGTTTTGAGTAGAGAGCTTCAGGGAAGGACTGCACTCTGGATTTAGGGAGACAGCTGAATCTAAAGGAAAAGGCTAAAGAGGCCGAAGAGAAGCAGGAGGACCTGTGAACCAGAGATGCTCAGTCATTAATGGCAAGGAAATACGAGAGGGTCCCTGTGTGCAGTGGTGACTGCTCATGCAAAACATCACACAGCCAATATTTCACACAACCCGTATTTATTAGTGACTTAGAATATACCAGTTATTACTCTAAGTCATGAGAATGGAGTGATGAATGAAATAAATCTAGTCTCCATCAGTACATGCCATATAACATTCTGCAGTAACTGTGTACCAGGTCTATGAATTTCAGTATTCAGTTTCAACAATGATCCTATTGTATCTGTAGTGTTTAAAAACATATACATCTCAGGAGTCTAAAATTGAGAAGATGTAAATAAAACCCAGTATCCCAAATGTAGTGCTAGAAATCAGATTGCAGTTTAAATCTGAGCATGTAGAAAGTCCCTTTCTCCTATGTCAGCAGATCCCTTTTGTGTGAGGTTTAGGTATACTGCATTATTAGACATAAGCTAGTGTTTCTGCCCTATGTTTTCAGAATGACAATTTTTTATGAAACTAATAAAAGAACAGAAGACAATTGCAAAATCATGATGAAGATACAAATTGCTTTAGAATCAAGGAATAGGAAAAATAATGTGAGCTGCAGTTAAAGGGATCATAAAAATTAAAATGGAAATATATTTGACTGTTTATTATGTGGTCAGTGCTACGAAAAATCATTATTTAATTTTATACTTAAAAATAATCCTGGCCGGGCGCGGTGGCTCAAGCCTGTAATCCCAGCACTTTGGGAGGCCGAGGAGGGTGGATCACGAGGTCAGGAGATTGAGACCATCCTGGCTAACATGGTGAAACCCCGTCTCTTCTAAAAATACAGAAAAATTAGCCGGGCTTGGTCGTGGGTGCCTGTAGTCCCAGCTACTTGGGAGGCTGAGGCAGGAGAATGGGGTGAACCCAGGAGGCGGAGTTTGCAGTGAGCCGAGATCACGCCACTGCACTCCAGCCTGGGCGACAGAGCGAGACTCCGTCTCAAAAACAAACAAACAAACAAAAATCCTGTGAGGATTACGCTATTATTAAATGCATTTGATAGATTACAAAAAGGCTTATGGTTGGTAAAAATTGACCCAAGTAGAATAGATCATGTTTCCATTCAGATTTTCTGATTCTAGAGATTGAAAGTCTGGCCATCATTAGTGAGTAGTGACCAGACTGTGTCTGAATTATTGACGGAATTTCTGATATTCAAATGTACCAGGTTGTTTCTTGAAGTGGGAGCAGAGATGCAAGGGCTGCTAGTTCCAATGTATAGGCAAAACTTTCATTCATTTTGCATTTATCATTTTAAAAGTTCTATATGTCTCTCCTGGGCATATGTTGAAGAACACAAGGAAGTATTAAATCACTCCTTGTTCTGAAGTTTGACTAGCAAGTTGGCCTGGGGTTACCAAATAAAATACAAGTCCCTAGTTAAATCTGAATTTCAGATACACACCATAATTTATTGGAAATCCAAATTTAAGTGGGCATCCTCTGGTTTTATTTGTCAAACCTTTCAACCCTAACTGGGACACATGAGCATGGATTACAGGGCGAGCCATGCAAGTCACAGTGACAGTGACTTCACACATTTTTATTTTTTAACTTTCTCTCTGTAAAGAAAGTGCTTAGATAATTTAAGAATAAAAAGACAGACATTTTTGATCCAGGGCATCTTTTCTAAAGGGCAAAGGAAGCTTTATGAAGGTCATACTCAAAGTCTGGGGACCTGCTCATTTTTTGTAAACTGTCCGTATGAGAATGTCATTTTTTTGGTTTCTCCCTTTCTGAGGGGACTTAACTACAAAACCGAGAGTTCTACCTCTGGCCAAGGCTGGAAATTTGATGCCTGCTAGTACTGTTGGGAGTGGGAGACTGAGAGAAATGAGTTTGTTGGGGCATTTAATGGGAATAAAATAGCTGTGGTTGTGATGCATTACCACAGATAATTAGTGTACCAGTGGCACAGAAATTAAGAAAGAAGATGCTATGAAAGATAAATGATATGATTTGGTGACTGATTGGTAAGGCAAGGAAATCAGTAAATCTTGGTTCTCCACAAGTTCATTTTCTGGAAACATAGCATGTATTGAGACCAGAATTCTACAATATTTTCATTTTATGTAGGACCAAGATTTTCAACAGATATTTTTCAAAATAATTCTCAGCTGCTCCATAACTAATAGTGGCTTGTTCAACACAGATTTTTTTCAGATGGTTCACACCCATGGTTTTTACCCAGGGATAGTTCGCCAACCCTCCCTTCCCTCCCATCACCCTTGGGGAATGTGTGGCAATGTTTGGAGGAATTTTTGGTTGTCACAACAGGGATTTCTTCTGATGTTTAATGAGCAGATGCCAGGGATACTTTTAGAGAACCTGCAATGTACACAACAGCCTCCATCACCAACAAATTATTATCTGGTCCAAAATGTCAATAGTGCAGGCTGAGAGCACTGGTTCACACTGTGCTCTTTCTGAAAAGTCTAGACTCACATCTGTTTTTTTTTTTCTGTGACGGAGTCTCACTCTGTCACCCAGGCTAGAATGCAGTGGCGGGATCTTGGCTCACTGCAAGCTCCACCTCCCGGGTTCATGCCATTCTCCTGCCTCAGCCTCCCGAGTAGCTGGGACTACAGGTGCCCGCCACCACGCCTGCCTAATTTTTTGTATTTTTAGTAGAGACAGGGTTGCACCATGTTAGCCAGGATGGTCTCGATCTTCTGACCTCGTGATCCGCCCACCTCAGCCTCCCAAAGTGCTGGGATTACAGGTATGAGCCACCGCACCCGGCCTGACTCATATCTTTTATACACTCACCACCCAATCATTTCTTTATGGTTAATTTTTGCTTGTTTCATTAGAAAAAACTACAGAGTTGCATAAATTCAACCACTTTCTTGTTGAATCCATTTGGTGTAGAGAACCGGAGGCCGGAGAATCGTGACCAACTCAGCATTCCACTGATGCTATATGATCAAACAGCAAACTGTTTATCAGGAATACAGAATAGGGGCAAACTCTCTTCTTTGCTGGCCGCCAGAAGTTTTGCTGAGGGCAATCACTCCCTGGCACTGGGCTCCTTGAGTTTATCTACTGGGACATCTAGAGCCTATTGTTCGAGGAATGCAGTCTTGCAAGGCTGCTCTGGAGCAAGCAGCAGACCAACAACCACCCCCTTCTCACTATCTCTTTTCACTTTGTTGAGCTTCTTTCAACAAAGAAAGCTCAAAGTTCAGGGCCCTTGTTCACTAAGAGCAAGGTGCCCCCGACCCCTTCTTCCAAATGAACTCTCTTGTCTTTATTCCCCCCGTTCGTCCTCCTTTGTTCAGTCCAACAGGGTCCATGGCATAGTGACATTCAAACAGCGACAGGGCAACGCCATAGTGGTTTCACAACACAGGGACACGAGGATGTGAACAAAGAAGGTCTGCTGGAGCAGAGGAACTGAAATTGACAAGACGTATGGGGACCCCGGGATGAGTCTGCTGGCAGCAGATATAAGGTCAGTGCCCTAAAGAGGTACTGGGAGCAATATAAGGTCAGTGTTCTAAAGAAGTATTGGGAACAGAAAGTTTTCTGAATCAGGGTAACATGGGGCAGAATTTGTGTATTGAAGAAAAACATTATGTGCAGTTGCTTAAAGTTTTGTTGAAACAATCTGGTGCTCAGGTTAGATCTCAGACATTAACAAAAATGCTGCAGGAGGTTATTACGCATAACCCATAGTTCCCACAGACAGGCACTCTTGATATGGAAAATTGGGACAGAGCAGAAGGATTAAAATGGGCTCATCAAAAAGGTCTCAAAGTTGATCCTTCTCTTTTCTCCACTTGGAGTTTAGTCCGTACTGTCCTTCTGCCATTATCTCCTTCTTATTCTGCTGGACAGTAGGAGTGATGTTCTGAGTCTAAAAATCTGAAAGAATCTGTTGTACCACTCACAGCTCCAATTTAAAATAAAAAACAGGAGAGGGAGGAAAAAAATTGGCCTATACTGCCTCCTCCAATAGCAGAAACATCTGTACCGCCTCCTTCGGTAGCAGAAATAGAGACCCCAATACAGAGCATTTTACACTCTGCTGCCATGGCTAAAGAGCCCATAGGACCTTGCACTTTTCCTATTTCTGTAAGGCCTGATCCAAATAATCCATAGCAGCTCACTCATGAACACACTCCACTAGAGTTTAAGTTGTTGAAGGAATTAAAATGAGTGTGGTAAACAATGGTATACAGAGCCCATTCACTTTAGGACTGCTAGAACCTGTATTTGGTGCTGTGCGCCTTCTACCCTTTGATGGAAAGCATTCAGCTCATGCTTGTTTGTCTCCTTGTGCATACCTGACATTGAATTTAAATTGGCAAGAAATGTGTGCAGACAATGCTAGACAGAATCGTGTAGCTGGACACAGAGACATTACAGAGGACATGCTGTTAGGTAATGGCCCTATTCAGACCTGGAACATCAAATGGCACTCCCAAATGCCAGCAGTGTGCATAGGCTGCTAAATGCGACAGGGCCACAATTCCAGAAGAGGGAGTCCCAGTGCAATCCTTTTTACATATCATGCAAGTGTTGCAGGAACCTTGTGCACAATTTCTTGCATGATGACAAGATGCAATGAAGCATCAGATTCCTCATACCGATGCTGCAGAAATGCTAACCTTAACTCTAGCTTTTGAGAATGTAAACGCAGATTGTAAACGTGCATTGGCACCTGTGAGGTGTATAAAAAACTTGGGAAATTTTCTCAGAGCCTGTCAGGTTGTGGGAACTGAGCTTCATTGCTCTACAATATTAGCGCAGGCAATGGCTAATTTAGCAGTTGACAAATGTAAAAGGAGCCAAGGGTCAAACCCTAAAATGGGAAAATGTTATAATTGTGGAAAAACTGGACATTTTAAAAAGGAATGCCGCCAGATCTCAGGACAGAAAGGAACTTACAATGCAGTGCCCCACCTAGCAGAAAAAACACCAGGACTTTGTCCTCGCTGTAACCAAGGAAGTCACTGGGGTAATCAGCCATTCAAAATTTCATGAAAACAGCACCCACCTGTCGGGAAACTAGAAGGGGGCCTGTACGCGTGCCCCTCAAACAACGAGGGCATTTCCAGTTCAGACCACAGGCCCACTTCAGGGATGGGTCCCAGGAGAAAGATTGATTCCTGGTATTCCTCACCTCAGGAACACCAGGAAGTGCAGGATTAGATCTCCCCACCAGAGAAAGAACTACATTAGTTGGAGGAGACAAACCTACCAAAGTTCCCACTGGCATTTGGGGGCCTTTACCAACAGGATACATAGGACTAATTTTAGGTAAAAGCCCCCTTAACTTGCAAGGCATGACTGTAGTCCCTGGAGTAGTTGACTCTGATTATGAAGGAGAAATTCAAGTAGTTTTAATGTCAAAATGTCTTTGGGTTTTTGAACTGGGAGAATATATTGCTCAGTTGTTGCTTATTCCCCGCAAATTACATCCTTCTCCACAAAAGGAGAAATGAGGAAATAAAGGGTTTGGAAGCACAACTACATGGGAAATCTATCTATCCCAGCCCATAGCCTCTAATAGATCCACCTGTGTAGTACAAATTAAAAGAAAGAAATTTTATGGGCTTATGGATACAGGAGCTGATGTGGCAGTAATATCCAGTAAGGACTGGCCTCCAGTATGGTCTCTCAAACTAACCTCCACATCCCTAGTGGGAGTAGGAGTGGCTAAAAGTGTTCAACAGAGTGCTGAGATTTTATCTTGTCTTGGTCCGGATGGACAGTCATGTACTTTTTAGCCTTATGTTGCAAATATACCAATCAATTTATGGGATCGAGACTTACTTACAGCATTGAATATGAGACTTACAAATGAAAACTTTGATAACCCAGGATTTAAAACATTGAAAGACATGGGATATCAGAGTGGGAAAGGTTTAGGGAAATTCCTACGAGGAAAACCTAACCCAATATCAATAACTGGAAAAACAGATAGAAAAGGGCTATGACATCAGGATTTCTGATGGCGGTCATTGATATTTCTCCTCCACCCTCTGCCTCACCATTAGAATGGCCAATGGCAAACCCGTATGGGTGGATCAATGGCCCCTATCTCAGGAGAAGCTGACACAACTTCAGCAGCTAGTATAAGAACAAGTGGACACAGGACATATAGAGGAGTCAGTTAGCCCCCAGAATTCACCAGTGTTTGTTATTCCAAAAAAGTCTGGAAGATGGCGACTGCTGCATGATTTGAGAGCTATTAATGCACAAATTAAACCAATGGGTCCATTACAGCAAGGTGTGCCAACTCCAGTGGTCATTCCTAGAGATTGGCCTCTTGCAGTAATAGATCTTAAGGATTGTTTCTTTACTATACCATTACATGAGAAGGATAAGCCTCAATTTGCCTTCTCTGTGCCTTCTATTAATCAAAGAGAACCTCTTTCTTGCTATCAATGGAGAGTTTTACCCCAAGACATGCTTAACAGTCCTACGTTATGTCAGCATTTTGTAGGACAGGCATTAAAGGAGCCTCGAAATATGTTTCCTACTGCTTACATCATTCATTTTATGGATGACATTCTTTTGGCTGCTCCTACAGATCAAATCTTACATCAGTTATTCTGAGAAACAAAGCAGGCTTTAACTAAATGGAATCTAAAAATAGCTCCAGAAAAGGTACAAACAACTTCGCCATATCGTTACTTAGATAATATTGTTACTGAAAGACGTGTACGGCCTCAAAAAGTAGTTCTCCTTAAAGACAGGTTACAGACTTTAAATGATTTTCAACAGTTGTTAGGGGATATTAATTGGCTGCACCCAATGCTAGATATTGCCACTTATCAACTGACACAACCTTCTCAAACCCTACAAGGAGATTCTTCATTAGATTCCCCGCAGCAATTGACCAAAGAGGCAGAAGCTGAGTTACAGCCTGTGGAACAGATGCTTCAGCAACGGCATGCCTCCCAGCTACAGCCACAGAAACCTTTGCTTTCACCATCCTTCAGACAAAATTGTGCAGTTTTATAAAGTCTATTCTTTCATTCTTCCTGTGATTACTCATCACAAGCCTATTCCAGGTGGACAAACCTATTTTACTGATGGCTCTTCCAAAGGTGGTACAGCTGTTTATGGACCCAAGCATACTCAAACAATAATGACCTCTGGGGTTTCAGCTCAATACTCAGAGTTGATTGCAGTCATACAGGTTTTACAGCTCACAGCTTCAGATGCTATCAACATTGTCTGTGATTCAGCTTATGTTGTAAATGTAGCCAGTTGCATAGAAACTGCTACAATTAAAAGTACCCTAGAACCAGAACTGCTTAATTTTTTCCTAAGACTTCAACAAACTATTCGGTCTTGTGCAGCTCCTTTTCATTTTTCTCTTATTTGCTCTCACACACAACTTCCTGGAGCCCTATCTCTAGGTAATGATAGAGCAAATAAATTGATTGGTTCTGTGTTTCAGCAAGCTCAAACCTCTCATGTATTACTGCATCAAAACACTTCTGCCCTTACTTGTACGTTTAGCTTGCCTCACAGCCAAGCTAGGTCTATAATACAGTCGTGTCCAACTTGCCAGCATGTCCCTGGAGCCACACCTGTAGAAGGATGTAATCCACGAGGTTTGGCTCTAAATGAAATTTGGCAAATGGATTTACACACATAGCAGCCTTTGGTAAGCTTAGCTATGTTCATGTGCCTATAGACACTTATTCTCATATGCTGCATGCTACATGCCAAACAGCTGAGACAGCTGGTCATGTGCGGCAACATTTCTGTCATCATTTGCTCATATGGGGATACCTAAACAATTAAAAACTGACAATGGACCTGCTTATGCTAGTCATGCTTTTCAAAATTTCCTGTAGCTTTGGGTCATAACCCATAAAACAGGAATTCCTTATAATCCTAGAGGACAAGGCATTATAGAGCAGGCACATCAAACATTACAACACATGTTGAAAAGACAAAACGGAGGAGTAGGAGACAAGTTACCACTGCAATCAAAGTTATATTTAGCCTTATTTACTTTAAATTTTTTGACTCCTGGTACGGATGTTAAGACTCCAGTGGAAAGACATTGGCCACTCTTAGAGAAAAAGAGAAGAGGTTTTCCGAAAGTGTTATGGAAATCCCCAGAAAAAGGACATTGGAAAGATCTGGTGGATTTACCGCCTGTAGTCCCACCTACTCAGGAGGCTGAGGCAGGAGAATCACTTGAATCCAGGAGGCGGGGGTTGCAGTGAGCCAAGATGGCACCACTGCATTTCAGCCTGGTCAACAGAGTGAGACTCCATCTCAAAAAAAAAAAAAAAAAAAAAAAATATATATATATATATATATATATATATATATTTGGAGAATCATTTCTGCTTGTTTTGCACAGGAGATGCATTGATCAGCTAAATGTGAATGTAAGAACTTTCAAAACTAAAATGACGTTCCTTAATTCCTAAATCTCTGCTTTAGGACTCAGGCTTTTCTACGAATATAAAGATTCGGAGAATCATTTCTGTCTGTCCCGCCTTCCCAGGGGCAGAACCATTTCTCTGGTGTTCTAAGGTGTGAGTGCATGGAGGTACTATTCCTAAAAATTCATACTCGGTTTCCTCATGTACCCAACTCTGTGCCTTTATCTATCCACATTGCTTTAAGACATATTCTTCTCTCAAGGTGTAAGAGGATGATAAATAGGTGCCAAGTGGAGCACCCAAGTGTGATGAGCCCTCTCACAATGGAATGGAGTGAGAAGCTTTCTGACCTCATAAGTTGAAGGCTATCTTCAGTCATTGTTTTATATATTTTACGTAAATTAATCCTCATATAACCCCAAGAGGTAAATTAGTATAATTTAACCTACATTATACGTGAGAAAGTTGAGACACAAAAGAATCAAAAAACTCTTCCAGGATCAACCACTAAAAGGCAGACCTTGGATTTGAACCAGGCAACCTGGCTCAGGTATCAGTTTTAATTAATACACTCTGTACTTTCAAAGATTTGTAAACACTTAAATAATGCATGACAATTTCAAGCTATGAAGAAACAAATAAAATTTTTACAACATCTCGCAAATCTAGTGGGTCCACACTATCACGATTAAATTCCAGGCTGATGACACTGTGAGGGCATATGGCCAGCTGTGTTGGAGGCCTGGTCAAGGCCAGAGCCTGGGTTTACAGAGAAGCAAACAAACAGCTGAACAACGAGACTCTAACTTCCTGATTCATTCTCTCTACCTGTTTTTCTCCTAGTCCAACCTAAGGGGACTATGTATCCTGCAAAGACCCAGCCCCTGCCTCACAGCAACCTCCTGGTCTGCTGTGTGAGTGGTTTCTATCCAGGCAGCATTGAAGTCAGGTGGTTCCGGAATGGTCAGGAAGAGAAGGCTGCGGTGGTCTCCATAGGCCTGATCCAGAATGGAGACTGGACTTTCCAGACCCTGGTGATGCTGGAAACAGTTCCTCGGAGTGGAGGAGCATCCAAGCATGACGAGCCCTCTCACAGTGCAATGGAGTGAGCAGTTTTCTGACTTCCTAAATTTCTCACCCACCAAGAAGGGGACTGTGCCAATCCCTGAGTGTCAGGTTTCTCCTCTCCCACATCCTATTTGCATTTGCTCCATGTTCTCATCTCCATCAGCACAGGTCACTGGGGGTAGCCCTGTAATCGTTTCTAGAAACGATTTCTAGAAACAGGTTTCTAGAAACGATTTCTAGAAACAGGTTTCTAGAAACGATTTCTAGAAACAGGTTTCTAGAAACCTGTACCTCCTGGAGAAGCAGTCATACCTGCCACGCAGGAGAGGCTGTCCCTCTTTTGAACCTCCACATGATAGCACAGGTCAGGGTCACGCGGTCTCCCTGGGCTCTGGGCCTCTGGGTCTGAGACTGTGTTTCTGGTGCTTTTGATCTGAGTTGTTTGTTGTGATCTGAGAAGAGGAGAACTGCAGCGACCTTCCTGACATGAGGGGAGTCCAATCTCAGCTCTGTCTTTTATTAGCTCTGTCACTCTAGACAAACTACTTAACCTCACTGAGACTCAGGCTTTCTGTTGATCAGATTTTGAAGTTGTGCCTTACATCAAGGCTGTAATATTTGAATGAGGTTGATGCCTGGACCTTGTAACTGTTCAGTGTGATTTGAAAAACGTTTTTTCCCCCAGAAACAGCTAGTTATTTTAGTTCTTACAGGGTAGCCTTCTTCCCCATTTTGAAAGCTCTGAATCTTAGGGTCTCAAGTAAAGAGGTTCAATTTGGAATAAACGTCACTAAACCTGGCTTCCTCTCTCAGGAGCACGGTCTGAATCTGCACAGAGCAAGATGCTGAGTGGAGTCGGGGGCTTCGTGCTGGGCCTGCTCTTCCTTGGGACGGGGCTGTTCATCTACTTCAAGAATCAGAAAGGTGAGGAGCTTTTGGGAGCTGAGTATCTCCATAGGCTTTTCTGGAGGAGGAAATATGGCTTTGCTAGGATTAGTTCTCAGTATATCAGTGGCCCTGGATAAAGCCTTTCTTTCCCCAAATGACCTCCAATGTCCTGATAATCCAGAAATCATCAGTGCATGGTTACTATGTCAAAGCATAATAGCTTGTGGCCTGCAGAGATAAGAGAAAGGTTAACAAGTAGGGGTCCTTTGCTTCGAGATCCTGAAGCAAATTAAGGAAGAGCCACTAAGGCTAATGCAATTACACTGGATCCTGTGACAGACACCTCATGCTTCATGGGTCACATGGTCTGTTTCTGCTCTTCTCTGCCGTGGTTGGTGGGGGTTGTGGTGTTAGAGAAATCTCAGGTGGGAGATCTGGGGCTGGGACATTGCATTGGAAGACAGATTTGCTTCCATACCTTTTAAGTATATATATTTTCCTCTTTTTCCCAGGACACTCTGGACTTCACCCAAAAGGTAATACCTTTTAATCTTCTTTCAGAAAGAGATTCGGTTTCCCTAGAATGATGGCAGAGGTGATAAGGCGTGAGACAGAAATAATAGGAAAGACTTTGGATCCAGATTTCTGATCAGGCAATTTACACCAAAACTCCTCCTCTCCACTTAGAAAAGGCCTGTGCTTTGCAGGATCATTGGCTCAGGGAGACTTAGGAACTTGTTTTTCTTCTTCCTGCAGTGCTCTCATCTGAGTCGTTGAAAGCGGGGAAAAGAAGTTTTAGTAAAGCCAGGTCTGAAAACAATTTCCTCTGTCTCCGCAGGACTCGAGCTGAAGTGCAGATGACCACATTCAAGGAAGAACCTTCTGCCCCAGCTTTGCAGGATGAAAAGCTTTCCCACTTGGCTGTTATTCTTCCACAAGAGCTTTGTCAGGACTAGGTTGTTACTGGTTCAGCAACTCTGCAGAAAATGTCCTCCCTTGTGGCTTCCGCAGCTCCTGTTCTTGGCCTGAAGCCCCACAGCTTTGATGGCAGCGCCTCATCTTCAACTTTTGTGCTTCTCTTTACCTAAACTTTCCTGCCTCCCCTGCATCTGTACTCCCCTTGTGCCACAAACACATTGCATTATTAAATGTTTCTCAAACAGAGTTAAAAATTATCTGGTCCATTTGGCTGCAAGGACAAAAAACAAGAGAAAGGGAAGATTATTTCCCAATAGAATAATGGTTTTCATGTATATATAATAAGTATATGAGGTAAATGCACATGTTAAATAGCTTGATTTAGACATTCCACACTATAGGCATATATCAAAACTTCATGCTCTACAACATAAATATAATATACAATTTTTACTTTCCAATTAAAAAAGTAAACCTAATGTTCAAAAAGGCAATGCATAAAAACTGAGAACAGACTATAACAACTGAAACAAACTTGTCAAACATGAGATGAGAAACCAGCCAGCAAGTCAATCAGAACTTTTTCTTAACCCCGTCTACGATATTGTGAATCTATACCTTTAAATTAGTATATA
This sequence comes from Homo sapiens, assembly GCF_000001405.40. Taxonomy (NCBI): domain Eukaryota; kingdom Metazoa; phylum Chordata; class Mammalia; order Primates; family Hominidae; genus Homo; species Homo sapiens. The sequence goes on along the minus strand of NT_167248.2, from coordinate 3,753,040 downwards.
GTTTTTCATTCCAGAGACTTCAGTTATATAGTATTATCAAAGGACCTGTACAGATTTCAGAGAAAGGCAAATTTAGAAGATGGAGGGTTCTCCATTGTGTTCTATCTGAGAGTCAGCATCAAATATGTCAAATCTGAAAGTACATAATCAATTCAAAAGTTTACTTCAAAGTAATAATCATCTGAACATAATTTATCCGTCAGAGACAACTGTTATTTTATTTTCAATCAAATTCAAGGTTTATTTTATGCATATTTTGTTTTTAGTTACATGTTATTGTACATACATAGCAATACATGTATGTATATATCCTATAAGAATATAAATCCTATAGGAATATACTAAGCTGATAATTATGTTTATTCTGTTTGATCCCAGAGTTGCCACAAATATGCTTTGTTCCTTAAGTTGAGGAAATGATTTGTCTCATTTTATATGAGACTTGTGGTGTGGAATTCTAAGGTAGTACTAAAATGTGTGGGATGAATATCTGAATGAAGATGCCTTCTGCTGCAAATAGCAGGAAATCCCATCTAGTGGGCTTTTCTTTTCTTTAACCCATTATCTCATATTGCCGATACATCCAAGTCTGGGCATCATCAGGGTTGCTCAACTCAGCAGGCCAGTGTCATCATCAGCGATTCTGGAACTTCATAGCTCATCTCTCTATCACACACAGCACGTCAGCTTTCCTGAGATGGTAGGAGGACCCCTGCAGCAGCTTTAGTTTTCTTATTCTTTCACAACTCCCAAAGGCAGGAAAAGGATATGACTTTTTCCTGTGTGTCTTTATAAGAATCTACTAAACAGTTTCTAGAGTGTTCCCAGTACCCACTTTCTCAAACAATGGAATGACCGTGGGATCACATGGGCTCAGATAAGCCAGGATTCAACCTTTGTAGAGTGGGCCTGATGCACATGGGAAGAAAAAGAGCAAAATCATATATTTTTAAAAATAAAGAAATGGTGGATGGAGTAGGAGAGATTGATTTCTGGGTAGGGCAATGAAAGATTGTGGTATTATTAGGTTGTTAGTATTCATAGTTAAATTCCACGTGAAGGCCTAGAGATTCCCGATAGGCATCCTCAATTCAGGGTTTCTGGGTCTTTTTAAATACATATATATTTATTATACATATATTTAAATATATATATATTTTAAAAACATATAAACATATATAATATACTCACATTGAGTATTAAATGTCAGCCATTAACTCAATTACAATAAAACAAAAAAGCAAGTAAAAAGGATTGTTTTTAGAACTCAAGTATGCTGACATGTTATTTTATGAGGTAAATATATTTTCTAGGGAAATTTTTGAAAAAAAAGCAGAAAAAGGAATGACTAGCTCTGTAAGGTGCTGTTTTAAAACACACTATACATTTATTTTTAAAAAGGCATTTGTTACTGATTTTTTTTTCATTAAATACTAGTAAAACAGAGTCTAGAATTAGAAAGAGTTGAGATTTAGTTTCAGTTTTTGGTAAGGTGTACTCCAAACTCATTTTTTTCACTAAATAGATCCTGGATAAATAAAAATTGAAACATAAAGAGAAAATATAAAATTAACAAGACAGATGTTATTTATTTATTTATTTTTCTTTTTTGAGATGGGGTCTCGCTCTGTTGTCCAGGCTGAAGTGCAGTGGTGTGTTCCCTGCTCCGCACAACCTTCGACTCCTTGGTTCAAGCGATTCTCCTGCCTCACCCTACTGAGTAGCTGCGACTACAGGTGCATGCCACCGTGCCTGGCTAATTTTTACGTTTTTAGCAGAGACAGGGTTTCACTGTGTTGGGCAGGCTGGTCTCGAACTCCTGACCTCATGATCTGCCTGCCTTGGCCTCCCAAAATGCTGGGACTATAGGCGTGAGCCACCGTGTTCGGCTGACAGATGTTATTTCTAATAGTATCATCAACATTATAATTATGTTTGAAGACAAACAGACCTTTTAAACCCTTATGTAGTACTGGTGGGAGTGTATAATTTTACAAATACCTGGAAATTGGCAATTTCCTAGCAAGTTTAACATACATTTACCATATGACCCAGCAATTTCACTCCTTGGAATCTACCTAAGAGACATAAAAACATATGTCCTCACAAAGATATGTGTTTGAGTGTTCAGAACAGCGTTAGCCATAGTAGGCCCATACTGAAAACAATCCAAATATCCTTCAACTAGTAAATGGATAAACAAAATGGTACTACATCCATGCAAGGCAATATCATTCAACAATAAAAGGGGACAAAAATAGACTTATATGGCAGGGGAGATACCATGAACATGAGGGTAGTTTTCCCAAGGCAAGTTTCGATCCTTGCACTCCAGATGATGAGACATTACTTAATGGGGACAATGCACGTGATTGGGGTGATGGATACTGCAGAAACACTGACTTCACCACTAAGCAATCTATGCAGGTAACAAAACTACACTTGTACCTTATAAATTCACACAAATGAAAGAAGACAACATGAATAAAAAGGAATGAAAAGAAACGAAACAAAATTGATGATACATACTACAAAACTGGTAAACTTCAATAATGTTAACTAAGTGAAGGAAACTAGACACAAAAGATTACATGTTGTATGATTTCATTTACTTAAAATATCTAGAGAAGGTAAATTATAGACACAAACAGCAGATCATTGGGTGCCTAGGACTTGGGGTATCGGCGGGAATTAACTATAAACAGATAAATTTTGGACACGATAGAAATGTTATAAAACTGGATCATTGTGATAATTGCACAAATCCATTAATTTACTAAAATCATTAAATTTTATATAGACAATGAGTAAATTTTGCAGTATGTAAATTATGCTTCAGTAAACCTGTTAAAATAATTCTTTTTTAAAAAAATAAGACATTGTCGCTAGGTGTGATGGTTCACACCTGTAATCCCAGAACTTTGGGAGGCCAAGGCGGGTGGATCACGAGGTCAGGACTTGAAGACCAGCCTGGCCAAGATGGTGAAACCTCGTCTCTACTAAAAATACAAAAACATTAGCAGGGCATGGTGGCAGGTGCCTGTAATCCCAGCTACTTGGGAGGCTGAGGCAGAGAATGGCGTGAAGCCGGGAGGTGGAGGTTGCAGTGAGCCAAGATCGCGCCACTGCACTCCAGCCTGGGCGACAGAGTGAGACTCCGTCTAAAAAACAAACAAACAAACAAACAAAAACAGGGCTGTGCATGGTGGCTCAAGCCTGTAGTCCCAGCACTTTGAGAGGCTGAGGTGGGCAGATCACGTGGTCAAGAGTTCAAGACCAGCCTGGCCAAAATAGTGAAACCCTGCCTCTACTAAAAATACAAAAATTAGCCGGACGTGGTGGTGCATGCCTGTAATCCCAGCTACTCAAGAGGCTGAGGCAGGAGAATCGCTTGTGAGCAGGAGACGGTGGCTGTGGGGAGCCGAGGTCACACCATTGCACCCCAGCCTGGGAGACAGAGCAAGACTCTGTCTCAAAAACAAAAAACAACCACAACAAAAAAACAAAGAGGTGAGGAAATTGATAAAATTATTTTCTTGGTTTTGTTTTCTATTTGTTTATGGTAGAACATTATTGTGTTAGTCCATTCTTACATTGCTAAAAAGAAATACCTGAGGCTGGGTAATTCATAAAGAAAAGAGGTTTAACTGGCTCAGGGTTTTGCGCACTGTACAGGAGGTGTGGTGCTGGCAATTGCTTCTGGTGAGGGCCCTCAGGAAGCTAACAATCATGGGGGAAGGAAAGGGGAGCCTGGGTATCACATGGTGAGAGCAGGAGCACAGAGAAAGTGGGGAAGAGTCGCACTCTTTTAAACAACCAGATCTCCTGTGAACTGAGTGAGAACTCATGCATTACAGCTAAGATGGCACCAAGCCATCAATGAAGGATCTGCCCCCCACCAAAATACCTCTCACCAGGCCTCGCCTCCAACACTGGAGGCTATGTTTCAACACGAGATTTGGACGGGACAAACATCCAAACTATATCAATAACATAATTGCTTTAATGTATACTGACTTCGTATTCAGCAACATTATTTAAATTCACTTATTAAAACTATGAGTTTGTTTACTAATTTTATTTTCCAAGTAGCTGATTATGTTGAGAGTAAATAATGACCATTTCACCTGGATGCAATTATCATCTCTTTTATTTATTTTTCTTGCCGTTTTCATTGCCTAACTCCTCTAGTACTCCAGATATGAAGGAGACAGTTTTAAATATTTCACGGCTGAGACTAATATGTGCAATAAGGTTACTATCATTTCTCAGACTGAAGAAATAACTTTTTAATACAAGTTTGCAAATAGATTTTTAAAAAATTAAGGCCAAGTGCTGAATTCTGTCAAATCATATTTCAAGACTCTATCCAGGTGGTTGCATGTGTATTCTCCCTCCTTCAGTTAATGTAGTGAATCACACTAATGGATTCTCAAATGCTCAAACAACCTTGCATTTCTGGAATAAACTCCACTTGGTCATAATGTAGTAGCCATCTTTTATATCAATGAATTCAGTTGGCTATTATTTTCTTAAGAACTTGGCTCATAAGAATTATTGGTCCATAAATTCCTATTTGTTGTAGAGTTCTTTTCAGATCTTGAAGTAAATTTTACACAGATCTCATCAAACCTAACTGCAAGTGTTTTCCACTTTTTCAAATGTTTGAAGTTTGCATAAAGTTAGTGTTGTTTGTTCCTTAAATATTTTAAAATATTTACTGAAGCTAAATGAACCTGGGGTTTTGTCTTGGGAAAGCTTTATAGAATTGGCTTTCTCTATGAGATGTGGAACTCTTCATATTTTATGTTATTTGTTAGCTTCAGTACATTGCACATTTTGAGTAATTTATTCATTGCATGCAAATTTGTTTTTGTAAAATTATTCATAATATTCAGTATTATTTCATGCTGATAAATCTGTAAGACTATAAAAAAAGATATGAAATTTGTGTCTCTAGAGTCTTAGAGAAAGATGACAAATGGGTGATGCCCAAAGAGTCTTTGAAGGAAGATTGACTATTTTCCAAATTTGGATAAAGACTTTAAAGTAAAAATTCAAGAATCTGTGCAAATCTAAAGGAAGATAAATCCAAAGAAATTTATGTCAAAAAATCTTGAAAGCAACAAGAGAGAAATGACATCTCATGTACAGGAGGAAATAAATTAAATGACAGTGTATTCCTCATTAGAAATCATGCAGACCAGAGAGAAGTGCCACAAGATATTTTAATGGCTGAAAGTAATGTTAACCTAGAATGTGCATCCAGAAAAATATTATTATAAAATGAAGGTTCTATCATGACATTCTTTTTTTCTTTTCTTTTTTTTTTGTTTTTTAGATGGAGTCTTGCTCTGTCACCCAGGCTGGAGGGAAGTGGCACATCCATGGCTCACTGCAGCCTCTGCCTCTCAGGCTTATATGATCCTCACACCTCTGCCTCCTGAGTAGCTGGAATTACAGACACACACCACCAAGCCTGGCTAACTTTTTGTATTTTTGGCAGAGACAGGGTTTTGCCATGATGCCCAAGCTGGTCTCAAACTCCTGAGCTTAGGGGATGCACCTGCCTCGGCCTTCCAAAGTGCTGGGATTACAGGTGTGAGCCACTGCACCCGGCCATGACATTCTTAGAGGAAGGAAAATCAAGAGAATTTGATGCTAGCAGACTTATCCTAAAACAAGGGTAAAGGAAGTGCTTGAACTGGAATAGAAATGGTAAGGGAAGAAATCTTGGACAATCAGGAAAAAAAGAAACTAGAATGAGTAAAGATATGGGTCAATACAACAGACTTCTCTTCTTCAGTTTTATAAATTAGTTTGATGGTTGAGGCAAAAATTACGACATTGTCAGATCTGGGTTTTGATGCAAGTAGAGAAAATAAAAAATATATATTATAAATGCAGGAGCGAAAGGGATAAAAAGGTAAAGTTTTTACACTGTAGTCAAATTGAAAAAATCTCAGCACAAGTAGACTGTAAGTTACGTTAATAGATAGATAAAACACAAAAACTCTACAATGTGATACACCAAAAAGTGATTGATTAAAAAATGGAATTCTAAATATTGCTTAAGGGACACATCGAAAAACAGGGAAAGAAAACAGAGAAGCAAAAACCAGAAGAAACAAAAACCAAATGGCAGTCATGAGAGCTCACATATTAATAATTGCATGACATGTAAATTGTCTAAAAAGACAAATGTCAGAGTGAAACATAATGACCCGCTGATATGCTACCTATGAGAAACTTACCACAAATATTACAAGAGTGGAAGCCTGAAATAGAAGAATGGAAAAAAAAAATCGTACTTACTTTTGTCAAAGAAAGCAGAAATGGCTATAATATCAGATAACATAAAATGCACAGAGCAAAGAATATTCTGAGAGACAAACAGAAACACTACATAATCATAAAAATGTTAATTCAGAAAGAAGACATAGCAACTCTAAAAGTATGTACACCATACAACTAAGTTACTTATAAGTAGAGCAAAAAATGGTCAGAACTGGAAGGAGAAATAGACAAATACACAGTTAAACTTTGGGACTCCACAAACCAACTCTGAAAAGTTAATAAAACAACTGGATAAAAACTCAGCAAGATAATGAAACCCAACAAAACTATCCACCAATAAGATCTAATGGACATTGGCAGACCACCACACCAGACAGAAGAATACACATTTTTTAACTGTCCATGGAATATTTACCAACATCTCTCATACCCTGGACCATAAAAGGAACCTCAACAAATGTAAAGAATTGAAATCATACAGACTGTGCTCCCTGGAAGCAACGGAGCTGAACCAGAAATCAGTAACATGAAGAAAATCAGTATAACTCCAAACACATGGAAACTTAGTAACATACATTTAAATTACCCTTGGATCAAAAAATGTCTTGGCCAGGTGTGGTGGCTCACGCCTGTAATCCCAGCACTTTGGGAGGCTGAGGCGGGTGGATCACGAGGTCAGTTGTTCGAGACCAGCCAGACCAACATGGTGAAACCCCCAGCTCTACCAAAAATACAAAAAAAATTAGCTGGGCGTAGTGGCACTTGCCTATAATCCCAGCTACTCAGGAGGCTGAGGCACGAGAATGGCTGGAACACGGGAAGGCTGAAGTTGCAGTCAGGGGAGATTGCGCCACTACACTCCAGCATGGACCACAGAGCGAGACTCCATCTAAAAAAAAAAAGGGCCTGGCGAGGTGGCTCATGCCTGTAATCCCAGAACTTTGGGAGGCAGAGGTGGGTGGATCACGAAGTCAAGAGATCGAGGCCATCATGGCCAACATGCTGAAACCCCGTCTCTACTAAAAATACAAAAAATTAGCCAGGTGTGGTGGCGGGCGCCTGTAGTACCAGCTATTCGGGAGGCTGAGGCAGGAGAATCACTTGAACCCGGGAGGCAGAGCTTGCAGTGAGCCGACAAGGCGCCACTGCACTCCAGCTGGAGACGCCGCATGGCGGCTCACGCCTGTAATCCCAGCACTTTGGGAGGCTGAGGCAGGTGGATCACGAGGTCAGGAGATCGAGACCATCCTGGCTAACACGGTGAAACCCCATCTCTACTAAAATTACAAAAAATTAGCCGGGCGTGGTGGCGGGCGCCTGTAGTCCCAGCTACTCGGGAGGCGGAGCTTGCAGTGAGCTGAGATCACGCCACTGCACTCCAGCCTGGGAGACAGTGCGAGACTCCATCTCAAAAAAAAAAAGATGTCTTAAGAAAATAAAAAGTATGTTCAACTAAGTGATAATGAAAATACAACATATCAAAATGTTTGGCACATAGCTAAAGGAGTAATTTGAACTACTATGCATAGTACAAAATGTATACACTGAAAAAGAGAAAACCTCAGAAACCAATAATCTCAGTTCCCACCTCAAAAATCTGGAAAATTGTCAAAAATAACCTAAAGCAAGAAGAAGAAGGAGAAAAAAAAAACTGATATAAAGGCAGAACTCGGTGGCTCACGCCTGTAATCCCAGCACTTTGCAAGGCTGAAGCGGGCGGATCACCTGAGGTCGGGAGTTTAAGCCTGACCAACATGGAGAAACCCTGTCTCTGCTAAAAATACAAAATTAGCTGAGCATGGTGGCGCAGTCCTGTAATCCCAGCTACTCGTGAGGCTGAGGGAGGAGAATCACTTGAACCTGGGAGGCGGGGGTTGCAGTGAGCCCAGATGGCGCCATTGCCCTCCAGCCTGGGCAACAAGAGCAAAACTCCGTCTCAAAAAAAAAAAAAAAAAAAAGAGGCAGAGACAAAATTAGTGGAAAAAAAGTTTGTTCTTAGAAAATATTAATAGAACTGACAAATTTCTAGGACAAAATAAAAGGAAAAAGGAGAAAAAACACCAATATTGGGGTTGAAACATATTATATCACTACAGATTCTTCGACATCAATAGTACACCAAAGGAATACACCAAAAACACTTAGGTGAAATGGAAAAGAATCCTTTAAAAGTACAGAAGTACACACTATTACAATTAACTCAATATGAAATAGATAAATTGAAAAGCTCTGTAATTATAAAAAGAACTGAACTTATAGGAGAAATCTCTAGGTTAGAATAGTTTTACAGGAGAAATCTACCAAACATTTCAGTAGAATTAACACAACTCTGCAAAATTTCCTCCAGAAAACAGAAGAGAGGGGAAGACATCCCAACTTACTTTATGAGGCCAGCATTTCCTAAAATAAAAAGCACACAAAAACAGTACAGCAAAAGAAAATTAAAAAGCAATATACCTGCATGACTATACATGCAAAACTCCCTAACAAAATGTTAGCAAGTAAAAAATCTGCCAAACTAAAAATATATGTAAAGTATGCCAAGTAGCGTTTATTTTAGGGACGCAAGTCTGGTTTATGTTTGAAATCAATCAGTGTCATCCTTCTTATTAAGAAGCTAAAGAAGAAACATCGCATGGTTATATCAATTGACATAGAAAAGGCCTTTGACATAATTCAACATTAATTTATGATTTAAAAAAACCCCTCAAAATAGTAGGAACTGAGGATGACCTCCTCAACTGGATAAATAACTTCTACAAAAACGTTGCGGCTAAATTATACTTAATAGTGAAAGTCTGAGTGCTTTTCCTCTTCTGCTTCAGCTACTAAGGAAATTCGCAAGGTCACAGAATTCAAGATCAACAAAAAAAATCAATTTTATTTGAATATACAGTAATAAAGAAATCAAAACAAATACTAAAAATACAACATGAATTATTTTCATTCAAAAAACCTCATAAGTATACCAACAGAACATGTACACAATCCATATGCTGAAATGCTGATAAATAAAAAAATCTGAAGAAATGAAGAGATTTACTGTGTTCATAAACTAGAAAACTAAATATAGTAAAGATGTCAATTCTCCTCAATTTGATATCGAGGTTTAACACAATTTCTCCCTAAATTCCAGCAAGATTTGTAATAGTTGTAGACAAAGTTATTATAAAATGCATATGGAGAACCAAGGGAACTAGCATAGGTAAAAAAAAATTTCACAGGGAAAGAGATGAAATAACTATTACCAAATTTCAGAATTTTTATAGCTATAGTAATCAATACTGATCGACATTAGTGCAGGGATAGACATAGATTGGTGGAGCAGCATAGAGAATCCAGAAATACACATATGCGAACTCATTTTGACAAAGGTGCAAAATAATTCAATGGAGGTAATATAGGCTACAGTCTTTTCAAACAATGGTCCAGGAGAAAGTGGAAATTCATAGACAAAAACAAAACCAAACAAAAAACAAAACAGAAGCAAGAAAGAAATAACAAATTCTCACACCGTATGAAAACATTTACCCCAATGAAATCATGTCTACATGTAAAACGTTTAGAAGAAAACACGAGAAAATCATCAGAACCTAGGGCCTGCTGTCTGAATTCTGAGTTCTCAGACATGACATCAAAAGCACTACGTGTAAAAAACAAAAAGACAAAAACAAACAAACAAAAAAAACAATAAATAAGGCTTCTTCAGAGTTTAAAACTTTTGTTCTGTAAAGTATCCTGTTAAGAAATGAAAAGTAAGTTAGAGATACGGAGAAAATATTTAAAACACATATATTACCAAGAATACATTGTCGAAAATATATAATCAACTATAAAAGCTCTTCTATAAAATATATAGCAGAGTGCAGACTATAACATTTAATTGTGGCCAGGCACAGTGGCTCACGCCTGTAATCCCAGCACTTTGGGAGGCCGAGGTGGGCGGATCACGAGGTCAGGAGATCGAGACCATCCTGGCTAACACGGTGAAATCCCGTCTCTACTAACAATACAAAAAAAAAATTAGCCGGGCATTTTGGTGAGTGCCTGTAGTCCCAGCTACTCAGGAGGCTGAGACAGGAGAATGGCGTGAACCCAGGAGGCAGAGTTTGCAGTGAGCCAAGATCGTGCCACTGCACTCCAGCCTGGGCAATAGAGCAAGACTCCATCTCAAAAATAAAAAAAATTTAATTACAAAATGGGCAAAAGATATGAAGAGACATTTTATCAAAGAGGATACATGTACATGGCAAATAAGCACAATGAATGACATGCAAATCACTAGCCATCAGGGAAATGCAAATTAAGAACTTGATCTAATAGTACCACACAACTCTTAATACAGCTAAAATCTCTAAAAAATATGACAATGGTAAATGCTGCTGAGAATGCAGAAAAACTGAATTTCTCATACACTGATGGCGAGAATGTAAAATGGGACTATCCTTCTGTGTCTGGAATTTATTCCTTCCGGTGGGTTCTTGGTCTTGCTGACTTCCAGAATGAAGCCACGGACCTTCGCGGTGAATGTTACAGCTCTTAAAGATGGTGTGTCCGGAGTTTTTTCCTTCAGATGTTCAGATGTGTCCAGAGTTTCTTCCTTCCGGTGGATTTGTGGTCTCGCTGACTTCAGGAGTGAAGTCGCAGACCTTCGCAGTGAGCGTTACAACTCTTAAAGTGGCACGTCCGGAGTTGTTAGTTCCTCCTGATGGGTTTGTGGTCTCGCTGACTTCAGGAATGAAGCCACAGACTCTCGCAGTGAGTATTACAGTTCATAAAGGTAGTCCGGACCCAAAGAGTGAGCAGCAGCAAAATTTATTGTGAAGAGCAAAAGAACAAAGCTTCTACAGCTTGGAAGGGGATCTGAGCGGCTGCCACTGCTGGTTTGGGGGGGCCAGCGTTTATTTCCTTATTTGGCCCTGCCCACATCCTGCTGATTGGTCCATTTTACAGAGTATTGATTGGTCAATTTTACAGTGTGCTGATGGATCCTTTTTACAGAGCGCTGATTGGTGTGTTTACAATCCTTTAGCTAGACACGGAGTGCTGATTGGTGTGTTTTTACACAGTGCTGATTGGTGCATTTACAGTCCTTTAGCTAGACACAGAGTGCTGATTGATGTATTTATAATCCTCTAGCTAAACAGAAAAGTTCTCCAAGTCCCCACCTGACCCAGAAGCCCAGCGGTCTTCAACTCTCAATCCCCACTCTAAACAGGACACCCCAACGGCTGTTGGGTATTGGGCGATGACCTCTCTAGCTACTTCCTGCTGGATAGGGGTGAAGAAGGGGCCCTGCAGTTGTAGTGTCCTCCAGAAGGGAACTCTTTAGGCCAGTGAAAGGGTCAGTGGCTCAGTCCAGGGGTTCTTGGTAGAAGTTGTTAGTTGAGCTCATTTGGGGTCCCTTTGTAAGACCATCTGTAGCTTGATGGCCTCGATCCTAGAGGAAACAAATTTGACAAGGAGGTTAAAAATACAGGGCCTGAAGGCGAGTAATAGTAAGATGGCTGTCACAGGACCTAGAAAGGGGAGAAGCCATGTTGCCCAACTCCAGAGGTTGGTATAAGAGTTTCAAAGGCATTGTCTGATTTCACAAGACTTTTCCTGTAAACACTGGGTGGCATCTTGTACTATCCCTGACTGGTTAGTGTAAAAACAATATTCTTCCCCTAAGAAAGTGCAGAGTTCTCCTTTCTCAGCAGTGAAGAGGTCTAGGCCTCGGTGGTTTTGAAGAGTCACTGCTGCCAAAGAGTCTATTTGGGAGTATTGTAGAGTAAGGATAGATTTCGTTATTTCTTGCAAACTGTCTGAGAAATCCTTTGAGAGTGTGTGGTAGTAGGATAATGAAGTAGATAAACTGGCTACTCTGGTTCCTCTAGCAGTAGCCATTCCTAACCCTATAAGTAGGGGTACTAGTTGTATGGCTCTGTGCTGATGAACTTGAGCTTTGAGGGGTACTGATAGGGTCTGATTTCCTGGGGCAATGTTAATGTTGGGTCTTAGAAAGACTAAGGTGTAGATGCCTGTCCAAATATTGGGGAGGCAGATATAGGTTGACATTCCACATAAGAAGAATATACCTTGGCTGGATAGACAGAACTGGTTGTGTATGTGGAAATGTGTGTGAGTTTGTTGTTTTCATTTTCCCATACTCCTAGAGTACTTGCCAGTGTAGCTCCGGTGAGTGGCTGGAAAGGGGTGCTGGGAGCAAACTGAGTGGCTCCCTGTGTTCTATTTTCTCATTGGAGAAAAAAAGTTTTGTATCTACTAGGAACCATTTGAGAGAGTGATTGAAAGAGGGGATGAGAAGGCATTCATTAGTGTTGGGGGCTTTTAGCCTGATTTGGACTAGGCGGGCATTTTTTGCCCTTCTGAATTGTTCTTCCAGTGCCCAGACTTCAGGGTTGATTCCCTCCTCAAGCAGGAGGCTACAAATGCGTAACTTGTTCCCCATATTCATGTAGATAATGGCTCCAGCTTTGGCTAATATGTCCCTCCCTAAAATGGTATGGGACTTTCAGGCATAACAAGAAAGGCATGTGAAAAGAGCAAAGTCTCCCAATTACAACCAAGGAGGTGGGAGAAATACCTTATTATAGGCCATCCCAGGATTCCTTGGATGGTAGACAGCTGTCCAGGACCAGAGATTAACACTGAGAAAGCTGTGCCAGTGTCCAGGAGGAAGCCAATTTCATGGCCTTCAATGGTTAAACATACCCGGGGCTCAGTGAGGGTGATGACATGAGCTGGCACTTGCCCCAGGCATCCTCAGTCCTATTGTTGGATCATCTGGTTGGGGGCTTCTGGCCCAGAGAACCTTTGTCCTCTGGGGCAGTGCACCTTCTAGTGATTGCCTCAGCATAGTGGACATGGGCAAGGGGGCCGCTTGTTTCTCATTGGACAATCTTCTTTAAAGTGTCCTTGTAAACCACACTGATAACAAGCCCTACTGGGTGATTAGCCTGCTCCATTTTTTGTTCTCTCTGAACCACCAAGTTCTATTTGTCTGAGGGCCATGACTAAGGCTGTGGCTTTTCTCTGATCTCACTTTTCCTTTTGGGCCTGTTCCTCTTGGTCCCTATTATAGAACACCGAGGTTGCCAGGTTTAATAATGCCTCTAGATTTTATTCAGGGCCCAGGGCTCGCTTTTTGGAGCTCTCTCCTGATATCTGTGGCTGACTGGGTAATAAACTTATGTTTTAGGATCAATTGACCCTCTAGTGAGTTGAGTTGGGTGACAGGGGAGTATATTTTCTTAAGCCCTCCCATAGCCGCTCAAGGAAAGGAGAAGGATTCTCTTTCTTTTCCTGAGTTATGGTAGACATCATTGAATAATTCATGGACTTTTTCCTAATTCTCCTTAGTCCTTCTAGAACACAGGTCAGCAGATGTTTATGACTTCAGTCCCCATGATCTGAGTCAAGGTCCCAGTGGGGATCCATACTGGGGATGGCTTGCCAACCGGTAGGGAATTTGTCCCATTCTTCAGCTGTCATTCTATCATTTACTTAACTAAGATACCAGGTATCTCCAAACTCTTGGGCTGTAGCTAAAGCCTCATTCTTTTCATTAAAGGCCGGGGTTTGACCTAACAATAGCATGACATCTCTCCAAGTGAGATTGAACGTTTGCCCTAGACCCTGTAGGACATCTATGTACCTATCAGGATCATCTGAAAACTTCCCAGGTCTGCCTTGCCTTGATCTGCTTTAAATCAGAGAGTGAGAAGGGGACATGTACCTGGGCTGGGCCAAATTCCCCTCCCCTTACAGCTTGAAGGGGACATAACCCCATACCATAAGGTATTTCACTCCATTTGCCTTCCCTCTTACAGAAAAGGTCAAGCTGTAGGATAGTATTGTGATTTATACTTCCCTCAGGTGGCCATTTCTCCCCATCAGAGAGTGAATATTGGGGCCAAGCTGTAGTGCAGAAAAAAATGAGCCACCTCTTTTTCAGGGTTAGTGGGTCAAATTGGTCCCAATGGCTTAGGATGCATTTCAAGGGTGAGTATGTTGGTGCCTGAGTGTTTCTCATCTGAAAGACAAAACCATCCATGGTTTTGGTTTGTTTGTTTCTCCCTCTTGCCCAAGAACCTGCAATGGTCCCTGGAACCACTGATCGGAATAGTTGCACTCACCAATGCAGGAGCAGAAATACCTCTTGCCCAAGATCCTGCAGCGGTCCCTGGACCCTGCTGATTGGAATAGTTGCACTCACCAACGCAGCAGCAGAAACACTAGTTTTCCTCCTAGACCACAAGGAGGACTGAGGAAGGTCAGATTTAGTGGCCCTTACAGACGCATTCTCGAAAAACTTCACCCTTGCCTGTCCTCCTAGATCACAAAGAGGACCAAGAAAAATAGGATTTAGTGGCCCTTACTGATGCACTGATCGAAAACTTGTTAGAGTCCTAAGCATTCTCCTGTTAACACTGAGACTTTACCTCTGTCCTATAAAGATGTTATGCCCCAAAAATGAAATGGAGGGCCACACCCTGAGGGAGAGAAGAGATCTCCAGGGTTGGAAGAGTGATGCCTTTTGTCCTCACTCGAATACAAAGGATATCATTTCTGAAGCTCCCCATATCCTAGCTTCAGGAATAGCTTTTGTTAAGCCTGTTAGTCTGAGGAAGAATCCTAAAAGGATAGTTGGTCTCCCCACCCAATGAGGTTTTGGGCAAAAATTATGTCTTTCTGATTGATGAGCCTGAGTGCCTAAAGAAGGGAATAGAGTCCTGGAGTTTGTACTAGAAATAATTCTTATAGGAGAAACTAGAAATTCCAGAAACAGGGAGTGGTTTTTAGAAGCAGGACTCACCTCAGAGAAGAGAGGCAAGAGGAAGTTTGTCTGACAGGCATTAGGACCCATGGGCAAGGGTCAGGATAGATAGGATAGACAGGCGAGTCTCACTCAGGCAAGTAACTTTGAGAGTTCTGCTCATGGCTGCAGCGTCGACCAACTTGTTGTTGGGACCCCTGAGCTGAATGGCTTTCCTCTCTGTTGACCTTTGGCTCAGCCCAGAAGTACAGGAAAAGCAGAAGTTGGTTCCATGCAAACCAATGCTCCCAACTCCAAATAGTCAAGGGTTGTTAGAGAGCCCTTTCCCAGAAAGCCTGATACCCGTGTCTTTAGTCCAGTGGCCACACTAGTCACTTTTAACTGGCCAACAGGTGCCTGGTATTTAGCCCCCAAATTCTAAGGAAAAATAGGGCAGAATAGCAAGTGAAAGGGGTCTGAAGGTACTCACAGCTTGGCGATAGGTGACTGTCCCATGTGGGGTGCCAAAATGTGTCCCTTTGTGGTCGCCAAAATGTGTCCCATCTGGGTTGCCAAATGTGTCCAGAATTTATTCCTTCTCGTGGGTTCTTGGTCTTGCTGATTTCAAGAATGAAGCCACAGACCTTCGCAGTGAGTGTTACAGCTCTTAAAGATGGTGTGTCCGGAGTTTCTTCCTTCCAATGTTCAGATGTGTCTGGAGTTTCTTCCTTCTGATGGGTTCATCGTCTCGCTGACTTCAGGAATGAAGCTGTAGACCCTTGTGGTGCATGTTACAGCTCATAAAGGTAGTGCAGACCCAAACAGCGAGCAGCAGCAAGATTTATCATGAAGAGCAAAAGAACAAAGCTTCCACAGCATAGAAGGCGACCCAAGCCAGATGCTGGTGCTGGCTCGAGTGGCCAGCTTTTATTCCCTTATTTGGCCCCACCCACATCCTGCTGATTGGTCCATTTTACAGAGAGCTGATTGGTCCATTTTACAGAGTGCTGATTGGTGCGTTTTTACAGAGTGCTGATTGGTGTGTTTACAATCCTTTAGCTAGACACAAAAGTTCTCCAAGTCCCTACCCAACTCAGAAGCCCAGCTGGCTTCACCTCTCACTTCTAGAAAGTTGTTTGGCAGTGTCTTGAAGAACTACACATATATTTGCCATATGAGTCAGGAATAACATTCTGAGACATTTATATCAGAGAAATAAAAACACATATTCACACAAAAATCTTACACAAATGTTCACAACAGCTTTATTTGTAATAACCCCAAAACTAGAAACAGCCAAATGTCCCTCAACAGGCAAATAGTTAAACTGCAGTGCATTCATCTGATGGAGTATTCCTTAGCAATAAAAAAAAAAAATTGTTGATACATGCAACAACTTGGATGGATCTCAAGGACATTATGCTGTGGGGAAAATGCCAGTCACAAAAGTCACATACTGTGTGATTCTATTTATGTAACATTTTCAAAGTGACGCTATTATAGAGATTGGTGGAGAAGAGACTAGTAGTTGTCAGGGTGATGATGTGTAGGGATTAGTGTGTGACTCTAAAAAGCAACATGAGGGGAGATCTCTGTGGAATGGAATAGCTCTCCACTGGATTGCGTGGTGGATACATAAATCTGCAAATATGATAAGACACAGGCATAGAACTATGAACACATATCATATCGAAGTCAGTTTCCTGGTTTTGCTACTGTGCTAGAGCTGCTTAACATAAACATTTGGAAAAGCTCCGTGAAAGGGTATGCATACGTCCTTTGTACTGTCTTTGCCAATTTCCTGTGAATCTATAATGATTTTCAAGTAAAAATTTTTAAAAAGCTTTTTTTTTCCTGGCCAAAATCCAAAACTCTCACAAAACCAAATGTTGGCAAGGATATAGAACAATGGGGACTCTGATTCATTGCTGTTGGGAATGCAAAACAGTATAGCCACTTTGGAAGACACTCGCTGTTTCTTACAAAGCTAAACACACACTTACCATACAATAATTTCTATGTTTATCCAAATAATTATCTATGGGACTATTGCATTGGTTTCACTTTAATGGTAAACACATGACATTATGTATTTATCAGAACCCATAGAACTGTGTAATAGAGTGAACTCTAATATAACTATGAACCTTAGTTAACAATAAGTATCAGTATTGGTTCATTAATACTAGTGTGCCACACTAATGCAGGATGTTAATAATAGAAGAAACTGAACAGAGGGCTGTTTTAGGGAAGGAGGTATGTGGGAACTCCCTAAACTTTCTTGAAAGTTTTTTGTACACTTGAAACTGCTTTAAAAATGGTCTTGTTACATGGGAGGATATGGACTTACTTTTGCTTTTCATTCCATACTTGTCTGAGTTTGAGTGTATGAAGGGATGGGTTGCCCCTCCACACCTGTGGGCGTTCCTCATCGGGTAGAACGAGAGACTTGGAAAAGAAAGAGACACAGAGACAAAGTATAGAGAAAGAAAAATGGGCCCAGGGGACCGGCGTTCAGCATACGGAGGACCCACGCCGGCACGGGCCTCTGAGTTCCCTTAGTATTTATTGATCATTATCGGGCGTTTCCCGGAGAGGGGGATATGGCAGGACAATAGGATAATAGTGGAGAGAAGATCAGCAGGTAAACACATGAACAAATGTCTCTGCATCATAAACAAGGTAAAGAAAAAAGTGTTGTGCTTTTGATGTGCATATACATAAACATCTCAATGCCTTAAAGAGCAGTATTGCTGCCAGCATGTCCCACCTCCAGCCCTATGGCGGTTTTCCCCCATCTCAGCAGACGGAATATACAATCGGGCTTTACACTGAGACATTCCATTGCCCAGGGACGAGCAGGAGACAGATGCCTTCCTCTTATCTCAACTGCAAAGAGGAGTTCCTTCCTCTTTCACTAATCCTCCTCAGCACAGACCCTTTACGGGTGTCAGGCTGGGGGACGGTCAGGTCTTTCCCTTCCCACGAGGCCATATTTCAGACTATCACATGGGGAGAAACCTTGGACAATATCTGGCTTTCCTAGGCAGAGGTCCCTGCGGCCTTCTGAAGTGTTTTGTGTCTCTGGGTACTTGAGATTAGGGAGTGGTGATGACTCTCAACAAGCATGCTGCCTTCAAGCATTTGTTTAACAAGGCACACCCTGCACAGCCCTTAATCCATTTAACCCTGAGTTGACACAGCACATGTCTTAGGGAGCACAGGGTTGGGGGTAGGGTTACAGATTAACAGCATCTCAAGGCAGAAGAATTTTTCTTAGTACGGAACAATATGGAGTCTCTTATGTCTACTTCTTTCTACACAGACACAGTAACAATCTGATCTCTCTTTCTTTTCCCCACAATTGTGTTCTCTATTGTTCACCTATTTATTTTATATTAAAATTATAGATATGTTAGCAAACACTTATTCTATTTGCAACATTCTCAAGAGTCTGCTTTCTCTAAACCATGGGTAAAGAAACTCGTTATTTATTCATTAAGTCTTACAAGGTTATGCCACCTTGGTTTGTGCTTATTTTGCTTTTCTAGGATTTTTATCGCTAGGCTGTAGAAATTTTGAGGAAAACAATTCCGCAACCAATCAGAGACCGAAATGAAGTTACAAAGCTACACTCCTATGCAAATATCTGACTGGTTGCAAAAAACAACCAATCAGAGGTACTTTGAATTTCACATTTACCACGCAGAAAATGGGGGGCGGGTTACAAAGGGAGTAGTCTTTGATCCTTCTGCTACTTAGGCATAGGAAGTTTGAGTTTTCCTTTCAGTTTAGTTCCATTCGGATGTCAACATGAAACGGCCTTAGTTTCCCTGCCTCCAGACCCTGTTCCCCTGGCTTGTCTGGAAGACACTTTGGCTGTTTCTTCCAAAGCCAAACATACTCTACCACAAGATTCAGCAATTGCAATCCTAAATATTTGCCCAAATAAGTGGAAAACTTCTGTCCACACAAAAAAGTGTACACCAATGTTTATAGCAGCTTTATTTATAATTGCCAAAAATTCAAAGCAACCAAGATGTCCTCCAGTAAGTGAGTGGATAAATTGTGGTAGATCCATACCATGGGTTGTTATTCAACATTAAAGAGGAATAAGCTATCAAGCTAGGAAAAGACATGGAGAAAACCTATATGCATATTGTTATGTGAAGAAGCCAGTCTGAAAAAACTATACACCATATGATTACAACTATATAACATTCTGGAAAAGGCATAAATACAGTGACAGTAAATAGTGGTTTCCAGGGATTCAGGAGGAAGAGGAGTGCATGAGTAGGTGGAGCCTGGGACAATTTTAGGTGAGCGAAACTACTTCATAGGATAATTTTGTCACTGAAACACCAGAGGTTCAGTCTAAGTCTTGCACACAAGGGCTTCAGTCTGGGTCTTGCTGCTCACCACACAGAAAGCCAATCACTGAGATGACAATGAGTGTTGCCAAAGAAGAAGGCTTTAATCTTTAATCAGGTGGTGCAGCTGAGGAGATGGGAGACCAGTGTCAAATCCATCTCTGTGACTGACTAAAATTGGGAGTTTATCTAGCAGGGAAAAATTTACCTATGTATGAGAAAACAGGAACTAGGGAGGGGTAAGGGAGCAATCATAATGAATGGGGAACCTGGAGTCTCATTGACTAGATGAGACGATCTGGTGAGTTCCAGTTCTTTGATACTTTTTGAGAGGCCTGGGAGAATATTTTTTTGGAAAGGAACTCAAATAAAACAAATGTAAGTTTCAAGCTTTAAGACCAGAAGTGTCCATTTCTATGTTTATTTAAAAAAAAAAAAAACTGCCTATGGGACTCTTGGGTCAGTTCCACTAAATGGTGGATATATGACGTAATATATTTATCAGAACCCATAGAACTGTATAATAAGAATGATCCCTAATTTCACTATGGATCTCAGTTAACAACAAGTATCAGTATTGCTTCATCAGTGGTAACAAGTATACCACACCGATGCAGGATGTTAAGAATAGGAGAAATTAAGCAGAGGGCTGCTTTAGGGAAGAAGGGCTCCATGAACTTTCTCTGCAATTTTTCTGTCCACTTAAAACTACTTTTAAAAAATGGTCTTGTTACATGGAATGATATGGATTTATTTTTGCTTTTTCATTCCATGTTTGTCTGCATTTGACTACATTCTCTATTGCTCATCTACAACCTGTTTGTGTTACAGCTTTTTTAGCCTCATCATTAGGCAGATCCCAGGTTCCTGTCCTGCGTCCAGGAAGAATGAGGTACGCAGACAAGTAGAGGGTTAGCAGGACAAAGAGGAGCTTTATTAAGCAATAGAACAGCTCAGAGAGCCACAGTGGGCAGCTCCTCTCCACTGCCAGGTTGCCCCGACATCTGTTCAGCTATCAACAGAGAGGGTGGCTCCTCTCTGCAGCTGATTGTCCTGTCCTCTCCTCAGTTCTCAGCAGAGAGGAGACCCTGGTGAGGGCAGCTTCACTCTGCAGCTGAGAGGAGACCCTGGAGAGGGTAACCCCTCTCCTCAGCAACTCATCCCTCATGCTCCTGGCCTCTCTCTCTGCTCTCTCCATCCTCTGTTCAACTCGCCTGAGCCCAGGGCTTTTACAGGCCTCAGAGGGGAGAAAGTGGGCACCATGGATGGCCATGGGGCAGGCCCAGAAAAGGCACAAGTTCCCACTCGTGTCAGCAGGACTGGCAGCCCAGCCCACAGCCTTCAGACCCTCCCTGGCCAGAAGGAGGGGCTTCACTGGGGACTTGCCCCCTTCTGCCCAGGAGACTGTCTGCCTCCCAGCACCATCCATGGCACCTAGGCTGCTCATGGCAAGGGGCCTGTAGGCCAGCACCAGTTGCCCTCAGCCCATCTTCCCTCGGCTTCCCCGTGGCTGAGGTGGCAGGAGGCTAGTGTGTCAACTTTGCCCTGAGCATGCACACACCCGGCTAGGCTGTAACAGCACTGGGGCTTGGCCCCAACTCCACTCTGAGATCAGAGCAGGCATCCGGGAGCTTGGAGAGGCCAGGTGAGAGGCAAGGCAGTGGGAGCAGACACCTGCAAGCCTGCAGGGACAGGGGGTGCTTCACGTCCTTGAGAGCGTGGCGTGCAGAGAGGCCTGGATCTTGCTGCATGGAGGGCAGGATTCCTACTCAATCCTTGGAGTCTGCAGGTAGCCCCTGTCACACCTTCTTACAGCCTGGGGTGGGCAGCTCCCCTCACCTGTGCCCATGCCAGCATCTGGGGCAAGGATGATGTGTCTGCAAGTTCATCCCCTAGCACTCAGAGGTGCCCGGGGTTCCCCCTTGCCTGGATGGGGTGGTGGAGCAGATCACACCCAAGCCTGGCCGTCGGGAAAATCAAGCTTGGTGGCCACCCCGGGGACACCGCTCTGGGCCACCTCAGGCAGAACCTCCTCCTGAGGCTCAGGAACTGGGCTTCCTCAGCAGGGTGGGACAGTGACCATGCCGCTGGCTGGGTCCCCATAGCGAGGCCACTCCCACTTCCCAAACCAGGCCCAACAAGCCTGGCCCCAGCTCCATGCCCTCCCCACAGCTGCAGGGTGAGAGCAGCAAAGCAGGAGTGGGAGGCTCCTGGCCTGGGGGCGGTCCCGCCAGCTGCTCAAGGGTTGGGGCAGCACAGTCAGCTGCCTCAGGGGCGTGAGGCACAGGGGACATGGGGCACAGGGGTTCCACCATGGCCATTGCTCCCGCAGTCGTTCCTGCCACCACTGCTTGCAACTTCCCACTGCAGTCGGCCACTCTGGACAGCTCACCACTGCCAGCATCACCACCCTTTTATCCTAAAATACTAAGCTGAACCTTAGCCAGATTTCCTAGATTACCATCATCTCAATTAGTTTCTTTTTTCACAGTTTGTTCCTTCTTTTCTTTTCTTTTTTTTCTTTCTTTCTTTTCCTTTTTTTTTCTTTCTTTCTTTTCCTTTTTTTTTTTTTTTTCTTTACAGGGTTTGCCATCTGCCACCCAGGCTGGAATGCAGTGGCATGATCTTGGATCACTGCAGCGTGGACCTTCCAGGTTCAAGCAATCCACCCACCTCCCGAGTAGCTGGGATTAAATTAGCTTCTAAGTAAATTATTATTTTCTGTTGACCAAATTAAATGTGATATTCTGGTTGCAATTTCACAAATTCCCATAGTATTGAATTATTATTGTGGTATAGAGACATAGTTTATTCTCAAATCCAGGGACAGTAGTGACTTTTTCCCATGAAATTTTGAACTTTTTATATTAATAGAAGTATGTTTTTCCAAAGTAAGTGAGGCACTTTTTTTCTTCTATTTTGAGATGATCAAATTTACTACTTTATGATGAGAAATCTGCAATAATAATTCTGAGCAATAGTTTATATTTGGGAATTTTGAGGTCACTGTTACCTTTAATAAGAAGGAGACTTCTCAGGAGCTATGGGTGTCATCACATAAGATAAATGCAAATGTTGCCATTTCCAGAGGA
This sequence comes from Homo sapiens, assembly GCF_000001405.40. Classification (NCBI taxonomy): domain Eukaryota; kingdom Metazoa; phylum Chordata; class Mammalia; order Primates; family Hominidae; genus Homo; species Homo sapiens. Next base: position 3,730,520 of record NT_167248.2, on the reverse strand, counting down.
GGGTAAGGATGATAATGAGGTGATTCTTTTGAAGGAACTAGAATTGCTACACAGTATCTTCCTCAAATTGTATACTGCTGCCATTCATTAACATAAGTAGCCATATTGCTATGTGCATCCATAAATTATAGGAATATAAATAATTTTAATACATAGGACATTATTCTCAGAAATAGGATGTGAAGGATTATGATATAGTGGCTGAGCCTGAGGGATATATAATTTGGTTCAATCTATAGTGTACCATTTACTAGCTTTGTATCTTTGCAAAAGTTGTTTCATCTCCATTGTTTTATTCTCTCTACCTGTAAGCATGAAAAGGGTATTTATTTTAGTGAGTTGATGTGAGAATGAAATAAAAATATGAAGTATAAAAAGCACTTAGTGCAACTCTGAGTATAAAGTAAAATGCTCATTTTTACGGCAGCATGATGAGAATCCTGCCCCTGGAAACACTAAGGCCTATAAGGAATGAGTGCCTATGTGGTAGCATGTGAATTAATGCAGAACGCTATAAGTATAGTTGTACTTTGAAGTCCATTCTGAATCTTAGATGTTACATTTATATTAATAAAAAGCATAATAATTATCTAAATGTATATAATATGTTTAATATTATATGGTTACATCAACTGATGTAATTCATAGTTTTCCCTAGTGTTCTCTTTCCTGAACATTCTAAAATGTATTAGTTAGCAAAGTCGTCTTATAGCCTCCCTTATGATAAAACAAGAGAAACATAATAGTAAAGTGCTATAGCCTCAATCAAATGAGGAAATCATAATGGGAACCAGGAATGAGGGACTGAACACTCTTCATATAAAATATTCATTATTTTAAAACAGAATTGTGACCAGGCATGATGGCTCACGCCAGTAACCCCAGCAGTTTGGGGTTACACTGCTGGTGTAGAACACGAAGTCAGGAGATCGAGACCATCCTGGCTAACACGGTGAAACCCCATCTCCACTAAAAATACAAAAAATTAGCCAAGCGTGGAGGCACGTGCCTGTAGTCAGAGTTACTCGGGAGGCTGTGGCAGGAGAATTGTTTGAACCGAGGAGGCGGAGGTTGCAGTGAGCCAAGATCATGCCACTGCACTCCAGCCAGGGCAACAGAGCAAGGCTCTGTCTCAAAAAAGAAGAAAAAAAAAAAGAGTTGTTCTGTGAACGGCTGACTTTGAGAGTCTTTGATCGATCTCTCAGACCCATTAATACCTGGATTGCACACTTGACCTTATCACATTGTTAGGGTAAGTGCTGTACAAAGGCACCTTCAGACCCTCCATTGCACATAGGTGGCCCCTGTTAGCCCATTCCTGTGTGTGTTCTGGAGGTGCCGCTAAACCTGGGGGCAGCATCAGGAGACACGCTTGAAAAAGATATTTTTACTCAGATTAAATTATTAACAGACTTTCAATTTCCTTTAACTTATTAAAGACATCACTACCTGGAAATAGGTACAGATTACACTCTCTAGTCAATAGCTGTCATTCTGTCATATTACCAGATACCTGGGGCTGCCGCTCCTTGAGGCGTCTAGAGAATCACAGAATTTTCCAGTATTGAAAGACCTGAAAGATCGCAGTGCCTTCATTTCAACTGTGAGACATGAAGTAATTTTCCCAAATCTGTGACATTAAGATATGGTACAATAAAGACAAGATTAAAGGACTCCGGATTTACAACCATGTTCCCTCCGTCTCCTTTACTCTTAAACACACTCACACACTCACTTCTGCAAACAGTTGTCTTGTCAAGTGGGAAATGAATGCTCTTACAAGGCTCAAACTTGTGAACACATCACTGACCAGCACAGAGCTGGCTCACAATAGCTCCCCAATTAAAGTGTTTTACATGCAACTGGTTCAAACCTTTCAAGTACTAAATTAAAACATTCCTTTAAAGAATGAAATTATTTCAGAAGAGGACCTTCATACAGCATCTCTGAGCAGCAACTGATGATGCTGTTGAACTCAGATGCTGATTGGTTCTCCGACACGAGATTACCCAATCCAGGAGCAAGGAAATCAGTAACTTCCTCCCTATAATTTGGAATGTGGGTGGAGGGGGGTCATAGTTCTCCCTGAGTGAGACTTGCCTGCTCCTCTGGCCCCTGGTCCTGTCCTCTTCTCCAGCATGGTGTGTCTGAAGCTCCCTGGAGGCTCCAGCTTGGCAGCGTTGACAGTGACACTGATGGTGCTGAGCTCCCGACTGGCTTTCGCTGGGGACACCCGACGTAAGAGCACATTGTGGGTGCTGAGCTACTATGGGGTGGGGGAATATAGGGAGTTGTGTTAACATTGTGCCCAGGCCATGTCCCTTAAGAAATTGTGAGGTTTTCTTCAGAGATTGCTCATCTTTATCAAGGGATCGCTAATTATTTCCTCCACAAAAGGAACTTGGCTACTTGCCCTCTCCATGAGACTTGTGTAAGGGGCCTTTGTACAGGCCATTTCTTCTCAAATCTCCACCAATAAAACCTTTGCATCACATGTCCTCAGGGTCTTTAGAGGATTTGGAAATAAGGATGCTAAAATAAATTCCCCAAACAGCAATTCCCTTTATTATGTTGACTTATGTCAGACAAAAGGAGGTTTTTACTGAAAATTTTGTGGGAGTCAAGGGAATTCAATGGGTCTCTCCTAGACGATCCTGGGTTATGTCCTCCACAGGACCTGTGGTGTTGGCCCCTCTTCCTCATATGTGAGGATGGACCCAGTGGCCTCCCTAGTATCTCCTTTCTTTTCTTTCTGAACTCCAATGTTTATAAAGCCTGTATCCCTGTAGTGTATGTAGGTTGTCTGACAGAAGTTATACTTAGTGCTCTTTCTTTCTTATGGGGAAAAATCCCTGGAACTGAAGCTGAGATCATTAGTACTTGGAATCACCTTACAGATACAGAGCATTTATGAGGTATTCTTTGGTGCCTAAAGAACTTAAGGCATCCTCTGAAAAACTGGCCCAGGTTAGTGTTTATTATGAATCTTTTTAACCTTTCTATACTTGTTTCTCCTACATCTCCTACATGCTCTAACTAGACATGACAGAAGAGATTTAACTAATGTAGTATAAATTATATGAAATTCTATTTTTATAAGTCAAAAATAATCAAATATCAGAAATTTAATAATGTTCAAACTATATACTGTGTGGGGTTACCGAGACAATGTGGACATTGTTCACATCTCATAGGGCTGAAAGTCAATGGGCAAGTCCTGGAAGCTCATTGTCTTACTGCGGTCTTGTCCTCAGTTTCATAGGTTCACCCATCATGCCCTCAGCTTTCCTTAATTAGCCATGTCTGCTTACCTCTTCCTCCCATTTCTCTCTATTTTTCCCCAACTATGTTGTCATCATTTCCAGAAATCTCTAAAGCTTGCACAGATCCTTAGCACTATGAGATCCATTGAAAGAGATAATATTTTTCTCTTTGAGATAGGGCCTGCCTCTGTCACCCAGGCTGTAGCTCAGTGGTGTGATCGAGGCTCACTGCAACCTCTGCCTCCCATGCTCAAGCAATCCTCCCTCCTCAGGCTCCAGAGTAGCTGAGAATACAGGCAGGCAACCACGCCCAGCTAATTTTTGCAATTTTGGTAGAGAGGAGATTTTGCCATATTGCCCAGGCTGGTCTTAAACTGCTGAACTCAAGCAATCCTCCTGCCTTAGCCTCCCAACATGCTAGGATTATAGATGTGAGCCACTGTGCCCAGGCAAAAGAGATGACTCTTAATAAAAAGATTTCCTTTTTCTTAAATCACTGTTTCTTTATCCGTGAATTCTTCTTCCAACTAGAAGGAGGAGAAAGAAGTTTGCCTGTATTTATCACCGGGAGGAGAAGGGGTCTAGTGTGACATCAAAATGAAAGAGTGCTGGAACTTGAGCCCCTTCTTGCTTTCCAGGATCCCCACAGTGATCAGTTCCCATACCCTGGTTTATTCATGTAAACCACACTTATTTTTCTCAGCAGCTACTGTGTACTGGGCTCCATTCTAGGTTCAAATCATTCTATTTGATTAAGATAGAGAGGGTCCCGACTCTCAAGGAAGTTACAAGAGTAGAGGAGACAGACACTAACCCAATAAGCATTTAACAAAGAAGATAATGTTAGAGAGTCATAGTGCACTGAAGAAAAGACATCAGATGTGTGTTGAAAGAGAGAAATGGATTCACCTACTTTAGTTTGTATGTTTAGGGAGCTCTACCTGAGAAAGTGATATTCAGCTGAGACAACAAAATAAGTAGACAGTCATAAAGATCTAACGGACGAAAGATTCAGGGAGACCGAATCGAGGGAAAGCACTGGTGTGGGAAATTATGTGGAGGGAGAGAAAGAAGGCTAGAAGGGCTGAGGTATAGAAAGCAAGGAAATGGAGAGGCAGAAGATGAGGTAGGACAAGGAGAGGAAATCAGGAGCCTCATCATTATAGGCTCTGATGTCCACGGTAAAAAATTTGAATTTTATTTTATTTTTATTTATTTTTAAATTTTATTTATTTATTTATTTTGAGATGGAGTTTCATTCTTGTTGCCCAGGCTGGCATGCCATGGCGCAATCTCTGCTCACTGCAACCTCCACCTCCTGGGTTCAAGTGATTCTCCTGCCTCAGCTTCCCAAGTAACTGGGATTACAGGCACTCACCACCATACCTGGCTAATTTTTTTGTATTTTTAGTATAGATGGGGTATCACCATGTTGACCAGGTTGATCTTGAACTCCTGACCTCAGATAATCTGTCTGCCTTGGCCTCCCAAAGTGCTGGGATTACAGGCGTGAGCCACCACGCCCGGACTGAATTTTATTTAAATAGATATGAGAAGCTGCTGTATGGTTACAAGGAGAGTCAATTTATATTCAACTTTTGTGTGTGTGTGTGATGGAGTCTCACTCTGTTGCCCAGGCTCGATTGCAGTGGCACAATCTCGGCTCACTGCAACCTCTGCCTCCCGGGTTCAAGAAATTATCCTGCCTCAGCCTCCTGAGTAGCTGGGACCACAGGTGCATGCCACCACAGTCGGCTACTTTTTGTATTTTTAGTAGGGATGGGGTTTCACCATGTTAGCCAAGATGGGCTCGATCTCCTGACCTTGTGATCCACCCGCCTCGGCCTCCCAAAGTGCTGGGATTACAGGCATGAGCCACTGCGCCCAGCTTATATTCAATTATTACAATTAATTCTAGCTACTTTGTGGGGATTGGATTGTTGGGGTTCACAAGTGGTTAGGAAGACTATTTAGGAGCACAGCAGGGAATTCTCCAGGGAAAACAGGCTTGTGGCTTCATGGAGTGCATTAGTGATAAAGACGGTGAAAAAGATAAAGTGGACAGACTTCGCATGTATTTTTGCTTAGCTTGTTAATGAATTACTGTAAAGGGGGTGGAACAATCAAGTTTATTCCTGAGGATTTTGTTTTGACAAATAAGTGGGTGGTAGTTTTGTTTATTGAGATAGGAAAAACTATGGGAGGAAATGATTTGAAGTGGGTGGTTGGAAATAAAAGTTTTGTTTAAATTTGAGATGATTTATTGACATTTATGTAGAGCAATCAGAAGGTCAGTGGCATTTAAGAGACTCATGGTGAGGCTAGGGCTTCAGATATTTATGTTGGCAGCATCAATACGTGTAGTGTGTTAAATTCTAGGGAGTGGAAGAGGATACATAGGGAGATGGATTGTGTGGAGAAAAAAGAAGAGGGCACAGGCCAGCAAAGGCAGCTGAGACAGAGCCCAGGGATGTTGGAGAAAAACCAAGAGAACATAATGAGTGTAAGTCAAGGAAAATAGATTTTTTTCAAGGAGAAGGGAGAGGCCAATTGTGGTGAGTACCACTAAGCGGAGGGGGAAGTGAGAACTTGACAGAGAAGCAAGTGCTGGGTTTGCTGGAGTTGATATTTGCAGTCAATGGAGTATCCAGGGAGGAAACTGGATTGGACCATTTGAAGAGCGAGTAGAAGTGAGGACGAGGTTAAGGTTGACTGTTTTGAGTAGAACTTCCGGAAGGACTGTGCTCTGGGTTCAGGAAGCCCGCTGAATCTAAAGGAAAAGGCTAAAGAAGCTAAAGAGACAGAGGAGGACCTGTGAACAAGAGATGCTCAGTCATTAGCAAGGAAATACTGGAGATCCCCTGTGTGCAGTGGTGACTACTCATGCAAAAGGTCACACAGCCAATATTTATTAGTGACATAGAATATACCAGTTATTAGTCTAGGTCATGAGAATGGTGATAAATAAAATGAATCCGCTCGCCATCAGTATATGCCATGTAACAGTTTGCAGTGACTGTGTACCAGGCCTGTGAATTTCTGTATGCAATTTCAATAATGATCCTGCTGTATCTGTGGTATTTAAAAACATATACATCTCTGGAATCTAAAATTGAGGGATTATAAGTAAAACCCAGTATTAGAAATTTAGTGCTGGAAATCAGATTGCAGTTTAAATCTGAGCATATAGAAAGTCCCTTTCTTCTATGTCAGCAGATGCCTTTTATGTGAGGCTTAGGTATACTACATTATTAGACATAAACCAGTGTTTCTGCCCTATGTTTTCAGAATGACAATTCTTTATGAAACTCATAGAAGAACAGAAGACAATTGCAAAATCATGATGAAGATACTAATTGCTTTAGAATTAAGGAATACAAAAAATAATGTGAGTTACAGTTATAGGGATCATAAAAGTGAAAATGGGAATGTATTTGAGTGTTTATTATGTGATCAGTGCTAAGAAGAGTCATCATTTAATTTGACACTTAACAGTAATCCTGTGAGGATTATGCTATTATTAAATGCATTTGATAGATTACAAAAAGGCTTACTGTTGGCAAAAATTGACCCAAGTAGAAGAGGTCACCTTTTTATTCAGATTTTCTGATTGTAGAGTTTGAGAGTTTTTCCATCATTAGGGAGTAGTGACTATATTGTGTCTGAATTATTGACAGAATTTCTGATATTCATATATACCAGGTTGTTTCTTTGAGTGGGGACAGAGATGCAAGGGCTGCTAGTTCCAATGTACAGGAGAAACTTTTAATCATTTTGCATTTATCATTTTAAAAGTTCAGTATGTCTATAATGGTCATGTGTTGACAAACACAAGGAAGTATTAAATCACTCCTCCTTCTGAGGTTTGACTAGCAAATTGGGCAAGAGTTACCAAATAAAATACATGTTCCTAGTTAAATCTGAATTTCAGATACACGACCATAATTTATTGGAAATCCAAATTTAATTGGGCACCCTCTGGTTTTATTTGCCAAATCTGTCAACTCTAAGTGAGACACATGGACATGGATTACAGTGCTACCCATGCAAGCCACAGTGACAGCAACTTCACACATGTTTACATTTTAACTTTCTCTCTGTAAGAAAGTGCTTAGATAATTTGGTGATAAAAAGATAGCCATTGTTTGATCCAGGGTGGACACCTCTCTGCCATCGTTTCTAAAGGGCAAACGGAGATTTCTGCAGGTCTTGCTCACAGTCTGGGGACCTGCTCATGTTTTGAAACTGTCTGTATCAGAATGTCATTTTCTTGGTTTCTCCCTTTCTGAGGGGACTTGACTACAAAACCAAGAGTTCTGCCTCTGGCCAAGGCTGGAAATGTGATGCCTGCTAGTATTGTTGGGAGTGGGAGACTGAGAGAAATGAGTTAGTTGGGGCATTTAACGGGAATAAAATAGCTGTGGTTGTGATTCATTACTATAGATAATTAGTGGACCAGTGGCGGAGAAATTAAGAAAAAAGATGATGTGAACGATAAATGATATGATTAGTGACTGCTTGGTAAGGCAAGGAAATCATTAAATCTTGGTTCTCATCAAGTTCATTTTCTGAAAAGATAGCACTGCATTGGGACCAGAATTCTACAAAACATTCTTTTTACATAGGACCAAGATTTTCAAGAAATATTTTTCAATACAATTCTCAGCTGCTCCATAACTAATAGTAGCTTGTTCAACACAGATTTTTTTAGATGGTTCACACCTGTGGTTCTTACCCAGGGATAGTTCACCACCCCTCCCTTCCCTCCCATCATCCTTGGGGAACAGTGACAATGTTTGGAAAAATTTTTGGTTGTCACAACAGGGGTTTCTTCTGATATTTAATGAGTAGAAGCCAGGAACACTGCTAGAGAACCTACAATGTTCAGAACAGCCTCCGCCATCAACAAAGAATTATCTGGTCCAAAATGTCAATAGTGCTGAGGCTGAGAGCACTGCTTCACGCTGTGCTCTTTCTGAAAATTCTACACTCACATCTGTTATACACTCACCACACAGTTCAGTTTTTCATAGTTTATTTTTGCTTCTTCCATTATAAAAAATTAGACAGTTGCATAAATTTAACCACTTTCTTGTTGAATCCATTTAGTCAATGCAAGCTCAGTATTTTCATATTTAGTTTTTGCCTTATGCAATATTTTTCAACATTTTCATGAGTTGTTGGTCATCACCATCTCTATTAACTTTCAACAACTTGCTCTTGTAAGTCACAAATAGTGATGCTGCTGAAATTATTTCTCACTAACATGCCTCAGATTTCTGTAGTGATTCTACATTTTATATTATTCACAATGTAAAATGCTTCTATGTACTCATTTCACTTTTACCCAAGGATTATTTTTAAGTTATTTTTGTCATTTACACACTTCAAACATAAAGACAAAAACATCAAAAATATATACTGTGTTTTACATAGGTGTCTATTTTCACACATATATGTATGTATGTTTATATGTATGGAAACTACAGAAGCACATGTCGCCAATAAGAGCTCTGAGACACCTTTGACCACTTACCCTTATCAGATGAGATTTGCCAAATGAGTTGTGGAAACAAGTTTTTTAAACTGAATTTCTGAGCTTTGTGAATTTAGAAATGCAAAGGAAAGTTTGTGGACATTTACAGGGATCATGGTTTTATTGTCCTTTAAACTCTTCGATACTTTACCATTGTCTTACTATAAATCCAAAATCCTAACCCCACCCACGAGGCTTTAAATACCTGGCTTCTTGTGATTTCTCCAGGCTAATCTTTTACCCTCCTTCCCCTCAGCCTCTCTGCTTTAGTGAACTTTCTCCTAGTTTTTTGAAGAAGTTCATCAATTCAAGCTTTTGTAGATGGGATTTCCTAAACCTGAAATGTGCCTCCCGTTTTGTCCAAACAGACACGGGCTCCACTCTGCCCCCTGGCTCACACCTGCTTAACCCGTCAAGTCACATCTGAACTGTCACTCTTTAGAGGGTCCTTCTCTGGCACCCTAATGTAATTGAGATCATCCTATTATTCTCTGCTCTAGAACTTCCCACTTCCGAGATTTCTCATTCCTGTCTAACCTCTTGTGTGTTTGGTGTTTGGCCATCGCTTTCACTGCTCTTTAAGCTCCCCCAGCGGAGTGGAGAGGTCTGTTTTCCCTTGTTTGGATTCCTAGAGGCAGCGCAGGCCAGACACAAGGTCATCACTAAGAAAGTGTTCACAGGATGAACGCGGTGGGTGCTGTTTAAGGAACCGGTAAACATGTGGGATGAGAGAAGGAGCAGAGAGTGTTTTTCGGGTGGAGGCTCCCAGGAGGAGGAGGGGCGGGCTGCGGTGCTGGGCGGATCCTCCTCCAGCTCCTGCTTGGAGGTCTCCAGAACAAGCTGGAGGCAGGGATGGGGGGTCCCAAAAGCCTGGGGATGAGAAGGGGTTTCCCCGCATAGTCCCCCAGGCCCCCGTTCGCCTCAGGAAAACGGAGGATGAGCTCCTGGGCTGCTGGTGGTGGGCGTTGCGGGGGGGGCCGGTTAAGGTTCCCAGTGCCCGCACCCGGCCCAGGGGGCCCCGGATGGCGGCGTCGCTGTCAGTGTCTTCTCAGGAGGCCGCCTGTGTGACCGGAGCATTCGTGTCCCCACAGCACGTTTCTTGGAGCTGCTTAAGTCTGAGTGTCATTTCTTCAATGGGACGGAGCGGGTGCGGTTCCTGGAGAGACACTTCCATAACCAGGAGGAGTACGCGCGCTTCGACAGCGACGTGGGGGAGTACCGGGCGGTGAGGGAGCTGGGGCGGCCTGATGCCGAGTACTGGAACAGCCAGAAGGACCTCCTGGAGCAGAAGCGGGGCCAGGTGGACAATTACTGCAGACACAACTACGGGGTTGGTGAGAGCTTCACAGTGCAGCGGCGAGGTGAGCATGTCGGGGGGCGGGGCCTGGGTCCCTGTGAGCTGGAAATCTGAGAGTGTGTGTGTGTGTGTGTGTGTGTGTGTGTGTGTGTGAGAGAGAGAGAGAGAGAGAGAGAGAGAGAGAGAGAGAGGAAGAGAGAGACAGAGAGAGGGAGCGCGCCATCTGTGAGCATTTAGAATCCTCTCAATCCCGAGCAAGCAGTTCTGAAGGCACAGGTGTGTGTGTAGAGTGTGGATTTGTCTGTGTCTGTGTGCCTGTTGTGGGAGGGGAAGCAGGAGGGGGCTGCTTCTTATCCTTGGAGACTTCTGTGGAGAGGTGACAAGGGAGGTCGGTGCGGGCGGCTGGAGAGAGAGGAGACCTTGATTGTCCTGGGTCCTTAGAGATGCAGGGAAGGAAAGTGTAAGGTGTGTGTGGGTGGGGTGAAGGTTTAGGGGAGGAGAGCTGAGGGGTAAGGAAGGTTTGGGATAATGTGAGGAGGCCGGTTCCAGACTGTCCCTGGCACACACCCTTCATGTAATCTCTGAAATAAAAGTTTGTGCTGTTTGTAAAAGCATTAGATTAAGTTCTAGGGGAATTGAGTAGACCTCTAAGGCACCTCTGAAACTTCTTTAGGTATAAATTTCTTGCTAGTTTTTTGTTTTTCTAGTGTGTATATTTTTACATAGTAGAAATGACAGTGAAACTAACTTTTGAATTAAAGTTTTAACACAATTACTGTATTATTATAATGCTAATAGTTTTCTAGTAGTTACATATTATTCTTTTATATATAATAGTTGTGACACAACTTAGGGATCACTTTCCCCTTTGTTGACCTTTATTATGACATTCACCAAAAGTTGAAAATGTATGTTTCTGGTTAATTTTTAATTTATATTTTTTCATTTGAAAAAATGTGGAGAGGTCTGTTTTTCATTCAAAAGAGTTCTTTTGAATTATTTTGACCGATTTATTGGTCAATTTTAATAACTGCTCTAAGAATTCCCTATTTTATTTGGTAGGTAATGGACAATGATCTACTGCCTAATATCTCTAGGGCTTAGTATTTTTCTCAGTGACTTTGTGGGTTCTTTGTACTGTAAGATTATTAACACTTTATTGATATTTGATTCAGCATTTGCTCCAGTTTGTGGTTTGTATGTTGATTTTGAAAATTCTTTTCCATGTTAAGAATTTGAACATTTTTATTTAATAAAATGTATTGCAAAAATTTTATTAATGATTTACAATCCATCTTAAATCTGCCATTTTGTGGTATTTTTGTCTCTAGGTTTCTCCTTACTTCTAAAAACATTGTATTTATTGAGAGTATGCTAATGTCGGGGATTTTCCTGGGCATAAGCACCACAAGTAATGAGTTCCAGACCCTGCCTTAATCCAAATGTGATTCTGGAAAGAAAAATCATTTTACAACTGGCCTGATAATAATTCTGCTTGTGTTGCACGGGGGATACATTGAGCAGCTGAATGAAAATATAAGAACTTTCAAAACTAAAATGACGCTCCTAAATCCTTCTGTCTGCTTTAGGACTCATGCTTTTCTAGGAACGTAAAAATTTGGAGAATCATTTCTGTCTGTCCCACCTTCCCAGGGGCAGAACCATTTCTGTGGTGTTCTAAGGTGTGAGTGCATGGCAGTAGTATTCCTAAAAATTCATACTCGGTTTTCTCATGTACCCAACTCTGTCCCTTTGTCTATGTACATTGCTTTAAATCATATTTTTCTGTCACGGAGTACAAGGATGATAAATAGGTGCCAAGTGGAGCACCCAAGTGTGATGAGCCCCCTTACGGTGGAATGGAGTGAGAAGCTTTCTGATCTCATAAATTGAAGGCTATCTTCAGTCATTATGTATTTTACATAAATTAATCCTCATGTAACCCCAAGAGGTAAATTAGTATAATTATCCTTCATTGGGGGTGACAAAGTTGAGACACAGAAGAATCAACTCTTCCAGGATCAACCAGTAAAAGGCAGACCTTGGATTTGAACCAGGCAACCTGGCTCAGATATCAGTTTTAATTACTACACTCTGTACTTTCAAAAATTTGTAAACACTTTGACAATGCATGCCAATTTCAAGTTATGAAGAAGCAAACGCAATTTTTCACATCTCTCAAATCTAATGGGTCCTCACTATCAAGATTAAATTCCAGGCTGATGACACTGTAAGGCCACATGGCCAGCTGTGCTGGAGGCCTGGTCAAGGTCAGAGCCTGGGTTTGCAGAGAAGCAGACAAACAGCCAAACCAGCAGAATTACTCTGTCTTCCTGACTCATTCCCTCTACCTTTTTTTCTCCTAGTCCATCCTCAGGTGACTGTGTATCCTGCAAAGACCCAGCCCCTGCAGCACCACAACCTCCTGGTCTGCTCTGTGAGTGGTTTCTATCCAGGCAGCATTGAAGTCAGGTGGTTCCGGAACGGCCAGGAAGAGAAGGCTGGGGTGGTGTCCACGGGCCTGATCCAGAATGGAGACTGGACCTTCCAGACCCTGGTGATGCTAGAAACAGTTCCTCGGAGTGGAGAGGTTTACACCTGCCAAGTGGAGCACCCAAGCGTAACGAGCCCTCTCACAGTGGAATGGAGTGAGCAGCTTTCTGATTTCATACATTTCTCACCCACCAAGAAGGGGACTGTGCTAATCCCTGAGTGTCAGGTTTCTCCTCTCCCACGTCCTATTTTCATTTGCTCCATGTTCTCATCTCCATCAGCACAGGTCACTGGGGATAGCCCTGTAACAGTGTGTAGAAACACCTGTACTCCCTGTGGAATCAGTCATGCATTTTTTTTTTTTGAACCTCCCCATGATGTCACAGGTCAGGGTCACCCGATCTCCCCAAGCTCCAGGCCCTGCTTCTGGGTCTGAGACTGAGTTTCTGGTGCTGCTGCTCTGAGTTACTTGTTTTGATCTGGGAAGAGGGGAAGCATAGGGGCCTACCTGACATGAGGGGAGTCCAATCTCAGCTCTACCTTTTATTAGCTCTGTCACTCTAGACAAACTACTTAGCTTCATTGAGTCTCAGGCTTTCTGTGGATCAGATGTTGAACTCTTGCCTTACATCAAGGCTGTAATATTTGAATGAGTTTGATGTCGGAACCTTGTAACTGTTCAGTGTGATTTGAAATCCTTTTTTTCTCCCGAAATGGCTAGTTATTTTAGTTCTTGTGGGGCAGCCTTCTTCCCCATTTTCAAAGCTCTGAATCTTAGAGTCTCAAGTAAAGAGGTTCAATCTGGAATAAGCATCACTAAACCTGGCTTCCTCTCTCAGGTGCACGGTCTGAATCTGCACAGAGCAAGATGCTGAGTGGAGTCGGGGGCTTTGTGCTGGGCCTGCTCTTCCTTGGGGCCGGGCTGTTCATCTACTTCAGGAATCAGAAAGGTAAGGAGTCTTTGGTAGCTGGCTCTCTCCATAGGCTTTTCTGGAGGAGGAACTATGGCTTTGCTGAGGTTAGTTCTCAGTATATGAGTGGCCCTGAATAAAGCCTTTCTTTCCCCAAACGGCTCTAATGTCCTGCTAATCCAGAAATCATCAGTGCATGGTTACTATGTGAAAGCATAATAGCTTGTGGCCTGCAGAGACAAGAGGAAGGTTAACAAGTAGGGGTCCTTTGGTTTGAGATCTTGGAGCAAATTAAGGAAGAGCCACTAAAGTTAATGGAATTACACTGGATCCTGTGACAGACACTTCATGCTTCATGGGTCACATGGTCTGTTTCTGCTCCTCTCTGCCCTGGTTGGTGTGGGTTTTGGTGTTAGAACTCTCCGGTGGGAGATCTGGGACTGGGATATTGTGTTGGAGGACAGATTTGCTTCAATATCTTTTAAGTGTATATCTTTTCCTCTTTTTCCCAGGACACTCTGGACTTCAGCCAACAGGTAATACCTTTTAATCCTCTTTTAGACACAGATTCAGTTTCTCCAGTGAGAGGTGAAGCCAGCTGGACTTCTGGGTTGGGTGGGGACTTGGAGAACTTTTCTGTCTTACAAGAGGTTTCTAAATGCACCAATGAGTGCTCTGTAAAAACACACCAATGAGTGCTCTGTAAAAATTGACACTCTGTGGCTCGCTAGATGTTTGTAAGATGGACCAATCAGCACTCTGTAAAATGGACCAATCCACACTCTGTAAAATGGACCAATCAGCACTCTTTAAAATGGACCAATCAGCAGGATACGGGCGGGGACAAATAAGGGAATAAAAGCTGGTCACCCTAGCCAGCACCGGCAACCTGCTTAGGTCCTTTTCTATGCTGTGGAAGGTCTGTTCTTTCACTCTTCACAATAAATCTTGTGCTCACTCTTTGGGTCCGTGCCACCTTTAAGAGCTATAACACTCACTGCAAGGGTCTGTGGCTTCACTCTTGAAGTCAGCCAGACCCTGAACCTACCGGAAGGAACAAACTCAGGACACACTAGAATGATGGTAGAGGTGATAAGGCATGAGACAGAAATAATAGGAAAGACTTTGGATCCAAATTTCTGATCAGGCAATTTACACCAAAACTCCTCCTCTCCACTTAAAAAAGGCCTGTGCTCTGCAGGACTATTGGCTCTGGGAGACTCAGGAACTTGTTTTTCTTCTTCCTGCAGTGTTCTCATCTGAGTCCTTCAAAGAGGGGGAAAGAAACGTTAGTAGAGCCAGGTTGAAAACAACACTCTCCTCTGTCTTTTGCAGGATTCCTGAGCTGAAGTGCAGATGACAATTTAAGGAAGAATCTTCTTCCCCAGCTTTGCAGGATGAAAAGCTTTCCCGCCTGGCTGTTATTCTTCCACGAGAGAGGGCTTTCTCAGGACCTAGTTGCTACTGGTTCAGCAACTGCAGAAAATGTCCTCCCTTGTGGCTTCCTCAGTTCCTGCCCTTGGCCTGAAGTCCCAGCATTGATGGCAGCGCCTCATCTTCAACTTTTGTGCTCCCCTTTGCCTAAACCCTATGGCCTCCTGTGCATCTGTACTCACCCTGTACCACAAACACATTACATTATTAAATGTTTCTCAAAGATGGAGTTAAATATCATCTGGTCCATTTGGCTCCAAAGACAAAAAATGAAAAGAAAAGAAAAGAAAAAGGGAAGATTATTTCCTAACAGAATAATGATTTTCACGTGTGTGTCATGAGTATGTGAGGTAATGTATATGTTAAATACCATGATTTAGTCATTCCACACTATAGGCATATAACAAAACTTCATGCTTCCACATAAATATGCTATACAATTTTTACTTGTCAATTAAAAAAGTAATGCTAACATTTAAAAAGGCAGTGCATAAAAACTGAGAACAGACTATAACAACTGAAACAAACTTGGCAAACCGATGAGAAACCAGCCAGCAAGTCAATCAGAACTCTTCACCCCATCTACAATATTTTGTATTTATAACTGTAAATTAGTGTATAGTGTTTCACTCCAGAGACTTCAATAATATAGTGTTATCAAAGGACTTGTACAGATTTCAGAGAAAGACACATTTAGAAGACGGAGAATGGAGTCTCCATTATGTTCTACCTGAGAGTCAGTATGAAATGTCAAATATAAAAGTACATAATTCAGAGGTCTATTTCAAAGTAATAATCATTTGAGCATAATTTCTCCACTGACAGAGACGACTGTTATTTTATTTTCAATCAAAAGTTTTTATGCATATTTTATTTTTAGTTATATGTTACTTGTACATAAGTAGCAGTACAAGTACATATAAATCCTGTAAGAGTATAAATCCTATAGAAATATATTAAGCTGATAATTATGTCTGTTCTGTTTGATCACAGAGATGCAACAAAGAGACCTCATTTCCTAAGTTGAGGAAATGATTTTCTCATTTTATATGAGACTCGTGGTGTGGAATTACAAGGTAGAACCAAAATGTGTGGAATGAATATTTCAATGAAGATGCCTTCTGCTGCTAATAACAGGAAATTACATCTAGTGGGCTTTATTTTTCTTTAACCCATTATCTCACATAGCTGATAGATCCAAGACTGGGCGTCTTCAGGGTTGCTCAACTCAGCAGGCCAGTGGCATCACCAGCAATCCTGAAACTTCATAGCTCATCTCTCTATCACACACAGTATCTCAGCTTTCCTGAGATGGTAGGGTGACCCCTGCAGCAGCTTTAGGTTTGTTATTCATTCACAACAACTCCCAGAGGCAGGAAAAGGATACTCCTTTCTCCTGTGTGCCTTTAGAAGGAGCAACTAAACTGTTTCCAGATTGTTCCCAGTACCCACTTTCTCATGCATTGGAACGACTGTGGGATCACACGGGCTCAGACAAGCCAGGATGCAACCTTTGCAGAGTCGGCCTGATGCACATGGGAAGAAAAGGAGCAAAATCAAATATTTTTAAAAATAAAGAAATGGTGGCTGGAGTAGCAGAAATTGATTTCAGGGTAGGGAAATGATAGATTGTGGTACTATCAGGTCGTAAGTATTTGAGTTAACTTCCACACGAAGGCCTATAGATTCCTGACAGGCACCCTCAATTCAGGGTTTTGGGTCTTTATATATATATATATATGTGTGTGTGCATATATATATATATATATATCTGTGTGTGTATATATGTGTGTGTGTATACATATATATACACACACATACATATGCAAATATATATGTGTGTATATATATGTATACACACACATATATACACATATATATACACACACACATATAGAGAGAGTTATTAAATGTCAGCCATTAACTCAATTACAATAGAACAAAAAAGCAAGCAAATAGGATTGTTTTTAGAACTCAATTAAGTATTCTGACATGTTATTTTATGAGGTAAATGTATTTTCCAGGGAAATTATTGAAAAAAAGTAGAATAAGGAATGAATAGCTCTGTAAGGCACTAAAACACACTATACATTTACTTTTAGAAATGCATTTGTTACTGATTTTTTTAATTAAATATGTTAATAAAACAGAGTCTAGAATTAGAAACAGAAAGAGTTGAGATTTAGTTTCAGTTTTTGTAAGTTGTATTCCAAACTCATTTCTTTCACTAAATAGATCCTGGATAAATAAAACTTGAAACATAAAGAGAAAATATAAAATTACCAAGACAGATGTTATTTCTAATACTGTCATCATCATTATAATTATGTTTGAAGACAAATAGACTTTCTAAACCCTTATGCGTTGCTGGTGGGAGTATATGAGTTTACAAATACCTGATAATTTGGCAATTTCTTAAATAGTTTAACATATGTTTGCCTTATGACCCAGCAATCTCATTCCTTGGAATCTACCTAAGAGACATAAAAACGTATGTCCTCACAAAGATATATGTTAGGGTTCAGAACAGCCTTAGCCATAGTAGGCCAAAACTGAAAACAATCCAAATATCCTTCAACTAGTAAATAGATAAACAAAATTCAACTACATCCAGGCAAGGCAATGTCATTCAACAATAAAAGGGGGCAAAACTAGACTCATCTGGCAGCGGAGATACCATGAACATCACGGTAGTTTTCCCAAAGCAGGTTTCCACCCTTGCACTCCGGATGATGAGACATTACTTAATGGATACAATGCATGTGATTTGGGTGATGGATACTGTGGAAACACCGACTTCACCACTATGCAATCTATGCAGGTACCAAAACTACACTTGTACCTTATAAATTTACACACATGAAAAAAGACAAAAAGAAATGAAAACACAAAATGATGATACATACTACAAAACTTGTGAACTTCAATAATGTTAGCTAAGTGAAAGAAATTGGACACGAAAGATTACATGTCATATGATTTCATTTACTTGAAATATCTAGAAAAGGTAAATTTATAGACACAAAAGCAGATCACTGGGTGCCTAGGGTTTGGGGTCTCAGTGGGACTTAACTATAAATAGAGAAATTTGGGACATGACAGAAATGTTCTAAAAGTGGATTGTTGTGATAATTGCACAAATCTATTAATTTACTCAAATCATTCAATTTTACATATACAGTGAGTGAATTTTGTAGTATTCCAAACCGTGGCTGTGAACACAATGAGTGAATTTTGTAGTATGTAAATTATGCTTTAGTAAGCGTGTTAAAATAATTCTTTTTTTAAAAATAAGACTTTGTAAGCAAGATAAAATCCAAAAGATACAAATGAAAAAATATTTGAAGAAGATTACTGATTTATTTGCATGAAGAAAATAACAAAATTAAAAGAAGTATATGACGCTCAGGAAAAATTTGATCACGTAAGGCAGACAATGGGCTAACTTTCTTAGAAAAATTGTTAACTAATCAATAAACAAATTCATGGAAATGCCATAGATAATTGGGCAAAGGATATAGACTCACTATAGAAGAGAATATTCAAATAGCCAATAAATATAAATATTTGCTCAAACGCACCAATGAACAGAAAAATCCAAATTCAAACAGCAGTGTAATAAACTATTTCTCCCACTCCACAATTGACAAGTACAATAGTTTGTTTTAAAATCAAGATTCTAAGGGAATAGACTCTCTCATATTATTAGGATTTTGAGTTATGGCAGTGTAGTAGTGTCTATTAAAACTCAAAATACAGTTATTATATGCTGATGAAAACAACAAAAATCTCATTTTAACATCCGTCTTAAAGAACAATCCTACATGAGCCCAAGGAGACATAAAATTGGTCGTTTGTTGAGCCACGGTTTGGAATAACAAAAACATTTCCAGATTCAAAAAGAAAAACTGATTAATTTGTCTTGATTATAAAAATTTTGTACATCCTAAAAACTATGCAGCATGTGAAGTGACAGCACACTGCAGGATGACATCTGGTGCTGTATGGGGCACGGTGAGCATATATTGGTGTAACCCTGTGAGTAGTTTGGATAATACAGTATTTCCACTCTAGGTTGTTACAGTCTCAGTAAATTCTTCCTCATATATCCATGATGACATAAAAAAAATGTAACAGGGGAGAAAAGAAACATTCTCTACATTTAGATATAAGAAAGGTAAACTGTGGTATAGCCATACAAAGGAAAAATATTCAGGGCTTTAAGTAAATTATGTAGGACTATCAACATAGATTGGAAAAAATATTAAACCACAATGCAGTGAGGAGGTGGAAAATTATAAGAATTGTCACTGTTACTATAAGAGCAAAAAGATATATAGACTAAACTAAATGGATAAACTGGAAAATAATCTTATTTTTAAAATTTTAACCAGCTGTGGATCAAAAAGTATAAAAATTCCAAATTCCAGAGATGAACAAATCCCACTTAGGTGAGCAGGGACAAGTGTCCACTCTTATTCTTTGGTCCATCTACTGAATCTTAACATGGGTGGAAGATTAAGCCTGGCTGAGAAAGGGAGATTGTGAGGGAGCAAGGACAAACCAGCTGAGTTGTAAATAGCCCCGTGGGCTTGTGTGATGCATTACAATCTATAGAGGGCCCCTGAATAATACATATCTACTTTACCCTGTCAGCTGATTCTCTTTCCAGAACTTTTTCTGACTTCATGCTGGTTGTGTGGGAACTAGGGACGTAGACAGAAGACAACAAACATCTCTCTAGCTTCATGCAAAGATCAGGAAGGAAATCAAGATAGGAACAATACTTTCAACCATCTTGACTTAGTTGGCATTTATAATTGACATAAATTGACAACATCTGATAACTACAAAATATTTATTTATTTGCATTGCACAAAGATAATTCATGAAATAGAACAAATACTATGACTATAGAACTAGACTCAGTACTTTTACAAGAATAAAATCATACAGAGTATATTCTCTGAACACAATCTTATCAAATTACAAATTAGTAAGATTGAGAAAACTGCCTAAATTTTTGGAACTAAAATAATACATTTCTAAATAATTTATGGCTTGTCAAAGAGGAAATCAGAAGGAAATTAGAAAATAATTTTAAATAAAATAATATTAAAATGAATTTTAAAAATTTTCAAGATGCAACCAAGGCAGTCCTTAGAGAAAAATATTTAGTTTTAAATGCCTGTATTATAAAGGGATAAATATGTAAAAATCAAAGGTGTAAACTTTTAATAATAAAAAGAAGCAAATTTAAGTTGAAAAAAGTAGAAGAAAAAAGCAAAGAGGTGAGGAAGTTGATAAAATTATTTTCTTGGTTTTGTTTTCTATTTGTCCATGATAGAGCATAATTATGTTAGTCCATTCTTACATTGCCAGAAAGAAATACCTGGGGCTGGGTAATTCATAAAGAAAAGAGGTTTCACTGGTTCAGGGTTCTGCAGGCTGTACAGGAGGTGTGGTGCTGGCAATTGCTTCTGGTGAGGGCCTCAGGAAACTAACAATCATGGGGGAAGGAAAGGGGAGCCCGGGTATCACATGGTGAGAGCAGGAGCACAGCGAAAGTGGGGGAAAATTAAGGCCAAGTGCTGAATTCTGTCAAATCGTATTTCATGACTCTATTCAGTTGGTTGCATGTGTATTCTCCTTCCTTCAGTTAATGTCATGAATCACACTAACTGATTCTCAAATGCTCAAACAACCTTACATTTCTGGAATAACCTCCACTTGGTCATGATATAGTAGCCATCTTTTATATCACTGAATTCACTTGGCTAATATTTCCTTAAGAACTTGGCTCATAAGAGTTATTGGTCTCTTAATTCCTATTTGTTATAGAGTTCCCTTCAGGTCTTGAAGTAAAGTTTACACAGATCTCATCAAACGTAATTGCAAGTGCTTTTCCTTTTTTCAAATATGTTTGAAGTTTGTATAAAGTTAATGTTGTTTGTTCCTTAAATATTTTTAAGTAGTTACTGAAGCTAGATGAACCTAGGGTTTTGTCTTGGGAAAGCTTTATAGAATGGACTTACTTTCTCTACGAGATGTGGAACTGTTCCTATTTTATGTTATTTGTCAGCTTCAGTACATTGTACATTTTGAATAATTTATTCATTACATGCACAGTACATTGTACATTTTGAATTATTTATTACATGCATATTTATGTTGTAAAGTTTTTCATAATATTTAGTATGATTTCATGCTGATAAATCTGTAAGATTATAACAAAAGGTATGAAATTTGTGTTACTGGAGTCTTAGAGGGAAATGACAAATGGGTGATGCCCAAAGAGTGCTTGAAGGAAGACTGACTACTTTCCAAATTTGGACAAAGGCTTAAATGTAAAAATTCAAGAATCTGTGCAAACCCAAATGAAAATAAATCCAAAGAAATTTATGCCAAAAAAAATCTCAAAAGCAACAAGAGAGAAAGGACATCTCATGCACAGGAGAAAATATATTAAATGACAGTGGATTGCTCATTAGAAATCAGGCAGACCAGACAGAAGTGGCACAAGATATTTTAATGGTTGAAAGGAATGTTAACCTAGAATGTATATCCAGTAAAAACATTATTATAAAATGTTCTATCATGACTTTTTTTTCCTTTTACTTTTCTTTTTTTGTTTGTTTTTTGTTTTTTAGATGGAGTTTTCATCCATCTAAAAAAAAAAAACCCAGGCTAGAGTGCAGTGGCGCGACCACGGCTCACTGCAGCCTTTGCGTCCCAGGCTCATGTGATCCTCACACCTCAGCCTCCTGAGTAGATGGAATTACAGACACACACCACCACGCCTGGCTAATTTTTTGTATTTTTGGCAGAGACAGGGTTTTGCCATGTTGCCCAGGCTTGTCTCGAATTCCTGAGCTCATGGGATCCGCCTGCCTTGGCCTTTCAAAGTGCTGGGATTACAGGCGTGAGCCACTGCGCCTGGCCATGACATACTTAAAGGAAGGAAAATCAAGAGAATTTCATGCTAGGAGACTTATGTTAAAACAAGGGCTAAAGGAAGTGCTTTAACTGGAATAGAAATGATAATGGAAGAAATCTTGGACAATTGGGAAAAAAGTAAACAACAAATGAGTAAAAATATGGTTAGATACAACAGACTTCTTCAGTTTTGTAAATTAACTTGATGGTTGAGGCAAAAATTACAACATTGATAGATGTGGTTTTGATGCAAGTAGAGAAAATAAAACATATATATTACACATGCAGAAGTGGAAAGGGATATAAAGGAGGTAAAGTTTCCACACTTTAGTCAAATTGGTAAAATGTCAGCACCAGTAGACTATGATAAGTTATGTTAACAGACAGATAAATCACGAAAACTATACAATGAGATACACCAAAAAAAGATTGATTCAAAAATGGAATTCTAAAAATTGCTTAAGGAACACATTGGAAAATAGGAAAAGAAACCAGAGAAGAAAAAACCAAAGGAAACAAAAAAGAAAACAAAAAACAGATGGCAGTCATAAGAGCTCACATATTAATAACTGCATTACATGTAAAGTGTGTAAAAAGACAAATGCCAGAGTGAAAAGCAATGACTCTTCGACATGCTCCCTATAAGAAACTTACTTCAAATATTACATGCCCATCTTCCCTTGGCTTCCCTGTGACTGAGGTGGCAAAAGGCTGGTGTGTCAACACTGCCCTGAGCGTGCACACACCCAGCCAGTCTGTGACAGCACTGGGGCTTTGCCCCAACTCCACTCTGAGATCAGAGTGGGCACCTGGGACCCGAGTGAGGCCAAGGGAGAGGCCAGAAAGTGGGAACAGACACCCCCAAGGCTGCATGGACAGGAGGGCCTTCTCAGCCTTGAGGGAGTGGAGTGTAGAGAGGCCTGGATCCTGTTGCCTGCGGGGAGGGCCGGGAGGGTGGGGTTTCCAACCCATTCCGTGGAGCCTGCAGGTATCCCCTGTCACACCTTCTGGCAGCCTGGGGTGGGCAGCTCCCCTCGCTGGGCGCAGGCCAGCATGTGGGGCAAGGGTGATGTCTCTGCAAGTTATTCTGCTAGCACTCAGGGTGCCCGGGGCTCCTTCTCGCCTGGATGGGGCGGGGGAGGCACCTTGGGGAACAGATCCCAGCCCGGGCCTGGCTGTCAGGAGCATCAGGCTGGGTGGCCACCCGCGGGGACAAAACCCTGGACGGCCTCAAGCAGAGCCTCTTCCTGAGGCGCAGGAACTGGGCGCCCTTGGCAGGGCGGGAGAGCGGCCTTGCCGCTGGCCGGGTCCTCAAAGTGAGGCCACTCCCATGTCCCACCCCGGGTCACTGAAGGGTGGCCCCAGCTCCATGCCCTCCCCACAACTGCAGGGTGAGAGCAGCAACGCAGGAGTGAAGGCTCTGGGCCTGGAGGCGGTCCTGCTGGCTGTTCAAGAGTGGGGTCAGTGCAGTCAGCTGCCTCAGTGACGCGAGGCACAGGGGATATGGGGCACAAGGGTCCCACCACGGCCACTACTCCCTCAGTGGCTGCTGCCGCCACCGCTTGCAACTTCCCGCAGCAGCCGGCCACTCTGGACAGCTCGCCACTGCCAGCATCACCACCCTTTTATCCTGAAATACTAACATGAACCTTAGCTGGATTTCCTGGATTACTACTATCACAATTAATTTCTTTTTTTCACAAATTTGTTTCTTTTTTCTTTTTCTTTTGCTTTTCCCCTTCTTTCTGAAGGAGTATGATCTAATGGCTGAGCTTGAGAGGTATATAATTTGGCTCAATCTATAGTGTACTGTTTACTAGTGTATCTTGGCAAAATTTGTTTTATTTCCATCGTTTTAGTCTCTCCACCTGTAAGCATGAAAACGGTGTTTATTTTACTGAGCTGATGTGAGAATTAAATAAAAATATGAAGCATAGAAAGCTTTTAGTACAATTCTGAGTACAAAGTCAAATGCGCATTTTTATTGCAGCATGGTGAGAATCCTGCTCCTGGAAACACTAAGGCACATAAGGAAGGAGTGCCTATCTCAACTGTGGTACAGTGTGAATTAATGCAGAGCTTTATATGTATAGTTGTACTTTGAAGTCCATTCTGAATCTTAGATGTCACATTTATATTAATATAAAGCATAATAATTATCTAAATGTAGAATTATATGTTTAAAATTACATGATTACATCAGCTGATGTAATTCATAGTTTTTCCCTAGGGTTCTCTTTCCTGAACATTCTGTAACGTATTAGTTAGCACAGTCTTCTTATATCTTCCCTTATGATAAATCAAAAGAAGCATAATAGTAAAGGGCCATAACCTCAATCAAATGAGGAAATCCTAATGGGAACCAGGAATGAGGGATTGAACACTCTTCACATAAAATATTAATTATTTTACAGCAGTGTTTTTCTGTCAACAGCTGACTTTGAGTCCTTGATCAATCTCTCAGACCCCTGAATACTTCGATTGCACAGTTGACCTTATCACATTGTTAGGGTAAGTGCTATACAAAGGCACCTTCAGACCCTCCATTGCACATAGGTGGTCCCTGCAAGCCCCTTCCTGTGTGTGTTCTGGAGGTGCCACTAAACTTGGGGACACACTCGGCATGTAATTTGCTTAGCCTGTTAATGGATTACTGTAAAGGGGATAGAACAATCAAGCTTATTTCTAAGGATTTTGTCTTGACAAATAAGCGGATGGTGGTGTTGTTTATTGAGATAGGGAAAATTGTGGGAGGAAATTATTTGAAGTGGGTGGTTGGAAATGATTTATTGACATTTATGTGGAACAATCAGAAGGTCAAGGGAATTTAAGAGACTCATGGTGAGTTCAGGGCTGGAGGTGTTTATGTTGATGGCATCAATACGTGTACTCTGTTAAATTCCAGGGAGTGGAAGAGGATACATAGGGTAATAGCTTGTGTGTAGAAAAAAGAAGAAGTCACAGGCCAGCAAAGGGGACTGAGAGGGAGCCCCAGGGATGTTGAAGAAAAACCAAGAGAACACAATGCATGTAAGTCAAGGAAAATAGATTTTTTTCAAGAAGAAGGGAGAAGCCAATGAGTATCACAAAGTGGGTGAAGTGAGAATGTGAGAGAGAAGCAAGTGCTGGGTTTGCTGGAGTTGGTATTTGCAGTCAATGGAGTATCCAGGATGGAAAATGGATTGGACCATTTGAAGAGCAAATAGAAGTGAGGATGAGGTTAAGGTTGACTGTTCTGAGTAGAGAGCTTCAGGGAAGGACTGCGCTCTGGGTTCAGGGAGCCAGCTGAATCTAAAGGAGAAGGCTAAAAAGGCTGAAGAGAAGCAGGAGGATCTGTGAACCAGAGATGCTCAGTCATCATTGGCAAGGAAATACGAGAGGGTCCCTGTGTGCAGTGGTGAATGTTCATGCAAAACATCACACAGCCAATATTTCACACAGCCCATATTTATTAGTGACTTAGAATATGCCAGCTACTACTCTAAATCATGAGAATGGAGTGATGAATAAAATGAATCTGGTCTCCATCAGTACATGCCGTATAACATTTTGCAGTGACTGCGTACCAGGCCTTTGATTTTCAGTATACAATTTCAATAATGATCCTATTTTATCTGTGGTGTTTAAAAACATATACATCTCTGGAATCTAAAATTGAGAAGATATAAGTAAAACCCAGTATCCCAAATGTAGTGCTAGAAATCAGATTGCAGTTTAAATCTGAGCATGTAGAAAGTCCCTTTCTCCTATGTCAGCAGATGCCTTTTGTGTGAGGTTTGTTTAGGTATACTGCATTATTAGACATAAGCTAGTATTTCTGCCCTATGTTTTCAGAATGACAATTCTTTATGAAACTAATAGAAGAACAGAAAACAATTGCAAAATCATGATGAAGATACTAATTGCTTTAGAATCAAGGAATAAGAAAAATAATGTGAGCTGCAGTTAAAGGGATCATAAAAAATTAAAATGAAAATATTTTTGAGTGTTTGTTATGTGATCAGTGCTAAGAAGTCATTATTTAATTTTACACTTAAAAATAATCCTGTGAAGATGATGCTATTATTAAATGCATTTGATAGATTACAAAAAGGCTTTGGTTAGTAAAAATTGACCCAAGTAGAAGAGATTATGTTTCTATTCAGATTCTCTGATTCTAGAGATTGAGAGTCTGCCCATTATTAGTGAGTAGTGACCAGATTGTGTCTGAATTATTGACAGAATTCCTGATATTCATATGTATCAGGTTGTTTCTTGAAGTGGGAGCAGAGATGCAAGGGCTGCTAATTCCAATGTATAGGAGAAATTTTCATTCATTTTGCATTTATCATTTTAAAAGTTCTATATGTCTCTCCTGGGCATGTGTTGAAGAACACAAGGAAGTATTAAATCACTCCTTGTTCTGAGGTTTGACTAGCAAGTTGGCCTGAGGTTGCCAAATAAAATACAGGTTCCTAGTTAAATCTGAATTTCAGATACACACCATAATTTATTGGAAATCCAAATTTAAGTGGGCATCCTCTGGTTTTATTTGCCAAACCTTTTGACCCTAACTGGGACACATGAGCATGGATTACAGTGCTAGTCATGCAAACCACAGTGACAGCGACTTCACACATGTTTATTTTTTAACTTTCTCTCTGTAAAGAAAGTGCTTAGATAATTTAAGAATAAAAAGACAGACATTTTTGATCCAGGGCATCGTTTCTAAAGGACAAAGAGAGCTTTGCAAAGGTCGTACTCAAAGTCTGGGACCTGCTCATTTTTGCAAACTGTCTGTATGAGAATGTCATTTTCTTGGTTTCTCCCTTTCTGAGGGGAATTGACTACAAAACCAAGAGTTCTACCTCTGGCCAAGGCTGGAAATTTGATGCCTGCTAGTATTGTTGGGAGTGGAAGACTGAGAGAAATGAGTTAGTTGGGGCATTAAATGGGAATAAAATGGCTCTGGTTGTGATTCATTACTACAGATAATTAGTGGACCAGTGGCACAGAAATTAAGAAAGAAGATGCTATGGAAGATAAATGATATGATTTGATGACTGATTATAAAGGCAAGGAAATCAGTAAATCTTGGTTCTCCACAAGTTCATTTTCTGGAAACATAGCACTGTATTGGGACCAGAATTCTACAACATTTTCATTTTCTGTAGGACCAAGATTTTCAACAGATGTTTTTCAAAGTAATTCTCAGCTGCTCCATAACTAATAGTGGCTTGTTCAACACAGATTTTTTCAAATGGTTCACACCCATGGTTCTTACCCAGGGATAGTTCACCACCCCTCCCTTCCCTCCCATCACCCTTGGGGAACATGTGGCAATGTTTGGAGGAATTTTTGGTTGTCATAACAGGGATTTCTTCTGATATTTAATGAGTAGAAGCCAGGGACACTTCTAGAGAACCTGCAATGTACACAACAGCCTCCATCACCAACAAAGAATTACCTGGTCCAAAATGTCAATAGTGCTGAGGTTGAGGGCACTGGTTCACACTGTGCTCTTTCTGAAAAGTCTAGACTTACATCTTTTTGTTTTGTTTTGTTTTGTTTTTTTGAGATGGAGTCTCGCTCTGTCACCCAGGCTGGAGTGCAGTGGCACAATCTCGGCTCACTGCCAGCTCTGCCTCTGGGTTCATGCCATTCTCCTGCCTCAGCCTCCCGAGTAGCTGGGACTACAGGTGCCTGACACTGCGCCTGGCTAATTTTTTTGTATTTTTTTAATAGAGACTGGTTTTCACTGTGTTAGCCAGGATGGTCTCGATCTTCTGACCTCATGATCTGCCCGCCTCAGACTCCCAAATTGCTGGGATTACAGGCGAGAGCCACCATGCCTGGCCTAGACTCACATCTTTTATACAATCATCACCCAATTCACTTCTTTATGGCTAATTTTTGCTTGTTTCATTATAAATAACTAGACAGTTGCATAAATTCAACCACTTTCTTGTTGAATCCATTCAGTGTAGAGAGCCAGAGGCTGGAGAATCATGACCAACTCAGAATTTCCACTGAGGCAATATGATCAAACAGCAAACTGTTTATCATGAATACAGAGCAGGGGCAAACTCTCCTCTGTGCTGGCCACCAGAAGGTTTGCTGAGGGCAATCACTCCCTGGCGCTGAGCTCCTTCAGGTTATCTACTGGGACTTCTAGAATCTATTGTTCAAGGAATGCAGTCTTGGAAGGCTGCTCTGGAGCAAGCAGCAGACCGACAACGACCCCCTTCTTGCTATCTCTTCTCAGTAAATACAAAGGAAGCTCAAGGCTCAGGGCCTTTGTTCACAAAGAGCAAGGTGCCCCTGACCCCTTCTTCCAAATATACTCTTTTGTCTTTATTTCCACGTTCATCCTCCTCTGTTCAGTCCAACAGGGTCCATGGCATAGTGATGTTCAAACAGCGACAGGGCGACACCATAGTGGTTTCTAAACACAGGGACATGAGAATGTGAACAAAGAAGATCTGGTGGAGCAGAGGAACTGAATTTGACAAGATGAATGGGGATCCCGAGATGAGTCTGCTGGCAGCTGATATAAGGTCAGTGCCCTAAAGAGGTACTGGGAGCAATATAAGGTCAGTGCTCTAAAGAAGTATTGGGAATGGGAAGTTTTCTGAATCAGAGTAACATGAGGCAGAATTTGTCTATCGAAGAAAAACATTATGTGCAGTTGCTTAAAGTTTTGTTGAAATAATCTGGTGCTCAGGTTAGATCTCAGACATTAACTACAATGCTGCAGGAGGTTATTATGCATAACCCATGGTTCCCACAGACAGGCACTCTTGATATGGAAAATTGGGACAGAGCAGAAGGATTAAAACGGGCTCAGTAAAAAGGTCTCAAAGTTGATCCTTCCATTTTCTCCACTTGGAGTTTAGTCCATACTGTCCTTCTGCCATTATCTCCTTCTTATTCTGCTGGACAGCAGGAGTGATGTTCTGAGTCTAAAAATCTGAAAAAATCTGTTGTCCCACCCACAGCTCCAATTGAAAATAAAAAACAGGAGAAGGAGGATAAAAATTGGCCTATACCACCTCCTCCAATAGCAGAAACATCTGTACTGCCTCCTTCGGTAGCAGAAATAGAGACCCCAATACAGAGAATTTTACACCTTGCTGCCATAGCTGGAGAGCCCTTAGGACCTTGCACTTTTCCTATTTCTGTAAGGCCTGATCCAAATAATCCATAGCAGCTTATTCATGAACACACTCCACTAGAGTTTAAGTTGTTGAAGGAATTGAAAGGAGTGTGGTAAATAATGGTGTACAGAGCCTGTTCACTTTAGGATTGCTAGTATCTGTATTTGGTGCTGTGCGCCTTCTACCCTTCAATGTAAAGAATTTGGCTCACACTTGTTTGTCTCCTAGTGCATACCTGACATGGAATTTAAATTGGCAAGAAATGTGTGCAGACCAGGCTAGACGGAATTGTGTGGCTGGACACAGAGACATTACAGAGGACATGCTCTTAGGTAATGGCCCTTATTCAGACCTGGAACATCAAATGGCACTCCCAAATGCCAGCAGTGTGCACAGGCTGCTAAATGTGACTGGGCCACAATTCCAGAAGAGGGAGTCCCAGTGCAATCCTTTTTACATATCATGCAAGGGTCACAAGAACCTTATGCACAATTTCTTGCATGACTATAGAAGGCAATGAAGCATCAGATTTATCACACCACTGCTGCAGAGATGCTAACCTTAACTCTAGCTTTTGAGAATGCAAATGCAGATTGTAAACGTGCATCGGCACCTGTGAGGTGTACAAAAAACTTGGGAAATTTTCTCAGAGCTTGTCAAGATGTGGGAAATGAGCTTCATTGCTCTACAATATTAGTGCAGGCAATGGCTAATTTAGCAGTTGACAAATCTAAAAGGAACCAAGGGTCAAACCCTAAAATGGGAAAATGTTATAACCGTGGAAAAACTGTACTTTTTTTTTTTTTTTTTTTGAGATGGAGTCTCGCTCTGTCGTCCAGGCTGGAGTGCAGTGGTGCAACCTCGGCTCACTGCAAGCTCCTCCTCCCAGGTTCACGCCATTCTCCTGCCTCAGCCTCCCAAGTAGCTGGGGCTACAGGCACCTGCCACTACGCCCAGCTAATTTTTTGTATTTGTTTAAGAGATGGGGTTTCACCATGTTAGCCAGGATGGTCTCGATCTCCTGACCTTGTAATCCGCCCACCTCTGCCTCCCGAAGTGCTTGGATTACAGGCATGAGCCACCGTGTCCAGCCAAAACTGGACATTTTAAAAAGGAATTCCGCCAGATCTCAGGACAGAAAGGACATTACGATGCAGTGCCCCACCCAGCAGAAAAAAACACCAGGACTTTGTCCTCACTGTAACAAAGGAAATCACTAGGCTAATCAGTGCCGCTCAAAATTTCATCAAAACAGCACCCACCTGTCACGAAACTAGAAGGGGGCGTGGACCCGGGCCCCTCAAGCAATGAGGGCATTTCCAGTTCAGACCACAGTCCCACTTCAGGGATGGGTCTCAGGAAAAACATTGATTCCTGGTGTTCCTCACCTCAGGAACACCAGGAAGTGCAGGATTAGATATCCCCACCAGAGAAAGAACTACATTAGTTGGAGGAGACAAACCTACCAAGGTTCCCACTGGCATTTGGGGATATTTACCAACAGGATACATAGGACTAATTTTAGGCAAAAGCCCCCTTAACTTGCAAGGCATGACTGTAGTCCCTGGAATAGTTGATTCCATTTATGAAGGAGAAATTCAAGTAGTTTTAATGTCGAAAATCTTTGCATTTTTGAACTGGGAGAATATATTGCTCGGTCGTTGCTTATTCCCTGCAAATTAAATCCTTCTCCACGAAAGGAGAAACGAGGAAATAAAGGGTTTGAGAGCACAACTACAAGGGAAATCTATCTATCCCATCCCATAGCCCATAGGACTTATGGATAGAGGAGCTGAAGTGTCAGTAATATCCAGTAAGGACTGACCCCCAGTATGGTCTCTCAGACTAACCTCCACATCCCTAGTGGGAGTAGGAGCAGCTAAAAGTGTTCAACAGAGTGCTGACATTTTACCTTGTCTTGGTCCGGATGGACAGCCATGTACTTTTCAGCCTTATGTTGCAAATATGGCAATCAATTTATGGGATCGAGACTTACTTACAGCATGGAATATGAGACTTACAAATGAAAACTTTGATAACCCAGAATTTAAAATGTTGAAGGACATGGGATATCAGAGTGGGAAAGGTTTAGGGAAATTCCTACGAGGAAAAGCTAACCCAACATCAATAACTGGAAAAAACAGATAGAAGAGGGCTAGGACGTCAGGATTTCTGATGAGGGTCATTGATATTTCTCCTCCACCCTCTGC
Source organism: Homo sapiens (assembly GCF_000001405.40). Taxonomy (NCBI): domain Eukaryota; kingdom Metazoa; phylum Chordata; class Mammalia; order Primates; family Hominidae; genus Homo; species Homo sapiens. The sequence goes on along the minus strand of NT_167248.2, from coordinate 3,699,304 downwards.
CTTACCATTAGAATGGCCAGTGACAAACCTGTATGTGTGGATCAATGGCCCCTATCTCAGGAGAAGCTGACACAACTTCAGCAGCTAGTATAAGAACAACAGGACACAGGACATGTAGAGGAGTCAGTAAGCCCCCAGAATTCACCAGTGTTTGTTATTCCAAAAAAGTCCGGAAGGTGGTGACTGCTGCATGTTTGGAGTTAATGCACAAATTGAACCAATGGGTCCATTACAGCAAGGTTTGCCAACTCCAGTGGTCATTCCTAGAGATTGGCTTCTTGTAGTAATACATCTTAAGGATTGTTTCTTCACTATACCATTACACAAGAAGGATAAGCCTCGATTTGCCCTCTCTGTGCCTTCTATTAATCAAAAAGAACCTGTTTCTTGCTATCAATGGAGAGTTTTATCCCAAGGCATGCTTAACAGTCCTACGTTATGTCAGCATTTTGTAGGACAGGCATTAAAGGAGCCTCGAAATATGTTTCCTACTGCTTACATCATTCATTTTATGGATGACATTCTTTTGGCCACTCCTACAGATCAAATCTTACATCGGTTATTCTAAGAAACAAAGTAGGCTTTAACTAAATGGAATGTCAAAATAGCTCCAGAAAAGGTAGAAACAACTTTGCCATACCATTACTTAGACAATATTGTTACTGAAAGAAGTGTACGGCCTCAAAAGTAGTTCTCCATAAAGACAGGTTACAGACTTTAGTCCAGCCGCGGTGGCTCACGCCTGTAATCCCAGCACTTTCGGAGGCCGAGGCAGGCAGACCACAAGGTCAGGAGATTGAGACCATCCTGGCGAACACGGTGAAACCCTGTTTCTACTAAAAATACAAAAAAATTAGCCGGGAGTTGTGGCGGGCGCCTGTAGTCCCAGCTACCCAGGAGGCTGAGGCAGGAGAATGGCATGAACCTGGGGGGCTGAGCTTGCAGTGAGCAGAGATCGCGCCACTGCACTCCAGCCTGGGCGACAGAACGAGTCTCCATCTCAAAACAAACAAACAAACAAACAAACAAAAAAAAAGACAAATGAGTGCCTATGTGGTAGCATGTGAATTAATGCAGAACTTTATAAGCATAGTTGTATTCTGAAGTCCATTCTGAATCTTAGATGTTATATTTATATTAATAAAAAGCATAGTAATTATCTAAATGTATAATAATATGTTTAATATTACATAGTTACATCAACTGATGTAATTCATAGTTTTCCCTAGTGTTCTCTTTCCTGAATATTCTGAAATGTATTAGTTAGCAAAGTCGTCTTTTATCTTCCCTTATGATAAAACAAGAGAAACATAATATAAAGTGCTATAGCCTCAATCAAATGAGGAAATCATAATGGGAACCAAGAATGAGGGATTGAACACTCTTCACATAAAATATTCATTATTTTAAAACATAATGTGGCCAGGCACGATGGCTCACGCCTGTAACCCCAGCAGTTTGGGAGGCCGAGGCAGGAAGAACATGAGGTCAGGAGATCGAGACCATCTTGGCTAACACAGTGAAACCCATCTCCACTAAAAATACAAAAAATTAACCAAGCATGGTGGCAAGTGCCTGTAGTCAGAGTTACTTGGGAGGTTGAGGCAGGAGAATCTTTGAACCGAGGAGGCAGATGTTGCAGTGAGCTGAGATCGCTCCACTGCACTCCAGCCTGGGCAACAGAGACAGACTCCGTCTCAAAAAAAAAAGAGTTGTTCTATGAACAGCTAACTTTCACAGTCTTCGATCGATCTCTCAGACCCATGAATACTTGGATTGCACAGTTGACCTTATCACATTGTTAGGGTAAATGCCATACAAAGGCACCTTCAGACCCTCCATTGCACATAGGTGGCCCCTGTTAGCCCCTTGCCTGTGTGTGTTCTGGAGGGGCCACTAAACCTGGGGGCAGCATCAGGAGACACACTTGAAAAAGATATTCTTACTCAGATTAAATTATTAACAAACTTTCAATTTCCTTTAACTTATTAAAGACATCCCTACCTGTAAACAGGTACGGATTAAGCTCTCTAGTCAATAGCTGTCATTCTGTCATATTATCAGATACCCGGGGCTGCTGCTCCTTCAGGCGTCCACAGAATCACAGCATTTTCCAGTATCGAAAGACCTGAAAGATCACAGTGCCTTCATTTCAACTGTGAGACATGAAATAATTTTCCCAAATCTACAACATTAAGATATGGTGCAATAAGGACCAGTTTAAATGTCTCCGGATTTACAACCATGTTCCTTCCATCTCCTTTACTCCTAAACACACTCACACACTCACTTCTGCAAACAGTTGTCTTGTTAAGTGGGAAATGAATGCTCTTACAAGGCTCAAACTTATGAACACATCACTGACCAGCACAGAGCTGGCTCACAATCGGACCCAATTAAAGTGTTTTACATGCAACTGGATCAAATCTTTCAAGTACTAATTTAAAAACAATCCTTTAAAGAAGGAAATTCTGTTTCAGAAGAGGACCTTCATACAGCATCTCTGACCAGCAACTGATGATGCTATTGAACTCAGATGCTGATTGGTTCTCCAACACGAGATTACCCAACCCAGGAGCAAGGAAGTCAGTAACCTCCTCCCCATAATTTGGAATGTGGGTGGAGGGGTTCATAGTTCTTCCTGAGTAAGACTTGCCTCCTCCTCTGGCCCCTGGTCCTTTCCTGTTCTCCAGCATGGTGTGTGAAGCTCCCTGGAGGCTCCCGCATGGCAGCGCTGACAGTGACACTGATGGTGCTGAGCTTCCCACTGGCTTTGGCTGGGGACACCGGATATAAGTGCACATTGTGGGTGTTGAGCTACTATGGGGTGGGGAAAATAGGGAGTTTTGTTAACATTGTGCCCAGGCCATGTCCCTTAAGACTTTGTGACTTTTTGGTCAGAGATTGTGCATCTGTATTATTGGATCCCAAATTATCTCCTCCACGAAAGGAGCTTGACTACTTGCTCATGACACAGTCCATGAGACTGTGTAAGGGGCCTTCGTACAGATCATTTCTTTTCAAATCTCCACCAATAAAACCTTTGCATCACATGTCCTCAGGGTGTTTAGAGGATTTGGAAATAAGGATGCTAAAATAATTTCCCCATACGGCACTTCCCTTTATTATGTTGACTTACGTCAGACAAAATGACGTTTTTACTGAAAATTTTGTGGGAGTCAAGGGAATTCAAAGGGTCTCTTCTAGAGGATCCTGGGTTATGTCCTCCACAGGAACTTTGGTGTTGGCCCCTCTTCCTCAAATGTGAGGATGTACCAATGGCCTCCCCATTATCTCCTTTCTTTTTCTTTCTAACTCCAATGTTTATAAAGCCTATATCCCTGTAGTGTATGTAGGTTCTCTGACAGAAGTTATACTTAGTGCTCTGTCTTTCTTATGGGGAAAAATCCCTGGAACTGAAGCTAAGATCTTTAGTACTTGGAGTCACCCTACAGATAAAGAGCATCTCTGGGGTGTTCTTTCGTGCCTAAAGAACTTAAGGCATCCTCGGAAAACCTGGCCCAGCTTAGTGTTTATTACGAATCTCTTCTAACCTTTCTATAGAAATTTCTCCTACATGTCCTACATGCTCTAACTAGACATAACAAGAAGATATTCAACTAACGTAGGATAAATTATATGAAATTCTATTTTTGTAAGTCAAAAACAGTCAAATATCAGAAATTTAATAATGTTCAAACTATATACTGTGTGGGGTTATAGAGACAATGTGGACATTGTTCACATCCCATAGGGCTGAAAGTCAATGAGCAAGTCCTGGGAACTCATTGTCTTACTGGGGTCTTGTCTTAAATTTCATAGGTTCACCCATTATGCCCTCAGCTTTCCTTAATTAGCCATGTCTGCTTACCTCTTCCTCCAGTTTTTATTTTTCCCCAGCTATGTTGTCATCATTTCCAGAAATTCCTAAAGCTTGCACAGACCCAGAGCACTATGAGATCCATTGAAAGAGATTTTTTCCTTTTTTTGAGACAAGGCCTGGCTCTGTCACCCATGCTGTAGTTCCGTGTTATGATCTAGGCTTACTGCAACCTCTGCCTCCCAGGCTCAAGCGAGCCTCCCTCCTCAGCCTCCAGAGTAGTGGAGACTACAGGCAGGAAACCATGCCCAGCTGATTTTTGTAATTTTGCTAGAGATGAGACTTTGCTATGTTACCCAGGCTGGTCTTAAACTGCTGGACTCAAGCAATCCTCCAGCCTTGACCTCCCAACATGCTAGGGTTATAGGTTTGAGCCACCGCACCCAGGCAAAAAATAGATGAATCTTAATTTAAAAATTTATTATTTCTTAAATCACTGTTAATCTTTATCTGTGAATTCTTACAACTAGAAGGAGGAGAAAGAAGAACTTTGCCTGTATTTCACACCGGGAGGAGAAGGGGTCTAGTGTGACATCAAAATGAAAGAGTGCTGGAGTTTGAGCCCCTTCTTGCTTTCCAGGATCCAAACAGTGATCAGTTCCCAGATCCCTGGTTTATTCATGTAAACCACACTTATTTTTCTCAGCAGCTACTGTGTACTCGGCTCCATTCCAAGTTCAAATCATTGTATTTGATTAAGATAGAGAGGGTCCCGACTCTCATGGAAGTTACACAACAATAGAGGAGACAGACATTAACCCAATATGCAATTAACAAAGAAGATAACGTTAGAGAGTAATAGTGCACTGAAGAAAAGACATCAGGTTTGTGGAAAAGAGAGAAATGGATTCACCCAACTTTAGCTCATGTGTTTAGAAAGCTCTGCCTGAGAAAGTGACATTCAGCTGAGACAACAAAATAAGTAGAGAGCCATGTGAAGATCTAAGGGACGAAAGTTCCAGGGAGACAGAATGTGGGGGCAGGGGGAGCAGGAAGCCCTGGTGTGGGAAATTACGTGCAGGGACAGAAAGAAAGCTAGAGACACTGAACTATAGCATTCAAGGAAATGCAGAGGCAGAGGATGAGGTAGGAAGCAGAGAGGAAGTCAGGAGCCTCATTATATTAGGCTCTGATGTCCATGGTAAGAAATTTGAATTTTATTTTATTTATTTTCATTTTTTTATTTCATTATTTATTTTTTGAGATGGAGTTTCGTTCTTGTTGCCCAGGCTGGATGCAATGGCGTGGCCTCGGCTCACTACAACCTCTGCCTCCTGGGCTCACGTGATTTTCCTGCCTCAGCCTCCCGAGTAGCTGGGACTACAGGCGCCTGCCACCATGCCAGGCTAATTTTTTAGTATTTTTAGTAGAGACAGGGTTTTACCATGTTGGCCACGCTGGTCTCGAACTCCTGACCTCCGGTAATCTGCCTGCCTTGGCTTCCCAAACTGCTGGGATTACAGTCATTAGTCTCCGTACCCAGCCTGAATTTTATTTAAATAGATGTGAGACACTACTGGATGGTTACAAGGAGAGTCAATTCATGTTCAGTTTTAGAAACTAATTCTAGCTTTAAAGTAGAGGGAAATTTATAGCACTAAATGCCCACAAGAGAAAGCAGGAAAGATCTAAAACTGACAACCTAACATCAAAATTAAAATAACTAGAGAAGCAAGAGCGATCACATTCAAAAGCTAGCAGAAGGCAAGAAATAACTAAGATCGGAGCAGAACTGAAGGAAATAGAGACACAAAAAACCCTTCAAAAAAGTCAATGAATCCAGGAGCTTGTTTTTTGAAAAGATCAACAAAATTGATAGACCGCTAATAAGACTAATAAAGAAGAAAAGAGAGAAGAATCAAATAGATGCAATAAAAAATGATAAAGGGGTATCACCACCGATCCCACAGAAATACAAACTACCATCAGAGAATACTATAAACACCTCTACGCAAATAAACTTGAAAATCTAGAAGAAATGGATAAATTCCTCGACACATACACTCTCCCAAGACTAAACCAGGAAGAAGTTGAATCTCTGAATAGACCAATAACAGGCTCTGAAATTGAGGCAATAATTAATAGCTTACCAACCAAAAAGTCCAGGACCAGACAGATTCACAGCCGAATTCTATCAGAGGTACAAGGAGGAACTGGTACCATTCCTTCTGAAACTATTCCAATCAATAGAAAAAGAGGGAATCCTCCCTAACTCATTTTATGAGGCCAGCATCATCCTGATACCAAAGCCGGGCAGAGACACAACGAAAAAAAAAGAGAATTTTAGACCAATATCCCTGATGAACATCGATGCAAAGATCCTCAATAAAATACTGGCAAACCGAATCCACCAGCACATCAAAAAGCTTATCCACCATGATCAAGTGGGCTTCATCCCTGGGATGCAAGGCTGGTTCAACAAATGCTAATCAATAAAGGTAATCCAGCACATAAACAGAACCAACGACAAAAACCACATGATTATCTCAATAGATGCAGAAAAGGCCTTTGACAAAATTCAACAACCCTTCATGCTAAAAACTCTCAATAAATTAGGTATTGATGGGATGTATCTCAAAATAATAAGAGCTATTTATGACAAACCCACAGCCAATATCATACTGAATGGGCAAAAACTGAAAGCTTTCCCTTTGAAAACGGGCACAAGACAAAGATGCCCTCTCTCACCACTCCTATTCAACATAGTGTTGGAAGTTCTAGCCAGGGCAATCAGGCAGGAGAAGGAAATAAAGGGTATTCAATTAGGAAAAGAGGAAGTCAAATTGTCCCTGTTTGCAGATGACATGATTGTATATCTAGAAAACCCCATCGTCTCAGCCCAAAATCTCCTTAAGCTGATAAGCAACTTCAGCAAAGTCTCAGGATACAAAATCAATGTGCAAAAATCACAAGCATTCTTATACACCAATAACAGACAGAGAGCCAAATCATGAGTGAACTCCCATTCACAATTGCTTCAAAGAGAATAAAATATCTAAGAATCCAACTTACAAGGGATGTGAAGGATCTCTTCAAGGAGAACTACAAACTGCTGCTCAATGAAATAAAAGAGGACACAAACAAATGGAAGAATATTCCATGCTCATGGGTAGGAAGAATCAATATCATGAAAATGGCCATACTGCCCAAGGTAATTTATAGATTCAATGCCATCCTCATCAAGCTACCAATGACTTTCTTCACAGAATTGGAAAAAACTACTTTAAAGTTCATATGGAACCAAAAAAGAGCCCTCATTGCCAAGTCAATCCTAAGCCAAAAGAACAAAGCTGGAGGCATCATGCTACCTGACTTCAAACTATACTACAAGGCTACAGTAACCAAAACAGCATGGTACTGGTACCAAAACAGAGATATAGATCAAGGGAACAGAACAGAGCCCTCAGAAATAATGCCACATATCTACAACTATCTGATCTCTGACAAACCTTACAAAAACAAGAAATGGGGAAAGGATTCCCTATTTAATAAATGGTGCTGGGAAAACTGGCTAGCCATATGTAGAAAGCTGAAACTGGATCCCTTCCTTACACCTTATACAAAAATTAATTCAAGATGGAGTAAAGACTTAAATGTTAGACCTAAAACCATAAAAACCCTAGAAGAAAACCTAGGCAATACCATTCAGGACATAGGCATGGGCAAGGACTTCATGTCTAAAACACCAAAAGCAATGGCAACAAAAGCCAAAATGGACAAATGGGATCTAATTAAACTAAAGAGCTTCTGCACAGCAAAAGAAACTACCATCAGAGTGAACAGGCAACCTACAGAATGGGAGAAAATGTTTCCAATCTACTCATCTGACAAAGGGCTAATATCCAGAAACTACAAAAAACTCAAACAAATTTACAAGAAAAAAACAAACAACCAAAGCAACATGTGGGTGAAGGATATGAACAGACACTTCTCAAAAGAAGACATTTATGCAGCCAAAAGACACATGAAAAAATGCTCATCAACACTGGCCATCAGAGAAATGCAAATCAAAACCACAATGAGATACCATCTCACACCTGTTAGAATGGAGATCATTAAAAAGTCAGGAAACAACAGGTGCTGGAGAGGATGTGGAGAAATAGGAACACTTTTACACTGTTGGTGGGGCTGTAAACTAGTTCAACCATTGTGGAAATCAGTGTGGCGATTCCTCAATGATCTAGAACTAGAAATACCATTTGACCCAGCAATCCCATTACTGGATATATACCCAAAAGATTATAAATCATGCTGCTATAAAGACACATGCACATGTATGTTTATTGTGGCACTATTCACAATAGCAAAGACTTGGAACCAACCCAAATGTCCAACAATGATAGGCTGGATTAAGAAAATGTGGCACATATACACCATGGAATACTATGCAGCCATAAAAAAGGATAAGTTCGTGTCCTTTGCAGGGACATGGATGAAGCTGGAAACCATCATTCTCAACAAACTATTGCAAGGACAAAAAACCAAACACCGCATGTTCTCACTCATAGGTGGGAATTGAACAATGAGAACACATGGACACAGGAAGGGGAACTTTACACACCGGGGCCTGTTGTGGGGTGGAGGAAGGGGGGAGGGATAGCATTAGGAGATATACCTAATGTAAATGAAGAGTTAATGGGTGCAGCACACCACGTGGCACATGTATACATATGTAACAAACCTGCACATTGTGCACATGTACCCTAGAACTTAAACTATTAAAAAAAAAAAACCGATAATTCTTTTTTTTTTTTTTTTGAGATGGAGTCTCGCTCTGTTGCCCAGGCTGGAGTGCAATGGTGCAGTCTCAGCTCACTGCAACCTCCACCTCCCAGGTAATTTTTGTATTTTTAGTAGAGACGGGGTTTCACCATGTTGGCCAGGCTGTTCTCAAACTCCTTACCTCATGATCCGCCTGCCTCAGCCTCCCAAAGTGCTAGGATTACAGGCGTGAGCCACTGCGCCCGGCAGAAAAGAGGTAATTCTTAATGAAAATTTTTTTCTTTCTTACAATCACTGTTTCCTTATCTGTGAATCCTTCTTCCAACTAGAAAGAGGAGAGAAAAGAAGTTTGCCTTAATTTCTCACAGGGAGGAGAAGGGATATAGCATGTCATTAGAATGAAAGGGTGCAGGAGCTTGAGCCCTTTTCTGCTTTCTAGAATACCCAGAGTGATCAGTTCCCAGAACTTCGGTTTATTCATTTAGACCACAGGTATGTTTCTGAGCAAAAGTTTTGTTCTGGTCTCTGTTCTAGGCTCAGAGATTTCTACTTGAATAGGATAAAAAAGATCCCTACTCTCATGGAACTCAATACCAGAGGAGACAGACAATATCCCAATAAATATTTAACAAAAAAGAAAAATTCAGAGAGCAATAATGCCTTTAAAAAAAGACATCAGGGTGATAGGACAGAGAGAATTGGATTCACCCAACTTCACATTGGATTCACAGGTAGTTTGGGAGCCCTCCCTGAGGAGAGCTCACATTTAGCTGAGACAAGAACAATAAGACAGCCATGTGAAGATCTAAGGGACAAGTGTTCCAGACAGACAGAAAAGGGGAAAGGCCAAGGAATGGGAAGGCGTGTGCTGTGTTGAAGAGACAGAAAGAAGGTTAGAGGGGCTGAAGGATGGAAAGCAAGGGGTGGAGTGGCAGAAGATGAGGTAAGAGAGAGAGAAAGTCAGGAGCTGCATCATATTCGGCCTTGGTGGCCATAGTAAGGAATTAAGTTTTATTTAAACATATTGGAAGCTCCTGGGAGGTTACAAGGAGAGTCCATTAATATTATGTTGCGGGAAGTCAGGGACCCCAAACAGAGGGACCGGCTGAAGCCAGAACAGAAGAATGTGGATTGTGAAGATTTTATGCACATTTATTAGTTCCCCAAATTAATACTTTTGTAATTTCTTATGCCTGTCTTTACTGCAATCTCTAAACATAAATTGTAAAGATTTCATGGACACTTATCACTTCCCCAATCAATACCCTTGTGATTTCCTATGCCTGCCTTTACTTTAATCTCTTAATCCTATCAGCCGAGGAGGATGTACGTCGCCTCAGGACTATGTGATAATTGCATTAACTGCACAAATTGTACAGTATGTGTGTTTGAGCAATATGAAATGTGGGCACCTTGAAAAAAGAACAGGATAACAGCAATTGTTCAGGGAATAAGAGAGATAACCTTAAACTCTGACTGCCGGTGAGCCAGGCAGAACAGAGCCATATTTCTCTTCTTTCAAAAGCAAATGGGAGAAATATTGCTGAATTCTTTTTCTCAGCATGGAATGTCCCTGAGAAAGAGAATGCGCACCTAGGGGTAGGTCTCTGAACTGGCCCCCCCGGGGCGTACCTATCTCTTCTGGTCGAGATTGCAGAGGTGAGATAGATTCCAGTCTCCCATAGCACTCCCAGGCTTATTAGGAAGAGGAAATTCCCACCTAATAAATTTTGATCAGATCGGTTGATCTCAAAACCATGTCTCCTGATAAGATGTTATTGATGACAATGGTGCCTGAAACTTCATTAGCAATTTTAATTTCGCCTCGGTCCTGTGGTCCTGTGATCTCGCCCTGCCTCCACTTACCTTGTGATATTCTATTACCCTGTTAAGTACTTGATGTCTGTCACCCACACCTATTCGCACACTCCCTCCCCTTTTGAAAATCCCTAATAAAAACTTGCTGGTTTTTGTGGCTTGTGGGGCACTGTGGATCCTACCAACGTGTGATGTCTCCCCCAGCTTTAAAATTTCTCTCTTTTGTACTCTGTCCCTTTATTTCTCAAGCCGGCCGATGCTTAGGAAAATAGAAAAGAAACTACGTGATTATCCGGGCAGGTCCCCCGATAATATTCAATTTTAAAAATAATTCTAGCTACTATGTGGAGATTGGATTGTTGGGGTTCACAAGTGGAGAACAGCAGAATTCTCCAGGGAAGACAAATTTTTGGCTTCATGTAGTGTAGTAGTGACAAAGACAGATCCAGATAAAGTGAACAGACTTGGGATGTCTTTTTGCATGACTTGTTAATGGATTAAATGTAACTTATTTCTAAGTATTTTGCCTTGATAAATAGGTGGATGGTGGTGCTGCTTATTGAAATAGGGAAGAATATGGGAGGAAATGATTTGAAGTGGGTGATTAGAAATGACAATTGTGTTTATTAAAATTGAGATGATTTTTGAACTCACATGAAGCAATCAGGAAGTCAACTGAATATAAGAGAGGAGTTCAGGGTGAGGCCAGGGCTGGAGGTATTTATGTTGGGGTCGATGCAGGTTCTGTGTTAAATTCCAGGGAAGTGGAAGAGGTTGCAGAGGGAGATAGATTTTTGTGTAGAAAAAATATCAGAGGGCCACAGGACAGCATAAGGGACTGAGAAGATTCCCCAGAGATGCTGGAGAAAAAAAACCCAAGGAATGTGATGCATGGGAATCAAAGAAAAATGATTTTTTCGAGGCGAGGGAGTGGCCAGTTGTGGTGAGAACCACTGACAGGTGAGTGAAGTAAGAACGTGACAGAGACGCAAGTACTGGGTTTGGAGGAGTTGGTATTTGCAGTCAGTGGAGTATCCAGGATGGAAAGTGGATTGGACCAGTTGAAGAGCGGGTGGAAGAAGTGAGGGCTGGATGAAGTTTGACTCTTTTGAGTAGCGAGCCTCAGGGAAAGACTATGCTCTGGGATCAGGGAGCCAGCTGGATCTAAAGAAAATGAACAAAGAAGCTGGATGACCTGTGAACCAGAGACAGATGCTCAGTCATTGGCAGTGAAGCACTAGAAGGCCCCTGTGTACAGTGGTGACAGGTTATGCAAAAGGCTATTAGTTCATACAGCCAATATTTATTAGTGACTTAGAATATACTAGTTATTACCTTGGGTGATGAGAATGGAGTAATAAACAAAGCAAATCTGGTCTGTATTAGCGTGGAGTATTGTAATATTTTGCAGTGACTAATTACCAGGCTTATAAATTTTGGTATGGAAATCTAATACCTATCCTATCATATCTTTGGTATTTAAAAGCATATACATCTTTGGAATCTAAAATTCAAAGGGTATAATGAACTTACCCACTGTCACAAAGTTAGTGCTAGAAATCCGATTGCAATTTAAATCTGAGTATATATGAAGTCCCTCTCTTCGATATCAGCAATCTCCTTTTGTGTGAGGTTTAGGCATGTGAATTATTATATATAAACCAGTGTTTCTGTCCTCATGTGTTTAAAATGGTAATTAGTGCTAAATTAATAAAAGACAATTGCCAAATCATGATGTAGACGTTACTTGCTTTAGAAGTTAAGGAATAGAAAAATAATGAAGCTTTCCTTTATAGGGATTGTAAAAATAAAATGGTAATATATTAGAGTGATTATTATATTATCAGCACTAAGAAGAGCCACTGCTTAGTTTTACCCTCAACAATAATCCTGTGAGGAATATATTACTGTTGGATCCATTTTATATATATATTTAAAGGTTAATGATTGTTAAAATTAACCCAAGTAGAAGGGGTCATGTTTAAATTCAGATTTCCTGATTCTAGAGCCTGAGCTTACAACCACCATTAGTGAATAGTGACTAGACTGAGTCTGAATTATTGATAGAATTTCTTATGTACAGGGTGTGTCTCAGGGTGGGAGAGAGATGCAAGGTCTGCTAGTCCCAATGTAAAGGAGAAACTTTCATTCATTTTGCATTTATCATTTGAAAACTTCCCTATGTGCACGCTGTCATAGGCATGTGTTAAAGAAAACAAAGAAGTATTAAATTCACTCCTTCTGAGCATTATTAGCAAGTTGGGCTAAGGTTGCCAAATAAAGTACAGGATACCCAGTTAAATCCGAACTTCAGATAAACAACAATAATGTATTTGAAATCCAAATTTAACTAGGCACCCTCTATTTTTATTTGCTAAATATGGCAATCTAAGCTTGGCACATGAGCATAGACTGCAGTGCTAACTATGCAAGCTACAGTGACGGCAACTTCACATATTTTTATTTTTCAACATTCTTATCTGTGAAGAAGGTGCTCAGAGAATTTAGGAATAATAAGATAGACCTTATCTCATCCAAAGTGCTCTCCTCTCTGCTATCATTTCTGAAGGGTGAAGGGAGCTTGTGAAAGTCTCTACGCAAAATCTGGGGACTTGCTCGTTTTTTGGAAACTATCTATGAGAGAATGCCATCTTCTTAGTTTCTCCCTGTATTAGTCTGTTTTCAGGCTGCGGATAAAGACATACCCAAGACTGGATAATTTATAAGGAAAAAGGGCTATAATAGACTCACAGTTCCATGTGGCTGGGGAGATCTCACAATCACAGCGGAAGGTGAAAGGCATGTCTCACATGATGGCAGGCAAGAGAAGAATGACAGCAAGCGAAAGGGTTTTTCCCTTTATAAAACCATCAGATCTCATAAGACTTATTCACTGTCATGAGAACAGCATGGGGAAAGACCTGCCCCCATGACTCAACTATCTCCCACCTGGTCCCTCCCACAACACGTGGGAATTGTGGGAGCTACAATTCAAGACAAGATTGAAATGCTTACGCAGCCAAACCATAGCACTCCCCTTCTGAGAAGGCTTAACTACAGAAATGAGAGTTCTGCCTCTGTCCAAGGTTGGTAATTTGATGCCTCCTTGTATTGTTGGGAGTAGGAAACTGAAAGTTAGAAAATGAATTAGCTGAGGCAGTGAGTAGTGGACCAGTGACACAGAAATTAAGAATATGACTTGGCGACTGGGAAGGCAAATAAATCAGTAAACCTTGGTTCTGAATGAATTAATTTTGCTAGAAAAATAGCTCTGCACTGGGACTAGATTCCTAAAAATCCTAAGTTTTATGTAGGACCAAGATTTTAAATAGATAGAATATTGGCAGAGTTTTCAGTGTAAATCTCAAATATTCCATAATTAATAGCGGCTTTTTAACCATAGATTTTTCAGATGGTTACACTAGTGGGTCTCACCCAGGGATAGTTCACCACCCCTCTGTCCCTCCCTTCCCTCTCCCAACTCCCTAGGGAACATTTGGCAATGTCTGGAGCCATTTTTGGTTGTCACACCAGGAGTTTCTTCTGACATGTAACAAGTAGAAGCTAGGGACCCTAGTAGACAGCTCCTCTCACCAAGAAAATATTATCTAGTCCAAAATGTCAATAGTGCCAAGGCTGAGAACACTGGTTTACATTGTGTTTCTTCTAAAAATTCTAGACTCACACTTTTAAAACACATTTATCTCTTAGTTCAGCTCTTCATGGCTTAGTTTTGCTTGTTTCATTGCCAAAAAAAAAAAAAAAAAAAACTAGACAGTTGCATAAATTCACTGCTTTCTTGATGAATCCATTCAATCAATGCAGGTTCAAGATTTTCATTTTTACTTTTTTGCGTTATGCAGTTTATTTCAAAATTTTGATGTGTTCTTGATAATTACTATCTCTATTAACTTTCAACAACTGGTAATTATAAGTCATAAATGGTGACGACTATCCCAAATATTTTTCAGTAAAATGCTTCAGATTTCTGCAGTAATTCTACATTTTATACTACTGATAATGTAAGATGCTTTCTATTCACTGTGGTACATATACACCACGGAATACTATGCAGCCATAAAGAGGAATGAGATCACGTCCTTTGCAGAGACATGGATGAAGCTGGAAGCCATTATCCTCAGCAAATTAACACAGAAACAGGAAACCAAACACCGCATGTTCTCACATATAAATGGGAGCTAAACAATGAGAACACATGGACACAGGGAGGAGAACAACACTTACTGGGGTCTGCTGGGGGAGGGCAGAGCTGGGGAGAACATTAGGGAAAAGAGCCAATGCGTGCTGGGCTTAATACCTAGGTAATGGGTTGATAGCTGCAGCAAACCACCATGGCACATGTTTACCTGTGTAACAAACCTGTACATCCTGCACATGTACCCAGAACTTAAAAAAAAAATTATTATTTTAAAAATGCTTTCTATTCATCTCATTTTATTAAACACAAGGATTTTTCTTTATTTTTTATTTTTCATAGTTCATTTAAACATAAATACAAAAACATCAAAAATATATACATGCACAGTATTTGAAATCTGTGTGTATTTACACATGCATACGTATGTTTGTATGTTTATATATATTGAAACTACAGATGCACATGTCACCAGTAAGAGCTCTGTGACACTTTTGAGTCCTTACCTCTTCAGATCAGATTTGCCAAATGAGTTTCGGCAACAAATTAAAAACAACAGCAAGTGAATTCGTGAGTTTTCTGGATTTAGAAAGTCCAAAAAAAAAAGTTTGTGGACCTGTGTTGGGGTCATGGACTCTTCAACTGTTTCCCATTACATTTAGTATAAATCGAAATCCTAACATGACAATGATTTTAATTGTTCCCTTCTTGTGATTTCTCCAGTTTAATCTTTTCCCCTCCTTTCCTTCATGCTGTGCTTTAGTGAACTTTTTTCTGGTTTCTTGAAGAAGTTCATCAATTCTTTCAAGCTTTTGTACATGATATTATGCTTACCTGAAATGTGCCTCCCTTTTTGTCCAGAGACACACACGGGCTCCACTCTGCCCCCTGGCTCACACCCACTAAACCTGTAAGGTCACATTTGAGCTGTCACTCTCAGAGTCCTTCTCTGGCACCCTAATGTAATTTAGATCATCCTATTCTTTCTTCTAGAACTCCACACTTCTCTTAACATTTTTCGTTCCTGTATAAGGTGTTGCGTGTTTGGTTTTTTGCCATCAATTTCACTTCTCTTTAAGCTCCTCCAGCGGAGGGATGAGGTCTATTTTTCCCGTTTGGATTCCCAGGAGACGGCACAGATGAGACACAAGGTAAGCACTAAGGAAGCATTTACAGAATGGAGGCAGTGGGTCTTGTTTAAGGAATGAGTAGAGTGTGGCATGATAGGAGGCAGCAGAAGTGTCTTTTGGATGGAGGCTCCCAGGAGGAGGAAGCGCAGGAGACAGTGATGAGGAAGGTGATCCTGATCCAGAGCCTTGCAAAGAGGCGTCCAGCTCAGCTCGGAAATGGGTAGCGGATCCCAAATGGTATTCCACGCCCCTCGCAGCCTCCCTCCGCCTCAGGCAGATGGAAGAGGAACCCCTAGGTGGTCGGGGGTGGCTGGTGGGGGCCAGTCAAGGTGTTCCGCCCCTCGCCCTGCTGATTGTGGGCATAGCCATCACTCTTTTCCTAGGATGCCGCCCAAGAAACCGGTTCTTCATGTCCCTGCGGCACATTTCTTGGAGCAGATTAAACACGAGTGCTATTTCTGCAATGGGACAGAGCGGATGCGGTTTGTGCAGAGACTCGTCCACACCGGAAGGAGTATGCGCGCTTCCATAGGGACGTCAGAAAGTTCCGGGCGGTGGCGGAGCTGGAGCGGAGAAGAGTCCAGGAATGCAAACAGCCAGAAGAACCTCTTGGGCTGCTTGCGGGGTCTGTTGGACACCTACTGCAGACACAACTACGGGGTTTTTGAGAGCTTCTCCATGCACAGGCGAGGTGAGCAAGGCGGGTGGGGGAGGGCAGTAGGGTCCCTGAGAACAGGGAGTGTGTGTGTATGCACACGTAAGCACCCTGTGGGAGGGTGTAGGATTGTGAGCCAGAAGGAATTAGGAGGGCTCAGGTAGGTGAGTGTAGAGTGGGGATTTGTCTGTGTGTCTGCTGTGGGAGGGAACACAGGAGGGAGCTTCAGCTTGTCCTTCCAGCCTTCTGGGCAGAGATGAGATGAGATGGGGGTGGGAATGGTGGTGCAGGGGGCTGGAGAAGGAGACCTTAATCGCCCTGAATCATTAGAGATGCAGGAAAGGGAAACTTACCTAGTCTGCTGTTGGCATGAAAGTTTAGGGGAGAAGAGATGAGAAATGATAATGTGAGGGATAATGTGAGGAGGCTAGTCACAAACTGTCCTTGGTACACACCCTTTATGATCCCGAAATCTCTGAAATAAAAGTGTATGATATTTGTTTGCATAAGCATTTCACTGAGAAAAAAGTATTCAACTAATTTCTTTCTTTTTTAT
This sequence comes from Homo sapiens, assembly GCF_000001405.40. NCBI lineage: Eukaryota > Metazoa > Chordata > Mammalia > Primates > Hominidae > Homo > Homo sapiens. The sequence continues at coordinate 3,682,387 of NT_167248.2, read as the reverse complement.
TTTAAACTTTTATTTTAGTTTTAGGGATACATGTACAGGTTTGCTCTATAGGTAAACTGCATGTCAGGTGTGTTTGATGTACAGATAATTTCATCACCAAGGTAATAAGCATAGTATCTCACAGGTATTTTTCCTGATCCTTTCCCTCCTCCTATCCTTCACCCTCAAGTAGGTCCCCATATCTACTGTTCTCTTCTTTGTATCCATGTGTACTCAATGTTTAGTTCCCACTTATAAGTGAGAACATGTGGTATTTGGTTTTTTGTCCCTATGTTAGTTTGCATAAGATAATGGCCTCCAGCTCCATCCATGTTCCTGCAAAGGACATGATCTTGAGAGGTGACGCTGGCTGGGCTTCTGGGTTGGGCAGGGACTTGGAGAACTTTTCTGTCTAGCTAAAGGATTGTAAAAGCACCAATCAGCACTCTGTGAAAACACACCAATCAGCACTCTGCATCTAGCTAAAGGTTTGTAAACGCACCAATCAGCACTCTGTAGAAATGCCCCAATCAGTGCTCTGTGTCTAGCTAAAAGTTTGCAAACGTGCCAATCAGCACTCTGTAAAATGGACCAATCAGCAGGATGTGGACAGGGCCAAATAAGGGAATAAAAGCTGGCCACCCCAGCCAGCAGCTGCAACCCACTCAGGTCCCCTTCCACACTGTGGAAGCTTTGTCCTTTCACTCTTTGCAATAAATCTTGCTGCTGCTCACTCTTTGGGTCCGCACTACCTTTATGAGCTGTAACACTCACTGCTAAGGTCTGCAGCTTCACTCCTGAAGCCAGCAAGACAACAAACCCACCAGGAGGAACGAACAACTCAGGACGCACCACCTTTAAGAGCTGTAACACTCACTGTGAAAGTCTGCAGCTTCACTCCTGATGTCAGCGAGACCACAAACCCACTGGGAGGAATGAACAACTCCAGATGCACCACCTTTAAGAGCTGTAACACTCACAGCAAAGGTCTGCGGCTTCACTCCTGAAATCAGCAAGACCACGAACCCACCAGAAGGAAGAAACTTGGGATACATTTGAACATCTGAAGGAACAAACTCCGGACACACCATCTTTAAGAACTGTAACACTCACCACGAGGGTTCATGGCTTCATTTTTGAAGTCAGCGAGACCAAGAACCCACCGGAAGGAACCAATTCTGGACAGAATCTCATTCTTTTTATGGCTGCATAGTATTCCATGGTGTATATGTACCACGTTTCCTTTAACCAGTCCACTGTTGATGGGCATCTAGGTTGATTCAATGTCTTTGCTATTGTGAACAGTGCTGCAGTGAACATATGTGTGCATGTGTCTTTATGGTAGAATGGTTTATATCCCTTTAGGTATATACACAGTAATGGGATTGCTGAATCAAATGGTAATTTTCTTTTTAGTTCTTTGCACCCCACTGCTTTCCACAATGGCTGAACTAATTTACATTTCTATTAGCAGTGTATAAGCATTCTCTTTCCTTGCAACCTCACCAGCATCTGTTATTTTTTGACTTTTTAATAGTAGCCATTCACACTGGTATGAGATGGTATCTTATTGTGATTTTGACTTGCATATCTCTAATAATTAGTGCTGTTGAGAATTTTTTCCTATGTTTGTTGGCTGCATGTATGTCTTCTTTTGAAAAGTGTCTGTTCATGTCTGTTCATGCCCATATTTTAATGAGGTTGTTTGGTTTTTTTCTTGTAAATTTGTTTAAGTTCCTTATAGATTCTGGATATTAGACCTTTGTCAGATGCATAGTTTGCAAATATTTTCTGTTGCAGGTGAGCAATAACTATCTGGGCCAGTGGCGCCAGGGTAAAAGAATTTACCAAGACAGTTGTAGGTAGAAAAAAAAAGCAGATTTATTAGAGAAAGTAGGAAAATATGTTGCAAGGAGGCAACAGGCAGGCAGGCCAGCAGAAGAGAAGCTGACTGCACGGAAACAAAGGCTTGCAGGAGATTTTATAGGATGGTTCTTAGGCTGCAGAGTGCTATGTGCAGTAGCAACAATGCCAGGGTTGCAGTGAGCTAGTTTATAGATGTCTGATGATAGTTGGGCACGGGAAGACTGTGAGTTATTTGCACAGGAGGGCTGTGTGTTCTGGACCATGAGGAAAGACAGACTTACAGCTTATTTGTTTTACCTCTTTGCTTTCTTCTGGTCCCACCAGCCTGACTCCTTTTCCCGAATTAGGACTTGACATTTTCTCCATTCTCTAGGTTTTCTATTTACTCTGTCGATAGTTTCTTTTACTGCACAGAAGCTCTTAAGTTAAATTAGGTCCCATTTGTCAATTTTTGTTTTTGTTGTGATTGCTTTTGGTGTCTTTGCCATGAAATCTTTGCCAAGTCCTATGTTCAGAATGGTATATTCTAGGTTACTTTCCAGGGTTTTTATGATTTTAGGTTTTACATTTAAGTCATTAATTCATTTTAAGTTGATTTTTGTATATGGTGTAAGGTAGCAGTCCAGCTTCAGTCTTCTGCATATGGCTAGCCAGTTAGTACAGCACCGTTTATTGAATGAGGAGTCCTTTCCTCATTGCTTGTTTTTGTCATCTTTGTCAAAGATCAGATGGTTGGAGTTGTACAGCATTATTTCTGGACTCTCTATTCTGTTCCATTTGTCTGTGTGTCTGCTTTTGTACCAGTACCATGCTGTTTTGGTTACTGTGGCCTCATAGTATAGTTTGAAGTTGAGCAACATAGTAACTCTTACTTTATTCTTTTGCTTAGGATTGCCTTAGCTATTTAGGCTCTGTTTTGCTTCCATATGAATTTTAAAATAGTTTGTTCTAGTTCTGTGAAGACTGTCAGTGGTAGTTTAATGGGAATAGCATTGAATCTATAAATTACTTTGGGCAGTATGGCCATTTTAATGATATTGAGTCTTCCTATCCATGAGAATGATAATTTTTTCCATTTGTTTGTGTCATCTCTGATTTCTCTGAGCAGTGTTTTGTAGTTCTTCTTGTAGAGATCTTTCATCTCCATAGTTAGCTGTATTCTTAGGTAATATGTGTGTGTGTGGAAATTGTGAGTGGGATTATGTTCTTGATATGGGTCTCAGCTTGAGTGTTCTTTGTGTATAGGAATGCTGCTGATTTTTATATGTTGATTTTTTTTATCCTGAAACTTTGCTGAAGTTGTTTATCAGCTAAAGGAACTTTTGGGCCAAGATTTGGAGATTTAGGGTTTTCTAGACACAGGATCATATCATCTGCAAACAGGGATAGTTTGACTTCCACTCTTCCTCTTTGAATGCCCTTTATTTCTTTCTCTGGCCTGATGTTCTGGTCAGGACTTCCAATACTATCTTGAATAAGAATGGTGAGGGAGGGCCGGGCACAGTGGCTTACACCTGTAATCCCAGTGCTTTAGGAGGCTGAGGTGGGTGGATCACGAGGTGAGGATATCAACACCATCCTGGCTAACATGATGAAACCTGGTCTCTACTAAAAAAAAAAAAAAAAAAAAAATGCCAGGCGTGGTGGCATGTGCCTGTAGTCCCAGCTACTTGGGAGGCTGAGGCAGGAGAATTGCTTCAACCTGGGAAGCGGAGATTGCAGTGAGCTGAGATCGCGCCACTGCACTACTCCAGCCTGGCAACAGAGCAAGACTCTGTCTCCAAAAAAAAAAAAAAAAACAGTGGTGAGAGAGGGCATCCTTGTCTCCTGCTGATTTTCAAGAGTGATGCTTCCAGCTTTTGCCCATTCACTATGTTGTTGGCTGTGGCTTTGTCATTGATGGCTCTTATTATTTTGAAGTATGTTCCTCCAATGCCTAGTTTACTGAGGTTTTTTTTTTTTTTTAAGATGGAGTCTTTCTCTGTTGTCAGGCTGGAGTGCAGTGGCGGGATCTTGGCTCACTGCAACCTCCGCCTTCTGGGTTCAAGCGATTCTCCTGCTTCAGCCTCCTGAGTAGCTGCGACTACAGGCGCATGCCACCATGCCCAGCTAAGTTTTCATTTTTAGTAGAGACAAGGTTTCACCATGTTGGCCAGGATGGTCTCAATCTCCTGACCTTGTGATCTGCCCACCTCAGCCTCCCAAAGTGCTGGGATTACAGGCGTGAACTGAGCATTTTTAACATGAAGTGCTGTTGAATTTTATCAAAAGCCTTTTCCACATCTATTGAGATGATCAGGTGGTTGTTGCCTTTCATTCTGCTTTATGTGATGGATCACATTTGTTGATTTGTATATGTTGAACTAACCTTGCATCTCAGGGGTAAAATCTACTTGATCGTGGTACATTAGCTTTTGATGTGCTGCTTGATTTGGTTTGTTAGTATTTTGTTAAGGATATTTGCATCTATGTTCATCAAGAATATTGGCCTGAAATTTTCTTTTTTTGTTGTTTCTGCCCGGTTTTGGTATCAGGATGATGCTGGCCTCAGAATGAATTGGGGAGTAATCCCTTCTCCTCAATTTTTTTGGAATAATTTTAATAGGAATAGGACCAGGTCTTCTTTATCCATCTGGTAGAATTCAGCTGTGAATCCATCTGGTCCCAGGCTTTTTTTGGTTGGTAGGCTTTTTATTACTGACTCAATTTCAGAACTCATTATTGGTCTGTTTAGGAATTCAGTTTCTTCCTGGTTCAGTCTTGAGAGGGTGTATGTGTCCAGGAATTTATCCATTTCTTAAATATATATTCATTTATATTAGTCCATTATCATGCTGCTAATAAAGGCATACTTGAGATTGGGCAATTTACAAAAGAAGGAGGTTTAATGGACTCGCAGTTCCACATGGCTGGGGAGGCCTCACAATCATGGTGGAAGGTGAAAAGCACATCTCACATGGCAGCAGACAAGAGAAGAGGACTTGGGCAGGGAAACTCCCCTTCATAAAACCATCAAATCTCATGAGACTTATTCACTATCACAAGAATAGTACGGGAAAGACCTACCCCATGATTAAATTACCTCCCACCAGGTCCCTCCCACAACATGTGGGTATTATGGGACCTACAATTCAAGGTGAGATTTGGGTGGGGACAGGGCCAAACCATATCATTCCACCACCGGCCCCTCCCAAATCTCATGCCCTCATATTTCAAACCAATCATGCCTTCTCAAGAGTACCCCAAAGTCTTATTTCTACATTAACTCAAAATCCACAGTCCAAATTCTCATCTGAGACAAGGCAAGTCCCTTCTGCCTATGAGCCTGTAAAATCAAAAGCAAGCTAGTTACTTCTTAGACACAATGAGGGTACAGGCATTGAATAAATGTACCCATTCCAAATGGAAGAAACTGGCCAAAATGAAGGGACTTAAAGGCTCCATGCAACTCTGAAATCCAGCAGAGCACTTAAATCTTAAACTCCAAAAAATGACCTCCTTTGATTCCGTATCTCACATCCAGGTCACACTGATACAAGAGGTGGGTTCCCCTGGTCTTGAGCAGCTCCGCCCCTGTGGCTTTGCAGGATATAGCCTCCCTCCAAGCTGCTTTCATGGGCTGGCATTGAGTGTCTGCAGCTTTTCCAGTGCATGATGCAAGCTGTCAGTGGATCCATCACTCTGGAGTCTGGAGGATGGTGTTCCTCTTTTCAAAACTCCACTAGGCACTGCCCCATTGAGAACTCTGTGTGAGGGTGCCCACTCCACATTTCCCTTCTGCACTGCCCTAGCAGAGGTTCCACATGAGTGCCCTGCCCAGGCAGCAAACTTCTGCCTGGACATCCAGGCATTTCCATACATCCTCTGAAATCTAGGTGGAGGTTCCCAAACCTCAACTCTTGACTTCTGTGTACCTGTAGGCTCAACACCACATGGAAGCTGCCAAGGCTTGGGGCTTGCATCCTCTGAAGCCGTGGCCTGAGCTCTATGTTGGCCCCTTTTAGTCACAGCTGGAGCGGCTGAGACACAGGGCACCAAGTCCAAAGACCGCATACAGCACGGGGACACTGGGCCCAGCCCAAGAAACCACTCTTTCCTCCTAGGCCTCCAGGCCTGTGATGGGCAGGGCTGCCATCAAGACCTCTGACATGGCCAGGCATGGTGGCTCACGCCTGTAATCCCAGCACTTTGGGAGGCCGAGGTGGGTGGATCATGAGGTCAGGAGATCGAGACCATCCTGGCTAACATGGTGAAACCCCGTCTCTACTAAAAATACAAAAAATTAGCCAGGTGTGGTGGCGGATGCCTGTAGTCCCAGCTACTTGGAAGGCTGAGGCAGGAGAATGGCATGAACCCGGCAGGCAGAGCTTGCAGTGAACCGAGATCATGCCACTGCACTCCAGCCTGGGCGACAGAGCGAGACTCTGGAAAAAAAAAAAAAAAACCTCTGATATGCCTTGGAGACATTTTCCCCATTGTCTTAATAATTAACATTCAGCTCCTCGTTACCCATGAAATTTCTGCAGCCGGCTTGAATTTATCCTCAGAAAATTGGATTTTCTTTTCTATTGCATTGTCAGGCTGCAAATTTTCCAAACATTTATGCTCTGCTTCCCTTATAAAACTGAATGGCTTTAACAGCACGCAAGTAACCTCTTGAATGCTTTGCTGCTTAGAAATATCTTCTGCCAGATACCCTAAATCATCTCTCTCAAGTTCAAAGTTCCACAAATCTCTAGGACAGGGGCAAAATGTCACCAGTCTCTTTGCTAAAGCATAATGAGTCACCTTTGCTCCAGTTCCCAACAAGTTCCTCATTTCCATCTGAGACTACCTTAGCCTGGACGTTATTGTCCACATCACCATCAGCAATTTGGGCAAAGGCATTCAACAAGTCTCTAGGAAGTTCCAAAATTTCCCACATTTTCCTATCTTCTTCTGAGCCCTCCAAACTGTTCCAACCTCTGCCTGTTACCCAGTTCCAAAGTCACTTCCACATTTTCAGGTATCTTTTCAGCAGTGCTCCACTCTCCTCTATTAGTCTATTATGCTGCTGACAAAGATATACCTGAGACTGGGCAATTTACAAAAGAAAGAAATTTAATGGACTGACAGTTCCACATGGCTAGGGATGCCTCACAATCATGATGGAAGGTGAAAATCACATCTCACATGGTGGCAGACAAGACAAGAGAACTTGTGCAGGGAAACTCCTCTTTATAAAACTATCAGATCTCATGAGACTTATTCACTATGATGAGAATAGCATGGGAAAGACCCGCCCCCATGATTCAATTACCTCCCACCAGGTGCCTCCCGTGGCATGTGAGAATTGGGGGAGCTACAATTCAAGGTGAGATTTGAATGGGAACACAGCCAAACCAGATCAGCACCCAACACAGGAACACCCAGATTCATAAAGCAAGTTCTTAGGGACCTTCAAAGAGACTTAGACTCCAACACAATAATACTTGGAGATGTTAACAACTCACTGATAATATTAGACAGATCATCGAGACAAAAAATTAACAAAGATATTCAGGACTTGAACTCAGCACTGAATCAAATGGACCTGATAGACATCTATAGAATTATCCACACCAAAACAACAGTATACACATTCTTCTCATCACCACATGGCATGTACTCTAAAATTGATCACATAATCGGAAGTCAAATACTCCTCAGCAAATGCAAAAGAACTGAAATCATAAAAAACAATCTTTCAGACAACAGTGCAATCAAATTAGAAATTAAGACTAAGAAATTCATTCAAAACCCTACAATTACATGGAAGTTGAACCGCCTGCTCCTGAATGACTTTTGTGTAAATAATGAAATTAAGGAAGAAATTGAGAAGTTCTTTAAAACTGATGAGAACAACGATACAACATACCAGAATCTCTGGGACACAGCTAAGGCAGTGTTAAGTGGGAAATTTATGCATCAAATACCCACATGAAAAAGTTAGAAAGACCTCAATTTAACAACCTAACATCACAACTAAAAGAACTGGTCAACCAGGTACAAACCAATATCAAGGCTAGCAGAAGACAAGAAATAACCAAAATCAGAGCTGAACTAAAGGAGATTGAGACAGAAAAAAAAACAACACTCAAAAGATCAATGAGTCCAGGAATTGGTTTCCTAAAAAAAAATTAATAAAAAAAAAGACCTCTAGTTAGACTAATAAAGAAGAAAAGAGAGAAGATTCAAATAATCACGCTCAGAAATTACAATGGGGATATTACCACTGACCCCACAGAAACACAAATAACCATCAGAGAATATTAAAAACACCTCTATGCACATAAACTAGGAAAACTAGAAGAAATTGATAAATTTCTGGACACGTACACCCTCCCAAGACAGAACCAGGAAGAAATTCAATCCCTGAACAGACTGATAATGATCTCAGAAATTAAATCAGTAATAAGTAGACTACCAAACAAAAAAAACCCCTAGGACTAGAATAATTCACAGCTGAATTCTGCCTGATGTACAAAGAAGAGCTGGTACCATTCCTGTTATAATTATTCCAAAAAATTGAGGAAGAGGGATACCTCTCTAACTCATTCTATGAGGCCAGCATCATCAGGATCAGCACCAAAACCTGGCAGACACACACACAAAAGAAAACTTCAGGCAAATATTATTGATGAAGATTGATGCAAAAATCCTCCACGAAATACTGGCAAACTGAATCCAGCAGTACATTAAAAAGCTAATCTACAATGATCAAGTATGCTTTATCTTGGTGATGCAAGGTTAGTTCAACATATGCAAATCAATAAATTTGATTCATTACATAAGCAGTACTAAAGACAGAAACCACATGATTAGCTCAATAGATGCAGGAATGGTTTTTGATAAAATTCAATATCCCTTCATGTTAAAAACTCTTAATAAACTGAGTAGTAAGTGAACATAACTTAAAATAATAAGAGCCTTCTGTGACAACCCCACAGCTAATACCATACTAAATGGGAAAAAGCTAGAAGCATTCCCCTTGAAAACCAGCGCAAGACAAGGATACCCTCTCTCACTACTCCTATCCAACATAGTATTGGAAGTCTTGGCCAGGGCAACAAGCAAGAAAAAGAATTAAAGGCATCCAAACAGGAAGAGAGGAAATTGAACTATGCCTATTTGCAGATGGCATGATCCTATATCAAGAAAACCCCATAGTCTCAGCCCAAAAGCTCTTTAAGCTAATGAACAACTTCAGCAAAGTCTTGGCATTCAAAATTAATGTGGAAAAATTACTAACATTCCTATACACCACAACAGTCAAGCTGAGAGCCAAATCAGGAACGTAATCCCATTCACGATTGCCACACACACACGAAATACCTAGGAATACAGCTAACTAGGGAGGAGAAAGATCTCTACAAGGAAAACTACAAACCACTGCTCAAAGAACTCAGAGATGACACAAATAAATGGAAAAAAATATCATGTTCATGGAAAAGGAAGAATCAATATTGTCTGGGCGCGGTGGCTCACATCTGTAATCCTAGCACTTCCGGAGGCCAAGGCAGGCAAATCACCTGAGGTCAGGAATTTGAGACCAACCTGGCCAACATGGTGAAACCCCATCTCTAGTAAAAATACAAAAAAATTATCCAGGCGTGATGGTGTGCACCTGTAATCCCAGCTACTAGGGAGGCTGAGGCAGGAGAATCACCTGAACCCAGGAGGCAGAGGTTTCAGTGAGCCGAAATCACGCCATTGCACTCCAGCCTGGGCGACAGAGCCAGACTCTATCGCAAAAAAAAAAAAAAAAAAAAAAAAAAAAGGAAAAATCAATATGATGAAAGTGGCCATACTCCCACAAAGCAATTAGAGAATAGTTTATCGGTTTCTTTCTTTCTCTTTCTTTCTTTCTTTCCTTCCTTCTTTCTTTTTCTTTCTTCCTTCCTTCCTTCTTTCCTTCCTTCCTTTTTCTTTTTCTTTCTTTCCTTTCCTTCTTTCTTTCCTTTCCTTCTCTCTCTTTCTTTCTTCTTTCTTTTTTCTTTCTCTTTCTCTCTTCCTTTTCTTTCTCCTTCCTTCCTTCTTTCCTTCCTTTCACCCTCCCTCCCTTCCTCCCTTCCCTCCCTCCTTCCCTTCTTCCTTCCTTCTTTTCCTTTCTCTTTCTCTCTTCCTTTTCTTTCTCCTTCCTTCCTTCTTTCCTTCCTTTCACCCTCCCTCCCTTCCTCCCTTCCCTCCCTCCTTCCCTTCTTCCTTCCTTCTTTTTCTTTCTCTTTCTCCTCCCTCCCTTCCTTCCTTTCTTCCATCTTTCCTTTCTTCCTTCCTCCCTCCCTCCCTTCTTTTTTCTCCTTCCTTCCTTCCTTCCTTCCTTGCTTCTTCCCTCCCTTCCTTCCTTTTGGAGACAGGATCTTGCTCTGTCAGATAGGCTGAAGTGCAGTGGCTCACTGCAGCCTCAAATTCCTGGGCTCAAGCAATCCTCCCACCTCAGCCTCCCAAGTAGCTGTGACTATAGGGGCATGCCACCTCATCCACCTGACAAAAAACAAAAAACAAAAACAAAACAAAACATTTGGCCGGGCACGGTGGCTCATGCCTGTAATCTCAGCACTTTGGGAGGCCAAGGCAAGCGGATCACGAGGTCATGAGGTCAAGACCATCCTGGCCAACATGGTGAAACCCTGTCTCTACTAAAAATACAAAAATTAATTGGGCGTGGTGGTGTGCACCTGTAGTCTCAGCTACTCGAGAGGCTGAGGCAGAAGAATTGCTTGAACCTGGGAGGCGGAGGTTGCAGTGAGCCGAGATCGCATGACGGCACTCCAGTCTGGCAACAGAGAGAGACTCTGTCTCAAAAAAAAAAAAAAAAGTGTAGACGCTGGGGCTGGCCTCAAATTCCTGGCCTCAATTTATCCTTCCTCCTTGGCCTCCCAAAGTGCTGGGATTACAGGTATAAGCCATCATCATCATACTTGGCTAAGTTTGGCAGTTTCTTGAAAAACTAAACATATATTTCCATATGCCCATGAATTATATCCCAGACATTTATACCAGAGAAATGAAAACTCATGAACTCATGCTCATAGAAAAACCTTAAACACATGTTCAAAACAGCCTTATTTATAGTGACCCCAAACTAGAAACAGCCAAAATGTCCTTCAATAGGCAAATAGTTAAGCAAACTGTGCTGCATTTAGACCATGGAATACTACTTAGCAATAAAAAAAAAAAAAAGATTGTTGATATATGCAGCAGCTTGGATGGATCTCATGGGTATTATGCTAAGTGAAAAACACCAGTCACATACTGCATGATTCCATTTAACTAGTATTTTCAAAATGACACTATTCTAGAGATTAATAGCAAAGAAATTAGTGGTTTTAAGTTGTTAAGGTGATTGTGTGGGGGGAATTTGGCTATAAAGGGAAGCATGATGAAGATCTCTGTGATATGGAATAGCTCTGTGCTTGATTGTGGTGGTGGTTACATGAATCTACAAATGTGATAAGACATATGCATAAAACTATACATACACATTGTATCAAGGTATTTTCTTGGTTTTGCTACTGTGCTATAATTACTTAAAATATAAACATTTGGAGAAACTGGGTGAAGGCGTATGCAGAATGTCTCTATACTGTCTTTGCAATTTCCCCTGAATCTATAATTATTTTAAAATAAAAAAATATTAAAATGGCTTTCTTGCTTAAATCCCAAACCCCAGAATACCAAATGCTGGCAAGGATATAGAAAAACAGGGACTCTCATTCATTGCTGGTAGGAATGCAAAATGATACAGCCATTTTGGAAGATATTCTAGTTGTTTCTAACAAAGTTAAACATACTCTTACCATATGATCCAGCAATTGCACTTCTATGTATTTATCCAAAGTGGAAAACTTGTGTTTGCACAAACATCTGTTCATGGATGTTTATAGCAGCTTTATTCATAATTGCCAAAAATTAGAAGCAACCAAGATGTCCTTCAATAGATTAATGGGTAAATAAACCATAGTACATTTATACAATGGAGTATTATTTAACATTAAAGAAAAATAAGCTATCAAGCTATGACAATATACGCAGGAAACCTGTATGCATATGGCTAAGCAAAAGAATCTCATCTGAAAAAGCTCTATGCTGTATGATTACAAGTATGTGACATTCTGAAAAAGGCAAAACACTAGTAAATAGCTCAGAGAATGCCAATGGCTCAGAGGGAGGAAGGAAGGATGAGTAGATGGAGCCTGGGTCATTTTTAGATCAGTGAAGCTATTTTGTTTAATCCTGTAATGGTGGATATATGATATTATGTATTTGTCAGAACCCATATAACTGTGTAATACAGAGTGAACCCTCGTATAACTATGAATTTTAGTTAATAATAATTATTAGTATTGGTTCATCAATTGTAACAAGTGTACCACATTAATACAGGATGTTAAGCATTGTAGAAACTGGGGGTGGGGGAGCTCTGTATACAATTTCTGCAATTTTTCTGTTAGCTTAAAACAGCTCTAAAAATAAAAGTCTATTAAAATGGTTTTCTTTTTTTTTTTTTTTTTTTTTTTTTTTTCTTTTTTTTGAGATGGAGTCTCGCTCTGTCGCCCAGGCTGGAGTGCAGTGGTGTGATCTCGGCTTACTGCAAGCTCTGCCTCTTGGGTTCACGCCATTTTCCTGCCTCAACTTCTCGAGTAGCTGGGACTACAGGCACCCGCCACCACACCCGGCTAATTTTTTGTTTTTTTTTTTTTTAGTAGAGACGGGGTTTCACCATGTTAGCCAGGATGGTCTCGATCTCCTGACCTCGTGATCCGCCCGCCTCGGCCTCCCAAAGTGCTGGGATTACAGGCGTGAGCCACCGCACCTGGCCAAAAATGGTTTTCTTACATGGTAGTATATGGGTTTACTTTTTGCTTTCTTAATCCATGCTTGTCTAAGTTTTAGTGTATTCTCTGTGTTAAGCTATTTATTTTATAATAAAGTTTGTAGTCATGTAAGAAAGACACTCGTACCTATTCTACCATCAGTAGTCTCAAGATTCTGCTTTGATTCTCTGAACCAACAGTAGAGAAACTTTTTTTTTTTTTTTTTTTTGAGACGGAGTCTCAGTCTGTTGCCAGGCAGGAGCGCAGTGGTGCGATCTCGGCTCACTGCAACCTCTGCCTCCCGGATTCAAGAGATTCTCCTGCCTCAACCTCCAGAGTAGCTGGGATTACAGGCGCCTATCACCACGCCTGGCTAATTTTTGTATTTTTAGTAGAGATGGGGTTTCACCATGTTGGCCAGGATGGTCTTGATTTCCTGACCTTGTGATCCGCCCACCTCGGCCTCCCAAAGTGCTGGATTACAGGCGTGAGCCACCGTGCCCAGCCGAGAAACTTCTTATTTATTAGTAAGGCTTAGAATGTCATGATGCTTTGGTTTATCCTTGTTTTGTTTAGCTTCTCTTAGATTTTTATCATCAGTCTATAGAAATTTTGAGAAAAACAACAGAATGTATAATTTTTTGCAATATTTTATTATCACTAAGCATGTATCTAATTACTTTGCTTGCGTTTTCCTTTTAATTCTGATATTAATTCAATGTAGTAAAAATTAACACCAGTATTTTCATGAGTAATGTGAGGCTAAGTTAAGTAAGATACCAGTGAAAACATAGCTAGTAAATGATACAGCCAAGATGAAACCCAAGCCTAACTCATTTCAACAGCATTTATTTGCAGTCTACCACACTATCATGAATAGTTTATCTTAGTGGTTTATGGCAGGTTCTAGAAACTATTTTAGAGATAAATATCAAGTCATAGTTTTATAGACAAATGAGCAACAGTTCATTGTGTTTCAAATATTCCTTCCTCTCATCTTAATGTCATATCTTTCTCCCCAACCCCAAATTTCACTCAGCTTTTCCACTCAAAGACACATCTTCAAATATAAGGTGGTTTCAAGAATCAGTCAGACTACTCTCTCGGTAATAAAATAGGCATCTGAGACTATGTCTAACAGAATGGGTAAGGCCAGTCTTCAGTGTCCAACCTCTTTGCTCATTAAATCTGGAATGAACGATGTTGATATGTAAATCCTGCAATGTTTATGGATTCTTCTGTCTTCCTTCTCCCCACTCTAACCCCATCTGCTCCCCTCTATCCCATGCATTCTGAGATCCATACCTTGGGGTTTCAGATTCACTCTACTGAAGACAGAGTTATATCATTGCTCAGTAGAGATCTCCCAACAAACCAACCCCACTTTAGGTTTTCCTGATGAGGACTAGACCACAACAAGAGGGTTGCCTGCAGATGCACAAAATGAGACCAAGCCCAAATGAACCGGGATATGTCTGATGAATTCTAGAATTTATAAGATAAATTCAACATTCAGATATTTTACCGGGAAAGGATCACATATATTCCCCAGGACCGACTCCCCACCCCCCACCGCCACCCAAAGAACTGGCTTAAACACCAAAAATTCCACCCAAGATCATCAAAATAGTTTATTGTGTTCAGAAAAATCACAGTTTGAGGAAACCTTAAACAATAAGTACACAAGAGATGCCCCATGGGGCATTCCATAGCAGAGACAGACTCCTGTATGTTTTATTCCAGAGGCATTGCATGGTGATAATAAAATGATAGGAAATAGAGGAAAATAGATACAGGAAAAGGCAATAGACAGGGAAGCCAGCTAGATGTTAGAGTACGGAGCAATCGAGGAGGCATAACCACACTTGGGGTGGCTATAGGGCTGGAAAACGCTGAAGATGACTGCTTTCACTGAGGTCAAGGATTGTAATATTGCCAGCTTTGTAAAGTCATTAAAGCAGAAGTTTCTTCAGTGATCTTCTCTCTAAGAAACACCATCACCTATAGCAAGACACACATAGTTACCAAGGAATTTAAGATCCGTTTTGAGCTCCTTGCTTCAGATTCCTTCCTCTTCTCTCTTAATCCTTTGACTTTGCAAAATTCTTTCAATGTTCATCTAACCTTTCCAACATGAACTAACTGTATACAGTTAGTTCCTACTCTCCAACTGAACATAATAAGCAACCATGCTTTACCTTTTTTTAGAGTTTCTCATACTACATTTGAGACTAAAGAAGCAAAAGCAGGCATTGGCCTCTAAGAGATTCCCATTTCATGCAATGAATTGACCCTAACCTGAAAGGAGCCAGGATCTGGAAATGCTTCTGAACTGATGACCTGCCCCAGGAAATACAAGCTAGGATGTGCCCAAATCTTGAGGCTTATTTTTCTAGATCCCTAGACTCAGTATTTTCTAGATCCCTAGACTCCATATTCTAATGTATTTTCTAGATCCCTAGACTCAGTATTCTAATGTGAAACAATGGTTTTAGGTACTGGAGATGATTTCTAAGACTGGAGCCGTGATCAAGGTGCCCGTCTATAGAAAGGGATGACAGACCCTGAAGCTTTGGGATACCAGATGATACCAATGTCTGATTCATTCTAGCAAAGAGAAATCAAGAGCCACATCTGTTCCTACCTTGTCTCTTAAATGCATTACATTTCCTTTCCCCACCCTGTTTTCCTCCCTCAGATATCTCCATATATGTCTTCCTCTGACCACACCTAACTCACCTCCATGTGCCTTACAGAGGCCCCCTGCGTTCTGCTGCATTGCTTTTGCGCACTCCCTTGATGATGAAGATGGTCCCAATAATGATGCCCACCAGACCCACAGTCAGGCCCAGGGCACACACCACGTTCTCTGTAGTCTCTGGGAGAGGGCTTGGAGCATCAAACTCTGGGGGGAGATAAGGCAGAGTACATGGTAATGAGTGTGGGAAGAAGTAACACTCAGAATCAAATGTAGGGTTCTTAATAAAGAGAAAAGTTATTCATAGATTAAAGAAGAGGAAGACAGAATGATGTATTGAGAGAATTACAGATTAAAAAAAGGAGGAAGCTGGATAGTAGGAGAAGACAGTTATATTAATTGTAGCAGATATTATGAAACAGTTAGAACACCGAGTTTCACACAAGCATCATAGGAGGAAACCTTGAAATAAAGGAGATTGAGTGTTGGTCCATACCCCAGTGCTTGAGAAGAGGCTCATCCAAGCCCCAGTGCTCCACCCTGCAGTCGTAAACGTCCTCAGTTGAGGGCAGGAAGGGGAGATAGTGGAACTTGCGGAAAAGGTGGTCTTCCCTGGGCAGGAAGACTGTCTCTGACACTCCTGTGGTGACAGGTTTTCCATTTCGAAGCCACGTGACATTGACCACTGGTGGGGTGAACTTGTCGATGAAACAGATGAGGACGTTGGGCTCTCTCAGTTCCACAGGGCTGTTCGTGAGCACAGTTACCTCTGGAGGTACTGGGGGACACATGACAGACGTGACAGAAATCAGCCATCACTGCTTAGGCTCACCCCTCTCCCTCCCATGCTCAATTGTGGTACAAACGTATCTAAAAACCCTAAAGCTGAAAAAGTAGTTGAAATTGTGCCCTGAGAAATCTATGTCACATCCTCAGATAACAATCTCTGACAGCACCCCCTCCCCAAGAAATTGAGCCAATATTGAGGTATAAGATATCCAAGGACTTCCCTTCTGGCTCCCCTAGCATGAACTTAGGGCAATGACTTCGTAGGAGACCATGGATGACAGAGACAAGACTTGAGCACAACAAGATAGGATCAAACCCATAAAGTTCTCAGACCTCTGGCATGAGAATTTGGGGCTTGTTAATGGCAAGGTTAGGCCCTTGGAGGGAAAATCAGTTACAATAATCTAACACAAAGAGCTGAAGCAACTACTTTCAAACTATGGATTCCCATGTCCAGGAGTGCAGCAGAGAGGGAGGTACCATTGGTGATCGGAGTATAGTTGGAGCGCTTTGTCATGATTTCCAGGTTGGCTTTGTCCACAGCTATGTTGGCCAATGCACCTTGAGCCTCAAAGCTGGCAAATCGTCCAAATTCTTCAAGCCGCCAGACCGTCTCCTTCTTTGCCATATCCACATGGAAAATCTCATCACCATCAAAGTCAAACATAAACTCGCCTGATTGGTCAGGATTCAGATAGAACTCGGCCTGGATGATCACATGTTCTTCTGAAAGGCAAGAAATGGAGAAAGAGAGTTGGGTGGGGGGAATCAAGAGAGGGAAATGAATAACCTACATACATGTAGGCAGGAAGTGGTGGAGAGAGATTGGGCCAAGAGGAATGAAAGAATGATGGCGAGTAGGGATGAGTGACAAGACAAGGTCTGGGTGAAGGGCATGCTGCTGAACAAAGCTGGGAGGGGAAAAACAAGAAGGACTGGTTATAAAGAGGGTGGATTGAAGGAGATGAGGGCTAAAGAACCCAGAGTCTTGTGAAGCTGTTGTTTGGCTCCATGTTACTAGCTGAGAAATTATTTTCTTTTTAGAAATCCAGCAGCAGCCCCTAAAGAGAAATGTTCTCTCACTTTCTTTACCCGGGCATTAAATACACTTAGGCCAGAATTCCAGAGGATCTCTTTCTCAGAACATTGTACTCTAAGAAGAAGGAAACACTGTTTGAAAGGTTGGGTTTTAAACTCTGGGATCAAAAACATCTTGAATTCTTATTCAGCAACTTACCTAGTGATCCTGAGCAGATTATTCTACCTATTTATGTATAGTTTTCCTATTATGTAGTCCTGCTGTGGTTTTGATCCTGTCAGGGGTTTGTTTTTAAGATTAAATGAGATAAGGTGAGTAATTTCTTAATATATCAACAAGACTGTAACAAGCACTGTTTACATTTTAGAGTCAGAAGCTTCTCTTTATTTAAGGGCCAAATCTATGGAAAATATACCTGGGGACTGAAGTACTCCAAAAATTAAGACTGAGACCTTGTAGCGTCATAGTCCCCCTGCTTCCCAGCATCCAAACCCACACGGTGGTTACCTCTATGAGAAGGTTCTCGTCTGGATTGACCTTGGCAATTCCACCTTTTATCTTAATGCTCCTTAAATTGGGACTGTTATTATGGAAGATGTTCTGTTACGATTGACATTGAGAATAACCAACACCAAGGGAATAATGAACATGAAAAGAGAAAGCTACACTGGGAGAGTATGCTGCCTCTGTGGAGTGTATCGATGAGTGGGAGATTT
Organism: Homo sapiens; assembly: GCF_000001405.40. Taxonomy (NCBI): domain Eukaryota; kingdom Metazoa; phylum Chordata; class Mammalia; order Primates; family Hominidae; genus Homo; species Homo sapiens. The sequence continues at coordinate 3,664,465 of NT_167248.2, read as the reverse complement.
TTTTTTTCCTTAGTCTTCAAAGATAAGGTGAGATATTTTGTTTTGTTTTGGTTTGGTTGTTTGAGACGGAGTCTTGCTCTATCGCCAGGCTGGAGTGCAGTGGCACCATCTCAGCTCACTGCAACCTCCGCCTCCCGGGCTCAAGCAATTCTCCTGCCTCAGCCTCCCGAGTAGCTGGGACTACAGGCGTGTGCCACCATACCCAGCTAATTTTTTGTATTTTTAGTAGAGACGGGGTTTCACCATGTTGCCCAGGACGGTCTCGATCTCTTGACCTCGTGATCCGCCCGCCTCGGCCTCCCAAAGTGCTGGGATTACAGGCGTGAGCCACCGTGCCCAGCCAAGATGAGAGATTTTAATGTTTGACTGTGTATTGATAAACCTAGGAATTTATTTACCGTTTGCATCTATGCAAACACACACAAATATACTAGCTGCCTCTTCACAAACCAAGGGAAGATCCTCTGTCTTTCTAGGTAAGTATCCCTATGTATGGCTCTTTTGGGGCAATAGAAATCTACAATTGCCACTATGGGTATGGGAGCTGGGTTATTACTTTGCTTATTTCAAGTCTACCTGACACCTTCTGTGGGGGTCACGCTGGGTGAAGAATACTTTTCTACAGTACATCTTTACAACAGCACCAATGTTGCTCTGGAGATGAGAGACAATAATATCAGATTCCCCATTTCCTTACTTATTTTTCTACTCTCTTGGAAATATTACTAAGTTAACATGATATAAGATCTGCTGTACCATGGAGATGGGAAGGCAGGGAATGGCTATCACTGTCCCATGAGGCAACTCATATCAGCATGCCTTCCCTCCCCTTTTCCTGGGGTAAATTGTTGCTTTTTGATGACTTTTCCTTCTAGTAATCTTCAACACAATATATGTGCTCAATATATACCGACAGGATTTACACTCCAAAAAATAACTACTGTATCATGTATTCAGATAAGAACAGGGCTAATAACTTTTTTTTTCATTTAATTCTAGCAAAACTATGTGTGGTTTTTAGTTTTTAATTTTACTAATTTTCCAGAAAGAATAATTAAAGCCCAGAAATATAACTTGTTAATGCTTGCCAGAAAATATTCTTCCTCCCCCACCCCCACCCCCACCCCCAGTTTGGCTTGTAGCAGGACCGTGCTATTCATCAATACACAACTCAGTTTTGACCCTCTAAACCAAATTTGACTTACTTCAGTTTGTGGTGAGGGAAGAACTCCACCAAACCACAATTTGTTATACTTTCTGTCGAGACCACATAATACCTGTCACACTATTCTTTCACTCCACACATTATCTTCCAAATGTCCATAGGTCTTTTCTCCAATGCTTCGTAGTCTATCGTCCCAGATTTCATTCCCTCAGCACCTACCTTTGATAGCCCATGATTCCTGAGCGCTCATCAGCACAGCTATGATGAAAAATCCTAGCACAGGGACTCCACTTATGGCCATTTTCTTCTTGGGCGCTCTTTTGGGAGTCAGTAGAGCTCGGGAGTGAGGCAGAACAGACAAGAATAAAAGAAAAGAGAATGTGGGGTGTAATAGAGTCTGACCATTAAAATGCAAATCAATTACTCTTTGGCCAATCAGAAAAATATTTTGAGATGACGCATCTGTTGCTAGGGGAAGGGTTCTTGCAAAGGGTCCAGGACACAAGATACTCCGTTCATTGGATAAAGAAGTAAAGTTCTTAAACAAACAGGACAACAACAACAACAAATCAAGTATTTAAGACTGTTAGTCAATCACGGACAGACTCTTTAACCCCAATCTGACTTCTAGACAGGGATATACCTGAAGCACATTAGTGAGAATAGAATCAATGGAAACACCTAAAGTGAGAGCTAAATACAGATCATATGTCTGTGCAATGACAGTTGGAGAGTTTGCGTAAGGGACAATAAATTACCCAAATAGAAGGTAAATTGTCAGGCCATGGAGATTGTCTGAATTTTGGCAGTACTGAGGACATAGCTTCACTAAAGAAGCTCTTTCATGCTTCTTGGAGTCCTAGACTTCAAGATGATCAACTCAGGCCAAGAGCTTGGGATGGCTGGCATTGTATCTCATTTAGAGAAAATGAGAGGAGAAACTCTGAGGTTCAACACTCTCAACACTGGAGAAGGATGAAAGGCTGTATCTTGAAACACAGGTAGTAGTTAGTGGAAATAGTGGGCTGTAAAGGAGCTACCTTCTTCTCATCTCTACCATCTTATATATGACAAGAGATTGGAGTTGACTAATGGACACACCTCATTTGAGGATTCAGGTCAATGAATATGAGAGAGTATAGTGGGCAAAGCCTATTCTTTTTTTTTTTTTTTTTTTTTTAGACAGAGTCTTGCTCTGTCGCCCAAGCTGGAGTTGGTGGTGTGATCTCAGCTCATTGTAATCTCCGCCTCCCGGGTTCAAGCGATTCTCCTGCCTCAGCCTCCTGAGTAGCTGGGATTACAGGCGCCCACCACCATGCCCGGCTAATTTTTGTATTTTTAGTAGAGACGGGGTTTCACCATGTTGGTCAGGCTGGTCTCAGACTCCTGACCTCGTGATTTGCCCGCCTTGGCCTCGCAAAGTGCTGGGATTACAGGCATGAGCCACCGCACCCAGCTGGCAAAGCCTATTCTATTGGGAACGTTAGAGATAATAACTCACAGAACGGCTTTAATATTCCTTCCCTCATGTCATAAGATTATGAAAGTTTTTCTCTTGTCATATGATTATTAAAGATCTGCTCTAAAGAATATATTTTGATGTTCAACATAGACAGTCCTGAAAATTAGGAGACTTCGACTCTCTTGTTTCTGAAGATACAGTGTTATGAAAAGGAGAATGTTAAGTTCTTTCCACAGAAAGGACTGGAATACAAATACTTCCATGAAGAGTGACCTGGCAGTGAGGGAGCCCATCGGATGGTGAATCCATTGTTTTTTTTGTTGTTGTTTTGTTTTCGAGACGGAAGTCTTGCTCTGTCGCCCAGGCTGGAGTGCAGTGGCACGATCTCGGCTCACTGAAAGCTCTGCCTCCTGGGTTCACGCCATTCTCCTGCCTCAGCCTCCCGAGTAGCTAGGACTACAGGCGCCCGCCACCATGCCAGGCCAATTTTTTTTTTTTTTTTTGTATTTTCAGTAGAGACGGGGTTGCACCATGTTAACCAGGATGGTTTTGATCTCCTGACCTCGTGATCTGCCTGCTTCTGCCTCCCAAAGTGCTGGGATTACAGGCATGAGCCACCGTGCCTGGCTGGTGAGTCCATTGTTCAACATCAGTCATGACATGTCTGCTTAGGGTGGATTTTCCAGACTGTTGTGCTGGGGTCTTGTCCTGCCATGCAGCCGTTCTCACAAGTTATGAACACAAATATTCCATACATTACTGATTATCTGATCGCATCAAAGGGCTTTGAACACACTGTGGCATTAACTCCTAGATCGCTAGAAAGAGACCTACAGCATGGTCTCTCCTGCAATTTTCAGGAATACCTTTCCTGAAAGGTAAAGAGTCAGGAGAATGGGCCAGATGAGAGCCTATGGTATCAGTCTGTGCTAAGAGTCTGATCCTATGATTTAAGCTTGTCATCTCCTCTTTTAGAGGCAAAACCATGTATAATTTTCTATGTCTGCCCTTTGCTGGCTGCCATAATGCCTTGTTCTTAAATGGTGCTTGAGAAAAACATGGTAAATTCAAAGACATTTCATATATTATAATAGCATCTTCAATCCAAGTTGTTGCTCAGCAACTTATGACACTGTTTAGTCCTAGAACACTGATTGGTTCTTCTTGTGAGATTACTAAATTTGGGAGACTTGAGAAATGACTTTCAGTTCCCTTTCTCTGTGATAGGAGAGAAGTTCCTATTTGGACAGTGCTCATGGTTCTCCGTTTTCTTTCAAACTCTAATTTCCTGTGTGTTTGAGGGAATTTCCAAAGGCACCTGAATGAGGACTTCTTGGTGATGTCAAATGGTGACGAGCCACTATAGCCATGAGAATTCAGTCAAGAAATAGGAATCCCTGTAATCAGTCTAAGCAGAACTGAATATATTACAGGGAATTAGCCCTTAAAACTGTTAGGGGGTCTGGAGGAGCACAAGTCACTGCAGACCCCTAATTTTAAAAGATGAGGAACCCACAGGAAGCCTCTGCTGATGTTGCAGATCCTCTAGAGCCCCTAGGAGTAAATGTCTTTAGAACACAAGGCTGCTGCCAAAACTCATGTCTGTGAAACCTGTCCCTGAGATGGCTGTGGCCTAACTTCCACCTCCCAAATCTCATAATACTGAGTTTCACTGGAGAAATGTATTCCACGTTCAGAAACCTGGGGCAGAGCAAGCCTGAGAGATGTAATATTCTTACATCTATTCCCAAAGATACAGACAGGATCAGAGAAGCAAATGGAAATTTTACAAAAATTACTAAATGCAAATATGTGTGTCTATGTTTGTGTGTATATCCACCATAGATCACTCTGGTTCTCCCCACAGTGCCAAGTCTAAAACCAGAGGACATATTCTTCTGGAGAAATAAGTTAGGGCTTTCACACTGGGCCCAGATCAAGTCTGGGACCTCAATACTTCATTTGTTTGTGTGGTTTGAATTCTGAGAACCTCCAGCCCCTTCTTTTAGCTTCCCTTCCACCACCCCCTACCCCCTTTTCCTTCTGCACTAAGGGTCTTCATGGTGTTTTTCTCCTACTAAGGACTTCCTACCAGAGGTGCTGAGGGAATATTGATCTAGGTATTTCCTTCTCAATTCACTACATAAGAAGCTTTTCTTGTGTTACTTTTTCGCATCCTGAGAGGTCACAGAAGCTGGTCTGCTGGAATAGATCCCTATCAGAATAAAAACTGTGAACTGTTGATATCAACAAATGCACTAGGACGTTAACAAATGTGCTAGGGCAGTGGGTTAATGGGCCTTCCTAGCATGTCCTGTGTTAATAGAGGGCTCCACGATGACTGGACTCATCTTTAACCTGGGAGGATGGCAGTTTGAGTTTGATTCATTCTCTCTTCACCTCTACCTGAAACCTGATGCTTTAAAGACCAGAGTTATCTTTATACAGACCTCCTGAGGTGTGAAATTACCCCTCTTTACTTGAGTAGTCTTTGTAAATTAGAAAATGCATGCAGGTAGGGGTGTGTGTGTGTGTACGTGTGCACACTTAGAAACTTTGAATCCACATCTCAGAATATTTTCCTGCCGGCCAACTACAAGTTTCATTGCTATAACTTGAGAACCTGTAGTCAGATTGTTCTATAATTCTCTGTGTTCTTGTCTGTTCTAAATGGCACAAGCTAAGTCTTATAATTGAGAGACTCTGAAGGAAAAGATTAGCTTGACCAATCACCAAAGAAGTCTAAGGGTAGTTGTCTCTAATAGCTGCCCCCATACAGCCAGTCCATGGCTTGATTCACTCACTCAACATCTCCTGTTCCTTAGAAATTCTGGCAATTTGTTTTCAGAGTTCCTTCCATCTCTATCATATTGGCCACTCCGAAGTCAGCACAGAGAATTAGGATATAGGACATTCTGTTGCTCTCATCTTCTCATCTTTGTTCTCATCTTCTGAAAAAACGCATGTCCTCACCTGTGAATCCTTTCTTAGCTATTCTTCCAGGAATAGGGAATGATTTTACTCAATCATCCATGTAAAACAGAGACCAGAAACTTCATTTAGACATTATGTTCTGTTGCATGAGTAAACTATGGAATCTCATCAAGGTCAGAATGATTTTATAGAATTCAGATGTGTTTGTATGCATACGTGTGTGTGTGTGTGTGTGTGTGTGTGTCTGTGTGTTGAAGGAGGAGAATTAGGAAAGTATCAATTTCAATCAATCTAATTCATATAATTTTTTAATTTACTCAATTGTTTAAATACTATTTGATCCTATTCTTTATTTAAGGTACTTTCTTTTGTTTATTTTTTTAAAACATCTGAAGCATACAAATGTAATTGCTAGGTTGGATAAGCACTAAATGGAATCTTTAATCAAACAAAAACTCATTGTGCCTGCTCTTGCCTCTTTAGAGAATTTCATTAGAGATGCTATTCCCCTGCGCTTGGGTAGGAATTATAGCATACTTCATGAATTATTTTCTTGATTCTAATTAATATGCTATTCTACAATTCCCTTAAATTGCACAAGTATATCTTAGTTCAGCAATTAGATTGTTTGGTACTATATAATAATTGAAAGTCCCAACTTGATTTAATATAAATCTCTTTCTATCCCTGTGTAAATTGTTGAAGGCAGGAATGAGTGTGGTTCTCCTTCCTTCTTATGTTCTACTGGCACTTTGAGGCCATAGCTCATCTAGGGTAGGTTCAGGGAAGGGGAGGAAGAGAAAAAGACCAGAAACGTCTTACTGGAAATGAAATATTTGTGTTCTCTGAGCCTGGATGATGTTCCAAGTAAAGCTTTTCTCTTGTGCAAGGTTTGGTAGGCTCTTCAGATTCCTTCATGGCCCGTGTCTGGTGTATAGGGAACACTAAAACATTCTTTGTGTCCACAAACTCTGGGAGTGTGACCATTCCCAATGCATCACAGTTTCCAAGATCCAATACCAACTAGTCCATATACCCTGCCCTTTAGGATTCTGATGGAAGCAGAAGCCAATCCTATCATCTTCAACCACCCAACTTCATATCAAGTAGAGGAAACTCTTGGTCCCCCTAGAAAACAATTTCACTAAATTCCAGGCAAGTAGGTTGGTCCCTTTCCCACATACGCCGGGAGTAGATGATAGAATTCATAGTAAAGAGCAGATCTATTCAAGGATATCACAAATCTGCTTCATCCTATACTCTCTGACCACCCTTTGGTCAGTAGAGAGACAATAACAGAAACTTGTTTGTCCCATCATTCCTTATTTACTTATTTATTTTATTCTACTTTAAGTTCTGGGATACATGTGCAGAACATGCAGGTTTGTTACATAGGTATACGTGTGCCGTGGTGGTTTTCTGCTCCCATCAACCCGTCATCTAGGTTTTAAGCTCCTCAAGCACTAGGTATTTGTCCTAATGCTCTCCTCCCCTTGCCCCCCACCCCCCCCAACAGGCCCCTGTGTCCATGTGTTCTCATTGTTCAACTCCCACTTATGAGTGAGAAAATTCAGTGTTTGGTTTTCTGTTCCTGTGTTATTTTGCTGAGAATGATGGTTTCCAGCTTCATCAATGTCCCTGCAAAGGACATGAACTCATTCTTTTTCATGGCTGCATAGTATTCCATGGTGTATATGTGGCACATTTGCTTTATCCACTCTATCTTTGATGTGTTTTCCCCATCATTTCTTTATGAATTCTGCAAAAGAGGTGAACAACAGTCTCGCATGTCCATAAATAGATATCTGTGTTAATGGCCTCTTAGCTGATACTGAGGAAAGACCACAAACATTGAAAACAAAACAACAAACATATGAAAAAGTATAAATCATGGTCATTGTCTGTTACTGGTCACATAGACATAATTATAACACGGTTTAGGAAATGGAGGCAGAACTGGCCATTTCAGCTGTGTTTCCTAGTCCAGTTTTCTTACAAGGTAATGGAGAAGAGTGTGCATATAACATGTTTTTTGTTAGATTAAGCATCACTCTGTTAAGGAATAAACTTGAGTTACTTTCAATCACTTTTAAGGATGCTGCTCTTTTTCCCAAAGTAAAATTGATATTTGAGGCCTCAGTAAGTTCCATGTTATGTCCAATTATTTAGCATTACAGTGTCTGTCTGCTTCCAAGTGACTAAAGACTTTTACTCTTGGCCATGTGCCACATAACTGAAGATTATTCTTTCAGGTGAAAGTGGCAGGATTTCTATAAGACCCTTAAGAGGCTTTTCCTTTAGTTAGAAGGGAATTTAGGGACTGGAGTTCTGAGAACTGGCCATGTCCAGACAATAGTGCCCCCAGATGACAGTCATTTCTGCCACCTTTTCTCTGGACATATGCAGCATTATTTGGAAATCTTTTTTCATTAAGCATGATCTGTGCTCATTTCTGAAGATCATAAGAATGTCTATGTAGCAGTCTTTTTCTACTCTTAATTCTTTTCTAAAAGGTATAATTGAGAGTAAGAAACAAAAAACTAGAAGACGGTTTATTTAAGGTACATGGTTAGCAATCATAGTAAAGGAGCTGAGTTCTAAACATGTAAAACACTTACTGTAGTGAAGTTAGGAAGACAAGGAGTGTGAAGATGAGAAGTTAGAAGTGTGGAGAAGGAATCACTAGAGCCTCCTGATAAGAAAGATGGTAGAAAATGATTTTTTAAAGTACTTAAGTAGGTAAGATTTCAAATCCAAATGTCATGAATGAGTGAAGGAAATTTTCACAAAAAATAGAAGTCATGAGAAGAAGGTGGCTCTTGTTCACACTAAGTATAGCATGGGTCAAGCACAGAATGTAAGAGGGGAATTAGTTCTCACAATAAAATAGAAGAGAATATAAGTGGCTAAATGGCATCTAAAAAATAAACCATTCCAAGACTTAAGCTAATACAGATGGTCTCTGACTTATAATTTGGCTTATGATTGTTCAACTTTATGATGGGTTTATTGGTGTATTAAATGCATTTTCAGCTTAAGATATTTTCAAGTTATAATGGGTTTATTGGGACATAACCCTATTGTTAAGCTGGAGAGCATCTGTACACGAGCAGTGGTCCATGCTGCAAAATGTTTTTTAAAAACCAATAGTGAGGATAGAGAATAAACTATTTTAGGTTTCTGAGATTACTTAGGAACTTTGAACCTTTAAGGTAGAAAGAAAGGTGAGAAATATGCCAGAAGACTGTTACTGCTTTCACTGAAATTCTTTTTTGGGGTCCAGTTTCTTTTTACCAATTGAAAATACTACTGCTATGACTATGACACTAAAGCTTACTTATATTTATTAGATAATAGTTGTATTTCCATTTTACCTGAGAAAACTGGGTTTAAAGAAATCTAGTCTTTTGGTCAAGGGCTTACTTAGAAAGTGGCAACTGTGATTTTCTAAATCAAGTCTCTATCTCTGTAGCCAATAATATGTGGAGTCCAAGAACCAGTCCACTCAAAACACTAAAACCACTCATACCACAAACATATCCTTGGGTAGGGATGATGGTTGGTTTTTTCTTGTATACTATGTTTATATGTGACTATTTCAAAAGTTCTCAGGACACATATTTTTCCCTTGATTTTCTAATTTATAGTATAACTGGGACTAGGTTTCCCTCTTGTGGTCAACAGTGTTTAATTCTTCATAAGTGTTTTTGACATTGAGTATTCAGACACCTTATGAAAGATCAAGGATTTCTTAAGTCAGGATGCTTCAACTAATTTTTTTCTTATGTGCATATTCAAAGTGTGTTTGATTTAATTAGGTCACTTAAATGGTTTGTAATTTTATTTATAAAATTACTTATAAAATATTTAAAACTTATAAAAATATTTAAAGTCTTTTTATAAGTATTACCATGCCTTTTTTGAATAAGCACACAAAATATAGGATGTACTTCTTTTAAATAATTTGAAGGTTGAAATAATGTCTTAAAACGGACAAAATTAACTGTATTTCATTTTGAATCTTGTGGATAAATGCTTTATAACACCCTTTCTACTTCTCCATGATGTATTTAATCTTAGGCTAATTTTCTAGCTGTTTTCTGGAAACCTGATGGAGGAAGAATGTCAGCTGGATTTTTAGACAACATTGCTTATGGCACAAATGGCTTCTGGTTGGCATTTTGTATCTTTACTGGGAAGAATATTTCATGAACCGTAACAAATGACGGGGACCCATAGTTTGGGTATTTCCAAATGCAGTGACCCTTGTAACTGAGCATGCCCTTTACAGGGACTCTGGAAGCTGTGCCCATGGGTTTGTTATAAGAGGTACTAGCTCGTAGATGACATGAGGATTCTAAGCTAGGGTGGACACAACTTCCACAGGTGTAAATTCAGCTCCTTGTACCTGAGTTGTCACTTGGGGGATGGGGGCAGAGGATGAAACTAGCACCTGGAATAAATTATGGACTGTTTCAAGAACTTCTCCCACTGAAGAAAAAGACCTGATTCAGCACTTTGGCATACTTTGACTTCTGTCTAATATCCTTCTAAGTGAATCTGAGAGCCAGGTGTGGCCTATGGTAAAAACTTGAATATGAGTATTTAGTTAAACCTGAGAATACTCCCTGCCCCCGGGTATTGATACATCGGCAATTTTCATTTTATGTCTTTTTTTTATGTGTATATGTCATATGGTATATGTGTATACATAGGAGATACACACACACACACGCACATTTCCCATATTTTGGGAAAAAATTTGCATATTTTTTATGGCTTTAACATAATTAATAGTTTTAGTCTTGTTTTATTTTTGTTACCAAATTAACTCTAAGGATAGATTATATGTTTATTTAAGGATCTAAGGATAGATGTATAATATTTTAATATATGACAAAAACATATTTTAAAAAATATGGTGAGAGATTTCTGGTTCTAAGACAAGTTGAAGTAGGTACAATTCTTCCTATTCCTCCTGCTAAGTACAGCTACAGACAGACATAAAAAGCCCTTGAATGATGGAGAGGAGAAGCAGGTTGGCCTCAGACCATGGGATTTGGGAATGACAGAGTGGTGAGTTTCATAGGTCTTCTTTCTGCCTAATATATCCAGGAATGAGTGCTGGAGAAACTGGAAAACAGGAAACATCAGTAGTCACAGACAAAAATATCCTAAGGAAAGCATGTTTCTCTATCCAAGGGAACAAGAAAGAGCAGCCTACCAGGCAGATAACTGACAGTAACCGCACTACTCCAGTCAAATACAGAAAAATCAGGGGCTTCCATCCCGCCTCAGTCAGCAAACACTGAGTGAGGAGCTTTGTCTTATCCCATTGCCTGGCGATAATGAGACACTACCTAGACCCATCAGGCTTATGTCAGAGGAAGCCAACTGGGGACCTAGGACTTTTGCCCCTGCTTATCAGTAATCAGCCACCTCCACACTGTGGTGTTAGTGAAGCCCATGTGAAGAGCCTGGACTTCCACCTGCCCTGTTGCAAGGAAGCACTCCTCACCCACTTTGCCAAGGTGTTGTCAGAGGAGGCCAAGTAGAAAGCTGGGACTTTCACCACTGTCCAGGTGTAAGGAGGCACTTCTCCCTTCCTGGTGTCAGTAGAGGCCATGTGGGAGCGCTGATGAGACCCTCTCCCTCCCAGTCAGGATTCTGTAAGTGGAGGCCTAGTGGGGAGCCTGAGTTTCTATACCCAGCCTGCAGCCACAAGGCACCCCTGCCAGAGAGCCTTCAGTTCTAAGTTCACCAGGAATTGAACCTGTCAGCATCTTGATCTTGGACTTCCCAGCCTCCAGGACTGTGAGAAACACAGAGCGTCCTCCTATAGCATTGTTTTGTTCAACGTTTTGTTACAATGTTGGTGAGAAAATAAATAGGTTCCTGGCCAGGGCCACTGTCCATGAGGAGTTTGTGTGTTCTCCCCACGTCCGCATGGGTTTTCTTTGTGTATTTGAGTTTTATCCCACATCCCAAAGACATGCATGTTAGGTTAATTGGTGAGTCTAAATTGTCCCAGCAGAGTGACTTTGTGTGTGTGTGTGTGTGTGTGTGTGTGTATATGTGTGTGTGTGTCTGCATCCCACAATGGATGGGATGGCATCCTATACAAGGTTGGTTCCTCTCTTGTCCTTGAGCTGCCGGGATAGGCTCCAGTCATCCATGACCTTGAACTGGAATAAGCAGGTTGGAAAATGAATAAGCGAATGAATAGAAATGTTTCTAAAATAAACATTTGTAAAGTACATGATATTCATACAACTGTACAATAGTAAACAATGGGGTACAAAAGTACTCAGTGAGTTCAACGTATTTGTTCTTCTTTGCGTTTGAGCTGTGTGGTGGCAGGAGGTGCTCCTTACCATTTTCCTTTTACAAACATTTGTTCCTTAATGTAACCCACCACCACTGTGACCACCATCACTCACTAATTCACCAAAAACTGGATAATTAATTATCTTACTTGTTATTATAAACCTACCTTAAATGTATATATAGTTCCCATTTATTTTAATGTTTAATATTAGAAGTGTTCTGAGTCTTTATTTAGGAGTTTGGTGATGTGTTTGTGACCAGAAATAAGCCACAGGAACTTAAATCTTGTTCGCATCAATTAGCCCAGGGGTTCCCAACCCCTGGGCCACAGACCACTAATGGCCTGCTGTCAGATCAGCAGAGGCATTGGATTCTCACAGGAGTGCAAACCTTTGTGAACTGTATTGTGGACTGCGCATGCGAGGGATCTAGGTTGTGCCATCCCACTCCCTGCCACCGCTAGTCCCCAACCCCCATCCATGGCAAAATTTTCTTCCACAAAACCAGTCCCTGGTGCCAAAAATGTTGGGGATCGCTGAATTAGCCTATGGTCAAATTAGTTTTATTATATGTCATTTTGCTTAAAGTCACAGCTTCTAAGAACCTATTGATGATGTTAAGTGAGGACTTTGTCTGTTGTTTAATCTACTCCATCTGAGTGTCAATGGAGCCAAGTAGAGGACATGGAATTTCACATCATCTGGCAGTTTTGGGGTGAGAGTTACATATTTAAGTCAGTAGATTTTAAGTAAAGTACATTGCCCTCCATAACTGGGTTCCCCTCATTTAATCAGTTGAATGCCTGATTAGCATAAGAGGGAACTCTCCAACAGATTGTCTCAGACTCCATCTGCAATCCTGGTTCTTCCTGGTTCCACAGCAGACTACCTTTGGGCTCAAACTGCAACTCTGTCCCAGTCTCCTCCACTGCTGGCCTCTTCCATCAGAATTTGGACTCAGTAAGCTTCCACAATCATGTGAGCAAATTCTTTAAAAGAAGTATCTTTCTATATATACATATCCTGTTAGTACAACTGCTCTGGAGCACCTAATACAGATCCCAAGGGCATTATTCTGAGTACAAAATGCCAGTCTCGGAAGGTCACATATAGTATAATTCCATTTATATAACATTTTCTAAATGATAAAATTATACAGATGAAAATCAAATTAGTGGTTGGCACAGTGTAGGGATGGTGGGGGTGGGGGAATGGTGTGACTCTTAAGGAGGGCGAGTGGCATGAGGAAGATCTTCGTGGTGATGGAATATAGTTCTGTATTTTGATCACAGTGGTGGTTACATGAATCTACACATGTGATAAAGTAGAAAACTGCAAATACATTGTATCAGTGTCGATTTCCTTGTTTCAATATTGTGCTATAGTTATGTATGATGTAACCATTGGGGGAAACTGGGTGAAGGGTACAAGGGACCTCTCTGTACTATTTTCATCAACTCCTGTGAATGTATAATTATTTTGAAATTAACATTTAAAAATCATAAAGCATATTATCTAATTTTTTCTCTCAAACTTTAAACAAATCAATGTTTACCTTGTAAATCTTCTCTGCACTCCCAACAACATTGGATATTCTTTATTTGTAATTTTTTTTAAACTACAGACACACCTGACTTAAGATGGTTTGACTTAGGATTTTTTGACTTTTCAGTGGTGTAAAAGCAATATCCATTCTGTATAAACCATACTTTAAATTTTGATCTTATTCCAGACCAGCGATACTAAGTAAGATACTCTTTCACAATGCCAGGCAGCCTCAGCCACATGATCATGAAGGTGAACAACTTATACTCTACACTTTCAACTCACAATATTTTCAATTTACAATGGATTTATTGGGAGTTAACCCCATCATAAGTTGAAGAGCATCTGTATTACATTTAAAAACCCAGGTTATTTTAAAATAGTTGCTTATATTTACATACTTACAAGATTATTCAGTCTAGCCCAGATTTACAAGGGGGAAAAAACACACTCAAGGTATTTTAAGCCCAGAGAGATGTAATACAGTGAAGTGCATTGCAAAAGTTTTGTAAGGACAGAAAAAGCAAAATTGTGCTTCCAAAGGTCAGGAACTGCAGGAAGCTACTATTGGCCCTGCAGCACTAAACAAACCCACACTCCTGGCAGCTGCTGCTACTTGCTGTCAGAAGCAGAATGACAGCAATTTTCCACTGCCTTCTAATCGCAAGTGAGTGCCTTCCTAAGAAAGGGACTCTGGAAGAAGTGGTGTCCAGGCTTCAACCCCAAGTGATATGGAAAAAAGCACAAAACAGGGGGAAATTGATTTAGTACCAACAGACAATATCTCCAACTTAAAATATCTTGAATATTTATTCCTGAATATATTACCCCTTTCTAATATCTCTCTTTGCATTCTCCTTATTTGTACTTACATATATATTTGATGAATTTTTAGCATTTTTAGTAATTTACTAAATCTATACTTAATAGAAATATTAAACCTAATATAATGTATAGCATTATCCGATATAGAAGATCTTAAATGTCATTAATTAAATGTTAGCCTCTTGGATTTTAATTTATATAAAGCTTAATAATGTGAAAATACATGAAGATCAACCAAATGAAAAGAGCAAAAATTATTCACAAATTGCTATAACAAAGGAGTCAGCCACCATCTTTTGCATTTTGGCAGAGACTCAAAGACAGGCAAAGAAGTAGGAAACTTTATAGTGGTTAAAAGGGACCTGATTGGAGGCTGTTGGCATGGGGAATGCTTAAGGGGTAACTGGAAGTGGAGTATCCTATGTAATTGGGTAGGATGCATATTTAGCTTTCCCTGGTTGGTCCTAAGTTGGAAGCAGGCACAAATATTGGGGGAACTGTCAGTTATTAATCAAGTCCTGGCCATTTTAAAACAATTGTTATAAAAGTTATTATTTAGCCTCCTGGATTGTTACTAGAGACAGCAATCTGACTTCCTGCAAGTCGGACTTAAGCAGACTACCTTGCTGTATTGTTTATTGAAGATAAGGGAATTGGTTCCCCAGGCAGGCTGCTGTAGGCTGTGGGTCAAAGGTCTATTTTTTTTTTTTTTTTTCTTAGATGGAGTCTTGCTCTGTCGCCAGGCTGGAGTGCAGTGGCACGATCTCAGCTCACTGCAACCTCCACCTCCTGGGCTCAAGTGATTTTCCTGCCTCAGCCTCCCGAGTAGCTGGGACTACAGCTGCGCGCCACCATGCCCAGCTAAATTTGTATTTTTAGTAGAGACAGGGGTTTCACCATGTTGGCCAGGATGGTCTTGATCTCTTGACCTCATGATCCATCCGCTTGGCCTCCCAAAGTGCTGGGATTACAGGCGTGAGCCACCATGCCCAGCCAGGCCTATTTTTATATATGGTCTGGCCATTGTCTGTTTCTATATCCAGTTTTTCAGAAAGCACAATTTAAAATCTTATTCTTTTTTCCACCACAGTATAAGATGCATTAGGGTCACAGTAGGACAAATTGTCCCACTGGCAACAACTACAAAAATAGGATAAAATTTTAAAGGTATATTTTTAAAAAGCATTGTTTAGCTAAGAAAGTAAATAGGACTAGATGAATAAAAATTCCAAAGAAGAACCATGCAAATGTAAGCTGACGTTTGGACATCACTGTTTCTCTTGGTAGCATTTGCTGTTTGCAAGTGTACGCTGCGTTTTAGTGCCATTTTTCTGCTACCGTTTTCTGCTGTAGAAAAGTTTTCTGCTACAATTTTCCTACAGTTTTCTGCTGTAAGAAAGAAATCAGCAGCAATTATGGGGCCAGTGTGATGTAACTAGAAAACTGAGGCATCTCAAACACTCTGGTTTCTTCAAAACACGTTGGTTAACTTCTGATGCTACGGTAGAAGGTAAAACAAAAAACTAAAGTGTCAACTTCTGAAAGGCAGTGCAAAATCTTTCACTGTCCAGTGGTGTTGAGGAAACAAAGACCTACCATTGATAAGGGCCCTAAAACAAAACAGACGTAAGTTTCAGAAGAACTGGTGAATTGATGCCAAGTAGCAACAACCACTTATCACCTGAGGACACTTACTGATCTGAGTGCTTGTTTGGAGCTAATAATCCAGGTTTGGCCTCTGACAATAGGCTCCTCCAGTGGACTAAGAAAATAGCAAGTGTTTTGTCATTTGACGTGGTGCTGCAATGACAAGATTTGAGAGTTGATGACTTCAAGCACTTTGTAGGTGTCTTTTTCAAAACACTTGTTAAATGTTGAAGATGTATGGAGTAGAAGACTAATGAGCTAAGCTGAAAATTTCTTTAAGTTCAGCCTAAATCTCCTTCAGCTCTTCAGGATTGAGAAGATGAAAGCTATCGGGTTTTTCATTGAAAGTCATGGAGGACTATGCTCTAGAAATGGGGCAAAACTGAAGTCATGCATCACTTAGCTAAAGGGACAAGCTCTGAGAAATGTGTCATTAGGTGATTTCATCTTTGTGTGAACATCACAGAGTGTCCTTACGCAAACTAGATGTTATAGCCTACTATACATTTAGGCTATATGGTACACCCTATTACCCCTAGGCGACAAACCTGTACAGCATGTGACTGTATTGAATACTATTGGTAATTGTAACACAATGCTAACTGTTTATGTATCTAAACATACAAAAGGTGTGGTAAAAATACCATATGAAAGATTTTTAAATGGTAGATCTTTCTAGGACACTTACCATGAATGGAGCTTGCAGAACTGGAAGTTGCCCTGATGAGTCAGTGAGTGAGTGGTGAGTGAATGCAAGGGCCTAAGGCATTACTATACATTACTGTAGACTTTATAAATACTGTAACTAAGACAACATTAAATTTATGAAAAATGTTTTTCTACAATAATTAACCTTAGCTTACTCTAACTTTTTAAACTTTATATACTTAATTTTTTAACTTTTTGACTGTTTTGTAATAGCACAGCTTAAAACACAAACACTATACAAAAATATTTTCTTTATATCCTTATACTATGAGCTTTTTTCTACTTAATTTTTTTTTTTCACTTTTTAAACTTAAAAAAAAATCTAAGAAACACACACATTAGCCTAGGCCTACTCAGAGTCAGGATCATCAATATCACTGTTTCCCACTTCCACATCTTGTCCTACCAAAATGTCTTCAGGGGCCATAGCACACATGGAGAGGCCATCTCCTATGATAACTACACTTTCTTCTGGAATTCCTCCTGAAGGACCTGCTTGAGGCTCTTCTTGAGGAGGTGTCACTCTTCAGAAACAGGTCCATGATGGTTTGCTTGGTTTCCTTTTTTCATCATAGATTTGCTTATAAGCAGATGATTCACCGTGAACATTCCTCTTTATTAATGAAAACCTTGTTGTGCTGGGGTTCATGTTTTCAAATTTTTAAGGAGCTTGTTGAGGTCTGCAAAAGCTCCTGCTAAACCCTGCACAGGGAATTTTATTTGGGGTTCTTCTTCTTCTTCTCCTTCAGTTTCCTTTTTTTCTGACCACTACTTCAACTATGCATTCCTGTCTCAGTTCCAACAACTCCTCATTAGTCAATTCCAAGGAACTACCTCTAGGAGCTCCTAATGCCATCCTCATCCGTACTCAGTTTAAAGTTGTTTGCCATCTCAACCAAAGCCTTGTAGATTTTTGCAATCTCCTCATCCTTGGCAAACCCTTTGAACTCACAGACAAACCTCCTGAGTGTCTTCTTCCAGATGCCATTCACACACTCCTCGGTGACATCATCCCCATCCCAAGCAAGGTTCTTGATGTAGCCATAGCTGTTGTTATCCTTCCAGAATTGCATCACTGTCTTCTCAGTGTCTTCCTGAGTTACCATAATAACATGGGCAAAGGCCCTCTTCAGATAGTAAACCTTAAAAGCTGCTATAATTCCTTGATCCATTGGTTGGATTAAAGAGGGAGAAGCACCACTTCGATATTGGGATAAAGATCATTAATAACAGGAGGATGTGCAGGAGAACAAATAACCATAAACAAAATCTTGAAAGTTATGGTATTTTTCAGACAATGCCTCTCTATTTCTCTGGCATAGCAATTTAGGATGTAATCATGGAAGAGGAGATGGGTCATCCATGATGTTTTATTACACCTGTAGTGTACTGGCAGGATATACTTTATATATATATATATATATATATATATATTTTTTTTTTTTATGGAATCTAGCTCTGTCTTCCAGACTGGAATGCAGTGGCATGATCTCGGCTCACTGCAAGCTCCACCTCCCAGATTCACACCATTCTCCTGCCTCAGCCTCCTGAGTAGCTGGGACTACAGGTGCCCACCACCACACCCGGCTAACTTTTTGTATTTTTAGTAGAGACAGGGTTTCACTGTGTTAGCCAAGATGGTCTTGATCTCCTGACCTCGTGATCTGCCCACCTCGGCCTCCCAAAGTGCTGGGATTACAGGCGTGAGCCACCGTATCTGGCCTCTTTTTATATTCTTAAAGGAAGGTCCTGGGGTTTTCACCTTGCTGGATCACAAAGGGCTTTAATTTGTAGCCTGCAACATTGCCCTCAAGCAAGACCGTTATCTGTACTTAAAAGCCTTGAAAGCTAGCATTGACTTGGCCTCCTTATGGGTTAAATTCCTTTCAGGCAGTGAGAACAAAGACACAACATACCAGAATTTCTGGGACACATTTAAAGCAGTGTGTAGAGGGAAATTTATAGCACTAAATGCCCACAAGAGAAAGCAGGAAAGATCTAAAATCAACATCCTAACATCACAATTAAAAGAACTAGAGAAGGGCAAACAAATTCAAAAGCTAGCAGAAGGCAAGAAATAACTAAGATCAGAGCATAACTGAAGGAGATAGAGACATGAAAAACCCTTCAAAAAATCAATGAATCCAGGAGCTGGGTTTTTTTTTTTTTTTTTTTTTGTAAAAAAAGATCAATAGATAGACCGCTAACCAGACTAATAAAGAAGAAATGAGAGAAGAATCAAATAGATGCAATAAAAATGATAAAGGGGATATCACCACTGATCCCACAGAAATACAAACTACCATCAGAGAATACTATAAACACCTCTGATAGAACAGACTTTAAACCAGCAAAAATCAAAAGAGACAAAAGAGGGCATTACACAATGGTAAAGGGATTAATTCAACAAAAAGAGCTAACTATCCTAAATATATATGCACCCAATACAGGAGCACCCAGATTCATAAAGCAAGTTCTTAGAGATCTACAAAGAGACTTAGACTCCCACATAATAATAGTGGGAGACTTCAACACTCCACTGTCAATATTAGACAGATCAACAAGACAGAAAATTAACAAAGATATTCAGGACTTGAACTTAGCTCTGGACCAAGCAGACCTAATAGACATCTACAGAACTCTCCACCCCAAATCAACAGAATATACATACTTCTCAGCACCACATCGCACTTGTTCTAAAATTGACCACATAATTGGAAGTAAAACACTCCTCAGCAAATGCAAAAGAATGGAAATCATAACAGTTTCTCAGACCACAGTGCAATCAAATTAGAACTCAGGATTATGAAAGTCACTCAAAACCACACAAATACATGCAAACTGAACAACCTGCTCCTGAATGACTACTGGGTAAATAACAAAACGAAGACAGGAATAAAGACATTCTTTAAATTTCCACTCTTAGCCTTACTTTTTGTGTGTCTGCATCCTTGATCTCTATGGCCACGAGACAACAAACCTCAGGTCACCCCAGACAAACGAGGCTGCTTCAATCCCACTTATATGAGGTGTCTAGGTAGCCAATCTCATAGAAACAGAGAATACGTTGGTGGTTGCCAGAGACTGGGGGCAAGGTAAATGGGGGAGTTACTGTTCAACCAATATAACATTTTAGTTATGCAAGATGAATAAGTTCTAGAGATCTACTATACAACATTGTGCCTACAGTTAACAATACTGTATTGTAGTTAAAAACTTGTAAAGAGGGTATATTTCATGTAAGGTGTTCTTATCACAACACAATGAAATAAGTTGGAAAATGAAGGTGGTCCAGAATTTATCATTGTTACCAGCAAGAGGGTTATTTCAATACAAACTACTCCGTCAATACCAGAGGCCATGACTCTCCTTCCAGAGCTTTTAATTAAGACCCAGGTAGGTCTCTGTTCCTACAAATGTCAGTGAGAGATTCAGCCCTGAACTTCAGTACTTGCTGGCCCAGCTCCCTGGCCTCCTTCTCAGGTGGCTTCAGGAGCAGGCACATGTGAAAACGGGGAGACCCACCTTGTGCTCGACAGACCCAGGCTGAAGGCAGTTCTCCGTGTCCTGAACACAAGCAACATGGAGGAGTCCTCATTCTGCCTTTGGAGTTTGGGGCCTGGCTCATAGCTCAGTGCTGCACCACAGCTCAAGAAATATCTTGTGGGGAAATCACGCCATGAATTTGAGAATTTGAGAACCTCAAATATCTAATTTCTTAGTCTGTCCCTGTGTCCCTTGCTTGGTTTCCCTTTCTCCAGCAGATTCCCTCCTGAGCCCATGACACCTCTTCTGTATGAACAATGAATTGGCAAATGCCCCATGGGTGGCAGGGGAAGAGCTGTGATTGTCAGCTCACCTCAAAAGGATCACCTATTCTCTGCAATTGTATTTCATCTAGTGCATGTTGCTTCCACAGCTCTCCTTTTCCTTTAAAGTACGAATTTTGTGTTTTAAATTTTTAACTTTTCTAGCTGGTGTACTGGGAGTGTTGAGTTAATCTAGCAGTATCCCACAGAGAAGTCAAAGTCGTATATTTATGTTCTGTTATGTTTTTCTTGGATTTTATTATTTTTTGTTTTCTTATATATTTTTTAATTGATGCCATGCAGAAGAAAAATATGAGTGATAATTTGAGGCTCCAGGAAATATTATATTTCTCTAGAGGTTATTTAGTTTTGCTTGTGTCAGGCAATGAGGCTATGAGGCTAAGGTCATTAATATCTCAAATCACCCAAATCTAGTCTAGGATTAGTTAGTTAGAACTCAGGATTCAGTTCCTATGAAGGATGATCTGTTTCTATTTCACCTTATTCCACATATTAGACTTCCAAGGTTTCTATGGAAAGCGTATTTTTATCTTATGGAGTCCTTCCTTTATTTGTGAGGCATGAAATCCAAATTTGTCCCTCTAGCCCTTTGAACATTTTGTGAGGTTTTTGTGCTTAATGGAAGTTGAGCCAAATGAAAAGGAACACAGGTATCAAACACCACATGGAAGCTGAAGCAGCTAGCTGTATTGAACATGTTTCCCCCTCACATAATAAATAGCATATATTCTTATCAAGCTGGAGCTGGCATCGTAGGAAGCACTTTTTCTCTTTGCATTTACATCTTCTGATCTTTGGGAATGAAAATCGTCTGTATACGTGATTCTTTCCTACTTGGTTGTGGCCATTATCTTGTTCCCTTACTCTAAGGAATTATCTAGATGTTGGATGATTTGGGGCTGGATAATGATGGATGTGAAGTTGTATTTTACTTGCTCATGGTTAGCTGGAACGTTTCCCTCCCCACCATCTACCTAAGTAGTTTCCAAGCTGCCTATATCAGATCAATCAGGTCCAGGTGAGCAGGAATAGAATCCAGAGCCGCCACATACACTGGGATATGAGGATGTCTGTTGAGTTGTGTTTTGTATAAATTGTGAAAGGAAACTAAAAATTTGGCACCCCAATTCACCATGTCAAAAGGAAAGAATTAAGGTGAAAGCTGAGTCACGCAAGAAATTGCCTTTCCTTTGGTTTCCAAGCAGATAGCTACAGATAAAAGGTTAAAAATATCCCCACCGGTAGCTACTCTATGTTCACCTAATCATATGCAAAGCGATGATTTACTGAGAGCAAGATGAATACATAACTGACTCTTCCCCTACCTGCCCCTTTTTCCTTGCAACATGTGGATTGCCATACCTTCTCTCTTTCCCTGTCAGCCCACTTTTCCCCTTTAAATATTGAAATCATCTTTGGAGAAAGACACAGACCAGATTGCCTGTGTCATTTGATGATTTTTTCTTTCCAGCATGTCCCTAACCTTGGGAAAATAAACTTCTAAATTGCTTAAGACCTGTCTCAGACACTTTTTGGTTTACAACCTTGACATATATCAGAGTTTCAACCTATGTGATAGTCCAAGGAAGAGTGAAAATTACCAAGGAAAGTACACTATTGGAGCTATTCAATTCTCCCTCCAGTCTGCTTTTCACCTTTAAATATTGAAGGCTTCTAAATCATCTTTGGAGAAAGCCACAGACTTGTCTTCTGGGCATTGTCTTAAACCCTAGCAAAATAAACTTCTAAATTGATTGAGATCTGTCTCAGATATTTTTGGTTTGGAGTATTGTAACTATGGTCTTTGTACTTGCCGCACTGCCTCCTCTCCGTTTGATTTACCAATGCCCAATGAAGCCATGTTTTCAGCATGCAAAACCCAGGAAAGAAATTCTACAAAACTTGCCAAGCAAGAACTCAATGTTGCACAAAACTCATAATGATAGTGCACCAGCTCATCGAGAGGGGAGCCAATTCACAAACAAGCATGAGAAAATCTAGATGAAGGCCATTTTACCAGCCCTAAAAAAGCTATTTCTGACCGGGCGTGGTGGCTCACGCCTGTAATCCCAGCACTTTGGGAGGCCAAGGCGGGAGGATCACGCGGTCAGGAGATCGAGACCACCCTGGCTAACATGGTGAAACCTCGTCTCTACTAAAAATACAAAAAATTAGCCGGGCGTGGTGGCGGGCACCTGTAGTCCCAGCTACTGGGAAGGCTGAGGCAGGAGAATGGTGTGAACCCGGAAGGCAGAGCTTGCAGTGAGCCGAGATCACGCCACTGCACTCCAGCCTGGGCAACAGAGCAAGACTCCGTCTCAAAAAAAAAAGCTATTTCCATTTATGAATTTAACTATAAATAACTATATAGTATAAATAACTATAATTGATATGAAAATATATAAAGTTATTCAGTTGTTAATGGATACTTAAGTTGTTTTGATGTTTTGCTATTAGGAATGAAGTTGTAATGAACTTGCAATAGTTCTTGATGTATGTTCTAGAGTAGCATTGTAGTAGTAATGTAGTATGATAATGTATATATATTTTCAACCTTACTATGTTATGCTGACTTGTTTTCCAAAATGATCCTAACAATTTCTATTTCCTTCAGAAGTCTGTTGGTAGAAACATTGACCCACATCCTTGCTAGGTTTTGATATTTTTATTGTTTTTTCAGTGTGGCGTTTATTTACATTTCTCTGACTTATAATGAAGAGTTTGAAATTTTTTCACATATTCACATGTCATTTATACATGTTACTATAAAATGTTTCTTCTTGCCTTTACCATTTTTTTTCTCAGAAAAATATAGTCCTTTACTAATTGATTTGTAGGAGGCCTTTCTATGTTCTGGGTACTAATCCTTTTCATGGTTTAATATGTTGTAAGTATCTTTATCCAGTTTACCAAAAAAATTTCCTCTCTCTAGTGAGTGATTCCAATCAGCATATAAACATGCCACGGCATTTCCTTTTCCCTAAATCCAACTCTGCTGATGAATTTTTACTTCTAATCTGAAGGAAACTCTTAAAAATATTGGGCTGCACCTGTTATTTCCATTCCTCCCCATTCTTCTTCCACTCTTCACAGATCAGGCTACAGTCCACATCTTTAACTGAACTCCTTGTCACTGACATGTGTTAGCTCCATGTTGCCAAATCCAATGGTCATCTCTAGGATGTCATTTTATTCATCATATCAGAAGCATTTTATGTAGTTAACCACTACTGCATCATTGATGTATTTTCTTGACTTGTTACTAAACCTCACTGTCTTGAGATTCTCATCACATGAGAATAACAGCCAGATCTCAGCCTGCCTTGCCAAGTCTCCCATCTTCCCAACCTCTAAATGACTGAGGGCCCAGGACTCATCTCTTGCATTTGTTTCCTATGCATCTTCATTCCAGAATCTCCCATGGATTCCCACAACTAAGCACAATTCTTTGTTGAAGTTTCTCTAACTTACATTACTAGCCTTGACATGTTGCCCATAGCTTTGAAGCATGACTTGAAACCAAGCTTTGCATATTTCTTCTGTCCTTTTTCAAATAAGTTTTGGCTATTGTAGATCCTTTGTATTTTCATATAAATTTTAGAATTGTCTATTGCCACAAAGAAACCCAGTGGGAATATTGATCAAGATCGTGTTGAGAACTGTTATTTCAAAAATATCAATTCTTCCCAAATCAAAATATATTATATCTCTTTACACATTTAGAATTTTATCAGTTTCTCTCATCAGTATTTTATAGTTTCACATCACACATCTTTCGGTTCAGTTTATGTCTAAGTATTTTATGTTTTTATTGCTGTCATAATGAAGTGATTTTTAAATTTTATATATGATATTCTGCTGTGGTGTATAGAATTACAATTTGTTTTTGTATTTTACCATTGTTAAATTCACACATTCTAGGCATTTTCAATAGCTCTCTTAGGGTTTTATATATAAGCAATCAAGCTTTCCAGGCTGTAATGTTTACTGTTTGCCAAAAGGAGTCTGAAATTATGTGAAATCTGCCAGGCTTAAACTAATTTTTAAAATAATAAAAGTTGAAAGAAAAATCCAGGTCAATTTAAAAAATAAAGAATATTTTAAAAATAGTTTCCCATGCCCAATTTTATGTTAAAATACAACCAGACATAGTTAAATGTTTTATATATGGTCATGAAACTAAATTGTCCCCAATTATTTTCATATTCCAGTTCATATCAGTTTCAATGGCTAGGCTATCCTTTGGGGTATAGTTTTCCTTTCATCCTGCTAACCCATTAATTATCCTTTTCTACGTGTCCACAAATGTCAGAGGTGTTTGAGCCGGAGCAACTCCATCTTGAATAGGGGCTGGGTACAATGAGGCTGAGAGCTACTGGGCTGCATTCCCAGGAGGTTAAGGCACTTTCAGTCACAGGATGAGATAGGAGGTCTGCACAGGATACAGGTCATGAAGACCTTGCTGATAAAACAGGTTGCAGTTAAGAAACGGGCCAAAACCCACCAAAACCAACATGGCCACAAGAGTGACCTCTGGTCATCCTCACTGCTCATTATATGCTAATTATAAAGTATTAGCATGCTAAAAGACACTCCCACCAGCGCCATGACAGTTTACAGATGCCATGGCAACATCCAAAATTACCCTATATGGTCTAAAAAGGAGAGAAGCCCTTAGTCCAGGAATTGCCCACCACCTTCCCGGAAAACTCATGAGTAATCCACCCCTTATTTAGCTTGTAATCAAGAAATGCTAAACCTACATGAAGTATGAACGATTCCTTACATTCCATTCCATGCACCACATCCTCCCTGAAGATTGTCTTGATTCCTTCATAGTTATTGAATTATTATAATATTAGTGCCTATGTTCTCTACTCTCAAAAGTGCAAATGACATTAATAACTGAACTTATAATATTTTCTGCTTTGCTACCTTAAGAATGAGTGCCTGGTATTGCGACGTGATTACAACGAATTTAAGACAATGAAGCAGTCCTCTCTCCCTATCTCCCTCATATCCTCTCTGGCTCTCTCTCTCTCTCTGTCCTTCTCTCCTCCTCTCTTTCCCCCGCATTCTCCCAGGGTGGTTCAGTGGCAGAATTCTGCTGGGACCTTTAAGAGAGAGAAGCATATTCAGCAGCAGCAGCAGTTTTCCTATTCCTGCCCCCATCCGCGGCTTTGAACTGAGTTTACCACGAAATACAAAAACACAATTTTAGAAAGAAAGATATTGGCAGTTAAGATTTGGGAAGTTTCTAAATGGGACTCTCAGTCCTTCCCGCCACTCTGAAATCGCGGTGCAGTAGTAAAATCTTGGAGGCGGTTCTTGAACAAACCTGTCATCTACTGGCCATGTGTGGAACTGCAACAGCCCGGTGGGGAATGCACTTCGCAGAGATGGAGATCCTCTCAGAGGCCCCAAGAGGACCAAGTAAAAGAACCCAGGATGAATGGCAGGCTGGATGGGTGCAAATGCAGGAGGCTTAGTAGATCGGTATGATTTTCTTTGCCTTCTTTCTCCCAATATTTGGAAGGGTCCCCTATTTCCAGTGTGAGACATGCCCGGATATCTCTGTGAGTGCAGCTTCTTTGGGGTCCTGGGAGGAGTGTGATGGTATTAACACATTCTGTACACCCCCTCCCCGCAATTCCCCAAGGGGGCATCTGCATTAGTTTTGGAGTCAACTGAGGTGGGCTTCACCGAAGCTTACATCTCTTCCTGGGAACTTTAGTCTTATAGGCTCCCACCTGCAGTAGAATCAATTTTAGGTAATTTCATCATTTTCAAAAAATAATAGATGATCATTGTGATTGTCTTAAACTTCTGTAACTCTTTCATAAAAGTAAATTTAAAAGTAAAAATTTATTTTATTTTATTTTATTTTATTTATTTTTTGAGACAGAGTCTCACTCTGTTGCCCAGGCTGGAGTGCAATGGCGCAATTTCAGCTCACTGCAACCTCCGCCTCCCAGGTTCAAGTGATTCTCCTACCTTAGCCTCTGGAGTAGCTGGGATTACAGGCGTGCACCACCACGCCCAGCTAATTTTTGTATTTTTAGTAAAAACGGGGTTTCACCATGTTGCCCAGGCTGGTCTCAAACTCCTGACCTCAGGTGATTCACATGCCTCGGCCTCCCAAAGTGCTGAAATTACAGGTGTGAGCCACCACACCCAACCTAAATTTTTTAAAATTAAAAGTTTTAGAGGAACTGGTTTGTCAGACACTTTTTGTAAAGTATATGACAGCCATGTATGTAAAGAGCTCAACTTAGACTGTAGGTCAGCCAGAACTAAGAATACCTCAGTCCTCCATCCCTAAATGTTTGGGCATTTTCCTATTCAGAAGTTCTACTGCCTGCCCTTCCTCCTTTCTTCTCTTTTCTTTCTTTTCTTCTTTTTTCTTTTCTTTTCTTTCCCTCCCTCCTTCCTCCCCCCTCCCTCCCTTCCTCCCTTTCTTCCTTTCTTCTTTCCTTCTTTTTGCCAATCAAGAAAAATGGCCAGAGGTGCAGATTGAACCGTGGCCACGCTGTGAGGAAAGGCCTCCGTCCTGTGAGCACCACCCTCCCCTCACTGGCCTCGGGAATCCCAGGCCCCCCACTCACATCTGGGGGAGGAGTCGCAGGGCTTCTGCAGGTGCTCTCTCTCCTCCAGTCAGTCAGCAAACCGAGGGGACTGTGGAGGACAAGCCACTGTGCCTCCAGGAGATGAGAGCTGCTGATTTTTCTTTCCTTTCCCTGAGGAAACGATACCTGTATAAGTCTCACTGCTGGGAGACTCCACAAAGTAATCATCTTTCTGGTGAGTTGATCTAAGAGCTCTCAAAACATCTTTCAACCAGGTCCCCAAGAAACAGCTGATGGCGTCGCCTGAACTTCTCCATATTCATAGCAACACTTTCCTGACATTTCTTGGATTGACCTTGATTTCTTATCTTCATTTCTAATCTCCTCTATTTTTCTATCCACCTTCTTTCCAAGACCTTCCATTCCCAGTAATGACACCTAATAGCTATAAAGGGATTTTGTATCATGATTATATTCTTACTTTATCCTTACAACGATACTTTAATGTGAGCCACCCACATACTATCCCTGTGTAAAAACTAAGAAAATTGAGACCCCTGGAAAGAACAGACTTACCCAAAGTAAAGCTTGCCCAAATGTATAGCAAAGCTAGAATGAAAATCTCAGTCAGCCTAAACTCAGGGCTTCTTTTGTCGTCTAGTGGCTGAGGGAGTTATGAATGTGGGTCACAGGTGACCGCCGCATTTGAAGAAGGGTCTGTAAGTAAATCGACTTGCGGAACATCCTTGAAGCCGACAGTGAGCCCGTCTCTGCTGCCCTCTGGTGGCCAGGCAGATCCATGACTCCCCTCTCCTGTTCCTCCTGCCCTCGCCGGATGCTTGTTTTTCCCTCTCCTCAGTTCTAGCAGCTTATGCCTTGTTTTCCCGCTTCTCCTGGAGGTGGACTCTAGTCAGAATGCAGAGATTGTGACTCCTTTTTTTCTCTCCCACACACCAACATCTTCCTGCACAAAATGACCTCCCATAATATGTAGCATAATTTAGGACACAGTTCTCAGCACAGGCAGACCTCTGAGAAAGTGTATGCAGATGATTTGTGAGAACACACACACGCGAGTGTAAACGGAGCTTCTTTACGCGGTGAGTTGGCGCTGATGTGACTGACCATAAAAAATTCAAATAATTGCAGCATTTGGTACCATAGAGATGATACTACAGAATGCATGCAATGAGCGGCATCTTTTCACACATTCAGGTGTATAAAGTAAATTTCTATATTTTCCTATTACGGATTTTAATTTGTATGCCAAGCATTATTATGTCTTCTGACAGAGGAGTTCATCTGGTAATTTCCAGATAAATTCAGGGGCTTTCACACAATTAATTTAATAGCAGCCTCTCCTTCACCTGCCGTGTGATTTCTAAGTTCTGAGGTGGGAGGCGGAGCAGGGCTGGTGTAGAAGTCTCTCCTCACATTTGCATCATCAGCTCCCACAATATGTCACTATCGCGTCGTGTTTCCTGGTCGTCACTGTCCTTCCCACAGTGGTGACGATCACTGTTATGTCCTTGATGCCACTCTCCTCTTGCTGGAACATTCCATCCCAGCATTTTAGGCAGCAAACTTTCATCCCACTGTTGGAGCCTTCCAGAGTCTGCCACTTCTTGCCTTGGAGAACTTTTCCTTTGCTGCCACTCTGAGAGGGACATCTGTGGGCATCGCTACCATTCTGGGAACCGGAGGTGAAGTGGGGTTCATTCCCCTCTACTCCAATTGAGAGAGAACCAGGGTAAAGAGACCCTCCTATCCTCGTCCATGTTTAATTATGTTTCTCTTCTCTCCAAATCTCTCATCCTCTACAGTGAGGGGAGGGTCTTTGTCTAGACTGAAGGATGGAGGGGGAAACCCTTACATTAAGAATCGTAACCGTAAGTCAGGGGACCCAATTATGGGCTGCTCATAATGGGAGGGAAAGAAACTTAAGGAAAAAATCGGCTCAAACCTTGTAACATCATAATGCTGCATATGCTTTTATCATTACATTGACATGAAAATCTGCAATTAAATTAAAAATTGTTCTGGAGAACTCTTGAAATCCTGAGACTATATCTGAGACCCCCTCTAGCTCAAGGAACACAGACTTAAGGGGAACGTAAAGGAAAATCTGGCAGAAACAAAAACACACACAAAATATGCCTATCATTATACTCTTCATGCCCAAATATTATGCTGAGAAGGTTATTACATTTCTTTGGTAAACATCTGAGAGTAATTAAACCTTTTATTACTCAGCAAAGGGAGATAAAGTACCTGAGTAAAAAGAGCAATAAAGTAGCCCACAAGGGACCTTGGCCCAGAGCTCTGATCCTGGAGAGGGCAGTTCCTTTCTCTGGGTCTCTGTTTTCTCATCAGTGGAATGAGGGATGGCACGTTTGATATTCAGTTTTGCTTCCAACTCCAGCCCGATGAGTGCCATGCTCTGGTGAAGACTTGGCACTAGTTGGGAATCTTTGATGTGTGGCAAGGTGGAGGGAAGGGTGGATAGCACCCGCTGATGTGTGGGACGGTGGGGTCTGTGTGAGGACCTAACTGGGGGGTTGCAGATGAGGCCTCCATGAAGGCCTTGGCTTTCTGGGGAAGGTGAGAATTGCCAGTGTCATGATTTTGTGTGCACGTCTGCAGAATTCACAACTGAACCCAGCCAAAGTCCACTTGTCCCCGGAGTTTCACTGTTGAGAGGATTATAGCTGTTAGGAGGTGAATGTGCTATTCTGATTTTCAGAATGCAATCTCATTTTCACAGGGCCTCCGGGATTTGGCTCTGCCTTCAACTGGGGTGAGACGGCTTAAATCCTCCTTCACCCAAAGTCCTGGAGGAGGCCTCCACACTCTCTGGCTCTCCCACAGTTCTGTCTTTGATCAGCACACCCCAGGGCTCTGACCTGTTTCTGACCACCTGCTATGTGGATGAAGATACATCTGGGGCTAAGTGAGAAGACCCAGTAGCACCAGGTTTCGCCCCAAAGGAGAGAGGGAGACACGTGAGTGGTTTGGATTCCCTGGTGAAGGATGGCCACGGGAAGCTGGGGACATTGTCTCAGATTACAGAGTAGGACATACGGACAGAATCAATGTCCTTTAGGGAAATGCTGCCACCTGTTACACTGCCTCCCACTTACATTTATATCCCACTGCGCAGTCTTCAAAGTGCGATTGTAGCCCATTTGACCCTCACAGTGTTCTTGTGAAGCAGGCTGAGTGAGGAAGAAGCACGAAATTAAAAACGAGAAAACCAGGATCACATTTTCATTTGTCATGGATGATGTGGGGCATGTGTCCCTGAGCCTTGACGTCTTCTTATGTCACATGGTCATGACACAGCTTGGAAAACATTAGGATGATTGTCTCCACCACACAGCAGAGAAAATACAGGCTCAAAAAAGTAAAGAAAGATGTCCAAGGTCACACACACACACACAAAAACCCAATTCACTTTGTCTCCTAGAAATCTTATTTTAGCTTTCTCTATAAAAATGTATTGTTTTAACATATGATAAACTATAGCTGTTTTTTTTTTTTTAATTTTTTTTTTTTATTATACTCTAAGTTTTAGGGTACATGTGCACATTGTGCAGGTTAGTTACATATGTATACATGTGCCATGCTGGTGCGCTGCACCCACTAATGTGTCATCTAGCATTAGGTATATCTCCCAATGCTATCCCTCCCCCCTCCCCCGACCCCACCACAGTCCCCAGAGTGTGATATTCCCCTTCCTGTGTCCATGTGATCTCATTGTTCAATTCCCACCTATGAGTGAGAATATGCGGTGTTTGGTTTTTTGTTCTTGCGATAGTTTACTGAGAATGATGGTTTCCAATTTCATCCATGTCCCTACAAAGGATATGAACTCATCATTTTTTATGGCTGCATAGTATTCCATGGTGTATATGTGCCACATTTTCTTAATCCAGTCTATCCCTTCCTTACACCTTATACAAAAATCAATTCAAGATGGATTAAAGATTTAAACGTTAAACCTAAAACCATAAAAACCCTAGAAGAAAACCTAGGCATTACCATTCAGGACATAGGCGTGGGCAAGGACTTCATGTCCAAAACACCAAAAGCAATGGCAACAAAAGACAAAATTGACAAATGGGATCTAATTAAACTAAAGAGCTTCTGCACAGCAAAAGAAACTACCATCAGAGTGAACAGGCAACCTACAACATGGGAGAAAATTTTCGCAACCTACTCATCTGACAAAGGGCTAATATCCAGAATCTACAATGAACTCAAACAAATTTACAAGAAAAAAACAAACTATAGCTGTTTTTAATGTCTACATAGATACATAAGCTTTCAACTTCGTGAACTAAGATACATAAGCTTTCAACTTCGTGAACTAAGTTAATTTATTCTTACCAGTCAGTTACTATGGCTGCTTGGCATTTTGAGGAGCAACATTTGAGGCTTTTACTGAAAAAAGTTCTAATGACCCATGCATGATACGTAGTAATTTGCAATTTTCTTTGATATGAGTTTTAGCAGTGCAGGATAGGCCTTGAAATTCAGAATTGTTCATCATCTAATGCCTAAACATAAGCTACCACTTATTATTACAATTTAACACTTAAACTTTATCCAGAAAATTAAATTAAATTAAACATGGGTTTTTGAGAATTTGATGATACATTTGCATATTAGATCATATATCTTGACAACACCAAAATTTACTATATTTAATAGGAACAGCAGTTTCAGAAGATTCTTGCATTACATCCAAATAGTAAAACGGAGGGGTCAAAAGCTTATCATTTTAAAAGGTTTTTACTTAAAGATGGCAATTTAAGTCTAGTTATCTATTTTCAAAAAATGTGCCAAAGCTTTTCAGCATCCTGACAGCAAACCCTGTGGCAGGGCATTTCCTCGGCACCACCGGCCTTCTGGGCTGGATGACTCTTTGTTGTGGGGGCTGCCACGTGCCTCATAGAATGTTTAGCAACACCCCTGGTTTCTACTCAATATATGTCCCCTCCCCCAGTCGTGACAACTGAAAATGTTCCCAGACATTGCCAAATGTCCTCTAAGGGCAAAACAGCCTCTTTGCCCATTAAGAACCCTGGTCCAAGGTGGTTATCCTCCCTGATATATTCTCTCACAGTCTATCTGAGCACTGGAGATGGATTCTCCCAACATTCTTCGAAAGCTTCATTGATTTGAGCAATTTTTTTGAGAGTTCACTTGTAGATTTTCCCTCCCACCGCTTTGACATGAAAGACCTACAGGAACGCAAGCCTCTGAAGTGGTCTGTAGCAAGTGTGAGTTCATTTTAGTTCACAAGGCTGAGAAATCATGCTTGGTATGGATGTTGTGGGGCTTTCTTTACTCTTACTTGGTGGAAAAAAATGTTCCTGCTTTTCACAAAAGGAGTCAGGGAGGCATCAGCAACACCCTTCAGTCTAAGGGGAGGTGACTGGTAAGTTTCAGGTGGCAAGGTGCTCATGGTCTGCACTGTCTTCTAACACCCAACCCCATTTTCACATAAATATCATACTGCCCTTTTCGATCTAGGTATTGTGAATGGGCTCATATAAGTTTCCTTAGAGATATCTTATATGAAAGTACATATTTTTTATAAAGCAAATGGGCAATATTTGTGTAACAACAATCTCCTGACTCATTTGATTGTTAAATCTCCATTTCAGAATGTTGATTTTTACCCCTGTCCCATAAAATCTTACTAGCAGTAGTTTCTTGGAAAGGGGGAAACTGTAATTGACTTGACATTGCTCCTGAGCTGGTTTCTCTACTTTGTGTGAAGCAAGTTTTCTTTCAATAAAATACTTGACACATCACATATAATAAGTCTTAGACTTCTTTCACTCTGAAGTTTGTATTTTTCAATGGTAAAACTAGCCTTCTATCCTTGTCCTGGTAAGTTTTAAAGTTTTTAGCTGTGTGAAGTATTTTTGTTCAGCTGGGACAGTGGGGTTGCTGGGTTTGCCAGTTTCTGCCAGTTGGGCTTTTTGTTTTTTTAATTCATTCGTGTTTTTAAGTCTATTCTAAAAGGCCACTTACAGATATTTTCCCGACTATCTTTCTACTACTCTTTCTTTCACTTTCCACGGCATCTCTGTGTCCCGGGTTCTCTGAGCGCTAGCACTGAATGTTGGCTTTCTGGCTGCAGTGTGGAGACGCAGAGCCTTCCTGCCCTTTCCTCCATGTGTAGAAAACAGTGGTAAAGAAAGGCTTTGCAGGAGGAGTTGGGAGGAGGACAGGAAAAAATATTTGAATCTTGCTCTATAAGTTTTGCAAGCTCACAACAGATGAACCTAAGGAGTTTTGTTTGCTTTGGTTTGGTTTGGGGTTTTTTTAATATTATTGTTCCTTTACCTCAAGTGTTTTTTCATTTCAGTCACAAGACTTCCTTACACCTAAAAAATTGCTTAAAATATTGTCTCATGAAATTAGGGTTGCTGAGGCAGGAATAATTTCATAAAGTTCTATTGGAAGGCAAATGTCAGGACTGATGTAGGAAGACACACCAACGAAGTTGAGGGTGGTCCAAAGTCTGTTACAAGTTGGAAGGCTTTTGTAAGGAAGTTCAGGCAGAAAGAAAGGGGCTCTTCATATTGGAGTTGTCTTTTTTCACTGGAGGGTACAATACAGAGGTTACAATCATTGGACACAGATGACAATATATAGACTAAAATATTTCATGCACAAAACAATCAGTAAAACTTTATGATTCAGAAACAAATCCATATCCTTTTCGATGTCAGGAGGTTACGTATTAACCACTACATCAAATTAGCTCAGAAGCTACATTGAAGCCGAACTACATCAACGTTTGGGTGTATGAGCAGATCTGGTTATAGGTTACAGAGGTATCCTTCAATCAGACGTTATCTTATGTGTAGGAAAAGGCAAGGACTATTATTGCTTATCTTTTAAGGAGTAGAGTGACTCAGGCAAGAGAGATGGGAGGCCGTGTGCTCAATCTTGTTTTGTCTTTGAAGCATCTTTCTGGAGAACTGCAGGTCATCACAGCAGGGGCTTTGTGAAAGTATGCTAGCAAGCCGAAATGAGCAAGCAAGGCTTCTTACATTTGCTACATTGTCTCACAATATAACACGTTAGGTAAAGGGTTGGATGTGATCAGTAATTGCAGAGAAATGGAGCCAAGCCCATTTCACTGACTGTGCAGGGGTTGATGTGGATTCTCTGCTAAGACTGCATAACCAATGGAAGCCATGGAGTGTGCCGGGTGTGTCACAGCCTCACTTAGGCACAGCGTTTCCTTGTCTTTGTTCCAGGGAGGATGGTGGATTTTCCAGGCTACAATCTGTCTGGTGCAGTCGCCTCCTTCCTATTCATCCTGCTGACAATGAAGCAGTCAGGTAGGATTCCCTTCTCCCTTTACTGTATAGTCTAATGTCCCAGTGAGCTAGTCTGGGTCCAAAGGTCGAGAACAACATCTAAGAGTGTAAGTCTGGGGCCAAGCCACCTGTATCCAAAAAGGAACTCCTCACTTTTGAGGAGCTCCTCCACTCCCAGGAGCTCCTCCACTCCTAGCTGAGTCACCTTTGGAAAGTTACTTGAGCACCTCATACCTTAGTTCTTTCATCTTTTTAATGAGAATAACAGCAGTAACTACATCTCAGAGGCCAGCACAGGCTTTAGGATTAAATGAGACATTAAAAGCACTTGAATCAGTGGTTGCACCACGTTAAATTATTAATTCACTCTAGTACTTTGGGGTCAAGAAATGCAGCTGCTTCTTATCATAAATTAAGCTGCAATTAAAAAAAATACTTGGAAATAAGAAATTAGAAGAAAGGGACTTTGGAAATCTCACTAGCTGAATTTTGACGTCAAAATGTTGCACCTTGAAAAATAATTATTTAAAAATTCAGTGTCAAAAAAAAAAAATCAGTGTCAGAAGGAGATGTCAGAGCCCTAAGGAAAATGCAGCATGGCGAAGTGGGAAAAAACACGACACAGAGCATCAGAGGGCGCAGGCTCTGCCTCGGCACCGCAGAGCTGGTGTGTCTGCCTCGGTGCCGCAGAGCTGGTGTGTCTGCCTTGGCGCTGCAGAGCTGGTGTGATGTGATGAAGCTGCTGGCTTCTCTGTGCTTGTGCTGCAGCTCCCTACCCTGTAACAGTCAATCTGATGGAATGTCTTCAGTTCTAGCTTCATATTTAGACTTCATCAATGAAGAATACAAGCAGATCTCCACTTAGGCTCTTTAGCCACCTTTTGAGCAGCATCTATTTGATACCCAGCAGCAGCTAAGTAGGGTGAGGTTCTTCCTAGCAGGATTGGATCTGCACAGAGAAAGAGCAAATGGCCCCGGAGCATTTAGAATGAGAAAGAACATATCATACATGACATAAAATGATCAAACATAATAACATACATAACTGTTAAACATCTCTTCAATTTGCAGATAACAAGGAAGAGATCAGACATGTCTTAGAATTTGTTTGGAAGACCCAAAAATCTCTAGACAAACCAGTGTCCTTAATCCAGCACAAAATGTCCTTGTGAAAACTGCATTGTACATAGTCCCAGTAATTGGCCTCCTGCCAACTCCAGACGGGAAAAAAACAAACAAAAAAAAAACAAAAAAAAAACAAAAAAAAAACAGTTTTTATATCTAAGAGAAGAGGAATCCTGAAAGGCTAAAAAAAGCTAATAAATGGATTTATTATCTAAACTTCAGGAAAATAAAATGTTAATAACAAGAATAAGGTTTCCAATTTAAAAAGTCAATTTACATGAGAATAAATGACTCAAGGAATAAATAATTTACTTGAGAATAAAAACAACCCAGGTATGCTGGTATTAATATCTTGAAGATGAAGAAATTAGGACTTCAAATCTCAAAATCTTACCAAGAGTAATAGATTTGCCACCGAATCACATAGCTGGTAGGTGACAGACAGCAACCTCACCCACATTTTTGAACTGCATTTGTTTTCAGTACACAAAATTGACTCTGTAACAAACAGATGTGCAAATCATCATGCTGGATTTCTCTAAAACATTAAACATATATCTCTCCCTCTTCTAGTTGCCTCCATTTTGACAGGCTGGACACCCCAAAGCATGCATATGATTTTCTGATTGGCATTTCCTCGTTCCTCTTTTTCACTTATTTTATAGAAGACTTTAGAGTCATTGGCCCTGCTCATCCTATCCTGGCCGGGGTTGGGGAAGATGCCCTGTTAACCTGCCAGCTACTCCCCAAGAGGACCACAATGCACGTGGAGGTGAGGTGGTACCGCTCAGAGCCCAGCACACCTGTGTTTGTGCACAGGGATGGAGTGGAGGTGACTGAGATGCAGATGGAGGAGTACAGAGGCTGGGTAGAGTGGATAGAGAATGGCATTGCAAAGGGAAATGTGGCACTGAAGATACACAACATCCAGCCCTCCGACAATGGACAATACTGGTGCCATTTCCAGGATGGGAACTACTGTGGAGAAACAAGCTTGCTGCTCAAAGTAGCAGGTGAATATCTGGGGAAAGACACAGGGTCTCAAGAGGCAGAGATATATTAATTTGTGGTAAGCTTTGTGACAGTTGAGGAAATCCTTTTGAATCATCAAGGTAATTCCTAATGCTTAGTCCTCTACCCTGATTGATTTAAAAATAAGTGGTTCTGGAGTCTTCAAGCTTAGTGTTAAAATATTTTCCCAAATTTAATTTGCACAGTTTTGACTGTTCTTGAGGATTATTTGGAATCCATGACATGCAGTCTTTAGCAATTTTGCTGAGACACACATTTGTGCTACCTAAGGCTGGTGCGCAAGAGCAAACCAATTGCTGCATGAATGAGCCCAGCTGACGTCCGGCATCTGTATCTCAGGGCATTGGTTTTTCTCTACCCAATCCCATCTATGCAGAAACTGAGACGTGAAAATGTTCTTTCCTTGTGAAATGCCCTCAGTTAGAAAGCTATCAACAAGACTGAAAAGGCTAAGAATGTCGTGCTTTGGAGATTGTTATATACTAGTGTTCAATGAATTGGGGACTCACAGATGCTTTTGGACACACCCTCTGTGAATGGGAAGGTTCTTCATATTGCTGTTGTATTAGCTAAGCAGGAAGGAGTAGGGAAGAAGGGGACAACTGAAGAATGGATCTGTCTTATGAAAAGTAAACTATCATATGATTCCCTGACAGGGCTAACTTCTCCATGCTCTAAAGAGAAAATCAAGTAAATCCAATTACTAAGGCAAATGGGGAAAATAGTTCTCTGGAGATGTTAACGTCTCCAGCTGATACTGCTTCCTTCTTTACTTCCCTGGGAGGCTGTTTCCTAATACCTTTTTTTTTCTTAACATCCATTACTGTTACTGTGTTCAAGGTGATTCAAAATGGATGGAGGAATACATATATTTCTGACATGGGGGGACAGGGAACGTACTGATGTATTTCAATATCAGGAACATTTACAAATAAGTCACACATTTTCTAAGGGTCCAAGGGAAGGGAGTGGATCTCTCTTTTACCAGCAAGTGATTAAGACAGAATTCCCATTTATGGAAAATATAGTCCCCTTAGTTTGGGTGTGGGAGTTTCACGTTAAATAGAGAAAAAAAATTCATGATTTCATAAACTGTTGTAAACTAGGATTTCTCAAAACCATCTTACCCATTGAATAGAATATTTAGCTACAAATAACGCCTCGTGGAGATTCGCATTTCACATGCTCCCGTTTATCCACTTGCTTCCGAAGATCACAGCCACCAGCAAAAGATGCAGGAAGAACAGGCCCCTGGGGAGTGATTTCTGACTTTGTGTTAAATCTTCAATCAAATTGGAGTTCAAGACATCATCTAAAATACCAGACAATGTGCCCAATACAGATAATTTTAAGATGAAAAAGGCAGAGTTCATGGCACAGAGGAATTAATGAATAAATTACAGCTCATCTCTGTTTGCAGTGCTAGAGGCGTTGCAAAATGTCATGATGTCCCCCTTCTCCGATTCCCCTTTCTGGATCTGGAGAAAAGTACTGGTCAGATGCTAAAATGTAAAGACCCAGACTGGGGAACAAATAAAGTGTATCTGAACTCACATTTGAATGGGGAGACTGAGGTCGACTTTCTGCTCCTCAGACTCCTGAACTCCGGCCACCTCCCTGTGAGCAACGTCACTGGGATCTCAGCCTCTGTGATTTCTGCCTCTGTGGGCTCTGGGTGTCAGAGCTGTGGCTTCCCTCTGCAGGTCTGGGGTCTGCCCCTAGCATCCACATGGAGGGACCTGGGGAGAGTGGAGTCCAGCTTGTGTGCACTGCAAGGGGCTGGTTCCCAGAGCCCCAGGTGTATTGGGAAGACATCCGGGGAGAGAAGCTGCTGGCCGTGTCTGAGCATCGCATCCAAGATAAAGATGGCCTGTTCTATGCGGAAGCCACCCTGGTGGTCAGGAACGCCTCTGCAGAGTCTGTGTCCTGCTTGGTCCACAACCCCGTCCTCACTGAGGAGAAGGGGTCGGTCATCAGCCTCCCAGGTCAGTGCTCTGCCTCTAGGACCCACATGCTCAGATCAGCAGGAGAGGTCCCAGGGACTGCACCATAGCACCTCGTATTTTTATCAAGAGACATTATCTATCATATAGCAATATGTATTGAAAGCCATAAAACATTTATGACTGGAAATATACGCACTACATTTTACTTGAATAGCTGTTATGGCGCCTGCGTTATTTTTGAGTTCTACCTTTCCTTCTTCTGCATTGATTGTTTTTACTCACAAGTATTCATTGCATTGTAAAGAAAATAAAGCTATATTTCTTCAACTGAAATGTTTTCCTATGCTGTCTTGTGCTGATTACTTCTAGAAATCTATCATATGAAGATAATCAGAGATGTAGACAACTATTTGCATAATAGAATATTAATTATGGCCTTATTTATAAATAGCAGCAAAAACAACCAACCCCCCAATACAACAGTACAGTGTGGAATCTTGTCTTACTATACATTATAGCATTAATAAAAAGATATTTTTAAATAATTTTAATGGTTGAAAAAAATCCTCATGATGCACTATTCAATGATAAACATGACATCTACCTATAAATTGACATTTCCAATCACATAAAAGTTACTGGCCTTAAATAACTTATAACTGCACTAAAACTTTCAGGATACCCTCCACATTTGGATATAAGTATACAGTTATTCATATAAATGGATAGATTAAAAAAACTTTAAAGTTAATGTTACATTTTAATTTTAAATGAAGCTGATTGTATATTACATATAATTCGTCTCTCTACTTTGTAATTTAGGTGATACTGTTTATGTCCATATAATTTTGTACTTTCTGTGTATCTATAAAAGGAACATATGTTATTTTCATGCTGATAGCTAAGTATTTATGCTGTAAATATCAGAAGAAACCAACAGAATCATGGGGAGATAGAAGTGACAGCATTTTTGTTGTGCAGAGAAAAGGAAAAAAAGCTGTATCATTGGGTAATCTGTGGGAAAGAATCAGTATTTTTCTGCATTTCATTTTTTTAATGAATTGAGCTTCCCTATATAATGTATAAATTGCTTTCTTTTTTAAAAAATAGTTTCTCTCCTTTCCCTTACACCAAATTCCTTAATATGTTATTCTTGTTCTTTTTCCAGAGAAACTCCAGACTGAGCTGGGTAAGTACGAGGTGCTGGCACACACCTGTGGAGGGAGCCTCTGCCCTCCCCAGCAGAGGGAGGGGAGCTACCACGAGACCATGTGACCCAGAGGAAAAACTGAGGCACGATTTTACCAGGTCCTATGTTCATTAAATACCAGAGGAGACCAGCAAAGTAATGGCCTCATTCAAGGAGGTTGCAGCTGTGTTACCTGACACTTTGGGGGCTCATGGAGATTCCAGTGAGCATCAGATGGACACCTATAGGAAGCATGGCATCATCTCTGTTCTATGTGTTGAGGGGAAAGGGAGCTGCCTCAGAATGTGTGGGGGATGACAGCAGACAGCTGGCCGGGGCCTGGAGGCCCTTTGAAAACATTTCAAGTGTGAACAAGGGCAGCATCATTATGACAACCTGGGTTGCACCCAGCACCTCCCTGCTCAACTCTGCTATGGGGTCCTGCACCTGCTCCTCACCCCAGTACACCCCTAAGCTAATCACTATTGGGAGGGAGCTGTTACTTTCTGAGTGCAACCTGGGATACTGTGAGTGTAGCAATTTTTTTTTTTTTTTTTTTTTTTTTTTTTTTTTGAGACGGAGTCTTGCTCTGTCGCCCAGGCTGGAGTGCAGTGGCGCGATCTTGGCTCACTGCAAGCTCCGCCTCCCAGGTTCAGGCCATTCTCCTGCCTCAGCCTCCCAAGTAGCTGGGACTACAGGCAACCGCCACCACGCCCGGCTAATTTTTTGTATTTTTAGTAGAGACGAGATTTCACCGTGTTAGCCAGGATGGTCTCGATCTCCTGATCTCGTGATCCCCCCACCTCAGCCTCCCAAAGTGCTGGGATTACAGGCGTGAGCCACCACGCTGGGCATTTTTTTTTTTTTTGAGACGGAGTCTCGCTCTGTTGCCCAAGCTGGAGTGCAATGGCGCCATCTTGGCTCACTGCAACCTCCATCTCCTGGATTCAAGCTATTCTCCTGCTTCAGCCTCCTGAGTAACTGGGACTACAGGCATGCACCACCACACCCAGCTAATTTTTTTTTTTTTTTTTTAGTAGAGACGGGGTTTCACCATGTTGGCCAGGATGGTCTCGATCTCCTGACCTCATGATCCGCCGGCCTTGGCCTCCCAAAGGTGCTGGGATTACAGGCATGAGCCACTGCACCCAGCCTAATTTTTGTTTTTTAAATCTCGGAGTTGGACTGAGGGTATTATTTTGCTGCACCTGAGATAAGTGGTTTAAAACATAACCAGCCGATGGCTGAGCCCCTTTGAGTTTCCCCTTTACCTCCTTACTAGCTCCCTCCTTTTTATGGCCTCTTCTCCCAGCCCAAGGCAACCAGCCTGCCTCCCTGCCTAGGTGCATAGAACGTGGATCCCTTATGTGCTCTTTCCATCAATTCCTTGCTCTCCATCAAGTCACCTGCTCCAGGAATGTGTATCCATGTGTGTGCTTTAGGTGAGCTTAAGCACACCTTTCAGCCCACAAAAGAGTTTTTGAGGAAAATCAGGGTAACAAACACAACCCAATCTCTACCAGAGTCTACTATGGCACCTTCAACCCCATTAGGCCATAAACATAAAGGGAAGGGTCCCTGGAAGGCGCAAAGTAACTCCACAATCTGAGGAGAGACACACACCTGTGTATCTTACCCTTCTGAGATCAGGAAGTAAAGCCAGTGTTTGGGGCAGGTTGACACAAGTCTGTCTCTCAAGAAGGTTTTAGGAGAAGAGTCACTCCTCTGAGTTCTCTGAGACCCACTGGAGACCCAGCACACACAATACGACCCCATGTCCTGTTGTTCCTAAGTCATGGTAACCTCCGGGGCCACAATTAACCAACACGGAAAGATGGAGCTTCCCTTTGCTTCCTGTCAGGTGGGAGAGGAGGGCTCTGGGCACGGAAGCTTTGCAGGTGAGCTCTAATGATGGGACACCCAGCTCTCTATGGAAGTCCTAAGACTGAAATCACTGCTTGTAGTCTTACAAATAATGTTTTTCATTTATAAAAATAATAGTTTTTAAAAATATTAATTGTATGCCAGGCACGATGCTGAATATGTTATGGGAATTATTTCATTTTTTCTTACAATAATTATAAAGTTTAATTGCTTTATCCTCATATTACAGCTAAGAAACAATCTTAGAGACATACATGGTTTGCCAAAAATCAGGAAGAAATGGTGATGTTTACCTTCTAATCTACATCTATCTAACTTAACAGTGCAAGTCCTTAATTACTTATGTGTGACTTTGTCAGCTCATTCATCTCTATTTTTCTCATCTTTAAAGTGAACAGGTTGAATTTAATCTCTAATGTAGTGTCCAGTTCTAAGAGATTAGATATAACTTAGCATATTTGAGAAATGAGATAGTGCATTAATTGAATATGCTGATTGAAAGAGGATTATGTGGTATGATGATGAGATTATCAGGTTTCAAGGAATCAGTGTATAATTCAGTGTACTTCACGCTCCAGAAGGGAATTAATTTTTCAGTGGATATTCAGAAGGCATTCAGAACATACAAACAATAACCAAAACAAAACAAAGCAATATATTTCAGCACAAAATTGTCTGGAAGGCTGTGTACAAAACCGTATAGAAAAAGGAGGTTAACTACTGCATGTTCACACTTATAAGGGGGAGCTGATTGGTGAGAACACATGGATGCATGGCAGGGAACAACACACACTGGACACCTGTTGGGGGATGGGGGAGGGAGAGCATCAGGAAGAACAGCTAATGGATGCTGGGCTTAAC
Source organism: Homo sapiens (assembly GCF_000001405.40). Taxonomy (NCBI): domain Eukaryota; kingdom Metazoa; phylum Chordata; class Mammalia; order Primates; family Hominidae; genus Homo; species Homo sapiens. The sequence goes on along the minus strand of NT_167248.2, from coordinate 3,622,074 downwards.
ACCTGGGTGATGGGATGACCTGTGCAGTAAGCCACCATGGCACATGTTTACCTATGTAACAAACCTGCACATCCTGCACATGTACCCCGGAACTTAAAATTGAAAGAAAAAAAAAGTGGGTTAGGCATAGTGGCTCCCAAGGAGCTTGTATTCTAGTAGAACATCAATTATTAACAAACAGGGCTGCATGATTTTTTTAGCACTTTAAACTTTAGTTTTACTTGGATTCTGGACAAAAGGAGTTTTGTCTGTATCTGTAATGCATCAAATTAATTGAATCTCCATACTTACATTTTGCTTCCTTCAGTCTCCATTGAAGTCAATTTTAGCTCTTAATTACCTATGTCAGGCAGGGCAAGCCAGTTTAAGATCTAATATGTGCACAGGTCACACACGGACAGGGAATAAAATCCTCATATGGATAAAGGAGATGAGGAAACAGTCTGTTTTATTAAGTAATTTACCGTAAGCCATGTGGATGCAGAAACAGCCCCAAACTAATCCCTAGTCCATTTTTTCTGATTCTTGTCTTCAGACTTTAATAGATACATAGGAGAGGAAAATAATATTGTTTTAGGTAAAATTACAGGACAAAGCAAACAAAATGCTGGAAATAACTGGGAGTCAACTGTTACCTGGAATGGAAGGTAATAATCTGAAAATTCAAATTGTGTTGACAGGGACTTTCCTCTCTACAAAGGTAGCTGGCAGTTTTCGGCCAATGACATAATGGGATGTTAACGCCTTTGGCCAGTGACTCTATGCAGAGAACCAACAATTTTATGCTTGTGTTTCTATTATAAATGATCACACCTTATGCAAAACCATTCTTATCATTTAACAGAAAAGGACGACACTTAATTTAGAATAGAGAAAAAATGGCACGGGCAGGGCCTGATGAGAATGGAAAATGTAATATAGCTTGGGCCCAGGAAAGCCCTCAGAGAACATCTTTCCCCACTTTGCACAGTGAGAGAATTAGACCCCTTTTTTACATTCATCATTGTTTCACAATTTGTACTTTGCCGACTTCCCCAATTATTGATCTTAAAATGTTAATTTTAATTTTCAAAATTATTTGAGGACATTCAACTGGTGTGTGTCTATAACTCCACCTATGTGGAGCATTGGGGAAATAAAATATAGCGGCTGGACCAGACTTACAAGGTACTATAAAGTCCACCTAGAGGAAAGCTTCTTCAAATATCATTACCAAAAGTCCACATGAGACATGTTTTTAAACCCCTCCCTATTACCACGTCAGAGGGTGGGGATGGCTCCAACGCCTTCAAGTCTCACAGGTCTGTGCACCTCTGCTCACGCTGCAGGGTCTTCCAGGCACTTAATGCAAACTATTTTGTTCAACTCTGAAACATTATGATTTTGGTAGTTGTATAGCAAATTTACAGTTTAAGAAACTGAGGCATTAAGAAGTAGTTTAAGACAGATTAAGAAGTAGTTTAAAATCATACAGAATTGAAGTGTTAGAAGAAAAACTTTAGACAGACTAAATTTAGCAGAGTCTAACTGAGAAAAGGATGACTCATAAACAAGCCATCCCTCAGAATCAGAACGGTTTCAGAGAATTCAAAGCAGCAATTTGGTCAGACAGCATTTATGGACAGAAAATGGAAATGAGGTACAGAAAACAGAAGTGAGGTACAGAGACAGCTCTATTGGTTGCAGCCTGGCGTTTGCCGATTTGAACAGGGTTTCAACAGTTGGCTGCCTGCAACTAACAGAAGTGCAGCAGCTGCTACTCAGCTATTTATTACAAAAGTGTACTCCTAAGTTAGCCTTAGCTCCTAAGTTAGGCTTATTCATAAAATAATTTTGCAATTAAAACTCTCAGAATAAAATGAGCAATTTATAAATTTGGCCCCAGGATGCCTCTGTACCTGAGTGCTTATGTAACAAACTGCAACCTAAGTTAGGCTTTCAGTAGTTGACGTACTAAGTTAAATTGCAGTTTGTTACATAAGGAGTCAGGTACAGAGGCATCTGGGGCCAAATTTATAAACTGTTCACTTTATTCTGGGTGTTTTTTGTTTGTTTGTTTTTAAAGTCTCGCTTTGTCACCCAGCCTGGAGTGCAGTGGCATGATCTCAGCTCACTGCAACCTCTGCCTCCCGGGTTCGAGCAATTCTTCCACCTCAGCCTCCTGAGTAGCTGGGATTACAGGCACCCACCATCATGCCCGACTAATTTTTGTATTTCTGTAGAGACGGGGTTTCACCATGTTGGCCAGGCTGGTCTTGAACTCCTGACCTCTGGTGATCCACCCGCTTCGGCCTCCCAAAGTGCTGGGATTATAGACTTGAGCCACCACACCCAGCCTATCTGGGAGTTTTAATTGCAAAATTATTTTATTATTGGTCTGTAAACTGAAAAAAATACAGGTAGAAGCAGGTAGGGATTCAATTACTGTTTTACTCAGACTGACACACATCATGGAATGATTCCTCCTTAAAGAAGAGCAACCTCTATTCTGAGTCCATGAAACCCCCACCTCACCTAAGGATGACCCTGAGCCTCACAGCAACCCTGGGATGCTCATGGTTTCTAAACTCCAATGGAGCTGTTCTTAGAGATGACATTATTGGTTCCATTTTGATTCTTTCATTGTGTTTTGTCCACTCTATTTAACAGCTTCTTTAAAAGTGAATGGACCTTCCCAGCCCATCCTCGTCAGAGTGGGAGAAGATATACAGCTAACCTGTTACCTGTCCCCCAAGGCGAATGCACAGAGCATGGAGGTGAGGTGGGACCGATCCCACCGTTACCCTGCTGTGCATGTGTATATGGATGGGGACCATGTGGCTGGAGAGCAGATGGCAGAGTACAGAGGGAGGACTGTACTGGTGAGTGACGCCATTGACGAGGGCAGACTGACCCTGCAGATACTCAGTGCCAGACCTTCGGACGACGGGCAGTACCGCTGCCTTTTTGAAAAAGATGATGTCTACCAGGAGGCCAGTTTGGATCTGAAGGTGGTAAGTAAGAATTCTAGATAGATATTTTGTATTCAATACCTGCTCCTGCCACTTTAATATGCTAGTTCCTGGACAATTTCTCTGACATTTGAAATTTTCTTAATGCTTATTCATCATCAAATTTATATCAAATCCTCCAGTGTGTGAAACTGTCATAGTTACTTAAAATCCACAAACTCAAATGGATGAAATTTAATTATTTGGGCATATAACTTGTATCTTTTCCAGTATCTTCAAAAATTGACCATATCTTTAAGGAAATCTGAGTATCTTACTACATATTTTACAAAAGGCTCATTGTTTCACAGTGTGTTATTAGAATTCTGAGAAATGCAATAAAATTCTAGAAACTGTAATCATCTGAAGACTAAACTGGATCCACTGTGTAAACCAAAATTATAAATATTGACAGTTTTGGCAGGGACAGGGGAGAAAAGATGAAATCACTCCCTGCAGCATCATTTCCCACTGTCCGTGTGTGTGAGAATTGAAACGTCCAAGGTTAGCAGATGCCATTGAGTACATATAGGCCCAAGTCTTGGATATGCTACGTGTTTCTCCCACGGATTTTGATTCTAAATTAATAAACACGTTTAGCCATGGGAGCGCATGTTGAGAAGTTTCATGAGCCTCGTATTTTCTGCCATTGGACGTAGATATTTATAAGGTTTCGATTTTTGAGAATATCCTCCTACTCCGTATGTTAATCCTGTCCATGTGACCCATGCCCTGGCCGAAGTTATTTTGTTCTCAGGGACAGAATAAATGTTGGATTTGAACATTTACCTTACCTCTTAATCATCCCAGAATGATTTAGGAATACAAAGAATAAAAATAAGCAAACAAACAAAATAAGAAAATGCTCCAGCCAGCCTCATCCCTAAGTGGAGTGCAATCCCCCTTAAGCTTTTCTCCCTTCCCCAAGCCCTCCACATCCCCTTCTTTCCTCCCAGTGAAATTGCTGCCCACTCATCCACTTGAAAGGACCCCAGGCTTTGGTTGCTTTCTCTGCCCCAGGTCTGGGTTCTTCCCCACTGATCACTGTGGAGGGGCAAGAAGATGGAGAAATGCAGCCGATGTGCTCTTCAGATGGGTGGTTCCCACAGCCCCACGTGCCATGGAGGGACATGGAAGGAAAGACGATACCATCATCTTCCCAGGCCCTGACTCAAGGCAGCCACGGGCTGTTCCACGTGCAGACATTGCTAAGGGTCACAAACATCTCCGCTGTGGACGTCACTTGTTCCATCAGCATCCCCTTTTTGGGCGAGGAGAAAATCGCAACTTTTTCTCTCTCAGGTTGGTGATTCCTTATGTTCCTTCAGGTTTGGAAAATAAATATGAAGACCAACTCAGACTTACTCATTGTATTGCTCTTCTTCCTTTGTGATTTTTATTTGCTGATCTCTGACGAGGTCTCCTGCTATCCTCTGCAAAGCTGGTTTTCAGGACACCCAGGGATTCTACTCCTCTGAGTTTCTCTCTGACACCCTCAACTAGCGCCCTGCAATTATTTTTATCATTGGATACACACTAAATTCTCGTAATTGACCCTGTTTTCACTCTCTCTCTTTAAATTCTCTTCTTCTGATGTGAAAACAATTAAATTACAGAACTTTGTGTTTTCCCCCTCATGGAGGATTTTCTTCTGGATTAGAAACTGATTTTTATTAATACCATCTTCATGGTTGCGGCTTGAGTAATTTTATCCTTTCCTCCTCAAGTCATTCCAGTGATTGTGTGATATAGTTGGAAGAGAGAAGGGAAAACTTGTCTGTGCATGTGTACATTTCTGAGACGAGCAAACATGAAATACTTGCATTCTCTCCTCTGCATCTCCAGAGCAGGGAGGAGCAGGCCAACTGCTTCCTGGGAGGCCAAATTCTCTCCCTTCTCTCCAGCCTAGAAGCTGCTCAGATGAAAAGTACAATCTTAATATTGTCCCAGTTTCACAGTTTCAAGGGATTCTTGGGTTTCCATTTTAGAGTCCAGGATGACGTTTTTGTGGAAAACACTGCTTGTTTGGGGATTGCTTCTTGCTGTGGCTGTAGGCCTGCCCAGGAAGAGGAGCTGAAAAGAGGTAAGTCAGGGAAACAGAAACAGCGGAGCACACTGCAGTGGGAACCGTACTGCGTACTTCCCCGAGCCTCCCTTTTCACAAGTCACCTATGGGAGGCAGTCAGTGAATATCCAGTAACTAAGGAAACATGAGAAACAGGAAAGCCCAGGGCTTATCATGCAATCCAGGCTCAGTGATGCATGAGGTCAGTGTTTCCACTTGTAATAGAAGCAAAATGATTAAAAGATAATGATTTGATTTCCTGCTGCCCATTCCCCAGTGATCTGGTTAGGGAAGAAGAAGAAAAAAGTGAGTAGTACAGCCATCCTTGTTTTCAAGGCTGAGAGCTGAGGTTCACTGAGATTTGTTGGCGTGAACAATTTCCTATGATCTTTAAAAATGTGGTGACCTACTTGTTGGTGATTTCTGTGTTGCTGGTGACTTCTCATGTGTTAGGGAGGCTGTTTTGTGTGCTCTAGAAAGTGCTTCCACTTTAAATTTCTTATGTCCGTGAAACACTTGTCTTCCTGTTTGGCTGTTAATAGAATGAAATTATATTGATTAATTATCAGAATGGATTCTCTTTCTTTACAGTGAATGTGACATTGGCTTCAAACACAGCTCACCTGAGACTGATTTCTTCTGAACAGAACAAGCGTGTGATCCATGGACATTCAGGCAGCCAGATATCCCACAGAGATCTGACTATCTGCTCTATGGGCCAGAGGGAACTCCTGTCAGGGAGCTGGTACTGAGAGGTGGAGACTGGGAACAGGGCGCGATGGGTCCCGGAGGTTGCCAAGCACATGTTGCAAAGAAAGAGTCATCTCTGTGTCACCTGACAGTGAGTTTTAGGCAATGGATTGCAAAAGAAATGAGTTCTGGGCCATCCCCTCTCTTCCAAGCCCCATCCCCTTGAAGGTGGCCCCTGAACAAGTCAGAATCCCCCTGACCGTGCCTCTGAATACCTCTCCTCTTATAACATGATTGGCAAGTGCCCTATCTACACCTTCCCCAAAACTTCCTTCTCTGGGACTCTGCACCCCGCTTCATTCTTTGGTTCCCTAATGTAGGTTCTCTGGACATTTTTTCTGTACCCACAAGAACATCTCCAACGTATCAGGAAAATAACAATCTGGGATTCTGGAAACCAGAATGATATTCTGAGTCCTGATCATTTCTCATTTCTCTAACTGCTTGAAGGGGGCTGCCATGATCATTGAAGTACTAACTCAAGGTGTTTTAATTCTACTCAGGAAAATCTGCTGGAGACTGATCTTTTCAGAGACCTATCCTGTTCCAGGTTCTCTGAGATCCGGCCTATCAATCACAATCTGACATCTGATAATCAAGGACCCTTAGAAAATCCCATGGGAAATACAATTTAGCCTACAGGAAGAAATGAAAGGAATAATCAAGGATTTGGTCAGTTTCTTTTTTTTTTTTTTTTCTTTTCTTTTTTTTTTTTTTTTTTTTTTTCTGAGACAAAGTCTCACTCTGTCACCCAGGCTGGAGTGCAGTGGCATGATCTCAGCTGACTGCAACCTCTGCCTCCCGGGTTCAAGCAATTCTCTTGCCTCAGTCTCATGAGTAGCTGGGATTACAGGCATGTGCCACCATGCCCAGCCTATTTTTGTATTTTTAGTAGAGATGGGGTTTCACTTTGTTGGCCAGGCTGGTCTCAAACTTCTGGCCTCAAATGATCCACTCGCCTCGGCCTCCCAAAGTGCTGGAATTACAGGCATGAGCCACCACACCTGGCCTGATCAGTTTATTTAAGATGGTGACAATTAATTGTCCACATAGGTGGAACTGAGAAAATAAAAAATATATATATACAGTTAAAAAAAAGTGAAAGAAAATACAGCTGCATAAGGGGGAGAAAAATCTGATCACTAAAATATAATCTTGAAAATCTTATGAAGTGTTGTAAAATCCCTCCTCCAGACTTTTTGAGAAAGTTGATACAGGAAATTGAGTCAGGAAAAAAATTTTACACTTTCCGATCCAAGCGAAAAATTATGTATCATCTATACGAACATGTCAATTTTATTGTTAGAGCAAAATAAAGTGCACAATTTAAAATTAATAATTATAAAATAAACAAATATAAGCAGTACATGTAACACAGTAAAAATATTTTAAAGTTATAATGAGTTCAAGAAGATAAACTATATGTGGAAGACAGAAGAATGTCAACAAGACTTTTGGAAAGAATGTTATGAAGTGAGAAGACGAGGACCTGCTAGTGACGCTCTGCTGCTCTCCAGGATGGCAGACGTCAGAGGCATCGCGGTCCCATGCGGATCACTCATGAACAGCACTCTGAACTTGCTCTTCTGGGCCATCATTTTTTTTTCTATTTTTAAACTCATAAATTTAAACACATAAATGTTAGAAACTACACATTATTCTTCCACAAATGTTTACACATTAATTTTAATAAACATTTTTTTCAATTGTGGTAAAATACATAACATAAAATAAAACCCTTTAACCATTTTAAAGTGTACAGTTCTGTGGTATTGTATATGTGACATTGCTGTGTGACCATCATCATCACTTTCTAGTTCCAGAATATTTTCATCGCCCTAAACGAAACTTCATACCCATTAAGCAGTTACTACCCATTTTTCACCCCCTACTCCCCAGGTAATCTACTTTCTGTCCCTATGAACTTTTCTATTCTGAATATTTTATATAAATGGAACCATAAACTATCTGTGTATGTGTATGTGTATGTGGCTTCTTTCCCTTAGCCTAATATTTTTAGAGTTCTTCCATGTCATAGCATGTATCAGTGCTTCTTTCCTTTTTAAAAAAAAAATTAACAGACATTATTTTTAAGAACAGTTTTAGATTTATAACAAAATAAAATGGAAAATCCAGAGAGCTCCTAGATCCCTCCTCTCTCCCCCCTATTTCTGCTATTATTAACATCTTACATTAGTGTGGCACATTTGTTACAACCCATGAAAGAATAGTGACACATTATTTTCAACTAAAGTCCACAGTTTTACATTAGGTTCACCTTTTGTTTATATAATCTCTGGAGTTTAACAAATGATTTTTACATTTACATTGATCTATCTTTATATTTATGAAGACTTAAATTTATTAGTAAATATACTAGGTTTACCTGAAAATATTTTAACACTATTTTGATTTAATGTAATTAAAAATAATTTATTGCACAACATCTAAAGGTTAACTATTATTTTTCACTTACTTTTGAGTCTTCCTTCCCAGTGAATGTAGCTCTTTGCTTGTTAGTCTGTGCTTGTGAAGGCCCTATGAATACATATATTCACTTTCCAGGGAGAAAGTCTCAAGAAAATTGGTTTTATCAGTCACATTCTCTCACTGTATATTAGAAAACATACTTTCCTATAGCTTCCCAAATTGGTGATTAATGTACTTTCTGAGTTCCAGTTCCAGTTAGAAAAGCCACAGGAAGGAGAGGGGTTGGTGGCATTGAGGATGATGCCCCAGTCACTGGAAGTCCCTGTGGCTGTTGGGTGGGTAATCGGGTTGGTGCCTCAGGATACAGTTCCCTCCCCTCCTGGTGTGTAGACAGCTGGGTGTAGTCATTAAAGTGGGGCCACTCTCAGAATAAATGTGCAGATTGGCTGGATCTCAGTTTCAGGGAGAGGACAGGAGGAAGCCACAGAGACTGAATTGTTAACTCCCTGACATTTTCCTCCTTTGTCAGTACAATTTAACTTCCATGAGGACAGTGATTTTTTTCCTTCTTGTCTAGCCCCACAACCTGTAAAAATGACATACATTGATTATCAATAAACATTTGTAAAATGCATGAATTGTCTCATAAAGTGATATTTATTGAATATCTTACCTGTTGAATGTACTATGCTAAGGCCTAGAGATACAATCCTTAATAAGACATAATTCCTGCCCTCAGGTCTTTCTTTTTTGCAGTGGAGTCACTCTGTTTTTGGAATGTCTTATTATACCTTCATAAACTTTACTAAAAATGGGAGTGCCAGAGTAGTCCAGCAATAAAGAATTAATTGATGTAGCCAGGTGGTGAATTCACTTTTCCAGAAAGGATAGGCTACTTGGAGACCCTGCACTACTTATTGATTTACTCAAAGCTACAAATGAAAATAAGATGGACACTGTTATCCCTGACAGGTCTAAAGCTCTGAGTCCAATCAACCATCCACCTTCACGTTTTCTACCATGTCCACCTGCAGCCACTGCTCCCCAATCTCTAAGCTTAGAAGGACAAACACCCATTAAAATGAGTAAAGAAGTGACAAGTTTAAGAATCTTGTTGTAGAAAAAATATGAATTTAGACTCTGAAAAAGAGATAGTAAAAACTCCTCTTGAACCTCATGCTGAATGTCCTAAGTGTATAAAAAAGTAAAATGTCTAAGGCTGAACCTGTTACATTTCGTGTTCTATACCACAGTTCCACCCCATTTGTTCCTGTTTTGTTGTTACCCCCATGTTTAGGGCTCGCATGTCCAGAAATCCCTTCTCATCCACCATGTCCATTTGATTATAACTATTAATATTTTATCACCATTTATTTACCTCTGTCCTGCCTTGATTATTTCTTGATGAAATATGTAAGCCTCCCTTTAGGGTCAGTGAAATTAGGACTAGGCTCTGGCTTGATTCTTCCTGGCTTCGAATACTGTCTTTGCCACTTAGTGTGTGACGTGAAATTTCACCAAGGAGATACATCTACAGGACAGATTGTTAGAGGCACTTGTGGTTTACAGATCTGCAAATACTGTAGAAGAAAAACTAAGGGGATCTCTTCCATCATCAGGAAGAAAGGGTTCATTTAACAGAAGAAGCTCGGCCAGGTGCGGTGGCTCACGCCTGTAATCCCAACACTTTCTGAGGACAAGGCGGGTGGATCACAAGGTAAAGAGATGGAGACCATCTGGGCCAACACGGTGAAACCCTCTCTCTTATACTAAAAATACAAAAATTGTGGTTTCCAGGTTCATCCATGTCCCTACAAAGGATATGAACTCATCCTTTTTTATGGCTGCGTGGGAATTGAACAATGAGAACACCTGGACACAGGGCGGGGAACATCACACACCAGGGTCTGTCGTGGGGTGGGAGGAGCGGGGAGGGATAGCATTAGGAGAAATACCTAATTTAAATGATGAGTTGATGGGTGCAGCAAACCAACATGGCACATGTATACATGTGTAACAAACCTGCACGTTGTGCACATGTACCCTAGAACTTAAAGTATTAAAAAAAATACAAAAATTAGCTGGGCGTGGTGGTACATGCCTATAGTCCCAGCTACTCAGGAGGCTGAGGCAGGAGAATCGCTTGAACCTGGGAGGTGCAGGTTACAGTGAGCAGAGATGGTGCCACAGCACTCCAGCCTGGTGACAGAGCGAGACTCCGTCAAAGAAAAAACAAACAAACAAACAAAAATACACAAACAAACAAAAAGCAGGAGAAGCTCATATTCTATATCCTTGAAGACAACTTGATGATAAACAGCTGGAGAAGTCTTACATGCAGCAAGGACAAGGGAAACCCTCAACAGTGGGCAGAACAGGTCAGGAAGAAAAAGAATGTTAATGTTAGCAATGACTCTTGGTACAGATGTTTCTTTATTTCTACTTTACTGCTTTCTCTCCTAAAGTATAAACTGCAACATTGACTCCTCTTTCATTCACATTCTCACATAGGACACAATTCTGGACTTGCTGACCAGTGAGAACTTATTAAAGAAAAGGGCTCTTTCCTTCCAGAAGGCTTGGGCTCCTCCTCCAATTATTTACAATTATTCATGAGCCTTCTCCGTCCCTTGTCAAAGTCCAAGATTAGCAGTTGATTGTACACTAGAGCCTGAAGAGCAAACACGCTGAGCTATTAAAGGACTTGGACAGATTCCTATGCATCTCCAACAGTGGTAATGGAAGTGAGAATTCACTCTACTGCAATACTTCCCTTCAAACGCCTCCCCTCCTCCATATTTGATAACAAAAATAGTAAGAAGAGATTTCCCTGTAAATGTAGCTTTAAAATTATATACTTCAACACACACTCAGCATGAAAACAGATGAGAAATCCATGAACTTGTTTGGAGTTTTCTTGTGAGAAATAGTTGCTGCCCACAAAGAGACTGTATTTCCCCAATAGCAGCACCGGAGGAAATCTCCCTGGACATTTTCCAGTTCTCTCACTTCACTTTCTGCCTCTTCCTCTTTGACAGAAAGTGAAATCACACCTAGTGAAACTGACCTACTCACCATCCAAGGACAGCTTTCCTGGTGAATGTACCTAGAAGATGCTCCAGTGGAGACAGCAGAGGTGCCAACACTTCGCTGCTTATTATGCTAATAGAACATTAGCTTCCTGGGCAACATCTCTATCACAACTCGTTAAAGAAGTTACAGGGGTAACTGGAAAAGAATCAGGACAATTTTCATGATGATCTAAGCAGAAGGTCACAGATGTGCCAGCACTCTGAAGGCTAGAATAAGGATGGAAAATCCCACAGAAGGTGATTCCAGTAAGAGAATAGATGTGGGACTAATCGACCTCGTTGTGAAAAGACACGTCTCCAGCCTTGCTGTCCTGGAAACCTTCTAGGGGGACAGGGAGGCTCCTGACAGAGTCTCTGGGCAGGAAGTGAGAGCCATGACCCTTCCTTCTTCACATGTCACCATGCAGAAATTCTTCTCTGGACTTTCTACAAACCACCACTCTCTCTTCATTGTGCTGAACAAACACCCAGAGCTCATCTCGTTCCTGGTCCAACTTCTGTCCCCATTATTTACTTCTACCTCCCAGTAATGTCTGTCTCCCCTGTGGTAAAGTAATGTCTCCCCTGTGGTAAACCCAGAACACTGAAGATGGTTTTGGATTCCCCTTGTCCTTGGTGTGTGGGGGCATCCCAGTTCGGGGAACATTCTCCGTTGAAGAAGTGTATCTTCTACCCTCAGATCGGATGAGGTTGGGATGAGCTGCATCTGGATCCAGAGAAACAGCCACTGCATGTATAGTTGGAAAAAAAAAAAAAAAAAAGGAGGAAAGCTGCAAATACTGGGAAGGCAGAATGGAGAAAAACAAGAGGGAGAAAACTGGAAGGTTAGGTAAAACTGTGGTCCGTCCTAGGAGATACACGATGTGTAAGTCCTAGAAGGCTAGGGTTGGGCAAGATCTTCAGTAACCATCTATTCCAGCCAGGCTAGGACTGTCTAGCCAGGATGGCTGTCACACCTGAAAGTGTTCCAGGGTAAGGTTTTCAGGATGGGGTCCTGCCTATTCTTCAAACGCCTGTTACGTTATTGCTTGTTCTTAAAATTAAGTCCTATAGTATTTCCAGTCATGGTGTGTCCACTTTCATTTAAGCCTCTTCATTTTCATTTTCTGTGGGTTTATGTAATAACTGGGCCATCCACTTCTCATACACCTTTATTTCTAGTGATTGAAATCCCAGGCCTTGTAGTCAAAAAGATCTGAATCTTGATAATTGCTCTTTCTTTAGTAGCTCTGATCTTGGTGACGTTACCTTGCTTCTTTCAGGCACACCTAACTCTCATAATAATGCAAATAATTATGGCATTCAGCACAGGACTATTGTGAGAAATAAATGAGATAGCGTATAGGGAACTTAATACTATGACTTCTCTGTGATGAACACTTGGTTCATTTTAGCTTCCAATATTTATAGTAACACTAATAGCAGAGGTGATAGTAGCAATAGTACTAATACTGGTAGTAACTAATCTTCTTTTCAAACCAAACATCCTCAGTAATTAAAATTTTTCTCATAAGAATTTGTATTTGTAAATTAGACCTCTCCCTCTCCTCTCCCTCTCCCTCTCCCCCTCCCCCTCCCCCTCCCCCTCCCCCTCCCCCTCCCCCTCTCCCTCTCCTCCCTCTCCCTCTCCCCTTTCCACAGTCTCCCTCTGGACTGTGCTGCTGCCATCTCGGCTCACTGCAACCTCCCTGCCTGATTCTCCTGCCTCAGCCTGCCCAGTGCCTGCCATTGCAGGCGCGCGCCGCCACGCCTGACGGGTTTTCGTATTTTTTTGGTGGAGACGGAGTTTCGCTGTGTTGGCCGGGCTGGTCTCCAGCTCCTAACCGCGAGTGATCCGCCAGCCTCGGCCTCCCGAGGTGCCGGGATTGCAGACGGAGTCTCGTTAACTCAGTGCTCAATGGTGCCCAGGCTGGAGTGCAGTGGCGTGATCTCGGCTGGCTACAACCTCCACCTCCCAGCCGCCTGCCTTGGCCCCCCAAAGTGCCGAGATTGCAGCCTCTGCCCGGCCGCTACCCCGTCTGGGAAGTGAGGTGCGTCTCTGCCTGGCCGCCCATCGTCTGGGATGTGAGGAGCCCCTCTGCCTGGCTGCCCAGTCTGGAAAATGAGGAGCGTCTCTGCCCGGCCGCCATCCCACCTAGGAAGTGAGGAGCGCCTCTTCCCGGCCACCATCCCATCTAGGAAGTGAGGAGCGTCTCTGCCCGGCCGCCCATCGTCTGAGATGTGGGGAGCGCCTCTGCCCCGCCGCCCCGTCTGGGAGGTGAGGAGCGTCTCTGCCCGGCCGCCCCATCTGAGAAGTGAGGAACCCCTCCGCCTGGCTGCCACCCCGTCTGGGAAGTGAGGAGCGTCTCCGCCCGGCAGCCACCCCATCCGGAAGGGAGGTGGGGGGGTCAGCCCCCTCCCGGCCAGCCACCCCGTCCGGGAGGTGAGGGGCGCCTCTGCCCGGCCGCCCCTACTGGGAAGTGAGGAGCCCCTCTGCCCGGCCAGCCGCCCCGTCCGGGAGGGAGGTGGGGGGGTCAGCCCCCCGCCCGGCCAGCCGCCCCGTCCGGGAGGGAGGTGGGGGAGTCAGCCCCCCGCCTGGCCAGCCGCTCAGTCCGGGAGGGAGGTGGGGGGGTCAGCCCCCCGCCAGGCGAGACGCCCCGTCCGGGAGGGAGGTGGGGGGTCAGCCCCCCGCCCGGCCAGCCGCCCCGTCCAGGAGGGAGGTGGGGGGGTCAGCCCCCCGCCCGGCCAGCCACCCGGTCCGGTAGCTGAGGGGCGCCTCTGCCTGGCCGCCCCTACTGGGAAGTGAGGAGCCCCTCTGCCCGGCCAGCCGCCCCGTCCGGGAGGGAGGTGGGGGGGTCAGTCCCCCGCCCGGCCAGCTGCCCCGTCCGGGAGGGAGGTGGGGGGTCAGCCCCCCGCCCGGCCAGCCGCGCCATCCGGGAGGTGAGGGGCGCCTCTGCCCGGTCGCCCCTACTGGGAAGTGAGGAGCCCCTCTGCCCGGCCACCACCCCGTCTGGGAGGTGTACCCAACAGCTCATTGAGAACGGGCCATGATGACAATGGCGGTTTTGTGGAATAGAAAGAGGGGAAAGGTGGGGAAAAGATTGAGAAATCGGATGGTTGCCGCGTCTGTGTAGAAAGAAGTAGACATGGGAGACTTTTCATTTTGTTCTGTACTAAGAAAAATTCTGCCTTGGGATCCTGTTGATCTGTGACCTTACCCCCAACCCTGTGCTCTCTGAGACATGTGCTGTGTCCACTCAGGGTTGAATGGATTAAGGGCGGTGCAAGATGTGCTTTGTTAAACAGATGCTTGAAGGCAGCATGCTCGTTAAGAGTCATCACCACTCCCTAATCTCAAGTACCCAGGGACACAAACACTGCGGAAGGCCGCAGGGTCCTCTGCCTAGGAAAACCAGAGACCTTTGTTCACTTGTTTATCTGCTGACCTTCCCTCCACTATTGTCCTGTGACCCTGCCAAATCCCCCTCTGCGAGAAACACCCAAGAATGATCAATTAAAAAAAAAAGAAAAAGAAACTGCCTCTGTTAGGATCAAAGGTTGAGAAAGTAAGGAGAATACAGAGCTTCCTTCCATAACGGTAGGAAGGCACCAAATTTGAACAGAGTAAGGCTCCTAGTGCCACTGCCTAAAAGGATTGAGATGAGTAGCATAGGTAAGTTCTGCTCCAGGCTTCAGATCACAATTCTAGTAACATAGCACAGTGAGAACATTTTTATTTTTTCTGGACAAGTTTTGCCTCCCCATCGACAGGTTACATAAAGGAAACCCAATTTTTCATTCATCAGCAAAGACTTCCAGGAAAAGGGAGGAAAATTTCCTGTTCTCTCTTAAATGTTGTCAAAAGATTTAAAGCTCTTCATCCTTTTGATTCTCTTTACTTCAGATTCATGAGATAGAGCACACTATGCACAGGGCCAAGGCATCTGAACTAAGAGATGACAAGAAAGAGGGGTACGGCAGAAATAAGCAATAGCCCTGCCAGTACACAGTGTCTTAAGCTCCTACTTCTTGATTTTTTTCTTTTCCATTATTGACATCTGATTGATGTTAGGTAAACAGGTAGAACAAGGGGAATTGGCATGTGTGAGGGCAAAAATCTCACATGGAAATCACTAGATCTCTATAATGGGACAAGTGTCTATGAATTAGCAATGAAACCATAAGTTAGGATAATGTCTTGATGAGAAATGTTCTAGAAATAGCAACCAGATTCCGGTATCAGAAGGGATGGGGATTCATGGTGAGGGTCCAGGCAGGCATTTCTGTGTTTCAAATATTTAATACAATTGAACTGAGAGAAAGTCATGTATCAAGGGCAAAGCTGCTGCATTCAAAGAAGAACTACTAGGATTCAGCTTAGGCTTGCATTTTGGGAACCACTGTAGTAAGTGAGTAATCATAATCCAGAGAGAAGCCACACTTATGACAGATTCTTAGTGAATTAATTATTTATTACTGGTAACAAATTACCTGGAAACTTAGTGGCTTAAAACAACAATTGCATATTATCTTACAGGTCAGGAATTTTGGAGCAGCTTAGCTGGGTAGCTCTGGCTCAGTCTCTCATAGGTTGCAGTGAAGCCATTGGCTGGGGCTGCAGCCATCTGAATCCTTGACTGGGGTTGGGGGTCTCTTTACAAGAAGGCTCATTACATGGCTGTTGACTGAAGGCTTCAGTTCCTCACCAATAGGCCTCTCCACCGAGCCACCTGAGTGTCTTTAAGATTTGGCAGCTGACTTCCCCCAGAACAGATGATGAGAGAGAGAGAAGAGGGGAGGGAAGTGGGGGAGAAGAAGGAAGACTTTAATGTTTTCATGACCTAATATAGGAAGTAACATACCATAATTTCTGCTGTTGTCAACTGGTCATACAGACCACTCCTGCTATAGTGTGAGGGACTATGCAAGAGTGTGATTGTCAGTAGAGAGAATGGTGCAGGGTTTTGATACATGGTCTTTAATTTGGTTGAATCGATCATTCACAGAGGACAGTGTTTTTTGTTTGTTTAATCCTGCCTACCTACCCCCTCACCTTTATTCTGTTTCTAGATAGAGGGAGGCTGGTGTGGTGACTCAAGCCTGTAATCCCAACAGCCGAGCACTTTCGAAGGCCAAGATGGGAGGGTAGCTTAAGGACAGGAATTTGAGACCAGCCTGGGCAACATAGTGAGGCCCCATTTCTACACACATCAAAAAATTAGCTGAGTTTGGTGGCACATGCCTGTAGTCCCAGCTACTCAGGAGGCTGAAGCAGGAGGACAAGGATTGCTTGAGCCTGGGAGATAGAGGCTGCAGTTAGCCATGTCTGTACCACTGCACTCCAGCCTGGGTGACAGAGAGAGACCCTGTCTCTCTCTCTAAAAAAACAAAGAGAGAGATACATGGATTGGCATTCTTTTCTGGAGAGATAGCAATTATGTCCTCCTGACACAGGATTTCTTTTCTTCCCTTTGGATAAAGGATATTTTGCTAATTCAAAAGATTAGGAAAGACAGGGTTGGCAGTTCCACTTACTATATTTATTATTACAGGCTTACTTGACTATAGGCCTAACTAATTTTAAGGACACTGGGTTTATAGAAGAGAATGATGTGAAAGAGGACGTTAGGACAACCTCTGATTCCTAGAGGGGAGGGTATAGCTTTCTCTTCCATATTTGCGAAGCAGGATTTTCCAAAGACATGAGATTGAAAAAAATTGTGGATGTGAGAAGACATAAATTTCATTAGGATGATGAAAAATATTTTTTTTCTCTCACCTCAAATCTATATCATCAGTGTTATAAAGTAAGCTAGGGTCTGTCTCCCTTTCAACCCAGTAGTCTTAAAAGGCTCAAGAAGATTAGGCTTGAATTTCTACTCTCAAACTCAAAATTTTGTAATCTCTCTTTTTTAAATGATTGAAGTATAATTTACAGACATGTATTTTTACAAGCACAGATTATAAGTATTAACAATTGAATACACCCAAGTAATTCATACCTTAATCCAAACAAAGAACATTAATTTTTCACAGGCAACCAGTAGTCTGATTCCCATCATCAAAGTTTAGTTTTGCCTTTTCATTAACTTCATATGGTAATAATACACTATTTGCTCTGTTGTATCTAATTTTTTTCATTCAATATAATGTTGAGATCATGTATATTGCTGTGTATGTTCTTTTAATATTTTAAGTTGAATTTCATTTTATGAATATGCTTCAGTTTTTTCCACTCATTTTTCTGCTGATGGATACCTGGATGTTTCTAGGTTTGGGCTATTATTAATAAAATTGCTATGAACATTCTCTTTCAAGTCTATTGTGGACACATATTTCATTTCTTTTATACTTTTCATTCCATATACAATGTCTGGGTCAAAGAGTAGGTATGTGTTTAATTTTATAAAATACTACAAATCAGTTTTCCAAAGTGGCTGCACTATTTTACATTCAAATAAGCAATGTATGAGAGTTTCAGTGACTCCACATAACCAATAATTGATATTTTCAGCCTTTTAAATTATATCCAGGTCAGTGAGTGTAAAGTAATAACTCATTTTGGTTTGCATTTTCCTGATGATTATGTTGAATTCTTTAGTCATCTATCTTCATTTATGAAATATTCATTCAAATCTTTGTTCTATTTTGTTGCATTATTTAATATTTTTATGAAGTTGAAGAAATTCTTCAAATAGTCTAGATACAACACTTTTGTTAGGTCTCTTCCTTTATGTAGGTATTTTTAAATTTTTATCTGAAGGGTTTTGCAGTTTTCAGTGTAGGTATCTTGCATATACTTTGTTAACTATATTCTTAAGAATTTTATACTATTTGATTCTATTGTAAGTGATATATTCATTTTCCAAATGTTAATTACTAATGTATGGAAATAAAATTTATTTTCATTATTAATTTTGTACACTGAGACCTTGCTAAAATCCCTGATTAATTATTCTAGAAGTTTGGTGGTTTTATAGATTCCATTCGATTATCTAAGTACTTAAGCACATTATGTGTGAATGACAATACTGTGTTCTTTCTTTCCAATCTTTATTACTTTTAATTAATTAATTATTTTGCTTTATTCTTCTGGCCAGGTCCTCCTCACTACTGGAAGTACTAATAGAGGACATTCTTTTCTTGTTCTCGATTTTAGGGGTAAAGTGAGCAATACAACACTACTGTTATTGATGTTAGCTTTTGATTCTTCCCTGGCACTATTTAGTAGACTCAGAAAATTTTCTTCTATTCTTACATTGCTAGAGGATATTGTTGCTGCTGTTGTTTTATTTTTAAAATCATGAGTGGATATTAACTTTTATTTTAAAATGTTTGTGCCATCTAAGATTATATAGTTTTTATTTTCTTGTTTTTAATTTTGTTTTTGCTTTATATTAGGTATATAATTTCATAATTGTATTAATGTATTACAAAATTTATATTTTTAAGATTAAACTACACTTAATTATATGTATTTTTTACTAGATTTATCTTACTGTTTTAATTAGAATCTTTGCATCTGTGCAAACAATTCTGTAGGTTTTCTTTTCACTCTCTTGATAAGTGTATTTTGATGCACAAAAGTTTTTAATTTTTACGAAGCCCAATTTATGTAATTTTTCTTTTGTGGTCTGTGCTTTTGGTGTCATTTTAAAGAAGCCATTACCTAATCCAAAGTCATGAAGATTTTTCCCTTGTTCTCTTTTAAGAGTTTTACAGTTTTATCACTTAAATTTAGGTCTTTGGTTCAATTTGATTGAATTTGCACATGGCTTAAAGTAAGAATCCAACTTCATTCTTCCTGCATGTGGGTGTCTAATTTTCCCAACACCATTTGTCAAAGACCACCGTTTCCCCATTGAATGGTCTTGGCACCCGTGGTAAATGAATTGAGAGTTCACTTCTGGCCTCTCAATGCTTCTCCATTTGTCTCTGTATTTTTCTTTATACCAGTGCTGCATGTGCTCTTGATTACTGTAACTTTGTATTAAGTTTTGAAACTGGGGAGTGAGAGTCCTGCAAATTTGTTTCTTGTTTTTCAAGATTGTTTTGGTTACTTGAGGTCCTTTTATGTTCCACATGAATTTTAAGAGAGATTTTTCTATTTCTATCCAAAAAATAATGCCATTAAGATTTTGGTAAGGAATTACATTGAATCTCCCTATCACATTGGATAATATTGTCACCTTAGTAATATTAAGTTTTCCAATCCATGGCTGTAGGAAGTCTTTTAAATAAAGAGGTATATCTATATTTACATAGGTTTGTTTTCAATATTTATATAATTTTATATGCTTTACTGGTATATAAATAAATTTGATTTATATTTAATATTTTCTTTTATAATAGAAAATAATATATATATTTATGAGGCATAATATCAAGTTTTGACAGATATATGTACCTCAAAACTATTTATATATATTTCATACACAGCATATATATTATGTACAACATAATGTATATTATATATTACATATATTTATAGACTATAAATATATATACTAATATGTAACTATATATAAATAATATATAACTACATATTCATAGATATATATAACTATATACAAATATATAAAAGTATAAAAATAAATCTATATATTATATATAGTGGAATTATTAAATTAAGCTATATAGTGAATGATTGAATTAAACTGATTAACATAATCATCACTTCACATGCTTATCAATTTTTTTTGGTTAACAGACTGAAATTTCCTCTTTGTAATTTGTAAAATATACATTATTATTAGCAATATATTTCAAAAACATATTGCTCTTGTGTAACTGAAACCTTGTACTCTTTGACCAACATCTTCTCATCTTCCCCATATTCGCCCCACTTCCCCAGCCTGTAATCACCATTCTGCTCTCCACTCCTATGAGTCTGACTTTTTAGATTCCATGTATAAGTGAGATCACAGTATTTGTCTTTCTGTGCCTGGCTATTTTACTTAGAATAAAAAGAATCAGATTGCACCTAGCTCAGTTAACCCCTTGACTCCAGGTATAGAAATAATAAAAACACAAAATCAAACAAATTTTATGTGTGTGTCTATCATCTATCTATCTATCTATCTATCTATCAAATGTCTATTTAAATACCATCTTTGACATTGCCATGGAGGATTATTATCCATATCATGATAATTTAGTAGATTGGCCCAGGGAATAGATAAACATTGGTGTTACCATACAATTTATAAATGTAGTTTTTAAAGAAAATGTCAAAGTATGTGGTTTAATTTGTAAAGTATATATTCTCATTTCGAATCTCTAAATGTAATATGTTTGTTTTCTCAACAGTATTACCCTGTTTCCAAATATTGCTTAAGGAGCCAATATGTCACAAAAGTTTTGCAGCAAGCAAATAAAATAAAATAAAATATGTATTTATTTTTACTCTAAAAACTATACATGCCTCTTTATTTATAGAGAGCTATAGCTATATCTGGATATCTATAAGACAAAGTTTTTTTACATTTAATCCACATATTTTGAACTTTTTAAAAAGATGTATTCCTAGGTAGTGTGTAATTTTGATGATAATGTGAATTGTATTTTCTTTTCAAATTGTATGTTCTCTTCATTTCTGTCTTATAAAAATGTGTTGGTTCTTGGATATTATTCTTGTATTTAATAACCTTGGTAAACTTATTAATTCCAAAAATTTAGCTGTAGTATTTCTTGCAATTTCTAAATACACAATAATGCCAACTGCATATGACAGTTTTATTTGCTCTAGTCCAATATTTGTTGAAAGTCCCCACCTCTGATATATATCCTTTTGTCAGAGTTTGTCATTGAAATACTAAGATACCCTATATTTCTGTTATTCTAGAAGTTAAGAAACAAAATCAGAGCTAAAACTTGCCAACTGGTTGGACCCAGTAACCCAGAGAGGGGACAGACTTTTCTTGTTAGATCCCATCTAAGCCACGTAGGCTTGAGACACAGATTCTGGAACCTGAGGGAAAGAAAAATGTGTTTGCAGATATAAAATATGGATTTAAAAAAATCATCAGGGAAAGAAAATGTCTATGGCAAAGGGCCTAAGATTAGAATCGACTACGCTCAGCGAAGTTGCACTCTCATCTAAGAAGTTCTTATCTAAATAACTGCCCTTTAGAAGCCCTCTGTTAATCAATAAACAGCTGTATAATTAGACATTACTTTCTTTTCTGACAACTACTCCCACTTAACTCTATTTCTGTTCACTTTTCTTCCCTTCCTTAGTTTTCAGACATTGTCTCAGGTGTATCCTTAGACCCTTTAACCCTGGTCTGCATGAAATTCCATACTTATATTTATGTTCTCCTTAATGCCTAGGTATTGGCAATCTTTGGCAGTCATTCCCTTATCCCCAGTGGGGAAAATACTGCTACAAATTTAAATGCATTTCACCACTTTAGTAGTTCACAAACTAGACAAAGGTACTGTCAATGATTGCCTGGATAACTCTTAACAGTAGTCTCCTTGCTTCTTCTTTTCCTCCCACTACTGTCTTTTCTTAACACAGCAGCAAAATTGTTTTATGTCTTTATGCAGACATAGGTAAAAACGTGTCATTTGCCTACATAATGACCCATCTTATCTCTTTATTTCATTCAAGTTAAAATCAAAGTCCTGTCAGTAGCTCACTAGATGTTACAATTTTTTTTGAGGCGGGGTCTTGCTCTGTTGCCCAGGCTGGAGTACAGTGGAACAATCATAGCTCACTGCAGCCTCAACCTCCTGGGATCAAAGGGTCTTCCCCTGCCTCAGTCTTCTGAGTAACTGGACTACAGGTGCATGCCACCATGCCTGGCTAATTTTTTTATTATTTTGTAGAGACGGGGTCTTGCCATCTTTCCCCAGCTGGTCTTGAATTCCTAGGTTCAAGGGGTCTTCCCACCTTGGCCTCCCAAAGTGCTGGGATTACAGGCATGAGCCACCATGCCTGGCTGATCCATTATCTTTCTAACTTATTTTCCTACTGTTGTTTTCCTGGATCAGTTCATACCAGTGACACTGGCCACTTCATATTCCTTGAAAACACCAGACACATTCCTATCTTACGGTCTTTGCTGTAGTTGTCTTCTCTGCCTGGAAAACTCTTCACTCAGAAATCCACTTAGATGTCTACCCTACTTCCCCCAAGTATTGCCTTCTCACAGAGGTATATCCAGGATAATCTATTTAAATCGAAATCCCACTGCAGCTGCCAGTAGTTCTCTTTCACTGACTTGCTTTTTCACTTTTCACAGCAGTTACCACCTTCTAAGATACTGAAATGGGAAAGGTCTTCTTGTCCCCCTCACAGGGCTTGCAACAGCGGGAGTGGCTCACTTCTTCAGTGCCCTGCTGCTCAAACCTCTAGGGAGAGCATACAGACGGACAGGATGTGGGGCTCTGGCCTCACGGCAGCATCTAGGGGTGTATGTTTACAGTTCCTGAAGCCCCAGTGGGCATGTGTTACTGTGTGCTCTTTTAGTTTTGCCATGTATAGGCAGCTAGTGTTAACTAGCTCAATTAGACCCTCTGCCTTATTGCAAGGACAGAGGGCTTTCTGTATCCCAGGTTCTTACCTTGGTGTACCAGAAAAATCAGATCACATGTGGGCTTGAAGAATGAGAGCAAGGTCTTATTGAGTGGAAGTGGCTCTCAGCAGATGGGGGAGCCAGAAGGGAGATGGAGTGGGAAGGTGGTTTTCCCCTGGAGTCAGGCTGCTCAGCAGCTGGGTTCCCCTCCAACTGCCCTGGCCAAACTCCATTTTGTTCCGCTGGTCAATGGCCTGCCAGCATGCCAGCATCTGCTGGTTCCTGTTGGCATGATCTTTAACCGATGTGTCCCTCTTGACATCCAGCCACTTGTGTGTTCTTCCACTGATGTGTTCCTTTTGACGTCCAGCCGCTTCTGTCCCTGCCTGCTAGGGTCTCAGGATTTTTACAGGCACAGGATGGGGGCATGGCAGGCCAGGGTGGTCTTGGGAAATGCAACATTTGGGCATGAAGGCAGGAGTGTCTGTCCTTACCTAGGTCTGTGGGCACAGGCCCAGGGGTGGAGCCTTAGCCAGGGACCATGCCCTTCCCTTACCAGCACTTCCCTGCCCCTCTTCTATATCACCTCCCCTGTCTGAAGAGGTACATCTAACTGCTGTTCGAATATGGATGATGACGGGTCTTAGCTGCTTCCTGCTGATAGGGGCATCGTTTTGGGGAAAACGGCAGTCAGATTCTTCCCAGAGGTCTATATAAGGGTTCCTAGCAAAGGGGAGCCATCATCCAAGGCTCCGGTTCCCTGACCATTTGGAGGTTGATGGCTTCCAGGTGTGAGAGAAAAAACAAGTTTTATAAGGTTAAGTATGCATGGATTATATATACTTGGGTATGTATACCCAAGTTATACACACTGTAACTACATACATACATACTATACATACTATAATAAATACGTGTATTATACAAGGAAAAAAAATTAGTGCCAAAGATTACAGAGATAAGAAGTGAAATATACTAACAACAACATTGTACCCTGAGATGTTTCACCCTGGTGAAAGAAATTAAACCTTGTATGGGAGTGGATAAACTTTTAGAATGAGATAACTGTTCTGGCCATATCTTTAGTAGTTAACAGGTGTACCCTGGGAATTCTGGGGTTTGTGGGCTTGCCTGGTGGCCATTAAAGCTTCTGTGTCTTTCCTGTATTTCCTCTCTCTTTCCTGGGCCTCCCTGTCTGTATTATAAAAGACCAAGGTGGCCACTTTCAGAAGGTCCTCTAATGTACTATCCGGTCCCAGGGCCCGTTTCTGCAACTTCCTCCTGAGGTCAGGAGCTGCCTGAGTAATAAATTTATCCTTTAGGGTTAGCTGTCCCTCTACTGAATCAGGAGATAGACAGGTATGCTTTACCAAGGCCTCTCTTAGTCTCTCCAGGAAGGCAGCAGGATTTTCATCAAATACCTCGTCGATCATGGACAACTTAGTATAATTGAGAGGCTTGGTCTTAGTCCTACAAAAGCCTTCCATTATGCACATCTGAAAGCGTCTCCTCTTCCAGTCTTCCACCTGTCATTGGGATCCCACTTAGGGTCATTCACTTTTACTGCTTCTCTTCCAGTTGGATAATGTTTGCTCCCTTCCCTGATGCCATATGTGATACAAAGCTCATTCCCAAATCTCTTTACTGCTTGCAGAGCGGCCTGCTTCTCAGTGTCCATCAGGGTCTGATTCAAAAGTAGCATAACATCTCTCCAGGAGAGTTTAAATATATGGGTGAAAGTCTGGAAAACCTCTATATATCTATAAGGGTCATCTGAAAGCTTGCCAAGATCCCCCTTGGTTTGCTTTAAATCCTGTAGGAAGAAGGTGACCTGGACCTTACTGGGCGCAAATTCACTGGGCATTTGTTGGAGGGGCAAAAGTGAGACTGGTTGAATGTTGAAGGTGTACCTCAACACACACACACACACACACACACACACACACACACACACACAGAGTTCCTTGGCACAGACTAGCATAGTGTTTGCTTTGGTTCTAGGCATTGTCTCTGTTCAATCATTAGCTAATGACTAAGCTAACCGGGCAGAAACATCAAACGTTACATTCAGGAAAGAATGGAGACTTTATAAAATTAGATCAGAAAAATCTTTAAACAAACAAACAAACAAGTAGTAATACAACAAATGCAACAACAGCAAACTCTGTAGAGGGAGGAAATCTGGTTTCTAAATTGCAACATTATAATATTCAAAATGTCTAGATTTCAGCAAAAAATAATGAAGCATGTAAAGAGAAAAGAAATCATGACCCATGCACAGAAAATAATAAAAAGAAACTGTTTCTGAAGAAGCCCAGACATTGTAATTAGCAGAATAAGACATGTCTAAAAAATAAAGTATAAGAATGATGTCTCAGCAATTTGAGAATATCAGAAGGAGAAATTATAGAAATAAATAGCAATTCTGCAGGTTAAAAATACTGACTTGCAAGGTTTCCGTTGAGAAGTCTGGTAATGGACTTATGGGAGATCTCTTACACATGATGTTTCTTTCAGAATTCTCTCTTTGTGTTTGACCTTTGACAATTTGATTATAATATATCTTGGAGTATGTCTTTTTTGAATTGAACTTGCTTGGGATGCTTTGATCGTCTTCAATCCGGATGTTCATATCCCTCTCAAGATTTGGAAAATTTTCAGATAATATTCCATTGATTAAGCTTACTGCCCCTTCCTCTTTTTCTTCTTTTGGTACTTCCATAATTCATATATTTGTATGTTTGATGGTGTTCCATAAGTATGCATAAAACACTTATGGAAAAATAATCTCAACAATTTTGAGATTATTTTTGGCAGGTGGAGCATCCTAAAACTAGAAGTCATCACCTTCCTCTTCAAGTGACTGACTTCTTAACTTAGAAATCACCACCACAGGATGCATAGAAGACTGAAACAAAATGTGGCTTTGTGAATACAGTGTGGGCTTTGGAGTCAGAAACTCTGCCATTTGTTGGCTGGGTAACTTCTAGTGTCTCTCTCCATCTCAAAGAATTTCATCGTACAGTTTATTAGGGATTAAACAAGTTTGTGCTTATAAGGTACCCACTATAGAACTTTGTAGTCAATAGACACTCAATAAAAGGTGTTATTACTCTTCCTTGTTCTCCACAGTGGCTTATGAGATCCCATTTACTGGCTCACTCTTCCTAGCACCATAGACCTCTGGACTGGATTTCTTCTTGCTATCTAACTCCAACAACTTGACTTCCTTTGTTCACCTTCATTTGTTTCAAGGCTCTTCTTTTTTTAACTTTTAGTTTTAAGGGTACATGTATGTAATTGTTTGTTATATGGGTAAACTGTGTGTTGTGGGGGTTTGGTGTACAGATTCTTTAGTCACCTGGGTAATAAGCATAAAACCCAAGAGATATGCTGTCTCCCTCCTCCTAGCCTCCACCCTTAAGTAGGCCCCAGTGTCTGTTGTTCCCCTCTTAGTGTCCATGTGTTCTTGTTGTTTAGCTCCCACTTATAAGTGAGAACATATGGTATTTGGTTTTCTGTTCCTGCTTTAGTTTGCTTAGAATAGTGGTCTCCACCTCCATCCATGTTGCTGCAAAGGACATCATCTCATTATTTTTTATGGTTGTGTAGTATTCCACGGTGTATATTTACCACATTTTCTTTATCCAGTCTGCCTCTTTTTAAATATAGTCATTTTTCTCATTTTTAATTATCAAACATTTATAAAATGCTTATTCTGTGGAAGGTTCTCTGCCTCAAGAGTTACAAACATTAGGCTGGGCACGGTGGCTCACGCCTGTAATCCCAGCACTCTGGGAGGCCAAGGCGGGTGGATCACCTGAGGTAGGGAGTTTGACACCAGCCTGACCGACATGGAGAAACCCCATCTCTACTAAAAATACAAAATTAGCTGGGTGTGGTGGCGCATGCCTGTAATCCCAGCTACTTGGGAGGCTGAGGCAGGAGAATTGCTTAAACCCAGGAAGTGGAGGTTGCAGTGAGCCGAAATGGTGCCACTGCTCTCCAGCCTGGGCAACAAGAGTGAAACTCTATCTTCAAAAAAAATTAAAAAAAAGAGTTACAAAGATTAATGATGTACAATCTCTGGCCTTAAAAATCTCTGAAAAACTAGAAATAATTCTAAAGCCCAGAAAGAGTGAGTTCCCTTCCAGTATCCTATACAAGTTCAAGGTCCTCCAAAGCATTATTAAATCTTCCTAGCCTTTTGATCCTCTGCCTTTTCTCCTGCCTCACTAATGTTCTAAGTCTCTGTTATGACACAGATTCTAGAACCTTCACAGGCCACACTCCCATCATTTGCTTAGGTCTGATCAATCTGCTCCACACAATTTCTCAGTGATCCTCTGCATCTCTGCCTACAAGGGCCTCCCTGACACCCAAGTTCATATTGCTCAGAAACAGTGAACTTGAGTTTTTCGTTTTACCTTGATCTCTCTCTGACAAAGAAATCCAGATGATGCGAGACCTGATGAAGACAATACATGGAAAATGACAGTCTTGGGTATGGACTAACTCCCTCTTTGAGGCTTCCTCAACTCTAGTAGTTCAGGAGTCTCCTCTTAGGGACTTAGGGACTTTAACACAACTGCTTTATCTTCCTTGCCTGCTTCCTTTTCAAATTCAGTATTTTTTCTTTCACTCTTATTGATTCCTCTGGAAGCCTGGGGGAAACAACCCACAGTTAACTAAGCTCTAGGCTGATAGTGCTGGTTTCTCCTTTGGTTTCTAGAGTTTAAACTGAACAAAGAAAATAACCATCCTCCGTAGCACTAGGAAAAATTCCTTAGCCCATTATCTCACTTCCTGTAGCATGGTCACTCTATATAATCTGCCTCAACTCAGAAATAATGATTTCCTCTCATTTTCCCTATTAATAGGGTGGACCATCTTCTAACTGCCCTATAGACAGGGCATTTCAGACACTAAAGGAAGAAAAGGAATATACAGTAGTACTGAGTACACCATCTAGTTATCCTTTCCTCCCCGATGAGTTATTTAACACTAGAAAAAAAAATTCACATAATAGAGGGCATATTGACTACTTGCTGTTCATTTTAGAGGTACATTAGAAGAAAATCTCCAAAAGTTGATTTGGCAGGAGAATTTTCTCACAGGACCAAACACCTAGAAGACTCAGTAGACAAATGCCTAATCTGCCCTGGTTGGAGGTGTGTTATTATATCTTGAGATGGATTCACCTATTGTTCGTTTGAAGTAGTCTTAATGTGGGTGTAATCTACTTTCCTAGTCTTTCAGAGCTCAATATTCTTCAGAGCTTTTACTTTCACAGGCAGTTTTATGGTTGTTTTTTTCTTCTTTCCTTTCTCTCTCTCTCTCTCTCTCTTTTCTTTTTTTTTCTCCCCCGATCCTTCATAGCCACTGCCCTTTATAACCATATGATATTGTCTAAGATTTTTCTCTCCTATGACTGCAAGACTCTATCTTACATCAATTGAATGCAGATCAATGACACATAAACAAACACAAGTTAAGCAATCCCAGCATATTTTATCCTACTAACCACAATAACAAACCTCGCAAATATCCATCTTATCATCAGGAGGTTGGCAAGTGATGACTGAAAGGTTTTTCTGTGACAAGAAATTTCTGTCCTTTGCTGTGGCTTTCATTAATAAAACCACCTTCAGTCAGCACCCTTCAGTCAAGGTGCTGAAAGTTTTTTGATCACTCACTAATAAAAATGTTTTGAGTATGCATTGCCTATAAAAGTATATTTATAAATCTTATTTATAGCCATATATATATATATATATATACAGAAAATCTTGCAACTTTAAAGGTATGAGTTAAAATTACACAGAAAATAGAAGTTCTAATATTTTCCCCATACCCCAGTGGATAGCTTCGTAGACCACTGATTCCCTTTAACATTCTTCCTGCCTGGGGAGTAAAGGGTTCAACTGAGGAGGAAATCTGTCAGATTTCCAACTCTAAACCAAGGGTACACAGCATCTGAGGTTCTTAGTATACGACCAAAGAACCAATGTAAGAGCTAAAAATGGGCAGGGGCGGGAATGTGAGGACAGTAATATGCGGCAAATAAAAGAATAAAGGAGTTGAAGTAGCAGAAAGGGGAAAGAAAAAAAAGTCTATCTGGTGGATAGTAAGAGGTGATCAGAAGTTGTTTCTGGTAATTTCCTGGTCTAAATAAGCATGTTTACAGGTGAGTTTTTGTTTTCAGAAATAACTTTGGCTGTCATCCTGACTCTACTGGGACTTGCCATCCTGGCTATTTTGTTAACAAGATGGGCACGACGTAAGCAAAGTGGTGAGTAATAATGAGTCAAAATGAAGATTTCCTGTGAAAACCACGGAGGGAGGGATGCCAAGATTCAGTCTGAGTTCATCTCACTCATCAAACAGCTAGAGACTTTGCCAATATTCTGGGAATCTGTTTCAATACTTGAGTCAAAGAATCTCTGACCTATTAGTGATTGTCCCTGCACTTTTAACTCCCAAGGTTTACATTATCAATAATGTCAAAGAAAAAGTCACAGGCCGGGAGCGGTGGCTCACGCCTGTAATCCCAGCACTTTGGGAGGCCGAGGCAGGCGGATCACAAGGTCAGGAGTTCAAGACCAGCCTGACCAAAATGGTGAAACCCTGTCTCTTCTAAAAATACAAAAATTAGCTGGGCATGGTGGCAGGTAACTGTAAGCCTAGCCGCTCGGGAGACTGAGGCAGGAGAATTGTTTGAACCCAGGAGACGGAGGTTGCAGTGAGCCGAGATCACGCCATTGCACTCCAGCCTGGGTGACAGTGCAAGACTCCATCTCAAAAAAAAAAAAAAAAATCACAGAGTTTAGCAAAAGTAATAAGAATATTTTAAAAGAAAATTACCTGAGCTCCAAGGGAAATTACCTGAGTTTAAAAAAAAAAAATAGAAGTGAGAAGACAGTATGTTGCTAAACACCAGTATCTAGTATTATATAAAAAGAATTGGAGACTTTTAGTGACTTAATTTGGGGAGATGATAAGAAGAGACAAATACAGAGTAGTACTTGTCGATGAAATAGAGATGGAGCTCATAAAAGCTAAGACCTATTTCTATGCCATAAGGTCTCTCTTTCCTGGATTTTTCTGTTTCTCTCCCACAACTTTCTAATCAGCTGTATTCCCTCCCTGTTTCCCATCCTCAATGCCTGTGAGCCCTCAAAGCATAAGTAGTGTGAAAAGATAGGTAAAACAGGGCTGATGGGAGATGTGGAAAATGGGTGAGAACAACAATGCATTATATCAGGAGGACCACCTTGGTAAGCAAGAAGCATAGCTTAGAGTGAGAAGAGTTTGATCAGAGGAAGAACACTTCTCCTAAGTAACTAATAAAAACATTTTGCCTAATTCTTCCACAGAAATGTATATCTCCAGATACAGTTCAGAACAAAGTAAGTACTTATACTCATGAGAAAAATAAATATAGTACTTACAGAATTTTCACAAGTCAGGAATGAAATCTGTCTTGTTTACAGTTGTGTTTCCAGAACCTTGCATAGTGCACCATTGCATGAACTGAACTGCTTCTAAGTGAGTGGGAGAAATCTACCAGAGATTTCTGAGCAGTACTGAATGCCAAACTGGAGTTGGGGAGAATTAATTAATACTGGGTAGGCCTGCATAATTCTGAGGCTCCCTTCAGATGCTTCCTGTGGTCTGAGAGCAGCAACAGAGAACTGTTCCAGTTCAGGCACTGGAACAGATGGTTCAGTAAAAAGCCTAAATCCATTCATGAAGACGGCCTTAGTGAAGTGGCCGGACCGAAAAATATAATGTATCCTAGAATAACGAGAGTGAACACAGTTAGGGTAATTATGATTGAGAAGAGTACCAACTTCAGGATGTGAAGAATTGAAGAAGACTTTCCATGGAAAGGTCTGGAGAGATGCCAAAGTTGTTAAGAAAGATAGCACAGGATTGGTATGAGGCAAAAACCAGGAGACTAGCTGCTGAAGTATCAAGAGGTAAAAGAAACTCTGAAACTCCTTCTGACTATCATTTAGCCTGGCTAATATTATAAAATTGGTGATTGACACAGTCACTTATCATCGTCAGCTCTTGTAGCTTATGCACAATTCCTAGTTCCTGCAAAGTAAATTAATTCACATCATTATTCACCATTAGGAGTTCATGTTTACATTAGTTCTCAGAGTCTTAAATAAAGCCTCATTAATAATCAAGAAGCAAAATCATGTGCTCTCCCTTTTTTTCTAGGTGCTAGACTTCTGGACTATGAGGATGGTAGAGGTAAATAGATTAGGAACTACTAGACAGTTAATGAAGGAATATACTCTTTAGAGTGTGAATCAACTCATCTCCAATTGAGCATGATTTGTTGAGTCAGCATATCTTTCGTTTTTATAATATTCAAATGCTTATCACTCCTCTCTCTCTTTCTCAAGAAAAATTGTGCATTTTTCTCAGAAAAGGTAAATAATTCTCCTTCTTAAGACCATCAAAAGAATTCATTTCCATCTTCTGTCTACTTCCAAGATATTAGAAAGGTTAAGGAACCGCTCCGAAACAATTTCCTGGATGTTTAAAATGTGGATAAAATGAATATGAAATGGAATAGTATATGTGAAAATACACTTTGAAAGCCATACAGTAGAAGAGGTAAACAAAGCTTATCCCCATTTAAGAAGATGAAATTTATGCTCAAAAGATTGAGACTTACTCAAGTTCACCTAGCTGAGGAGGGAGCTGGATATCAAATTCAGGTTTTGAAACGTGAGAGTTATGAGAAGACGGCAATGCGCTGTCTACTTTTTTGAAGGGACACACCAGTACCACTAATTTCAATGTACCATGGCTATCCCTAACCCTCACGCCCCAACACTCAATGTTCTCTTTCAGTATCCACTCACCAGGGCTGCCTATAGATGTTCCCTCGGCTGTCTCTCTCTCTCTTTCTCTCTCTCTCTCTCTCTTTCCTTCCCTCTTTCTCTCTTTCTGACTAGTCCTATCTCCAGAACTCAACAAGAACCACTAGAGCTACCTCTCATTCTTGCTGGAAGCCACTAAAGTTGTCCACACCAGGCCCACCAGCTACACCAGAACTATAAGGTTATGAGATTGTGGATGTGGAAATAATTACACACACACACACACACACACACACACACACACACGCTACAAGCATATAGATCCCTGAGAGTTGAGGAAAGAAAAGAGAAAGTAACTCAGTCACTTCGCTTGCTGTCCATGCCCCACACTTGGACTCTTGGTCCATCCTTCTCCTTCTTACCTCTATGATTCATCTATCATGAACAACAAGAGTGAAGAGCACAGTGCCATGGCATTCCCTCTTTATTTTCTGAAATGGAACCTAAAGAAAATGGGAATATCTGGGAAACTAGCAAATCTTTTAGTAGTTGGATTGAGACTAATGATAAACTTTTTTTTTTTTTTTTTTTTTGAGACAGAGTCTCGCACTGTCGCCCAGGCTGGAGTGCAGTGGCGCAATCTCGGCTCACTGCAAGCTCCGCCTCCCGGGCTCACGCCATTCTCCTCTCTCAGCCTTCTGAGCAGTGACCACAGGCACCTGCCACCACGGCCGGCCAATTTTTTTGTGTGTTTTTAGTAGAGACGGGGTTTCACCGTGTTAGCCAGGATGGTCTCGATCTCCTGACCTCGTGATCCACCCGCCTCGGCCTCCCAAAGTGCTGGGAACATAGGCGTGAGCCACCACGCCCGGCCCGATAAACTTATTTTTTAATGAACTGTTGGTAAAGTTAATATGTTTTTTTCTTTCCTAAAAGATTTTTCTTCTCAGAGATCTAAAAGAGGAAGAGGTAAACAGATTTCTATCTAACAAAAAATAATATAGACTCACTTGTTGAAGTAAAATCTCATTATGTTTTTATCTTCTCTTTTAGGATCCCGACATGCATATTCAACACAAAGTGGTAAATTATTGTATTGCTAAGAAATTAATATAGGAGTCTGTTTATGAGAAATTAAGAATCTTATAATTTTTCTTCAATTCTCTAGACACTTCATATGATAACCGAGGTAAGTATATGTAGAGATTTTTGTAAAATTAAAGGAAAATCAGGCTTCTTCCTGCCACAACATAAAAGGCTATAAAAACTGACCAAAATTTAAAAAAGAAGAAGAAGAAATCAAAGTAGTTACAGAATATTCTGAGAAATGTTCACAAATGTTCACCATCACGCTATGAGGCACCATTTTCCCCAAAGCTATGCAATTCCTCTCCTATCCAACTCCTAATTATTTAACAAAAGTAATATGAGAGAAAGGCATCAGCAAAATAGTAGAATAGGAGCTTTCTTCCCACACAGAAGCATCAATTTAGACAACTATCCACAGATGAGACAATACCATTGTGGGAGTCCAGGAGTCCAGCAGAGAAGTTCCAGCACGCTGTCAGGTTATAAAATCCTAGAACAGATGTACTAAAGAGGGTAAGAAGAACAGTTTCACTTTACCCACATCACTCCTCCCCCAAGGTGGCACAACTCAATGCTGAGACAGACCCACTTGGCCCACAATTTCTCCAACAGAAAAAATGTACAGAACTTAATGAGTGCCCACATCCCCCAGCCATTCAGGATGCTGTCCGATAAGCCCACTTATTTCTCACTCCACCCAGAACATTGAGATGATCAGCATAGTTGAATGGTTAGGAGAGGCTGGGAGCAGGGAAAAGAGACTGCAGAACCCACTCATCAGAAAGCCTCATCAGAAAGCCTGCTATTTGAGATGCGTGACCTATGCTCCTTGCACTACTGACCCACAGGCATGCCTTTCACACATTTCACTCTCCCATCTAGGCTGAGTCCCCAAATGAGCCACCATGGACAACAAAAGGAAACATCTCACAGTCAGTTTGACTTTGTGGGATTGGAAAAAAGGACACAAACTTGAGAATTCCAGAGCACCACCCTAGGGAAAACAAAGGGAAGGCTCTCAGAACCTGGACTGGCTTTGCAGGATTGAGAGAAAGCACAATCTTAGAAATCCCATCTACCCTGGGTGTGGTAGTTCATGCCTGAAATCCCAGCACTTTGGGAGGCCAAGGCAGGAGGACTTCTTGAGACTAGGAGTTCGAGACTGGCCTGGGCAACATAGTGAGACTCCGTCTCTAAAAAAAAAAAAAAAATCAGTTGGATGTGGTGGTGCACACCTGCAGTCCCAGCTACTCAGGAGGCTGAGGTGGGAGGATTGCTTGAGCCCAAGAGTTTGATGCTGCAGTGAGCCACGATCATGCCACTGCTCCACTCTGGGTAGCAGAGTGAGATTTTCTTTCAAAAAAGGGAAAAAATCCCACCTGTGAAGTAGGCACAAACAAATATTGAACAGGGTGACTGTTTCTTCAAATGTGAAAACACAAGACAAGACTTCAAGGTCATAAAAATCAAGGAAACATGACACCGCTAAAAGAACACAATAATATTTCAGTAACTAACCCCCAAAAATGAAGGTTTGCCTAAAAATCAATCCACCAGTTGCCTGACAAAAAAATCCAAAACAATTGTTATAAGAAAGCTCAGTGAGCTACAAGACAACACAAACAATATAATGACATCAGGAAAACAACACAAGAACAAAAGTAGAAGTTCAACAAAGAGAAAAAAAAACAAAACAGAGCCATACAAATTTTGGAGCTGAAGGGTGCAATGCCTAAACTAAAACAAAAAGGAAATAGAGAGCTTCCAAGATGATGGATCAAGTACAAGAAAGAATAAGAGAAGTCAAAGACCAATCATTTAAAATTATCTAGTCAGAGTACAAAAAAAAAAAAACCACAAAGAAAAGAAATGAAGAAATATGTACAAGATTTATGGGACACCATCAAGGGAGCTAACTTTTTGCATTATTGGAGTCTCAGAGGAAAAGAGAAATAAAATAGAATAAATGCTTATTTAAGGCATAATTGCTAAAAACTTTCCAAATCTGTGAAGAGATATAGACATCTCGATATATGAAACTCAAAACTTTCCAATTGTATTTAACCCAAAGAAGACTTCTCCAAGACATTATGTCAAATTGTCAATAATCAAAGTTAAAGAGAGAATCTTGAAAGAAGCATATCACATTTAAAGGTACATCAAAAGGATATTAGCACTTCTATGCAGACATTTTCTAGGCCAGTACATAGTGGGATGATATATTCAATTTACTGAAAGAAAAAAACTGCCAACCAATAACTCTTTACCCGTAAAGCTGTTTTTCAGATCTGAGAAAGAGATAGTCTTTATCAGACAAACAAAAGCTGAGGGAGTTTATCACCAATAGATCTGCCTTACAAGAAATGCTAGAGAATGTTCTTCAAGCTGAAATGAAAGGCCAATAATTAGTAAAATGAAAACATATCCAAGTATAAAATTCACTGGTAAGGTAAATATACAGTCAATTCAGAATATTCTAATACTGTAATGATGGTATATAAATAACTTTTAATGCTAATATAAAAGTTAAAAGACAAAATATTAAAAGTATATAATTTGTTAATGAATATACAATTTTTTTAAATGTAAATTTTGACACTGAGAATGTAAAAAGTAGGGAGAATAATATGTAGAGTTTTTGTATGTAATCTATTTTAATAATCTAAGTTATTATTAGCTTCAAATAGACTGTTGAAACCATGTTTTATGTAAGCTTATGGTAACCACAAACCAAAAACCTATACTAGATACACAAAACAGAAAGATATTAAAGCATACCACTACAGAAAATCAGCAAATCACAAAGAAAGACAGGAAGAAAGGAAGAAAGGATATACTAAACAGCCAAAAAACAACCAAGAAAATAACTATATTAAGTCCTTAACTATCAATAATTACTTGAACGTAAATGGATTAAATTTTCTAATGAAAAGACACAGAGTAGCTAAATGTATTTAAAAACAAGTTGCAACTATCTATGCTGCCTGTAGCAGACACACTCCAGCTCTAAGGATACATATAGAATGAAAGTAAAGGGATGAAAAAAAGATGCTCCATGCAAATGGAAAACAAAAGACGGTAGGGGTGGCTATACTTACATCAGGCAAAACAGACTTTTAGTCAAAAATTATAACAAGAGACAAAGGAGCTCATTATATAATTATAAAGGGCTAATTCATCAAGAGGATATAAAAATTATAAGTACATATGCACATAATGTCAGAGCACCTAAATATATAATATTTACATAACTGAAGGGAGAAACAGCAATATAATAATCGTAGCGGACTTCAGTAACCCATTATTGACAATGAATAGAGCATCCACACAGAAAATTAACAAGGGAGAAAATAAAGTTACCAAGAATACCCAATAGGGAAAGGATAAATGTTATTGGGAAAACCGGATATCCATATGCAAAAACAAAAAGAAATTGGCCCTTATCATATACCATACACAAAGATCAATTCAAAATGGATTGAAGACTTTAATGTAAGACTTGCCACTATAAAACTCCTATAATAAAACAGTGAAAAGTTCCATGACATTGGTCTTTGCAAGTTGTTTTATATGACACCAAAAACACAGTAACAAAAGCAAAAATAAGTGGTATCTCATCAAACAAAATTGTTTCTGGACAACAAAGGAAACAATCAACAAAATGAAAGCCAACTCACAGAATAGGAGAAAATATTTGCAAACCATATATCTGATAAGTGGTTAATATTTGTCTTAATCTGCTTCTGTTGCTTATAACAGAATATCTGAAACTGGGTAATTTATAAAGAAAAGAAATGTATTATTATTTCTTACAGTTATGGAGGATGGAAAGTCCAAGGCTGAGGGGGCGCATGTGGCGCAAGAGAGCCTTCTTGCTAGTGGGGACTCTCTGCAGATTCCTGAAGTGGTACAGGGCATAACATGGCAAGGTGGCTAACATGCTGTGCTTAGGTCATTCCTCTTCTTTTTTTTTTTTTTTTTTTGAGACGGAGTCTGGCTCTGTTGCCCAGGCTAGAGTGCAGTGGCGTGATCTCGGCTCACTGCAGGCTCTGCCTCCCGGGTTCACGCCATTCTCCTGCCTCAGCCTCCCGAGTTGCTGGGACTACAGGCGCCTGCCACTACGCCCGGCTAATTTTTGTATTTTTAGTAGAGACAGGGTTTCACCGTGTTAGCCAGGATGGTCTTGATCTCCTGACCTCGTGATCCGCCCACCTCGGCCTCCCAAAGTGCTGGGATTACAGGCTTGAGCCACCGCGCCCGGCCCGTTCCTCTTCTTATGAAGCCACCAGTTCCACTTGCCTGACAACTCATTAATCCATTAGTGGATTAATCCATTTATGTGGGTAGAACCCTCATGATATAATCACCTCTTTAAGGCCTCACTTCTCAATGCTGTCACATTGAGGATTAAGTTTCAACATGAGTTTCGGAGAGGACATTAAAACCACAGCAATATCCAAAATATATAAGGAACTCATACAACTCAAAAGCAAGATACAACTCAAAATACAGCTGAAACAAATAAGCTGATTTTAAAATGGACTAAGGTTCATATCTGTTCATGAACCTTAGTCCATGAACAGACAATTCTTAAAAGAAGACATTTACGCAGCCAACAGACATATGAAAAAATGCTCATCATCACTGGCCATCAGAGAAATGCAAATCAAAACCACAGTGAGATACCATCTCACACCAGTTAGAATGGCAATCATTAAAAAGTCAGGAAACAGGTGCTGGAGAGGATATGGAGAAATAGGAATGTTTTTACAATGTTGGTGGGAGTGTAAACTAGTTCAACCATTGTGGAAGACAGTGTGGTGATTCCTCAAGGATCTAGAACTAGAAATACCATTTGACCCAGCCATCTCATTATTGGGTATATACCCAAAGGATTATAAATCATGCTACTATAAAGACACATGCACACGTGTGTTTATTGTGGCACTATTCACAATAGCAAAGACTTGGAACCAACCCAAAAGTCCATCAATGATACACCAGATTAAGAATATGTGGCACATATACACCATGGAATACTATGCAGCAATAAAAAATGATGAGTTCATGTCCTTTGTAGGGACATGGATGAAGCTGGAAACCATCATTCTCAGCAAACTATTGCAAGGACAGAAAACCAAACACTGCATGTTCTCACTCATAGGTGGGAACTGAACAATGAGAACACTTGGACACAGGGTGGGGAACATCACACACTGGGGCCTGTTGCGGGGTGGGGGAAGCAGGGAGGGATAGCATTAGGAGAAATACCTAATGTAAATGACGAGTTAATGGGTGCAGCACACCAACATGGCACATGTATATATATGTAACAAACCTGCACATTGTGCACATGTACCCTAGAACTTAAAGTATAATAAAAAAAAAGAGAGAGAGAAAAAAACAAAATAAAATAAAATAAAATGGACTAAGGACCTAAATAGACATTTTTTCAGAGAAGACTTACAGCCAACTAATAAATAAAGGTGCACAATATCACTAATCATCAAGGAAATGCACCTCACACCAGATAGGATGCATTCAAAATGTCAAGGGATAACAAGTGTTGGCAAGGATATGGAGAAAAGGGAACCCTTGTACACTGTTGTTAGGAATGTAAAGTAATACAGCCATTATGGAAAACAGTATTGTGGTTCCTCCAATAAATTAAAAATAGAACTACCATATGATTCAGGAATGCTACTTCTGGGCATATATTCAAAGGAAATAAAAATCATTATCCTGAAGAGATATTTGCACTCCCATATTCATTGCAGCATTATTTACAATACCCGGGATAGAGGAATAAACAAGGTGTCCATCAGTGGATGAATGGATAAAGAAAATGTGATACACAGACACACACACATACACACACACACACACAATGAAATATTATACAGCCTTAGGAAAAGAAAGAAATCTTGCCATTTGTGACAACATGGATGAACCTGGAAGACCTTAGGCTAAGTATAATTAGCCACGCATAGAAAGACAAATACTACATGATCTCATGTATATATGGAACCTTAAAAAGTTGAACTCAGCAGAAAGGTGATTACCAGAAGTTAGGGGGTAGAAGAAATGGGCAGAAGTTGGCCAAAGGGTACAAACTTGCAGTTTTATGACAAATACGTTATGTAGACCCAATGTACAGCATGGTGACTATAATGTATTATACACTTGAAATTTACTAAGAGTGTAGGTCTTACATATTCTCATCACAAAATGAAAAATAGAAGTAAGTATTTGAAGTGGTAGATATGTTAATTAGCTTGATTGTGGCAATCATTTCACAATGTATACATATATTAGAATCGCACACTGTAATACCTTAAATATATATAATTTTTATAATTATACCTCAATAAAGCTAAAGAAAAGAAAAAAATAATCTGAGTAGTCAAGAGAAATTCAACATCCCAGATCTCACAAATGCTAACTACTCATTGAATTAATTCAAGATGGATTAAAGACTTAAATGTTAGACCTGAAACCATAAAAACCCTAGAAGAAAACCTAGGCAATACCATTCAGGACATAGGCATGGGCAAGGACTTCATGTCTAAAACACCAAAAGCAATGGCAACAAAAGCCAAAATGGACAAATGGGATCTAATTAAACTAAAGAGCTTCTGCACAGCAAAAGAAACTACCATCAGAGTGAACAGGCAAACTACAGAATGGGAGAAAATTTTTGCAATCTACTCATCTGACAAAGGGCTAATATCCAGAATCTACAAAGAACTCAAACAAATTCACAAGAAAAAAACAAACAACCCCATCAACAAGTGGGTGAAGGATATGAACAGAGACTTCTAAAAAGAAGACATTTATGCAGCCAAAAGACACATGAAAAAATGCTCATCATCACTGGCCATCAGAGAAATGCAAATCAAAACCACAATGAGATACCATCTCACACCAGTTAGAATGGCGATCATTAAAAAGTCAGGAAACAACAGGTGCTACAGAGGATGTGGAGAAACAGGAACACTTTTACACTGTTGGTGGGGCTGTAAACTAGTTCAACCATTGTGGAAGTCAGTGTGGCTATTCCTCAGGGATCTAGAACTAGAAATACTATTTGACCCAGCCATCCCATTACTGGGTATATACCCAAAGGAGAATTGAACAATGAGAACACATGGACACAGGAAGGGGAACATCACACTCTGGGGACTGCTGTGGGGTGGGGGTAGGGGGGAGGGATAGCATTGGGAGATATACCTAATGCTAGATGACGAGTTAGTGGGTGCAGCGCACCAGCATGGCACATGTATACATATGTAACTAACCTGCACATTGTGCACATGTACCCTAAAACTTAAAGTATAATAATAATAATAATAATAATAATAATAATAAAACAAATCATGCTGCTATAAAGACACATGCACACGTATGTTTATTGCGGCACTATTCACAACAGCCAAGACTTGGAACCAACCCAAAAGTCCATCAATGATACACCGGATTAAGAAAATGTGGCACATATACACCATGGAATACTATGCAGCAATAAAAAAGGATGAGTTCGTGTCCTTTGTAGGAACATGGATGAAGCTGGAAACCATCATTCTCGGCAAACTATCGCAAGGACAAAAAATCAAACACCTCATGTTCTCACTCACAGGTGGGAATTGAACAATGAGAACACTTGGACACAGGAAGGGGAACATCACACACCGGGGCCTGTTGTGGGGTGAGGGGAGTGGGGAGGGATAGCATTAGGAGATATACCTAATGTAAATGACGAGTTAATGGGTGCAGCATACCAACATGGCACATGTATACATATGTAACAAACCTGCACGTTGTGCACATATACCCTAGAACTTAAAGTATAATAATAATAAAAAGAAATCAAGGAATAAATTCTTAAAAGTTTATCACATTAAGATATGACTTGTGCAATAAAATTCCAAGGGTGCAAAGAAATACTGCTGTTGTCTACTGTTGTCATTTACATCTCATATTTCTTGGGAAAAAACCTCTCCAGTAACAGTCCACCAGAATACCAGATTTAACCAGTGCAAGAAGCTACCTCAGTGTTAGGAATTTAAGGGTACACGGATAAGCAAAATAAAACTACACACTATAAGAAGGGAGGAGAATTAACATGTACTCAGCACCTACTATATGTTAGTCATTCTGGTGAGCATTTTTTCATTTTATTAATATTGAATATCTACAAACAACCCTGTCAACCACACAAAGATGAGCTACCCAAAAATCCCTCCCTGGCTGTCCAAGGCCTCCAGTAGCCTACAGGTTGCTTTGGTGCATATTAGGAAAAGGTGTTCCTTCCTGCAAGTGAATGCAGCCCCACCCCAGAGACACTGCTGGGGATTTCAGTTCCCTTAACCCTTTGTGCAGTGAGCCAACCTATATAATCATAGCACACGTGT
The DNA here is from genome assembly GCF_000001405.40 of Homo sapiens. Lineage (NCBI taxonomy): Eukaryota > Metazoa > Chordata > Mammalia > Primates > Hominidae > Homo > Homo sapiens. The sequence continues at coordinate 3,580,903 of NT_167248.2, read as the reverse complement.
CCTGAAGATATATGAAAGGCATCTCTTAGCATGTCTAAAACCCAAGCCCTAATCCCTTCTACACACTGGTGCTAGCACCTGTATTCACCTAATTGCTCAGACTATCTACCTTGGAATGATATTTAACTCCTTTCCTACTCTCTTCATCCAATCCACCATCAAATCCCATCTCTGATGCTTTCAAATTATACTCCAAATCAAACCACCTTCCACCACCATGACAATCCTTGCCCAAACACCAGTATCTCTTGCCTCCTACCTTGTTTCCTTGATACTCCTCTTGCCTTCTTATAGTCTATTCACCTCACCACAGCGAGGGAGATCCTTAATAAGTACCTCTTAAATGAAGAAAGTAATTTACTATTGTTATCCCTAATTTACAGAAGAGAAACTTATGCTTAAAAAACATTAATGACTTGCCCAAGGCCACAGGACTTGGAAGTGACAACCTGGATAGGAATTTAGAATTGTCTAATTCCAAATTTTAGGCAGTCAGAGAGTTCATTCTTATGTAATTTAGTAATATCTTAATTTTTAATTTCCTGTTTACAGATCTTTAGTGTACAAGCCTACAATCTTAGTATCTTTCTAATCTGGGCTCCCTTGCATTCTTAAGGAAAAACTTGAATCAGTAAACATTTTATTGTTGTTTCAATAAGTCATACTTTAAAATTCATAAACCCAAATGACTATTTTTCTGACTTTCCAGTCCCCCTAACATAACCTATAAATCTCAGTCATCCTAAGTTTCTAGGTTCCCACGCCCTGCTAGTCTTCCCTCCATTATTTCTAGACATAGGAATATAAATGTACTGGTCAACTTAAGACTATAGAAATCTTCTGGCAGGAAGATATTAATATTAGGTAAGGTCATTATGTTAGTTTAGGTACATGAAATTTAGTACTCAAAGTTTAGTTTAACTTAAATATATCACATATAAAAGCTGCCATGGTTATTCCAAAATTTTTTTGAAATTAAATTTATTCTTAGTATTTTTCCAGCAAATGTTAAGTGCAGCGCATGAAAGTTTTTATAACAAATTTCAAGTGCAGCATATTAAAATGTTCGGCATTTCAGTGGTATTTTCCATTTTTGCGGCAACTCTATTAACATCTTGATGTATTTTCCCTTTTTTTTTTTCATTGAGACAGAGTCTTGCTCTGTGGGCCAGGCTGGAGTGCAGTGGCACTATCTCGGCTTACTGCAATCTCCGTCTCCCGGGCACAGGCAATTCTCCTGCCTCAGCCTCCTGAGTAGCTGGGATTACAGGCGTGTACCACCAGGCCCAGAGAATTTTTGTATTTTCACTAGAGACAGGGTTTCACCATGTTGGCCAGGCTGGTCTCGAACTCCTGACCTCAGGTAACACACCCACTTCGGCCTCCCAAAGTGCTGGGACTACAGGCTTGAGACACCGTTTTTAAAATCCCCATAGAACCATGAGAAACAAGAAACATTATTATAAAACAGAGAATGTGTTTTGTACTTAATTCCCATCACAATGACTGCCAAGTATGGAAGGAGAGCACTCATTTTCAGAAAAGAAGCTGAAAAAAAAAATACTATTGTCTTCACATTTCTGAGTAGATCTTTAACTATACTTTAGTGAAATAGCAAATGATATTATGATTCAACATAATTTAAATCAACTACAAAGTATCAATATTACTATTTACTTTTACACTTTTATGAAAACAACAGTGATAACATGACTAGTTTTCCATGTAATTTGCTTTGTCTCCAGATCTTTTAGAAAGTCTGTTTCCATGACATCACTAAGAAACAAGTTTTAGATCATAGGATGCACATTCAATCGCAATCAATATACACATTTGCATTCATTATAATTTGCCATATTGTCACTGAACTTGAATTCTCAGTCAGCTGAGTAAATATTTTGCCATTCCTTCTTTTATTTGACCTCAACTTACCTTATAACTATACATTCTTCTGTTTCAATGTTTGCATGTATAGTTTATTATTTCTTCTCACTACATGTATTTACCTTAATTAAACTCTGCCTGTTTTTTTAATGTCATTAAACTTATAAATTAAGCCATGAGGAGATTTTGTCTCCAGTTTCTTGCCTAACTGGATATTTGAGGGTGTTGATTGGGTAATCCTCTGTAGTGATACCAAAACTACAGAAATAGAATATCCAAATTGATTTTTCTTTCTTTTGTTTATGTTTTCAGAGAGATCCAAAAGAGATTACAGTAAGTATTATCTTGCTTCTTAACAAAAATTTGCTTCCTATTAGTAACATTTCCCTAGATTGTAAATGCTTTGGAGGAAAGAGAAATCCTGTCATATGTCAAGTCATATGAATACTAAGCAATAGATAAAGTTTTCTAGTGCTGGTTTAGAATGATCTGGCTGGGAGAAAAGGAAAACAATAGAAGTGATGAGCAAGAGAAAAGGAAAGTAATAAAGATAAAAGGGAGAGAGAGAAGAAAATAGAGAGGGAAAAAAGGGAGGGAGGAATTAGGGCAGTAGGAATGGCATCTGCCTACTAAAAATTAAACCCATTTTTAGAGATGGAAAGCATATGCAGTAGCTGGTGGGAGTGGCTGTCAGTACCCATCACCAGATCAGTGATGACTCCCGGGGCCTAGACTTTAACTCCTGAGAAGGGGGTGACAGCAACTGAAGCTGATATGTAAAGATTAGGGATCCAAACTCTCATGATTCACCTCATGTTTTCTGTGTGTGTATTTTAGCACCATCAACCAACTCTCTAGGTAAGTGCTTTGTGGTTTTCTTTCAATTCTACTGTCATCTGGTTTGCAAGCCCTATTTTTTCTGTATTTTTTCTCTTTTAAGAAAGTTTTTAAAATTAAGTATAAAAATAATTAACACTTGTATATCACACCTTAGATGTGACAAATTGATAATATTCTTGTCATATTTCTCAAGTTATCATAGACATATTCCACTCCCTTCTTCCCAAAGGCTTATTAATATATTTTAAATATTTAAGTCTATTTACATATATTTATAGTCTCTACCTATCACTGAACAAAATATAGTATCTTTTTTTAATGTTTAATTTTACTAAAATGGCATCTGTCTGATAGTATCATTACGATTTGCATTTTTCTCTCAAAATGTAGTTTTGAAATCCAGGTTATACACTTTGTTGAATAATATTCCACCTTATGAATATACAATATTTTTCTATTATTTCTACTACCGATGCATTCTCAATGTTTCCAATTTCTGCTATCACAAATAATGCTGCAAAGACAGTCCTTAAGTAGATGGAAAAGAGTTTATCCGGGGTACATACCCTGAAGTAGGATTAGTGTTCACATTGTATATGAGCATTTATGTAATTTATGCATATTTTAAATTTTAGTAGCTATTAATTAAGCTCCTTGGTAGTTACATAGAGGCATACAAAAATAAATAAATATTTCCAATTTCTCTGCATTAGTAACAATCCCAGATTTTGTCATATTTTTCTATTATTGCCACTTGAATACGTATACAATTTTTAAAATCTGCATTCCCTGCTCACTCCTGAAATTGAGTATCTTCTCATAGGCTTACTAGCTAGTGAGGCTTCACCCTATATAAATTGCTTGTTCATTTACTTTACCCATTTATCTATTAGTTATTGATCTGTAGTAATTCTTTATTATTATGAAAGATCAACTTTTATATGTTAAATATCTGCAATTATCTCATCCAATTCTGTCTCTTAGCTTTAAATTTTTATGCTGTCTCTTGACTTTTAGAAGGCCTCTACTCACTCTCCCCCAACACCACACAATTTATTGTAATAAAATTTGTCAATCTCTTGTTTTCTTTTAGAGTTTCTGCTTTTTAGTTTCTTTGGCCTTATCTGGGTATCACAAAGATTTTATCTAATACTTTCTCTTAATAGTTTTGAAATTTCCCTTTCTACATATAGAACTTTAATCCAAATGGGGCTTTGTTAATTGTTTTTTGGTTTTGGTGAGTGATTTTAGTAATAATACAGGTGAGATCTAATTTTCCTTTCATCTGGAAAACCAACTAGAGGGATTTCGTCTCACCTTGTTCCAACTAGATTTATTGACTGGTGCATTCTTTCTCTGCTGATTTGTAATGCCATCTTCATCTTATATATTTCGTTTTTCCGTGGATTTTATTTTCTGTTCCAGTGATCTTTTGTCTTTTACTGAACCAATACTCCATTGCTTTCACTACTAAAACTTTATAACATTTATTACAAAAAATAGCACATTATCTTTGTTCTTTTTCAGAAATGTGTTGGCTATTCTTTGACCTTTTCTCTTACACAAGAATTTCATAATTTCTCAAAATCTATGAGTCATATTAGGATTTCATTGAAATTTCATTGAGCCTGTAGATTAATTTGTAAAATCAATTATTCCCATGCATTAACATGGTTGCCTACTATTCAAATTTTCTCATATACCCTTCAATAATGTAATATAATTTTCTTCAGAAAGGTCTTGCATGTCTTTTGCTGCATTAATTCTTATACACATACTTGTTTTTTGTTTCGGATGTGAATACTATCTCTCTACATGGATTTTACAAATAATTATTGTTGGAATATAAGTTATATGTTGTATATTTGAGAGTAGATTTTGTATCTAGCCACCCTGCTGTGCTCTTAGAGTTCTAATAATTTTCAGATTCTTTTGAATTCTATATGTAAAAAATCATGTCATCTGCAAAATCTGATAATCTTGAGTTTCCTTTTCCAATTCTTAAAACCATTTTCTTGTCATAGCTTGGGCTATGTATATCTATGGGTAAAATTCCTTCTCTTTACTTTTGCTTTATTTTTGTTCCTTTTTCTAGCTTGCTGTATGAAACTCTTAATCAATTTCCAGACTTTCTCATCTTCTTTTTTTATTTTATTTTTATATGGGACACCATGAATTTTCATGCCATCCTTACACACGGGCCACGCTAATCTTCTCTGTATCATTCCAATTTTAGTATATATGCTGCCAAAGTGGGCGCTCTTATTTTCTAATATAAGTATCTAAGTAACTTCTAAATGCTGCTGAAACTCATATCCTCATATCCACTCATATCCTCATGACTATTTTTTTACTTCAATTCTACACTCTGATATTAGCATTGTTCTAACACCTTTGTTTTAATTAGTATTTGCCTATTTTTCATCCTTTTATTTTGAACCTTAAAAGTTTGTTTTTGTCTTGTGTCTTTTTTAAATGGCATATTGCTTGACTTTGTTCATATTAACAATGTAAAATTTTCTGTTTCCTAATAGATGAATTTAGTTCATTTTATATTGTGAATTGTTATATGTTTATCTAAATGTTTCCAATTTATATTGTGTTTTCAACTTACAGTACTATGCTCTGTTCTTTCATTTTTAAATCTTCTTTTCTACCTTCTGCTGGTATATTAGAATTCCTTGTTTCTTTTGTTTTACTTAGTGTTTTTCTGGATTTTGTTTTATGTATCCTGATATTTGTAACATGTGTACTATTTAATTTTTCTTTAAAAATTAAAGATAATCGGTATCTTCTTCCAAGACTAGATAATAACTTTTATTTGACCATCTTCCCTCCAAACTACTCTTTCCAAATTCTCCATCTTGTTTGTGGTATTCTTTTTAAAGACAAAATAATTATTTATTTTCACAATTAATTATTACTTAGACTTACAACAATATTTCAGCATTGTTTTTGCTTAACATTATTTGCTACATCCTGTGTCTTTTCTCTTCTATTTCTTGCCCAAATACAATCCTTTACTGGTTCTTTAAACTCTACATGTATGTGAAAAATTTTCTAAGCCTTCATATGGCTGAAAATAGCTTTACTTCACCTTCAGCCTTAAATGAAAATTTAGCTAGGTATAGAATTGAACATTATTTTCCCTCTGTACTTTGAAGATTTATTCCATTTGCTTGTTGTTTATTATTTATTATTGTTGATAAGAATCTATCACTAGTTTGATGTTTGTTCCTAAGTAAATATATTTTCAAGATTCTCTTTATTTTTGTGCTCTGCATTTAATTATAATGTTTATAGGTGTGAGATTAACTTTTTATGAGTGTGAGGTTATCCTGAGCAGGATAAATGAAGTGAATCTCACACCCACAATGGAAAATCCTGAATGCTTCCATTTACTCTGAGCAGGATAAATGAAGTTAATCTCACACTCATAAACATTCAAGAGTTTCCATTCTGTGGACTCAATCTTTCTAATTACAGAAAAATTTAACTTTAATTGCTATGAATTTTGCCCATATTTATATCTATATCTAACAACAAACTATAGTCTCTACTTCTAAAATTACTATGTATGTAAAGATTTTCCTTCCATCTTTCAGATCTTGTGACTTCTCTTTTATATTTCTTATCTGCACTGATTAAGTTAGCCCCGGATCTTAAAATCTCAGTGGTTTTCCCTAATAGAATTTTATTTCTTACTTATGAGAAGTCCAAAACAGGAATTCCAGATTGGCGGATGGCCCTTCTCTCAGCAGTGTCTTAGGCACTCAAATTCATCTTAACTAATGACTCCACCATCTTCAAATAATGGCTCCTAAGTTCATCATGTTAGTCCACCTTAAGTGAACAGAAAGAAAAAAGCTTGAAGATCATGAGTGGATGACTTTACAAACAAGCCTGGATGACTTTCATATCACTTCTAACAACATTAGATTGGCTAGAACTCAAGCATATAGCCACACCTAACTACAAGGGAATTTTGGGGAAATAGTCAACCACGTTGTATTAGTTTTCTATAGCTGCTCTAACAAATTACCACAAACTTAATGGCTTAAAACAACACAAATTTATTATCTATCAGTTCCATAGGTTATAAATCTGTCATATATGTCTCCCTGGACAACAATCAGGTTGTCAGCAAGACTGCATTCTTTCTGGAGGTTCTAGGAACAAATCTGTTTCCTTGCTTTTTCAGCTTCTAGAGGCTGGCCACATTCCTTGGTTCATGGCTCCCTTCTTCTATCTTCAAAGTGAACAAAAATGAATCAAGTCCTCACATCACACCATTCTGCCCTTCTTCCACTGTAGTACCTCTTTCTCTTACTCTCTTTTATCTCCCTCTCCCACTCTTAAAAATCTTTGTGATTATATTAGGCCCACTCAGATATACCAAAATCATCATCCTATTTTAAGGTCAGCTGATTAGCAACTTTAACTTCATCTGCAATATTAATTCCCTTTTTCCATGTAACCTAACATATTAAACAGGAAGATAATCCCAGGTTCTTACAATGCATGAGGCCTATGGCCTTGATTTCTGCTGGTGATCAGGTGTTTAAGCCTCAGTCCCCCAATAAGGTATCACATGGGTGGTAAAACTTCTCATTCATTACCAAGAATATGGGTTCCTTCTTGATATATTTTTCTTGAATATATTACTTCTCTTTTTAGTTTTCAAGCTCAGCTCTACTTTATAAACTTTAAAAAATACCATGTTCAAAGTAATCACTTAAAGGAGAGGATGAAATATTCCCCTCAATAGCAAGCACCCTTTCAGTAAGCCCCGAGGTTCTAAATACTTTCACTACTTTGACTCTTTAGCTTCTAATATTATTCAAGAACTTCCTGATTTGGTCTCTTGCTATTCTTCATCTCCATAGGGCACAAGTGAATTTTGGAAAGTGGAAACCCCTGTTGAAGCAGTTAGGTGGTAACTGTTTGGTGTAACAAAAAATCTTTTCGAACAAAGGGAAAACAGAAAGAAAATTAAGGAGAGAGAGGAAGAGGTGGAGGAAAGGTAGAGAAGGAAAGAACAGAGCAGCAGAATCGCCAATGAAAGAAGACTTATAGGGACAGAAAAATGTCCTCAGATTGAGAAACTAGCAATCTCCAAAAATATTTTTATTCTCTTACCAAAATTGAAAGACAGGTTGCATAGATCTTGTAGTCCCACCTTACCACAAAAGTATTGGAATCCATATGTAGATATCCAGCTGCTCACCACATTGCATTGCAATTGATACCAGGAAATAAGTTGTGACTCATTTCTATCTTCTTTTCCACAACCTTTCTGCAATATAGTGTCTATGGCATCTAAGTTCTCCCTGGGACAAACAGAACTCATTCTTCTTTTGATGTGTTTTATTTTAGCACTGTCTCGATCAAGTATTGGTAAGTTCCTTTACTTTTCTTCAATTCTGCTGACATTTAGCCCCATTTAGTCAAGAGGATATCTTCCTAAACTTCCCAGACTTCTTCGCTGCAGCACAGCAGAAGCTTAAGCTTCACATTTCTCCAATTTCTTTGTTCTCCATAACCAGACACTTCAATAATCAGTCAAAAGTAAATGCAAGTTTCTAGTGGTTTATTATGATGACATGAAGAGAGCAATTTCCAAACCTGAAGTGTTGGAAAAACAGAGTAAATAAAGGATAAGAGCAAAAAGTTAGTAAGAAAAATAAGATGAGGATGAAGATAATATAGAATGAGGGATAAATGATATTAGCTGTGTCCTCAGAATTTTAAAGCTTTACATGGCTAGCACGAAAGGGCAGCCTTCCCTGAGGCATCCCCAAGTCAGGCTGGCAGCAATGGAAGAGATGGCTAATTCCCTATCCCCCTGAGCTGCAACTGACACTAAGGGTTTGGTGCTCCCAGGCGTTCCTGGTTCTGATACTCATTCCTGCCCTGTCCCCTGCAAAAAAAAAAAAAAAGAAAGAAATGGATAGTTTTTGAGCCAGACAACCACATGAATTTTTTGTTTATATTTACTTTTAGGAGAGCAAGGAGGGAAATTTCATATTTCCAAATTCTAAGTCTCTTTAGTGTGTCACAGAACTAAGGAACATTCCCTAACCCTGCTGAGATTTTGTCCCTCACCTGCTTTTCCTTCCCCATCATTGAGCATTTTGTCTAAAATTAATGAGAACTTCGAAGAATGAGAAGTCCACCGATTAAAGAATAAAGAGAGGATTAAAATGGTTTTAGCTGGCAATCATAGTTTCAGCAAAACAGTAATAAATTCATTAACTTAGGAATAGGAGGGAAGAAGAGAGAGGCTTGTGAAGAGACCAGGGAATGGAAGTAGGGGACAAGGAGAGGTTTGTAATTAAAGCAAGTCATCTTTCTTGACTATTTACAGATATTACACATGAGGAAAAAATGAAATTTAAAGATATTATTTAACTTGACCCAAGGCATATAGCTAGCAAAAGAGTAAAACTGAGGTTCTAAACACTGGCCTTTGGACTCCAAGTCCTGAGGTTGTCCAGCTACCCCCAGGACATCATTAAATGTATTTACTCTTCCAATCCAAAGTATTCTTTGGAAATAAAATGTTTGTTCCAAGGAATTTAGAAAATCATGCATATGTTGAAAATATATTACTTCAATTTTTAAAATGTAATTTGAAAATCTTAAAATGTAAATTAATATAAAATATCAGAATTAGTGTGCTAATCCAATACTGTGCCATAACCTTATCCCATGAATAAGGCTGTTTTGTTGTATATACAACTGTGAACAGGTGCCCTTAGAAAGCTATCAAGCTCAATATTTTATTACTTTTATAATTAAAACATGTTTTATCTAGTTTTACTTTGTTTTCATCTAACTTATGGAAAGGGTAAAATATTTGGGAGTTGAAACATGCTAAACAATAAACTCAAATCTTCAGTTTCTTCAGCAAAATCTGCAGAGGACCCATGTGAGACAGGCTTGCCATAAAAACCCTCCAAAGGGGAAATCATTTAGAGCACTGCAGCTGCTATACCTAAGACAACATAAGTATTTCACAGACAGCATAGATTCTAGTGAGGTAAGACAGAAAATAAACACATAAGCAAACAAATACAATGATTTCCCTTTCTAGATAATTCCTACTATGATTACTAGACTATCATAGTAAATTCTACGGAGAAAACAAATTAAGATAATATGATAGAGCAAGACCAAGAAGTGAGGGCCTTTAGCTAGGAGATTAGAAGAAATTTCCCTGAGGAGATATCTGAACTGACTCTGAATGGCGAAAAGGTGGCAGCCACAGGAGGATCTTAGGGAAGAGTATCTCAGGCAGAAAGAACACCAAGTTCCTGAGAGGGGAAGAAGAGTAGCATGTATGAGAGATTGCAGGAAGGCCAGTTGTGAAAGATCGTGGAGGAGTTTGAAAGGTAGGGAGAGGCCAGATCACAAAAAGTCTTTTAGAATAAAATATGGAGAACAATTCTGAGCACCACAATAAGCCATTGTTTTCATCAGGGAAGGGATAAAGCCACATTTATGCTTTAAAAAGGCAACCCTGGCTTCTGGTAGAGAATGAAATGGGAGAGAATGACCATCATATTTATTTATGATGGCAAGAAGGAGAGAGGTACAGAGTAAAGTCTCATATGTGCTTCAAAGACAACAGGAGTTTCTACTGGAGAAGACTGTTCGGAAACAGCAATGGGGAGCAAAAATGACATTTACCTACATTCAGGCATGTATATGGGTATGGATTTTTTCTAAAACAAACATACAAAAAACCAGACATCACAGCCTCAACAACAGAGTGAGACCCTGTCTCTACAATGAATAAAAAATTAGCCGGCATGGTGGTGTGCACCTGTGGTCCCAGCTACTTGGAAGGCTGAGGTGGGAGGATCACTTGAGCCCAAGAGGTCAAGGCTACAGTGAATTGTGATTACGCCACTGCACTCCAGCCTGGGTGACAGAGTGAGACCCTGTCTCAAAAAAAAAAAAAATCTAAGAGGGCTGTAAGAGACATGGTTTTTTAAAAATGTTATAATTTTTAATTGACAAAATTGTACATATTTATGGTATACAACATAATGTGTTGATATATGTATACATTGTAGAATGACTAAATCAAGCTGTTAACATATCCATTTCCTCACATACTTTTTGTGGTAAGAACACTTAAAATCTACTCTCTTAGCAAATGTCAAGTATAACACATTATTAACTACGATCACCATGTTATACAATAGATCTCCTGAAAGTATTCCTCCCATCTAACTGCAATTTTGTATGCTTTGAGCAACATCTGAGATACAGTATTTTTTTAAAAAATTGAGATAGAATCTCACTCCATTACCCAGGCTGGAGTGCAGGGTGCAACCTCGGCTCGCTGCAACTCCACCTCCCGGGTTCAAGCGATTCTTGTGCCTCAGCCACCCAAGCAGCTGGGATTACAGGCGTGTGCCACAATACCCAGCTAATTTTTGTATTTTTAGTAGAGACAGGGTTTTGCCATCTTGCCCAGGCTGGTCTTGAACTCCTGGCCTCAAGTGATTTGCCCTCCCCGGCTTCCCAAATTGCTGGGGTTACAGGCATGAGACACCGCACCCAGGCTTGAGATACAGGAATATTAAAGCAAGACGGTGAAGAAAACGTTTGGAGAAGTTAAAGATACAGGAAAATTTGCTGATATGAATTTCAGACAGCATGGTGTGTTTTAGGGAGTAAGGAGAGGTGGAAGGAACGTCCCGATTAGGAATTATAAAAAGCATTATGATAATAAGCATCCTTAAGATGAGGAATTGTCTTTGGATGGTGAGTAAATTAAATGAGGATATGACACATTTTGGGATTAATCTCAAAGGATGATGAGTAATTAGTTATGTAGAGTATTTAGCTGAAAGATGCATAGGGCCACAGGAAGCTATTCATCCCTGAAGCTCAAGATGACGTGTGGTCCTACAGAATGGATGAGGCCCTCTTGAGAGATAATTCTCATAGGCAATTCACTGGACTGTGATAACTCGAGAAAGGGCCTCTCAAACCAGGACCTCAAAGGGCTTGATCCTATTATTTCCGTGAAAATCTTGAACTAGCGTAGTGCCCAAGATAGAGGAGACTATGGTCCATTACCCATACATGTATAAACAGATAAGGACTGCAATCTGAAATGATGATATAATAATATGTGTTGAGCATTATGCTCCAGGCTCTGTCCTAAACATTTTTTCTTCATAATAATCCTAGAAAGTAGATATTATAAATCCTATTTTTAAAATGAATAAACTTAGGCATAAAAAAAAAAAAAACAGGCAGAGTAACACAGCTAGTAAGTAGAGGAACCAGAATTCAAACCCAAGCATTCTAGTAGTTGATGGCCCATTGTACTTAATGAGACCTAATCAAGGGTCCCCTTTCTAAAATGATTTCGGTGAGAATTATATACTTTATAAACCAATTAACTCAGACTGATGTGGATTTTTATTATTATTCCTCAGTGCCAATTCCAGGAACCATATTTCAGTTTATTTTCTATTTCTCAATTTAGGAAAGAGAAATGAGAGCAAACAGATAATAAGAAGGGAGCACATAGGGAAACTAAGGAAAGTTTAATCAAGACTAAGGTCCTCCACCTCCTAAAAGCAAGTAGAGGAAAAAGAAAAAAAAAAAAAAAGACTAAGGGCCAAGCATGGTGGCTTACACCTGTAATCCCAGCACTTTGGGAGGCCGAAGTAGGAGGATCCTGGAGGCCAGGAACTCAAGACCAGCCTGGACAACATAGTGAGGCTCTGTCTCTACAGAACAATTAAAAGAATTAGTAGGGCATGGTGGCATGCCTGTAGTCCTAGCTACATGGGAGGCTGAGTTGGGAGGATCACTTGAGCCCAGTAGTGAGAGGTTATAGTGAGCTATGCAACCACTGAACTTCAACCTGGGCAACAGAGTGAAACCCTGTCCCCCCGACCCCAGCCCCCCAAAAAAAACCTAAGGTCTTCCAAGTTCCCTTAACAGTTTCAGTCTTTACAAAGGCTGAGAAGAAAAGGAAAAGGGAATCACCTTCTCTGCTCATCATCAGTCCTACATGTCATTCTGGGCCTCGGCCACACCACCAAAATACAAGATGCCTAAACAATCCATGAAAAAATCACACTACAGCTGGCATAGAGGATTTGATGCTCCCTGGTGAGGGTAGTGTGAGGGATTTTTTTTCTGATCTTCTTTTCAAAGGGGGATTAACGCTGATGCTTTTAAGCAATTGACATGCACTTAGAGATGTGGGTATCTAGCACAATTTACAAGGGAATTGAGCAAGTTCTTGGTTGTTTCAGTACCATAAACGCTTGTTTGTCTAGGGACCTTGTCCTCCTTATTTACCTCTTTCTAGGCAGGCCCTATTTCTAGAAAGTCAGCCTTTTTGCTTCTCCTACCAAAACTTACCCTAAGGCTAAAAGGCCCAAGAACACAGGGCTTTAGTTTGTGAATTTAGCCTCATTGAATCATAAAAGTTGAGCAGAAGAAAAATTATTAAACCCTGTCATTGATCGACTGTTGTGGGGTGGGGGGTGGGGGGAGGGGGGAGGGATAGCATTAGGAAATATACCTAATGCTAAATGACGAGTTAATGGATGCAGCACACCAGCATGGCACATGTATACATATGTAACTAACCTGCACATTGTGCACATGTACCCTAAAACTTAAAGTACAATAATAATAAAATAAAATAAATAAATAAATTAAATTAAATAAATGCAGTTCCAAAAGATGGTGAGAATTATCAAACTTTGCATAGTCATTTAACAGTCAATGTAAGACAAATAAGACTAATGCCCAGACTTTCTCCACTGAATATAGTGAGGGTTCATTCTATGGTAGCTTGTACAAATTACTATCAAAGTTAATATCATTAAACCTTCTACAAGTCTTGCCCTAGAATTTAGGTTATTTTACAAGAGAAACATTTTAGAGCTGAACAAAAAGAACAGAAACAAAATGTTGGAGAGGGAAGATGGTCAGTACGTTAAAGAAAAAAATGTTTAAGGAATATTCAGAAAGAAGAGAAAATTGTAAAGAATATGAAGGAAAACGTGCTGAACTTAAAGTCAAGCAAACTGGAAGCTAAAACTGCCTTTAATTTTTTGCATATTCAGGCACAGCCCTTCCCTTTCTCAATCTCGGTTTTCTTTTCTTATAAAACTAGAACCTTTGTAACATTGCCTTTCTTTGGTTCTTGAGGCTATCACATTAGGGAAAGAAGACTCTCCAAACTGAAAAGATGAAAGAAAGAGGGAGGGAGAAACGGAAAAGACAGGAGAAAGGTGGTGAATGAAATCAGAATATTGGAAATATAGTAAAGCTGAATATTCCCCTGAAACTTTCACTCCTGCATAGTGTCTAAGGGGGAAAAGACATGGGATCACTTGCAAGTGTGGCCACTTTATGAGCCTACCTACAGGGGAATGGAAAGTCTAATAACCTGAGGGAGGACACTATTTCTGGGAAGACTTTTGGGAAATTGATGGATTATTGAAACTTTAGACTGACTTGAATAATTGTTATTGTTCTTTAGCTTTACCTCAAGGATCCATGAGTAAGTTTATCTTCTTGTTTCAAACTCTGGTGTTGTTGGGCTCCTATGCTAGGCAGAGGACTTCTCCCTGTCTTAACTATTTCCTGTTTCCTGCTATGTCAGGGTGAAAGGGCTTAAGACTCATAATTCTCCACCTTGTCCTTCATTAGCCATCTTAACTGGATCATGCCCACCTTTCTCACATTTCCCCCTCTCTAAGACAAGGAGACCTCCCACCTTGCTTAAGCAAATTATTTTATTCTTGCCTTTGACCACATCCTCTCACCCCCTTATTTCTTCAGAAGTCATTTCTTCTCTCTTCTACATCTTTAAATATTTTCCTTCCTTTAACTGCTTCTCCTTAAGGTATAGAACAGGTTTGATTTTCTTCCATCTTAAACAGATCCTCCCTTGACTATGTCCCTCTCTAATCACAGCCTACCTTCAAGGGAGGAAATTATGCTGTACACTCTGACTGTAGGCTTAGGAAAAAGTTATTGCTCACTTCGTATCTGAACTATACACTATTTCTCCATGAATTGAGAATAATATAATAAGACCTACTAAAAAATCACTTTTAAAATAAATTTGCTTGTTAATTATTTTCAATTTACAGAGGACTATTGCCTAGCAGTTAAGCATGCAGACTCTAGAGCCAGGCTAACTGGAGTTGTATCCCAGCTCCCTACTTACTATTTATTTGAACATAGGCAAGTTATTTAATCTCTCATTAAAATTTCAAGTCCGTTACATAACTAATTTCAACAACCAGTTGAAAATTAATCAAATAAAAGAACAGAGAAGAGGCTGGGCACCATGGCTCACGCCCGTAATCATGACATTTTAGGAGGCTGAGGCAGGTGGATCACCTGAGGTCAGGAGTTCGAGACCAGCCTGCTGAAACCCCGTCTCTACCAAAAATACAAAATTAGCTGGGCGTGGTGGTATGCTCCTGTAATTCCAGCTACTCGGGAGGCTGAGGCAGGAGAATTGCTTGAACCTGGGAGAGGAGGTTGCAGTGAGCCAGGATCGCAACACTGCCATCCAACCTGGGTGACAGAGTGAGACTCCATCTCAAAAAAAAAAAAAAGAACAGAGAAGTGAGGGAAGCTGGAAAAAATGAATAGAGAAGGGAGGAAAACCAAAGAGGTAAAGTTTAAATAAACCTTCTGGAACTGATTTCAATTGATTGTCAAAAAAAAAAAAAAAGAACACATTTTCTAAATGAAGGGAAGACTGTGACAGGAATGAGGAGGAGGGAAGTGAGGAAATCGGCAAAAAATCCAAAACAGATAATCCTGACTGGACAGGGTTTTTTTTCTGATCTATGTGCTTTTCCTACAAAAGTTTTCATACTGACTATTACATTTGTGGTTGCATATTAGGGTCACATTTCCTACTAGCAAAGTTGTTTCTTGTTCAAAGATGGAATTAAATATATCATATTTCATTATTTTTTCTAAAAGGTATCAAAACTTCCAGATGCTTCACAATCTGAACAAGTTTATTACTCACAGGTTTTAATTAAATGTGATCCAACCAATACCTATCCTTAAAGTAACGAAAAGGAAGGGATTCACTTGCCCTATCCCAACTCAGGCCACAACCATATGATACTGATTTCAAAGTGCACTGTTGTTGAAGTATAGACGGTGCTCACTTAAATCTCTTCTCATCTGAAAACAGAGCTCCCAAATTAGCCACCACTAGCCCGGTGCCACCTATAGATGTGTTTTGTTTGGTCAGGATGGTATTATTTTAAATTTTGAATTTGAATGCCTCTGGGTAGGGCATGGACTTTTCACCATCTCTATCCCTTATAACTAGCAGATTCACAATCATGAGACCTGCTGGGCCCCTTAATGCAACTGAGTTTGTGATCGATCCCCACAGAGATAATCAGGAATTCTGTCTGGTATGGAAAATGTGGTACTCTCTAAAAGAACTAACTCTGATGCTCCCATTAGGAAGAATATCCACAGAGACAATGTCCTTAATCCAAAACACACAATATTCAGTATTTTGGCAGGATATGTACATCGTAAGTTTTTTTTATCTTCTTCTTTACTCTGTAAGGCAACAAGTAAATACCTTCCACTGCCCTGCTTATTTGTCTTCAGCTGGGAAACGCCACAAAATACTCAGTTCAAGAATTTCCTTTCTTGGCCCAGTATGGAGGCTCACACCTGTAATCCCAGCACTTTGGGAGGCCGAGGTGAGGGGATCACTCAAGGCCAGGAGTTTGAGACCAGCCTGGCCAACATGGCGAAACCCCATCTCTACTAAAAATACAAAAATTAGCTGGGCGTGGTGGCACATGCCTGTAATCCCAGCTACTCAGGAGGCTGAGGCACAAGAATGACTTCAACCCAGGAGGTGAAGGTTGCAGTGAGCCGAGACTGTGCCACTGCACTCCAGTCTGGGTGACAGAGAGAGATTGTCTCAAAAAAAAAAAAGAAAGAAAAATTCCTTTCTCCTCATTATTCCATATTACTTTAGGTCAGGAATGGAATATATATGACCTGTGTTACATTTCTGCTCATGCCTTTGCCTGTGGCAGAAATCAGTAATTGATCATGATTCTCTTTCCTGCTCAGCTCACATGTATCCTAAAATTCTTGTCATCTCCAGATAGTCATTAATAATTGATCAAAATTAAATATGCATAACTCAAGTATACTTGTCACTCCTAACATAGGTTAATATCTTAAATCTTAAAAAATTAAGTATATGAAAACTGTCCTTTTAAAATTATCTTTATTTGGTGGTAGGAGTGGCTTCACCTTCTCAAGAAACTGACAGTTCAGTGATTGACGGCCTAAAATACCACATAGAAAAACAGACATCTCTTCCCAAATGCTGAGGGTAGATCCTGTCATTTCTGGGGAAAGCTACTATTTCCCTCCCCAAAACAGCAAAGTAACAAATAAGCGAAAAATAATTATACACAAAGAAGGAAACAAATTATTCAATTATTTTAAGAAAAAAAATTGCAAAATTTTCAACATCTTAAAATATGATTGGTTATTTCTCAAGACAGAAGCAACAGAGATTAAAATGACATAATTAAGGTACTAAGGTACACAAGAAGATAGGGTTGTTTTAAAGATTAAAATAACAGAAATTAATAAATCAAAAATAAAAACAGAATTAAGTGCACATTATAATACTCTGCTGTCAGGACTCAGAACTTTCCAAAGGACAGTCAGAAATAAGAGGAAAAATTAAAGCAGAAAAAAGTAAAATATAAAGTAGCTTACTACTTTGCCGAAGTGTTTCATTCATTTATAGTTACTGAATATTTCTTTCCATAACATTTCTAATACAACTTTTCATCTTTCCCTTCTGTTATTACTCCTGATTTTTCACTGCAACTTCACAATATAGGTAAGACAGAGGACACAACTTCTGTTTTAGAGATGAGGAAATTAATGTTCAAAACATTTAGTGACTTGCCCAAAATCACAGAGCTAGAGAATAGCAAAAGTCGGACTCAGCTCTTTAACCTCAAGACTGTTTGTACCACACCTGAGGAGGGGGAGGAGGGAATGGGATTGTCTATCTCCATGCCTTCTGAAAGTCTAAATCTAAGTAATGTTACACTTTTCAATTTTTATTATAGGTAGTATAAAATGTTTACAAACAACTGAAGAACCTCCTTGTAAGTTTCCCATATATACAACTCAGTCCTTTTTTTACTGACACCTAATAATTGTACAAATTTATGGGATACATGTGATATTTTGATACATGCATACCATGTGTAATGATTTTGATATTCTATAATGTGCCTGCTACCAGAGGAATGGGGAAGGTGGTGAGAAAGCACATAAAGATGGAGGAAAGGAGAAAAACTTGCAATTTTACTGTTCTCTCTTTTACCAGTGTGAGGAATTTGAGACTGATTTCAAGATCCTCTAAGTGACTGATTAATTTTTTCATTTAACAAAGTGGAAATTCTTATAATAAAAACTAGATTAATTAATGAAATTGTGAAAAAGATTCTGGGGCCAGGGAAAATTATCTATAACCTTTAGAAGGATTTGACAGCAGGAAGATAATGAAAATTAAGAATAAGAAAAATAACTGCAGGGAGTATGATTTTAACAGTCTCCTAAGGAAAAAAGGAAAATGCCTACTTACCTTCTTGCTGCCTTTCCATGTAAATCAAATATGTAGTAAATGCTTGATCTGAAACTCCCTGAGATAAACACCCTTGAGTCATGCTCTCTTCAAACTCACCTTTTTTGTTTGTATTTTAGCCAGAACTGCAGGAGCCATGAGTAAGTTCTTTTTCTGCCCTTTAATTCTCATGTGCTTTGCTTTACTAAACTGTTAGAATATGTAAGACACTCATATTCCTAGATTTTTTTATTTCTTTCACAAATTGTCCATTCCTTTCCCCTTGTTTATTCCCTATTCTTATCTTAATAAACTGGGGTGCCTCTGTAAGAAAGTACTATTGCCTTTAACTTTTCCGAAATCTTGAGATTCAACAGCAAAGGGAAAAGAGTGAAGAACAAAAAATGGTCAAGTGAAAGGAAGAAAGATTCCCCTGTGAGAAAACCCAGTAACACTCAAAGAAAGAGGCTTGATGGTGGCCATTCTACTTAAGACCCACCAAGAAAATTTCAGTGACATGCAGTGAGTCCCAGCTCACTGACCGAGGATCCCAGACTGTCACTGATGTTTGTGTGGGATGTATATCCCCTGTTATGAACAAAGAATAAATCTGAAATAAGTATCCAGATAGAATTTTAAATGAAACTGTAGCATATATCTCTGGAAGAAGCACTGGTTGGGAATAGAGAATAAGGAATAAGTGAGAGGAAGTTGATTTAAAAAGGAAAAAAAATGGTAAATGGAAACAATGACTTTTATATGATCTGAGATTTTGCCAGCCCTTTATGGCCTTGATGCTTAAAGTGGGTCCAAGGGCCTGCATCAACGTCACCCTGGAGTTTTAGATATGCAGAGTCTCAGCCTATTGCCCACCCCGACCTACTAAATCAGACTCTGCATTTTAATAAGATTCCCAGGTGATTTGCGTGCATACCAAAGTTTAAGAACCATTGCTCTACAGGATTTTAATTCTCTGCCCTGAGAGAGGAAATAAAAAGATGAATGCACTTGGTCCAAATTTAACCAGCTTTTCCAGCCCTGCAGATTCCCCACACCAAGAGTGACCTTAAAGCCAAAGACAAGAAAGATGAAACTCATCAGGGTTTCATTCACTTCTTAACACATTTCTATCCTTCATTTTTGAGGATGTTCAGAGCTTGAGCCCCTGAGACAGGACTAACTCTGAAGGAAGGAGAAAAAAAGTGATTTGATAATTAAAGCTCATGGTATATCACATCCTGTGTCTACTCCTCTTGGATTATTTACACAAATGGAACATTATTAAAATAATCAAGTCAAACTTTGAGAGCAAATACTGGGTAGGTATCATAAAAGCACATATTAGGCCAAGCACAGTGGCTCATACATGTAATCCCAGCACTTTGGGAGGCCAAGGTGAGAGAATCACTTATAGCCTATGAGGTGTAGAGAGGTGTGGTGGGGTGTGTGTGTGTGTATGTGTATGTGTGTGTGTGGTCATAAAGAAGAAGACTGTTACTGCATTATTAACAAGTATGTGGGTCTAGTGTCTCAATTCCTTTGCCCAACACTCATACCTATAAATGTCTTAAGTCAACCTAGCAGTTTCTATTCCCTTTTACATGGCAGGCCAAGTTACTCTGTTGAATAAGGGCCAAAATCACTACAGAGACAGCAATTCCCACTGTCTCCTTCAGATGAGGCTATAGATTCTAGCTAAGCAAGTTCAAATTAGCCAGCTGGAAGACAGGCAATGGCCTGTGTAATCTCCTGAGATACAAGCAGGACACCCGTGGGGAAAGGGGAAGGAACGCTGCCTGACCAAATGTGCGTCTCCACAGTTCCAGCTGGCAGATTCCACCAGTAACCGGGATCCTCCAAGATGAAGAAAGAAGCATTTATAAACTTAATTTGTTCCTCCACTGAAGTGGAAATTTTGCTCCTGGTGTCTACATTTGTGATGTTTTCCCAGGAAGAATTTAAATGCAAACAGTATTTTCTCATTAGTTCTATTTTGTTTTTTCCATATTTTAACTGGAACTATTAGACCTATAAGTGAGTTCCTTTTCTGTTTCCTCTAATGTTCTTTGGCCTTCTGTAGGATATAGGGTCCTCTCCACATCCTAACTGTTACCATTTCTACCCCTGCAGGATTTCTCACTCATACTTCTTAATTGTATTCAAATCTTCTGACACCTTCTGATGCCCAAGCAATCAGACACAATATCCTGAATTGCTACTGAGTTTAGGACAAGGGAAAGCCAAATAATTCATGTTTAAAACTGTAGTTTATTTTAATTATTTATATTTATTATTTTTAGTTACTTAAATTTCTCATTTAAGATGGATGCTGAATGATTTGATCTGGTAGGAGGGTTATGCAGCTTCCAGGCTAAGATCATCTGCAGTCCCACAGTAGTTGTTCTCCTCTGGTTGAATTGCTTCATAGTTTCTTTAGAAACAAT
The DNA here is from genome assembly GCF_000001405.40 of Homo sapiens. Lineage (NCBI taxonomy): Eukaryota > Metazoa > Chordata > Mammalia > Primates > Hominidae > Homo > Homo sapiens. The sequence continues at coordinate 3,560,080 of NT_167248.2, read as the reverse complement.
ACTGGTAAAATGAAAATTCTATTAATGTCAAACCACACTTTCCTCCTTTTTGTATTTCAGTGCAATTCACAGCCCCTATTCGTAAGTATCAAGTTTGTTTTTCCACTCTGGTCCCTTTGATATCTGACCTACAAGGTCTTGGGGCCTGATCTGCCCTGCATTTTTAAAAATAATTTCAACTTTTATTTTAGATTCCGGTGGTGCATATGCAGGTTTGCTAATGGGTATATTGTGTGATGCTGAGGTTTAGGGGTGACTTGCTTTTTTAACACTGTCTTTCTCAACTCCCCTGGCATTCCTATTACATAGTTTCCAAAGAGGCCATGCACGAAGTGTTAAGAAATCTCACAGGCTAACATTTAAAAATATAAACCAAAACAGCCCTCTTAGAAATAGTCATAATGATCCATCAGCAAGGGAAGGTACACCTTTCAAATAAACCATGTCTCTAAGGAAACTAGGGGCAAGGGGCAAGAAAATGTAAGAAGAAAAATAGAGGCATAACAGATTAATATGGAGTGAGTCTTTCCCAACCCTCTGAAGATTTTCAACCATCACTGAAAGCAGGAGGAGGCCTCCATTCCTGTAGGTCCCTTATATTGTGCAGGGAGCCTGCCTGAGGCTCGCCATACAAGCAACTCTTGATCTTCCCGTTGTTTCTATTTATGATACTCCCTAGAGCGAGTGTTGGGAAATGGAAATTTCCTTCACAGTGGTGAAGCATACTGATATCTTTTTCTTTCTCCCTCTTTCTCTCTCACAGCCGGAGCTACAGGACCTATCAGTAAGTTTGCTCTCTGATTCTCCACAGTGAGCATTTTACTTTCCTGCAGTATCTTAGGGATCGCTACCTGGTTTCCATGTTGGGATTTCAAGGGTTTGGAGTTCACATTTTCTTCAACCCTTATTTTTCTTCAACCTAGCATTTCAGTAAGTCATGATTAGCTGTGTGAATGTACACCTCACCAATAAAAACAAACTACAAAGTGGAGAATGAACCCTTGCAGATTTCCAATGGCTTCTCAGCATCACACAAGGGATTTTTAGATGAGGAGGCCCTTATATGTACTAGTTTGCCATAGCAAGAAAGTCACCATTTCTACTACTCAACTGCAGCTGAACTTGACAATAGTGATGCAGATTCCTACTAGGGAAAGTATACAAATTAAAGTATATAAATAAAAAGTATATATAAAATATATATATAGCTACTGATTTCTTTTCTCTTTTTTTTTTAGAGCTCTCTCAAAAAACCATTGGTAAGTCATCTGATTCTCAATTATAATGCCTTTTAGTACTTTACTTAGAACATCAATCTATTTTTATTTCAATTATTCATGCCCAAGGACTCAAGGATCAAGTCCTTCTGCCACCTCATAATCTCACCCAGTACTCCAGATTGGACTCATCCAGGTTCTGCAATAAAAATATATTAACTATGAAGCTGAAATGCAAAGTGAAAAATATCCTGCTAGAGATGGTCCTAAGCTGTTTCCACTTCAGCATATAATCTAGCTCTGTAGAGCCAATACTTAATAAAGACTTAGAACCCAGCACCTAAACTTCCTGCTGTGCTTTCCATGCAAATAATTTTTCCATTATTAGATTATCTTCACTTTGTAAAATAATGCAAATTTTAAGTTTCCTTTCTTTATTTTTTTTGAGATGGAGTCTCGCTCTGTCATCCGGGCTGGAGCGCAGTGGCATGATCTCCACTCACTGCAAGCTCCACCTCGTGGGTTCAAGCCGTTCTCCTGTCTTAGCCTACCGAGTAGCTGGGACTACAGGCACCCACCACCACGCCCGGCTAATTTTTTTGTATTTTTAGTAGAGATGGGGTTTCACTCTGTTAGCCAGAATGGTCTCGATCTCCTGACCTCGTGATCCGCCCGCCTCAGCCTCCCAAAGTGTTGGGATTACAGGCGTGAGCCACTGCGCCTGGCCTTCCTTTCCTTTCTAATTGCCCTGAAAAGTTCTCTCCAGAAGAGTTAGGCTCTATTTTCAGCAACTTTTAGCAACCTAGTCACATTCTTTGAGTGATCCCTATAATGTCTTACTACTGTTTTTTTAACCCTCGCGTACATTACTTTGTTGCATCTAAACAACATTCAAATGGCAATGAGTAAGGCAGTTATTATCCCCATATTTAGAGATGAGGAAACTGAGGGTCAGGAGTCATTTCTCAAAAAAATAAGAGGATGGGTTAGTTAATAAAATTAAGACTGAAGTTTTACTAACTCTTCATTCTTTCCACTATCATTTTTGGGTGTTATAACAGGTTATTAACAATGAATAAAATGAAGTTCTAATATTGAGATTAAAGGGTAGTAAAGGCCTAGAGGAGAAAAAGTGAGAGAATGAGTAACACAAATAATAACAGATACAGAATGAAGATGCAGTTTAGAGAGAGATAAATAGGAGAAAATTTAAAAAGAACAAAAGTAGGAAGAAAATTGGAAGCAGAAAGAGTAAGTGAATTGGCACATAAGAGAATAAAGAAGGGAAATGAGTATGTTGAGAAAGAGAATAAAAATAAAGGTACAAAAAGTCACAAATTGAAACTGGAAAGGAAGGAAGAAAATATAGAAAAACTGAAGAAACAAAATTTTGAAGTGATCACCTATCCAAGGATTTAGTAACTTATGTCAAGAGGGCAGGTATCATAAGACTTCTACTTCAGAATCAAAGATACATATTTGTAGATACAGGCAAAGCAACTATTAAGTTAGCATAATATCTAAATGTGTAACTGGTTTACTGCTCATAGCCAAGGGTATCCAGATCTGGAAAGCCATCTTCCAGGTGTTTTACACAGGAAAAAAAAAATTCAGAGTTAAAAGTTCGAGGATTATTGATCAAAATGTGGATATTTCTCATTCTGAGTGACACTGAAGTGAAGGATTATTAACTGCAATGCCCACTGGGTGAAGATATGGTCTTTTTAGATTCAACTAACCACGCAGACTTAGAAGATTACCATAGCTCTCATCTGGGAACAGTCTACTCAGTAGGACCTAAGGGAGGAAGCACAGTTTGCCAGCAAGGGCATTAACAGCTATCCCTCTGCTGTGGGAGTAGTACTCGCCATGATCTATGCAGGTGTCCACATAGCCACCTAGGACCTATTCTGTTTGGCCTTCTGTCAGTTGAGTTGGGAGCTGACCTAGCTTAGAAACCCCACAGATCCACCAGGAACTAAAATCTCCTATAAGAACCCCATACACATTACCTGCAGGGATCCCGTAAGGAATATGACCAAATACATGGGTCACTACACTCAGGGAAGCCCAAAGTTATGGCTTCTTAATACATATTTACAATTCTCCCAGTTCAGATGCAGTCTAACATCAAGGATCATTCTTATGTAAGCAGTGTTGCTAAATAACATAACAGGCTTTCGGCTGGGTGCAGTAATCCCAGCACTTTGGGAGGCTAAGACCAGGGGATCACAAGGTCAGAAGTTTGAGACCAGCCTGGCCAATATGGTGAAACCCCATCTCTACTTAAAAAAATACAAAAATTAGCTGGGTGTGGTGTCGTGCGCCTGCAGTCCCAGCTACTCAGGAGGCTAAGGCAGGAGAATCGCTTGAACCCAGGAGGCAGAGGTTGCAGTGAGCCGAGATCATGCCACTGCATTCCAGCCTGGGCGACAGAGTAAGACTCCGTCTAAAAAAAAAACAACAACAAAAAAAACATAACAGGCTTTCGATATTTATCAGGTCACCAGGCGATCAGAGCTAGAAAATCAACTGAAGGCCAAATTCTCATTAAAAACTGAAGGTTTTGGCCAGGCATGGGCTCACACCTGTAATTTCTGCACTTTGGGAGGCTAAGACAGGAGGATCACTTGAGACCAGGAGTTCAAGATCAGCCTGAGCAACAACAGAGCAAGACCCCATCTCTACAAAAATTTTTTTAATTAGCCAGGAATAGTGGCATGCAGCTGTAGTCCTAGCTACTCAAGAGGCTGAGGTGGGAGGATCACTTGAGCCCAGGAGGTCGAGACTGTAGTGAGCTAGGATTGCACCACTGCATTCCAGCCTGGGTGACAGAGTGAGACCTTATCTCAAAAAACAAAACAAAACAAAACAAAAAAAAACAGAAGGTTTTGTTGACTCTTTGCTCACAGACTCTAAAGCTAATCAAAGCAGCAGTCACTGCTCTATCACTCTCCAATAAGCTGGAAGCTGTGAGAAGAAGAAACTAGATTCTTACCTCCTATTCTAATGTCTACCTCTGGAACATATTAGTTGATCAGAAATAAAGATTTTAGTGAAAGAACAGTCCCTTGAGAAAGAAATATCTTCTACTCTTACTGACGGGAAGTGTTTCACCTTTCCCTACCATCAGTAATGTTAATACCTAATAACAAAGTTTTGCCTTTCCCTAGTATCCCTTAGGTTGGCAAGGATCCTATAAAAACCTTCACCTTGGGCTGAAATATTGCAGTAAATGCTAAATATCCTTTTTCCTTTTTTCTATAGTTAATATAGTTGGATTAAGTCTCCCTAATGATCTCATAACTGATATCACTTCCTCTCCCCTGCTCTACCTCTCAAAGCCTCACTTCTAGGATAAAATTAGTGAAAAATACACTCTCCAAATAACTGTACTAATATGCCAATTTGAATTTCTTTTTAGTGCAAACTCTAGGACCTATTGGTAAGCTGCCTGTATATATCAACTTATCTCTACTGGCTTCTTACTATGTCTGAAGGAGACTGGCTCCAACTGTTTAAGTATCTGGGTTAAAGAAGCTGAAAATCATATTTCTTAGACTTTCATTTCCCCATATCGTAACTGTTAGGTTTTGGAGGGAAGGCGAGGGTTAAAGAAAAGACACAGAGAGAGTGGCGGCTGTACAGCAAATGTAGGCTTTATGTCCAGCATAAGACCTACAGAAGTGGGGAACCAGCCTAATGCCAGTGCCCACTGCTGCTTACAGGCTGGGGGTACTTATAGGTATAGGCGGGAGGGGTCTGGGTAGTATGGCTTGCTGGCCGGCAGGATATTGATAAGATGTTCCCATGATGAGGGGGTTCTGGCCCTTGTTCCTGCAGAATGTAGTGTTCCTTGCACTTTCTCCCAGCTGAATATGACAGGGATGTTTCTTTAGTTGGCCCTTTGTCCACCTTGTGTTCAGGTGGTTAGGCAGAATGTTTCTCACAGCCCGAACCCCCGTGGAATGTTTCACTTTTACCAAGGTCTTCAAATTGCTGGAGGCTTACAAAATGGTGCAGTTTGGATTAACACTAACCATCTCTCTGGGCAACCAATTATATTTTAGAAAATGGAAATTCCATTACCTTAAAATTCATAATAGATAGGCATTGTTCTAATAATGATTATAGTGGCTTGTCAGTAATCATTAGAATAACTTCCTAAGGCAAAGGTGTAATCGAATCTGGAAAAGAATATAAGAAATGAACAAGAACATAAAGATAGCTGAGAGTGAAACAGAGTGATCTGAGGAAAAACACTGGGGGAATATGGAAAGGAATACAATTAAGGATCTCATCTCCAACACCTATAATGAAAAGCAAGAATGAAGTGGTTATGCTAAAACAGGGTTAATAATCTCCTAAAAGAAGATCTGGTTCTTATGGAGAGGCTAGAGTACAGCAGCAGTGCAGTGAAAAATATTTAATCCTGAATACTTAGATTTAGTAATTCCTGAGAAAATCATTTTCACTGCTTGCCTTTGGAAAATATCACTAATAGAGGTGTTTTGGGGCCAGGCGCAGTGGTTCACACCTGTAATCCCAGCACTTTGGGAGGCCAAGGATCACCTGAGGTCAGGAGTTCGAGACCAGCCTGGCCAACATGGTGAAACCCCATCTCTACTAAAAATACAAAAAATAGCCAGGCATGGTGGCGGGCACCTGTAATCCCTGCTACTCAGGAGGCTGAGGCACGAGAATCCCTTGAACCCAGAAGGTGGAGGTTGCAGTGAGCCAAGATCACCCTACCACACTCCAGCCTGGGCGAAAGAGTGAGAGACTCTGTCTCAAAAAATAGAAGTGTGTGTGTGTGTGTGTGTGTGTGTGTGTGTGTGTGTGTGTTTAATTTGTTTGTTTCTATTTTTTAGTACAATATCCTGGATCCAATGGTAAGTACCTTATCTATCCTTCTCCCTCCAGGTTCCTTGATCTTCTACAGTGTCTAGAGGGCCTGTTCCCTGTCTCAAATGCCCTAGATGTGTCTCACTGCCATAAGAGCAGTTATTTTACACATGTTTTTATGCTTCCTGATTTCAACCTACTGAGAATTCTCCAGGGCTATTTTTTTTAAAAGAAAAAGAGTAAGAAAATGTCCCCAGAAATAGTCATAATGTCTTCTATAACAATATACAAGAATTTTCTAAAGTAGCAGAGAGAGAATAATAAGGGCAGCTTTCCAGTTCTGAAGTGCTTTGTAGTTTCTAAAGGGCCTACTCAAAGATAATGGAGGAGACAATGAGGAGGAAATGAGAAAAGAAAATCAAATTTTAAGAATAAATACAAAAGGGAGAAAAGACAACAAAATTTAACAGGAAATACTATGCAGGGTCTAGTCTAACCTGAGTTCTCCAGTCTTCTCTCCAAAGGCCTTTCTCTTTCCTCATGTCCTATCCGGCTCACTATCTCCAAACATCCCCAACACACGTGCGCGCGCGCACACACACGCACGACAAAGAGAGAGGAAAAGAAAGATAGGACAGAGCACCTCATGGAACAGGATATAACAGTAATTGGGCTGTAATTTACAGGAACTGGCAGAAGCATCACATATGGAAGAGAATAAAGTGAAAGTTCATATTGTGACGAGCTAGGGAGAAACTGGTGTTAAAATCTAGGGCATCGAACCAACCCCAGGACACGGGAAATTCTGAATCTAGAAATTAAGGGATAGCATTAGAAAGTTTAAGTCAAGCAGGAAGAATTATCAGAGGGCAAGTCACATATATTCAAACAAACATTCCTTCATCTAGCTGAGCTCCTACCATGTATCTGATACTAAGCTGAGCACTGAGGATAAAGTCATGAATAAGGGAGAGAAAGATATGGTTGGTCACTGACGCCATGGAGTTTACAGTCCTATAAGATAACTTGGGAAAACAAACCCAAAATGTGTAGAGGGCAGGCAGCATCCCACACAACCACACTACGACCATTAAAACTGGATATTTACTGCCCTGAATTCTGGTTCTAACTATCCTTTTTGTGAATGAATAAGAGCCATTTGTTATTGACTATTCCCCTGAATCAAGACTGCTTTTCTCAGTACTCACAGATTGCCAAGACTTATAGCCTTGGAAGTTCTCATAATTATTACAGGGAGGATAAACATAAGCCAGCTCACCTCAGAGGATCTCACTGGGGCTAAAGGAAGGGTCACATCTGGTCCACAGTTCCCTAATAGCCACCATGTGCCAGAGAATCTACATGGATACATGAATTCCCTTTCCCTTTTCTCCCCTGCTTGACTCCCTCTCCCTTATGTGTAAACAATTTAAAAATATGATAGTGTATAAATGAAAAATATATTGCTATTTTATTCCTTTCTAGCTTTCCCCTAAGTTATAAGCGATTTGGAGAAAGTGCAAAATGAACTGATTAAAATTTAAATGACTTTAACAAAAATTAGTGGCTCGCAACAGCCCTAGTAAAGAAGAGTAGGAAGAAAGCTTTTCAAGTCAATAAAAATTATTGGGTGGAATATTCACTATTTGGGTAATGGGTACACTAAAAGCCCAGACTTCACCACTATGCCATATATGACATAAGAAATCTGTACTTGTACCTCTTAAATATAATTAATTAATTAAAAGGTTAGTGAACAAGAGTGACTAAAGAAAATGAGGCCAGGGCCAGGCATGGTGGCTCATGCCTGTAATCTCAGCACTTTGGGAGCCCGAGGCAGGTGGATCACGAGGTCAGCAGTTCGAGACCAGCCTGACAAACATGGTGAAACCCCGTCTCTACTAAAAATACAAAAATTTGGCCAGGCAAGGTGGCTCATGCCTGTAATCCTAGCACTTTGGGAGGCCAAGGTGGGTGGATCACTTGAGGTCAGAAGTTCAAGACCAGCCTGGCCAACATGGTGAAACTTCGTCTCTACTAAAAATACAAAAAATTGGCCAGGCATGGTAGCGCATGCCTGTAGTCCCAGCTACTTGGGAGGCTGAGGCAGGAGAATCACTTGAACTTGGGAGGTGGAGATTGCAGTGAGCCGAGATCTCACCACTGCACTCCAGCCTGGGTGACAGAGTGAGACTCTGTCTAAAAAAAAAAAATACAAAAGTTAGCTGGGCGTGGTGGTGCACGCCTGTAATCTCAGCTACTCAGGAGGCAGAGGCAGGAGAATCGCTTGAACCCGGGAGGTGGAGGTTGCAGTGAGCCGAGATCGTGTCACTGCCCTTCAGCCTGGGCGACAGAGCGAGACTCTGTCTCAAAAACACACACAAAAAAAAATGAGGCCGGGCGCAGTGGCTCACGCCTATAATCCCAGCACTCTGGGAGGCCCCGTGGGCCAGATCACTTAAGGTCAGTAGTTCAAGACCAGCCTGGCCAACATGATGAAACCGCGCCTCTATTAAAAATACAAAAATTAGGCCTGGCACACTGGTGGCTCACGCCTGTAATCCAGCACTTTGGGAGGCCAAGGTGGGCAGATCACGAAGTCAGGAGATGGAGACCATCCTGGCTAACACAGTGAAACCCTGTCTCTACTAAAAATACAAAAAAAAAATAATAATAATAAGTCGGGCATGGTGGCGGGTGCCTGTAGTTCCAGGTACTTGGGAGGCTGAGGCAGGAGAATGGCATGAACCCAGGAGCCAGAGCTTGCAGTAAGCCGAGATCACGCCACCGCACTCCAGCCTGGGTGACAGAGCAAGACTCCGTCTCAAAAAAAAAAACCTACAAAAATGAGCCAGACTTCGTGGCAGGTACCTGTAATCGCTTGAACCTGGGAGGCAGAGGTTGCAGTGAGCTGAGGTCATGCCACTGCACTCCAGCCTGGGCAACAGAGCAAGACTCTGTCTCAAAAAGAAAAAAAAAAAAGAAAAAGAAAATGAGACTGACAAAAGTACATATAAGTTTAAGACATTATGAACCTCTAGAAGTGTTTCAAGCATCTACTGTCCCTAAATGAAATGAGAAGGAAGAACAAAGCCTCACTTTACCACTTTATAGCCAATCTCCTGCCTCAGACCAGCAGAAACAGGTCTGAGGCTACAAAGCACAAAGTAAGGCACGTAAGGCCGGACATGCACTGAGCTGTCAGATTTTAGGGCCCCCCATATCCTCTCTGCAGTTACCCTCTTTAAGCCTATCAAGGGAGAACTGAATTCACTTGGTTCTACACATGTTGATTTCTCCATTTTGTGTTCCTTCCGTTTTTTACCACCAGATGAAACTTCAGAAATGACTGGTTAAGTTCCATGTCTATTGTATGATAGCTGCCTTTGGCTTCCTATAGGGCCTGGCATACTTTTCCTCTCTGCTCATTTCTGTCTTGTGTGTGTAGAAACTCACATTTCTTCATTTCTTTTGCTTATTCCTCTATTTAGCTGCTGCTCCACTCCTATAAGGAATGAATAAAGGAGAATACCAAACCCAAAATAGAGAGATAAAGTTCGGAAACTACCCAAAGTTTATAGTGACTTGTCAACAAGGGAAGGGAAGGATATTTGTATGAATAAATGAAAGCTTTCACAGGATGGCAGAAATAGGGAGAAGAAAGGTAAAGGCAGCACAGTTTAAAGAAATTACCAATCCCCTGCAGGATTTCCAGCAGTAACCACTCACTGCAAAAAGGGAAGAGATCAATCATCTCCCTTTCCTGCAGCCTCCTATACTAAGCAGAAGGCAGAATCCCCACAAGGCATGATGGCAGGTATATTCCCCAGCACAGCGCTCTATGCCCCTGCCCTAAGAAGGATGTTTCTTCCATTGCCATTTCTGATATTTCCTTTCAGGAAAGTAGTACGAAAACTAGCTCCTCTTTCAGCAGGCTGTACACGTTGATTTATCTTTGTTTTTCAGCTACAGGATCCTCTTGTAAGTTTGACCATTTCCCTTCATGAGTGAAACTCAATTATCTCCAGCAGTGTCTAACATATCTTAAGCCAAAATGTATGCATCCACATTGTGATATGATAATGTTCCAATTTCCTTGGTCCCTTATTTTTCCATTACTCAGAACACAAATATATATTTTTTTCAGTGTCACGATCAGACTATTACATTTAGCAATAAACAGCATGGGTGCAAAAAAAAATCTACATTAAAACCCTTTGTCGGAATGCTTTACACTTTCCACAGAACAGAAACTAAAATAACCTGTTATACAATTAGTCACAAATACAGTCCTCGAGTTTTTTGCCCATACACATGAGTATTTGTCTAAAACATGTCTTCTTTGTACCAGCTAGGCCCTGCCACCACTGTGCTTGGCTGAGTTCACAAATCTGTTATAACCTGTAGCTTCCCTGTCACTTCTCTGGCTCTCCTCTCCTGCTAAGCTTTGTTTCCTAATTAAAATCTTCTGCCACTGCCATAGCTACTGCTGCTACTGGAACCACAATAGCCACTTTGGTTTCATGGTTTGGCAAAGTATTGGCCTCCACCACCATAGAGGCCACAGCTTCTGCCTCCAAAGTTTCCTCCCTTCATGGGTCCAAAATTTGAAGACTGATTGTTGTAATTGCCAAAATCATTGTAGCTTCCACCACCTCCAAAATTGCTCCCATCATTACCAAATCCATTATAGCCATCCTCACTGCCACCATATCCACCACCACCACAGCTGCCACCAAAGCCACCACAACCACTGAAGTTTCCTCCATGATCAAAGTTGTCATTCCCACCGAAACCACCTCCATGACCACCACCTAAGTTTCCAGAACCACTTCGACCTCTTCGGCTGGATGGAGCACTAGCCATCTCTTGCTTTGACAGGCTTTCCTAACTTCACAGTTGTGGCCATTCACACTGTGGTATTTCTGAATGACAGTCTTATCCACGGAGTCATGGTCATCAAAGGTTACAAAGGCAAATCCCCTTTTCTTGCAACTGCCTCGGTCAGTCATGTTTTCAATCACTTCAATTTTTCCATACTACTCAAAATAATTTCTTAGGTGATTTCTTCAGTGTCTTCTTTAATGCCACCAGCATATATCTTTTTCACAGTTAAGTGGGCACCTGGTATTTGAGAATCTTCTCTTGAGACAGCTCTGTTTGGTTCCACAGCTCTTCCATCCACCTTGTGTGGCCTTGCATTCACGGCTGCATCCACCTCCTCCACAGTGGCATATGTGAAAAATCCAAAGCCCCTGGAGTGCTTGGGTTTGGATCTCTCATGACCACACTGTCCGGGAGTGTCCCTCACTGCTCAAAATGGCTCCTCAGGCTCTCATCAGTTGTTTCAAAGCTCAACCCTCCAATGAAGAGCTTCCTCAGTTGTTCTGGCTCTTTAGGAGACTCTGACTTAGATAAGACGGCCAGGAGAAGAGAGACTTTAATGATGCTTCTTCCGTGGCATCCATGGGCAGAAAGGCATAAATAAATTATTAATAAGTTTCTAGAACATTCACTGACTCGCATAAAAAATAAAGACCTGAGAAAAAAGTTTTTACATGACTCTAAAGAATGTTAGGAACTTTCCATGCAGAATGAAAAAAAATGACAGAAAAATGATATAGATCCATTTCTGCTTTCTAGATAAGTCATCTATACAGGCAATTAGTCAGTTATTTATTTGTTTCTCTGTGGTGCACTTATCAAAGTCCACTGATGTCTATTGGAACTTGAGTTGCAACATGGAACTTGAAGTTCTATTTTCTCAGCCTTTTGTTTTTCCATTATCCAGAATTCAACCAGCTGATAATTAGTTTTCTGGAAATTTCTAGTGCCTTTGATTAAAAAAAAAAATGTTCAAGCAAGTATATCACTAGTAAATTTACCAATAGAAAAAAAAATGAGTAGGAAAAGAAACAAGAAAGGGGTAACAAAAAGTATCTTTGCTTGTTTTTCAGTCAGATCGCATCCTCACACAATCAGTAAGTCTATGTGTTCATTGAATTCTCTCCTTTAGGACTCAGTTGGTCTCTAGTGGAGTCCAAGAGTCTTTATCTGCCCATATTGGGATACAAAGGGCTTGAGATATATCTTGGCCTCTTGCTGTCTCATTATCAAAACCTCTCTGCATTATTCATGATGTACTGGAAAGTTTTAAGACTATCAATTTACAATCCCCTGCAGGATTTCAAGCAGTTACCAGTCACTGCAAAAAGGGAAGAGATAAGTCAGAGCAGAGAAAAAAATTTTACAAAATTTCAAAGCCCATCAACAAGAGACTACCTTAAAAAGGGAAAAAATGGTAGGAGAGAAAGGAGTAGATAAGAAGTTTCTGTAACCCTTTTTCATTTGAACCTCCTGCCATATCTGGTCTCTTTTTTCCACATTTAAATTCCAAAACATCTAAGAAAAATTTGTATCACCTTTTAGAGACTTTAGAGGATTTAAGCCTAAACTTTAAATAACAACTTTAAGTTGTTATTTCCTCCGTGTTTTGCTTTCATGTGACACATCATTCTCTCACCTTTTAAATAACTCTATGGAAAAAATCAAACTTACTATTTTATTAAAAAATAAAGGGCAGGGGAGAAAGTTTATCAGCAGGTCAAAATGATATATTACAAGGGACTTAACAAACTGAAAGACAATTTGAGCAATGGGGAAAGAAAAAGGAGATAATTGTTTCTGGTCTAGTTGCAAGCTGGATTCATTTCACTTGCCATCAGTATGTCCATGTTTTCACCACCGTAGGATTCTGGAATCTCTCCTTTCCCTAGTACAGCTAAGATTTCCAGGCTTGGGGTGCATACTACTTTAACCACTTACTTTCCTATCATCAAAATTCCATGAAGTTATTAATGATTTTTTGAAAGTTCACATTCTGCTGATTCATATTAAAAATAAATGAATACCAAAGGGAAAGTTTTCCCTATTGTTATAATGACCTACCAAGAAGAAACTCTCTACATAGAAAGGAAAATATCATGGGAGAAAAAACAGTTGCTAAGATACCTCTCTGTTTTTCAGCTGGTCCACCTTCAGCACCCCGCGGTAAGTTCCATTTCTTTTTCTACTCTTTTCTGTTGTTGTTCTTGTTGTTCCCTGCAAGGCTTAGAGACCTGTCTCTACCCTGCTCATTTCTAACTCTGTGTGCAGCTACCTGACTCAAAGCTTCCAGTTTCCTCTGCCTTCTGCTCATCCAGCTTCTCCCTGAGAAAGAAGTTATATCTACATAATTTCAAACATATATTTACTTTGTATCTCCTCTAGAACTATTTAAGTGCTTTAATTACATTACCTCATTTAATCCTTAGAATAATTCCACCAATCCCTTTGTAAGAGATAAGAAACTGAGCCAAATACTTACTCAAGAATACATAGTCATAGAATCATAATTTAGACCCAGAAAGGTGTCCAAGTTTCTCCCCTACACAAATATACCTCCCTAGAGGGAACCTTGTTTCTTTCAAAGAAATCTTCACCAATATCTAATTTGGTTTTTAGGTCCACCCATGGCACCCATAAGTAAGTATAACATCTCTTTTTCTTCTTTGGTTCTCTATGGTCCCCTTCATTTCACTTCTGTCAAAGTGATTTGAGTTTCCCATTCTTCTCTTGCTTCCTTATTACCCTGCTTGCCCTATAATTTTTTTAAAATACTAATTAAAAGTGGGACTAAGCTAGCATTCATCAACAATAAACTGAACAATACTATGAAATAACAAGTAGGAGGAATTTTCAGGGGGGTGGAGAGAGAAAGAGAGAGAGGGATGAAATCCAAAATGATGTCTAAATGGAGAGAAACCTTCAGTGTTCTTTCAAACATTATAGTGCAAGGATCCAGTGGTCTTTTCCCAACACTATGCCCAAAGCTGTTCAGGTCCAATAAGTGGAGAGGGCCTTTAAGGAAACTCTACCTTTGACTTCGTCATTACATCATCACTGCTAAATCTTACATCTAGTTTTGCATTATAAAACTAATCTAAAACCAAATAATCTATAGGGTGGTTTGGAATACCTCCTTCACTGCCCACCCAAGTCCTCCCCTCACAGACTCCAGCAAAATATATTAGATAATACTATGTGTTTTCTATTTGAGAAAAATTAAATGGATTTCTGTTTGCTTATTTTTCAGTAATTTCACAGAGAACCGCAAGTAAGTACTCTACTTCTCAGCTGGTCATATGTGGGGACTTTTCTTATCTTAGTTGTTTCTATTTCTAAGTGCCTCATATTTCTCATATTCATTTGCTTCTACATTACCCAAAGTCTTCAAGATTAGGACTGCAAGTCAACCTTTTTGATTCGTAACTGTAGTATTTCCCATTATTTTAGTTCTAAACTCAGCTTCCAAGGTAACACATACCAACAGTGACTCAATATTTAAACCAGGTCAAGCACTAACAATGATGATATTTAATATAGAATTCGTGAAACCGCCTTTCACACTATGTCCTACCTTTCCAAAATGCAAATTTGGTTCTCATATCTCAGTTACAAATGATTTAAGCAAACCTAACATCGCTGGGATTCCTCAGCCTGAAATTAAATCACACTAATATTAAAAACCAAAGTTCCTGTCAAGGTTAAAAATGCAGATGCCAAAAGAGCCCAGGCAGGTCAGTAAATGAGTGAGATGAGGTGAATCTCCTGGGAACTGTGTAAAACTGGGAGGACACATATAGTCTGAAGAGGGTAGCTGCTGCCTGCTCCAGCCAACCTCTTCATGCAAGAATTCAGATTCAGAGTTGCCAAAGCATCTCACTTAATCCAGATAGTAGGTAAAATTTTCCAAGTTTTAAACATGACAGACATCTGGGTTACCCTAACAGATTGCAAACATACTTACATACTCCCCTCTAGTTCCATCTAAACACACTCTGGATACAGTTTTCATAATAACATTTTACTCATTTCAATAATGTTAGGACAAAGGCATTGGTATTTGAGAGAGGAGAATTGGAGCTATTAACACAGAATTAGCCAGTGTCTCTCCAAAGTCCTCATCCACACATCTTTCTGAAGCCTGAGCAAAGAGGCTGATCGGCTAAGTATTCTCACGGCACAGATAAAAATACAGAGACAATGGTTCCGACCCAGAGATGAGGCTGCAAAATCCATATGCCTATGTTTGGGAATAGGCCCTATAATTGGGCACAGGGACCAATGCCCACCTGAGGTCAGGAGAAGGGATTACTGGTCTCACAGCTAGAAATTACAAGCCAAAATCCAAATTGAAGGCATAGTGTCCTTTTCAGAGAAGTCATCAGAGAGTATGGGCAGGAAAAAGATGTAAAAATCCAAGACCCAATAGATATATAGGGTCTTGGATCCTATATATCATCCTAGTAGAGGGGATGAAAAAAAGCACGCAAAAGTAACTAGGGATTATACCACCTGCTTTTTGGATAGCTAAGTGTTGGCTGGCCAATCCCATTACTGGGTATAGACTCAAAGGAATATAAACCATTCTATCATAAAGACACATGCACAGTTATGTTAAACACAGAACTATTCACAATAGCAAATACATGGAATCAACCTAAATGCCCATCAATGGTAGACTGAATAAAGAAAATGTGATACATATACACCATGGAATACTACGCAGCCAAAAAAAGAATGAGATCATGTCCTTTGCTGGAACACGGATGGATCTAGAGGCCATTACCCCTAGCAAACTAATGCAGGAACAGAAAACCAGATACCACATGTTCTTATTTATAAACGGGAGCTAAATGATGAGAACACATGGACACACAGAGGGGAAAAATAGACACTGGGGCCTGTCAGAGGGTGGAGGGTGGGAGCGGGAGAGGATCAGGAAAAATAACTAGATTTAATATCTGGGTAGAAAAATAATCTGTACAACAAACCCCCATGACACAAGTTTACCTATATAACAACCTTGCACATGTGTCCCTGAATTTAAAATAAAAGTTTAAAAAGTGTTACCTGGCAATATCTATAAATGAAAAATATACAGCCAAGCTTAAGCATAAAAAAGGTGGGTAAGATTTCCAAGGAGCAGAAATTGAATATAGGAACACATTGCAAGAAGAAGCTAAAGTTAAGCTCTTGGTGGGAACAGTGAGGGGATGAAAAAATAGAGATGACAGCTTTGCCTCAGGAACAAAGGTAGGGTTTCAACATCTGCTCCCAAATGACAGCAAAAGCCTCAAGATACAACATGCGGAAAACTGAAATTAGGCCCCTCTGAGTAAAGCCAGTAGCAGAAAATATACTGCCTCCCCATGCACAGAAGCCAAAATATCTTCACCCATCTGCCCCAGGCATGAAAACAGAGCCACCCACACAGGTCCAGAGTTAGATCTGTCCAGGGTGCAGAGCCCTGCTGGAGGTGTGCTACCCATGCAATGTGCATAATATTCCAAGTCAAAACAGCTGAGATCTGGTTAAGTGGCAGTGTACCCAGGAAGTTAGGACAATAGCCACCAAGAAGAGAGCCACAACCCAGGGTATTTATATCATAGAATATCCATGAAAGATAGCCCCCAAGGAATAAGAAACTACTAAAAGTTCTGAAATCTATGAGAAAATCCAGCACCATGTGAGTGGTGAGTGATACCTCACAAGCCCCAACAAATTGGAGAATTCCAACCCAGAGAAATATAACTAGAGCAATCTGAAGAAGACTAAAATAAGGAACCTAACAGCACTGAACAAGTCAAACACTAAAGGAAAAAAAAGAAAAAGTCTTCAAAGATATTAATGCATTTTAAAAATATATGTATTCAACAAATATATATTGGCCTATTGTAGGCCAGGCATTATCCTAAGCACTGGAAATATAGCCATGAGCAAGACAAAGTCCTTGCACTTAAGGAGTTTATATGTTGAGATAAAACAGGCAAATAATGCCAAGTAAACATATACTAAATGTCAGGCAGATAAATTCATGTAGAAAAATAAGAAGAGTAACAGACTAAAGAAAGATGGTATAGAAGGGGGAGTGTGCTTCAGGCAAAAGGAACAAGTACAACATGCACAGGCCTGCTATGGAGGTGCAAAACAGCCAGCCAGGCTAGAAAGAAGGAGGCAGAGCAGGAGGTAGGGCCAGAGCGACAAGAGCCAGATTATGTCGGGCCCTGCAGTCCTTAATAAAAAATTGCAGATTTCATTCTAGGTGTCATGAGAGGCAACTGAAGGGCTTGAACAGGGAAATGATAGGGCCCACTTTATAATTTTAAAAGATCACTCTATTATTGTGGAGGATTAACTGGGGTGAGAGTGAGGGCTCAAGAGGGCAAGTAGGAAGACCAGTTAAGAGGCCTGAAACTAAAGGTGAGTGTGGCAAGGAGAGAGTGATCAGAGTGGAAGTGGGAAGAAGGTCTTCAGATTTTATTTATTTTGGGGGCAAAGCCAACAGGGCCTGCTGTTCGACTGAATGTGATTTTAAGGGAAAAAGAAGACACCAAGGGTTACTCCTAGATTTGGGGTCTAAGAAACTTGACGAATGAGACTATTTATTCATTTAGGTAGCGGAGAAGAGCAGATTTATAGGATGCTATTGTGAGTTCAGTTTTGCATATGTTAGGTTCTAGATGCCTGGGATATTTAGGACTAATTAATTAAATAATCTGACCTTAGCAGGCTTCAAGCATGTTTTCTGGAAAATATCTCCTCTCTGTCCCTTCATGATGCATTAGAACCCATAATTTTATCTTTTTTATCTTTGTAAATAACAGCTTTATTGAGATGATATTCACATATGACACAATTCACTCATTTAAAGTGTGGAATTTAATGCTTTTTAGTATATTCACTGGGTTGTGCAACCATCACCACAATGAATTTTAGAACATTCTCATCACCCCCCAGAAAAACTCTGTTTAACAATCACTTCCCACTATCCCCCAACCCAAAACCCTCTCCACACCATAGCCCCAGGCAACCACTAATCTTCTTTCTGTCTCTATAGATTCAGCTGTTCTGGACATTTCATATAAATGGAATCAAACAATAGGAGGTCTTTTGTGCCTGGCTTCTTCCATTTAGCATAAGGTTCACCAGGTTCATCCACATGGTAATATGCAGCAGTACTTCAGTTCTTTTTATGGCCAAATAATATTTCATTATGTCTTTGGTTGGCTTTTTTTAGCTTTCCTTTATTTACTTGTAAGGAAATATTATGATAAGTAGTATTAACTTGCTTTCTTTATTTTTATTTAAGTTTTAAGTTCAGGGATACATGTGCAGTTTGTTATATAGGTAAACTTGTGTCATGCAGGTTTGTTGTACAGATTATTTCATCACCCAGGTATTAAGCCTAGAACCCCTTAGTTATTTTTCCTGACTGTCTACGTCCTCTCACCCTCCACCCTTCAATAAGCCCCAGTGCCTGTTGTTTCCTTCTGTGTCCATGTGTTCTCATCATTTATCTCCCATTTGTAAGTGAGAACATGTGGTATTTGGTTCTCTCTTCCTGCATTAGTTTGCTAAGGATAACGCCCTCCAGCTCCATCCATGTTCCTGCAAAGGACATGATCTTGTTCCTTTTTATGGCTGCATGGTATTATATGGTGTATATGTACATTTTATTTATCCAGTCTATCGTTGACGGGCATTTAGGTTGATTCCATGTCATTGTTACTGTGAATAGTGCTGCAATAAACACACGTGTGTTTCTTTATGATAGAACAATTTTTATTACTTTGGGCATATAGCCAGAAATGGGATTGCTGGGTCGAATGGTAGCTCCGTTTTGGGGTCTTTGAGGAATTGCCACACTGTTTCCCACAATGGTTGAACTAATTTACGTTGCCACCAACAAGGTAAAACTGTTCCTTTTTCTCCACAGCCTCCCCAGTATCTGTTATTTTCTGACATTTTGATAATGGCCATTCTGCCTGGTGCGAGATGGTATCTCATTGTGGTTTTGACTTGCATTTCTCTAACAATCAGTGATGTTGAGCTTTTCTTCATATGTTTGTGAGCTGCATGTACGTCTTCTTTTGAAAAGTGCCTATTCCCTTTTTTTGCCAACTTTTTAATGGGATTGTTTTTGTCTTGTAAATTTGTTTAAGTTCCTTACAGGCGCTGGATATTAGACCTTTGCCAGATGCATAGTTTACAAAAACTTTCTCCCATTCTGTAGGTTGCCTATTTACTCTGTTGACAGTTTCTTTTGCTGGGCAGAAGCTCTTTAGCTCAATTAGATCCCATCTGTCAATTTTTGCTTTTGTTACAGTTGCTTTTGTTGTCTTCATCATGAAATTTTTGCCCATTCCTATGTCCAGAATGGTATTGCCTAGGTGGTCTTCCAGGGTTTTTATAGCTTTGGGTTTTACACTTAAATCTTTAAACCATCTTGAGTTAATTTTCGTATGTGGTGTAAGGAAGGAGTCCAGCTTCAATCTTCTGCATATGGCTGGCCAGTTATCCCAGTATCGTTTATTGAATAGGAAGCCCTTTCCCCATTGCTTGTTTTTCTCAGCTTTGTTAAAGATCAGATAGTTGTAGTCATGTGGCCTTATTTCTGGGCTCTGTATTCTGTTGCATTGATCTATGTGTCTATTTCCTACTAGTGCCATACTGTTTTGCTTACTGTAGCCTGGTAGCATACCATAATTTTCTAATCATGTTAAATTATTAAAAACACTCAGGCCAACCCCTCTTAAAACCCTCTCCTCTCCTAGTGGCCAGTCTCAGGCACACTGACTCAGAATAGGGAGGAGAAATTTTTTTGTATTTTTAGAACATCACAGTGTTCGCCAGGATGGTCTTGATCTCCTGACCTCGTGATCCGCCTGCCTCGACCTCCCAAAGTGCTGGGATTACAGGTGTGAGCCAAGGCGCCTGGCCTACCCTACTCATTTCTAACTCTGTGTGCAGCTACCTGACTCAAAGCTCCCAGTTTCCTCTGCCCTCTGCTAATCTAGCTTCTCCCTGAGAAGGAAGCTTACATTTACATGATTTCAAACACATATGTACTTTGCACCTCCTATAGAATTATATAGGTGCTTTAATTACATTATCCCATTTAATCCTTAGAATCACTCCACTAACCCCTTTGTAAGAGATAAGAAACTGACCCAAATACTTACCCAAGAATGCAGTCATAAAGAATTGGAGCTTTTAACAGAGAATTAGCCATTGTCATCCAGAGCTGTGTGACTACCAAGATTCTCCCCAACACAAATATCTCTCCCTAGAAGGAAACTTGCTCCTTTCAAACAAATCTTCACTGATATCTAATTTTTTTAGGTCAGCTGGCAGCACCTATAAGTAAGTATTACATGTCTTTTTCTACTTTGGTTCTCTTTGGTCCCCTTCACTTCACTTCTGTCAAAGTGATTTGTGGTTCCCATTATTCCCTTGCTTCCTTATTACCCTACATGGTCTATATTACAGAGAATCTTTTTAAACACTAATTAAAAGAGGGACTAAGCTAGGATTCATCAGTAATAAACTGAACAATATTATGAAATAACACGTAAGCAGAATTATTGAGAGATGAAATCCATAATGATGTTTAAATGGAGAGAGGCTTTCAGTGTTCTCTCAAACATTATAATGCTATTCAAAGGAAACAGAAAGATATGGCAGTCTCTACCCGAGACTATACCCAAAGCTGTTGGGTCCAGTAAATGAAGAGGGCCTTTAAGGAAACCCTACCTTTGATTTCATCACATCATCACTGCCTAATCTTATATCTAGTTTTGCATTGTAAAACTAATCTAAAACTAATCTATAGGGTGGTTTGGAATGCTTCCTTCTTTGCCCACACAAGTCCTCCCCTCACAGACTCCAACAAAATATGTTAGATAATGCTATGTTTTCTCCATTTGAGAAAAATTAAATGGATTTCTTTTTGCTTATTTTTTAGTAATTTCGCAGAGAACTGCAAGTAAGTTCTTTATTTCTCAGCTGGTCATATGTGGAGATTTATGTTAGATGTTTCCACTTCTAAGTATCCAAAAGATTGAGACTCATATTTCTCATATTCATTTGCTTCTACATTACCCAAAGTCCTCCAGATTAGGACTGCAAGACAAACTTTTCGATTCATAACTGTAATATTTCCCATTATTTAGGTTTTTTTGTTTTGTTTTGTTTTGAGACAGAGTCTCACTCTGTCACACAGGCTGGAGTGCAGTGGCGTGATCTAGGCTCACTGCAACCTCCACCTGCCGAGTCCAAGCAATTCTCCTGCCTGAGCCTCCCAAGTGGCTAGCAATACAGGTGCAAGCCACCATGCCCAGCTAATTATTGTATTTTTAGTAGAGACAGGGTTTCCTCATTTGGCCAGGCTGTTCTTGAACTCCTGACCTCAAGTGATCCGCCCGCGTTGGCCTCCCAAAGTGCTGGGTTTACAGGTGTGAACCACCACGCCCAGCCCCATTATTTTAGTTCTAAACCCAACTTCCAAGGTAACACATACCAACAGTGACTCAATTTTTAAACCAGATCAAGCGTTGACCATGATGATATTTAATATAGAATTCGTGAAAGCACCTTTCACACTGTGTCCTAGTTTTCCAAAATGCAAATCTGGTTCTCATATCTCAGTTACAAATGATTTAAGCAAACCCAATATCAGCTGAGATTCCTCATCCTGAAATTAAATCACATTAATATTAAAACCCAAAGTTCCTGTCAAGGTTAAAAACGCAGATGCCAAAAGAGCCCAGGCAGGTCAGTAAATGAGCGAGTTGAGGTGAGTCTCCTGGGAACTGTGTTAAACTGGGAGGACACGCATAGTCTGAAGAAGGTAGCTGCTGCCCAGCTCCAGCCAACCTCTTCATGCAAGAATTCACATCTAGAGTTGTCAAAGCATCTCACTTAATCCAGATAGTAGGTAAAATTTTCCAATTTTTAAACATGAAAGACATCTATGTTATTCTAACAGATTTCAAATATGCTTATATATCCTCCTCCAGTTCCTTCTAAACACACTCTGGATATAGTTTTCATAATAACAACATTTTATTAATTTCAATAATGTTAGGACAAAGACATTGGTATTTGAGTGAAGAGAAATGGAACTGTCAACAAAGAATTATAAGTGAGTGTCTCTCCAAAATCCCTATCCACATACCTTTCTGAAGCCTGAGCAAAGAGGCTGATCAGCTAAGTATTCTCACTGCACAGATGAAAATACATACTCAGTGGTTGAGACCCAGAAATGAAGCTGGAAATTCCAGATGTCTATGTTTGCACATGGGCCATATAATTGGGAACAGAGACCAAGGCCCACCAAAGTTCAGGAGAAGGGATTATTGGTCTCACAGCTAGAAATTACAAGGCAGAACCCAAATTGAATGCATAGTGTCCTTTTCAGAGGAGTCATCAAAGAGGATGGGCAGGGAAATAATGTAAAAATCCAATACCCGAGGGGTAGGGAGAAAGAAAAAAGGAATGCCAAAGTAACTAGGGTTTATAACACCTCATTTTTGGCTGGCTAAGTCTTGGCTGGAAATATTTTTAAATGAAAAATGCACAGTCATACCTAAGCATAAAGAAGGAGGGTAAGAGTGATTTCCAAGGAGCAGAAATGGAATATAGGAACACATATAAAGAAAGGAAAGCTAAAGTTAAGCTCTTGGGAGGAATGGTGAGGGGATGAGGAAACAGAGGTAGCAGCTTTGCCTCAGGAACAAAGGTAGGGTTTTAACACCTGATCCTAGATGGTGGACAAAGCCTCAAGATACAACATGTAGAAAACTGGAATTCCACCACTTGGAGTAAAGCCAGGAGCAGAAAACACGCTGCCTCCCCACGCGGAGAAGCCAAAATATCTTCACCCATCTGCCCCAGGCATGAAAACAAAGCCATCCACACAGGTCCAGAGTTAGATCTGTCCAGGGTGCAGAGCCCTGCTGGAGGTGTGCTACCCATGCAGTGTGCATAATATTCCAAGTTAAAACAGCTGAGATCTGGTTCAGTGGCAGTGTACCCAGGAAGTTAGGACAATAGCCACCAAGAAGGGATCCACAACCCAGGGTATTTATATCATAGAATATCCATGAAAGATAGCCCCCAAGGAATAAGAAACTACTAAAAGTTATGAAATCTATGAGAAAATCCAGCACCATATGAGTGATACCTCACAAGTCCCAACAAATTGGAGAATTCCAACCCAGAGAAATATAACTAGAGCAATCTGAAGAAGACTAAAATAAGAAACCTAACAGCATTGAACAAGTCAAACACTAAAGGAAAAAAAAGAAAAAGTCTTCAAAGATATTAATGCATTTTAAAAATATATGTATTCAACAAATATATATTGGCCTATTGTAGGCCAGGCATTATCCTAAGCACTGGAAATATAGCCATGAGCAAGACAAAGTCCTTGCACTTAAGGAGTTTATATGTTGAGATAAAACAGGCAAATAATGCCAAGTAAACATACAGTAAATGTCAGGCAGATAAATTCATGTAGAAAAATAAGAAGAGTAACAGACTAAAGAAAGATGGTATAGAAGGGGGAGTGTGCTTCAGGCAAAAGGAACAAGTACAACATGCACAGGCCTGCTATGGAGGTGCAAAACAGCCAGCCAGGCTAGAAAGAAGGAGGCAGAGCAGGAGGTAGGGCCAGAGCGACAAAAGCCAGATTATGTCGGGCCCTGCAGTCCTTAATAAAAAATTGCAGATTTCATTCTAGGCATCATGAGAAGTAACTGAAGGGCTTGAACAGGGAAATGATAGGGTCTACTTTATAATTTTAAAAGATCACTCTATTATTGTGGAGGATTAACTGGAGTGAGAGTGAGGGCTCAAGAGGGCAAGTAGGAAGACCAGTTAAGAGGCCTGAAACTAAAGGTGAGTGTGGCAATGAGAAGAGTGATCAGAGTGGAAGTGGGAAGAAGGTCTTCAGATTTTATTTATTTTGGGGGCAAAGCCAACAGGGCCTGCTGTTCGACTGAATGTGATTTTAAGGGAAAAAGAAGACACCAAGGGTTACTCCTAGATTTGGGGTCTAAGAAACTTGACGAATGAAACTATTTATTGATTTAGGTAGTGGAGAAGAGCAGATTTATAGGATGCTATTGTGAGTTCAGTTTTGTGTATGCTTGGTTCTAGATGCCTGGAACATTTAGGACTAATTAATTAAATAATCTGACCTTAGCAAGCTTCAAGCATGTTCTCTGCCATGTGTCTCCTTCCTATCATTTAATGATGTCTTAGAACCCATAATTTTCTAGTTATGCTAAATTATTTAAAATGCTTAAGCCATCCCCTTTAAAACCCTCTCCTCTCCTAATGGCCCGTCTCAGGCACACTGACTCAGAATGGGGAGGAGAAATACAATGTGCTTCCCCTTCCTGTCCACTCTCCTTGTTGCTATAATTCCCACCGTTGTTATAATTCCCACTGTTGAGGCTGAGAGGATGGATTTGGGGCATGCAATCTCCTTCCTCTGTTAGTTGTAGGTTCTTTTCTCTGAGAACCTGAGACTGACTGTCCTTTGATGTCATCTAGAGCAGACACCCAAATGTCTTGTACAATACATATTCCAGTTCTTTGGAGGAACATACAAGAACTCGACCATGCCTAGTCCCTGATGTGGGAGTACTGACTCTAGTCTTGCCAATTCCAGAGCCCCTCAACTCCCTCTCGAGCAATACACTTCATTGCTCGTACTGCAGAGATGCCCTTACCAAGTAGGCCACCCACTTGAGTGACATACTAGCAAGAAGGCTCAAGCCAGGATGTATTTTGCACTGCCCACTGAACCCTCAGGAGGCTCAAGAATCCTTATCACAGAACAAGGACACTCTGCACTACTGTCTCTCTCCAATTTTATTTTCCTTCATTCAGATAGGCACAAAACAAATCAACAAATCCACTATTCAACCAGGAGATGGGTTGCCACACATCCTTTCTCACAGATACCCCCAATCACTGTAAGCAAATCTCAAAGTGCTACTCATTTGCCTTCAGAAAAAGAAAGCGCTATTCTTCCTCCCCTACAACACCATTCCTTTGTTAACTACTCACAACTCTAAAGACTCTTAAATCTCCTGCCCTTTACAGTTGTTTGCTTATGTTGTCTTGGAAAAAGGGTGACACTTGAGATAGGAGAGCTAATTTGGCCATCATGTCAAGGCCGGCGAGCAGCACCTCTGCACTGCACAGCCTCAAGAATCCTTTCCCTTTTAATTATGGAGCTGGCAATGCTGCAATCCCTCCTGAGGGCTTGTCTCACCTCAGTTTGCTGAGGAGGGTAATGGGAAGTTATAACCTCTTTTTCCTCAGCTTTGTGATCCTACTTGTCAATTTGGGAGTAACAAGAAAAATCCCACTAAACATTCTGCCCCCCATCCAAGCATATACTCTATATCAAAAGGCAATTAAATATTTGAGTCTGAAGATTTAGGGAGAGATTGGGTGGGAAATAAATTAGACAGTAATCAGCATATAGGTAACATTTAAGACGATTGGACTAAATTAGATAATCAAAGGTATATGTAAAAATGAAGGGGTAAGGATTAATCAGTTTTAGAAGTTTAGAATGAGAAAAATCTAACTATGCATATAGAGAAGTAGTGAGCAGGGAGAAAGAAGGAGAACCAGTAAAGGGGGGGTCTCGCAGCACTCAAGAGAAGATAGTATTTCAATATGGAAAAAATAAACAACAGCATCAAAAACAGCTAAGCAATGAATTTTTGGAGTAAGAACTGACAAGGAATTTTGCAAAATGAATGTCATAAGTAACCTTGATAAGATAGGAGGGAAGAAATGCCTAAATGGAGGAGGTGAAGGAGATAATAAAATTTTAAACGGTAAGGCAGCTGATACGGCATATGACAGCTAGTATAGCATGAAAAGGCCACGAAAGGCTGGAGTTCTGATAGGTTGTGGCTTACCTATTGGGGAATAAAAGAAAGACTATCCTTTCTAAAAAGATTAAAAATATATATATATATATATATGTATATATATTTGAGAGATAGTTTGAAGAAAGAACAGGCAGATTTAAAAAAGAACCAAGCTGAAACCTTGAAAATAAGAAAGTTATTAGAATTGAAACAATGATTAGATAATATATAAATTCTAATGTAACTATATGTAAATAATATTTAAATATTATTAATCACAGTTTAAAAGAGTAAACTGGAAGACAGAACTGAGGAAATCTCAGTTCAAAATAGTACATGGAAAATATTGAAAATCTCAGCTCAAAATAATACACAGAAGATATTGAAAATATGAAAAAGAAGAGCTGTAAATAGAATGAGGTCAGGTGTAATGGAATTTGATAAGAGAGAATTAAAAGAATAAATGTCAGGTAATAATTTTAAATGTAATAATTAATAACATTCCAGAAGAAAAGAGACATAAATCCTCAGATCATAATGGTCCACTGAAAGCTGAAATTAGATAACTTTAAAACACACAGACAGATATATACACACACACACACTTACATGTGCCAAAACTCATCGTAGTAAGCTGACAGACATTAAAAAGCAAATCATAAAGACAACCAGAGAAGCAGATCACCTGCAAAAAATCATGTTAACACTAGACATCTCATTAGCAATAATATGTGCCAGAATACAACAGAACAAGAATGAAATCCAAACAAGAATGAGATCCTATCATTTGCAACAACCTGGATGGAAATGAAGGTCATTATGTTAAGTGAAATAAGCCAGGCATAGAACCACAGACTTCACATGTCCATACTCATTTGTGGGAACTAAAAATTAAAACATTGAACTCATGGAGATAGAGAGTAGAATGATGGTTACCAGAGCCTGGGGAGGGTAGTCAGGAGAGAGAAAAATTGGGAATGGTTAATAGGTACAAAAATAGTTAGATAGAATGGATAAGATCTAATATTTGATAGCACAACAGGGTGACTATAGTCAAAGGAAATTTATTGTACATTTTGAAACAACTAAAAGAATATAATTGCAATGTTTGTAACACAAAGAAATGATAAATGCTTAAGGTGATATTCAGTTAACCCTGATGTGATTACTACACATTATTACACATTGTATGAGTGTACCAAAATATTTCATGTACCTACTTGCACCTACTATATACCCATAAAAATTAAAAATAAAAAAATTTTAAAAAGAATACAACAGAACAATATCATCAAAAGACTGAAGGAAAATTACTATAAACCCATAAGATACAATCAGCAAAATTATCATTTATGAGTGAGACTGAAATGAAGTCATTTTGTATATTCAAGAACATAGAAACTCATTAAACACAGGTCCCCAGTGAAAGAATTATCAAAGGGACATACTTCAGGGAGTTTACTTTTGAGTAAAAACTCAAAAAGAAGTTAGAACCAAGAAACATATGTAAGAAAACAAATCAACAAAACATGACAGTAAATCTAAAATGTTGACTATAAAGAAAAAAAAGAGAAGGAAGAGAAGAAGGAGAAGGAAAAGCAGAAAGAGGCTGAGCACAGTGGTTCACACCTATAAGCCCTGCACTTTGGGAGGCCAGGGCAGGTGGATTGCTTGAGCTCAGGAGTTGGAGACCAGGCTGGGCACCATGGTGAAATCCTGTCTCTACAAAAAATACAAACATCAGGTGAGTGTGGTGGTGCATGCCTGTAGTCACAGCTACTCAGTAGGCTGAGGTGGGAGGATTGCTCGAGCCTGGGAGGTCAAAGCAGCAGTAAGCCGTGATCATGCCACCGCACTCCAGCCTAGGAGCAAGACCCTGTCAAAAAAAAAAAAAAAAAGCAGGAAGAAAAGAAGGAGAAGGAGAGAGTGAAGGAGAAATATATTAGTGTGCTTTAAAATGAGTAGACCTAAAGCATTAGGGAAAAAAACCTTAGAGACAAGGCTAATGATTATGAACTAAGATAATTTGACAAAAGGTCAGATGTACTGATTAACTTTTCATCTTATTAAATATATACATTTGAATATTTATGGCAAAAATAAAAGACAACTATTAATATAATAGAAATGTGACATACATCTTCTGAACCCATAGGGAAAATAAAAAGAAGAAAGAAAACTATATTAGTCCACAAGAAAGCAAGAAAAAAGAAAAAGAGAAAGCAAATAAAAAGCAAAATTTTTTTTTTTTTTTTTTTGAGACGGAGTCTCGCTCTGTCGCCCAGGCTGGAGTGCAGTGGCGGGATCTCGGCTCACTGCAAGCTCCGCCTCCCGGGTTCACGCCATTCTCCTGCCTCAGCCTCCCAAGTAGCTGGGACTACAGGCGCCCGCCACTACGCCCGGCTAATTTTTTGTATTTTTAGTAGAGACGGGGTTTCACCGTTTTAGCCGGGATGGTCTCGATCTCCTGACCTCGTGATCCGCCCGCCTCGGCCTCCCAAAGTGCTGGGATTACAGGCGTGAAAAAGCAAATTTTTTTAAATGAGGGTTAAAAAAGTCTAAATATGTTGCTTAGCACAATATTATACAATAGTAGATTAAACTCACAGATTAAAAGCTAGAAACTCTCAGATGTAATTAAAAGAATTAAATTTTTTTAATTTTTCTATTTTCCTATAAAAAAATAAGAAAAATAGCTAAACTCTATTAAGAAATATACCTAAAATAAGGTGACACACAGAAAAATTTAAATGAAGGAATTTTAAAACATACCAGGCAATTGGCCAGGTGCGGTGGCTCATGCCTGTAATTCCAGCGCTTTGGGAGGCCAAAGCGGGTAGATCACTTGAGGTCAGGAGTTCGAGACCCACCTGGCCAACATGGTGAAACCCTGTCTCTACTAAAAATACAAAATTAGCCAGGCATGGTGGCACATGCTTGTCATCCCAGCTACTTGAGAGGCTGAGGCTGGAGAGTCACTTGAACCTAGGAGGCAGAGGTTGCGGTGAGCCGAGATTGCACCATTGCACTCCAGCCTAAGTGACAAGAGCGAAATTCTGTCTCAAAAAAAAAAAAACCAGGCAATTAACAACAAAACAAAACTTGATATAATTGTGCAAATATCAGATAAAATATAAGTGAAAGTTGTGAGCTTATAGCATAGCCTTTGAAATACATAAAACAAAAACTGACAAAATAGCAAAGACATCTGTAACTAAATAAAGATATTTTAATAATATTTCTCTCATAAAATAAACAGACAAAAATTAGTAAGGCTAGAGAGGCTTTGACATAATTTTAGAAAGCTTTATCTAGTAATGTACACTGAACATTCCACCAAGCAAGCACAGATGGAAAAGATTACCTTGACCACCAATTCCTTCAACTAGAGCAAGCCTCAACTAATTTCAAAGTACACTTCAACATAATATAAATCACATTTTCTGAGCACAAGGCAACAAAACAGAAATAAATAACAAAAAATATTAACATATACATATTTAGAAACAAAAAAGCATACATCCAAATAATCCACAGGTTACAAACAAAATTGTGAGAGAAATTACAGAATATATAGAAATAAGTGAGTATAAAATCATTACTTGTCAAAACACTTAGGATACAACCAAAATATCATTTAGAGAGAAATTATTATGGTAAATGGTTTTAATAGAAATTATTCATTAATAAAAATTGATGAACTAAACATGAGCTCAAGATGATTAAAAAAGGAAAAATCTCAAGAGTAGGACACAATAATAAAAATGTCCTACTTTTATTAGGCAAAAATTAATGAAA
Organism: Homo sapiens; assembly: GCF_000001405.40. Classification (NCBI taxonomy): domain Eukaryota; kingdom Metazoa; phylum Chordata; class Mammalia; order Primates; family Hominidae; genus Homo; species Homo sapiens. Next base: position 3,530,436 of record NT_167248.2, on the reverse strand, counting down.
TGAAAAGTATTTAAAAATAACAGAATAATTTTGATTATTTTGAAACAAAATTAAAGAAAAGGAAAAGCACTAACAATACAAGGAACAAAATAGAAATGTGGAGAGAAAGCAAAATTTCCTCAAAATCATAAGAAAATGCACTAAAAAAATGGAAATACTGCAAAATGAATACTTTGTTAGCCTAGCCAAATCATCTATTTTGCCTGAGCACTTGACATTAAACATGACAGTCAGAAAAACCTTGTATCATGAGATAAACTGAGGATGGCAGGAGGTGAAAAAAGAAGGAAAGAAAACCAGAAGGAAGGGAAGGAGAGAAGGAGGGAGGGAGGGACAGACAACTTGCTTTATATGTTCTTAAATTGAATAATAGTTCCATTTAGCACTGCAACCTAAAATAAAGGCTTAAGTTCATATGCTTTACATTGCTGGCTTCCTAATGGAAACAATTTTAGTGCTGATTTTTACAATATTGATACACATAAATGTAAGTAACCAAACCCAGGTTTGGCTGCTTGCAGCTGAAAAGCCAGACATGAGAGACAAGGGTTGGTGGGATGAAAAGCAGATTATATTGGAGAGTCAGCAAACCGAGAAGATGGAGAACCAGCATTCTAAAGTACCACCCTTCTAATGTCTTTCAGGCTGGCTGGAGGGTTTCTATGGGAGGGGGGATATGGGGAAATTATGCGCAGGAGTTAGAATCAAGAGATGACTGAGGAACACAGAGATCTGGATGCCAGCAAGAGTCAGAGGAGGTTGGGAACGTCTTTGTCCTTGGTCAGGTCACAATGCTCCCGTAAATCTTTAACAAAACATAATTAGTTGTTTACATAATTCCCCCTTAGTCGTACAGTTAGTTTCAAAAATTCCATGATTGCTGTTTTTGCATTTTATCTTAGTGTTCTAAAATTGTCCTAACTTACATGCAGGAATGGGTGAAGGTCCTTTAAACAAAAAAAGAGTTCATGTTAGTTATTTTGCTGTTTCACTGTCATACAAATGTGTTATGACCCTTGCCAATATATAATTATGATGGAGAATTATTTTTCCACCAATGAGAATAATTGGCAAACTGACCAACTTTATAGATTATGCCCCTTAAACTCCTGCTATGTCTCTTATTAAGTGAGCCAGTTCTTCTGAAGACAGGACTTGCTTGCAAGCACTGCAACTTAAAAAAGAAAAGAAAAATGTTTCTCAGTTCCAATTTGCCTCCAGTTTTTATTGACAATACAGACCTTTAAAAAACATATGACCTGGCCAGGCGTGGTGGCTCATGCCTGTAATCCCAGCACTTTGGAAGGCCAAGGCAGGAGGATTGCCTGAGGTCAGGAGTTCGAGACCAGCCTGGCCAACATGGCAAAACCCCATCTCTACTAAAAATACAAAAATTAGCTGGGTGTGGTGGCACACACCTGTAATCCCAGCTACTTGGGAGGCTGAGGTAGGAGAATCGGGCTGCTTTTCTTCATGGCCCAATAACGAGATGCAGATGAACTGAGAAAGAAGACAGTTTTTATTTATATAAGTAGGTACAGAGAGAAGGCCTGGAAATTTTTGCCAGACCAACTGAAAATTACAAAGTTTTCCAGAGCCAATATACCTTCTAAGCTATATGTCTACGTGTAAGTGTGCATTCATCTAAAGACATAAGTCATTAACTTCTTCTAATCTGTGACTAAGATGTGAGTCCTGAAGGCTTTCCTCTAGAGCTTCAGTAAATTTACTTAATCTAAATGGGTCCAGGTGCTGGAGTGATTACCCTTATCTTGTCTCCTGCTAAATATGGAGTTCCTTCAGAAGACCCCCAATAAACTTGTTTGTGAAGGCCTGGGGAGTTTCTTCAGACCCCCCAATAAACTTGTTTTAATCCTAAACGGGTCCTGTTAAGAATTCCTTCGTAATCTTGTCATGCTTCAAGGCCCAGGAAAGGCCTAGGCAAACTCTTGGTGGGCTTGTTACATTCTAGCCTGGCTCTATCAGCTTTCAACATTTAACTTAACCACTCAGTCAGTGCTGAAACAGTTGTTATGGAGGCCTGCGTTAGCGAGACCTGCCCTGCCACAGTAAGGCAAAGAGTAAGTAAACTTAGTAATGGAAATCTAGAAGGAGAATACAATGAATGGTGAAGAAGAGAACAGATATTTTGAGATTAGAGACTGAAATAGGAAAAAAAGTAAAAGAAGCAAAACTTAAAATAAGTATTACTAACTCTTGAAGAGTTTTAAATTCTCATAAAAACTGAAAAGAAAAAGAAAAGGTGCTAAACTCAACTACATTTTAATTACAAATAAACTTTCTGTACTGTAAAAAAAATACAGTGAGAGCTGGTATAATGGTAGAGATTTGAAAGGAAGAGAAAACATGAAAAGACAAAAAAGACGATGAAGAGAGAACATAAATTAGTAACCTTTAACTATTAGCCAGTCTCCTGAAAGAATGTGACCTAGTTTAAGAATGTTTAAAAAAATATTTTATTTCATTAGAAAAAGTGGCCTTCACTTATATAACCCATCATACGTGCCATTCAAAATGGCCTGGATATTTAAGTTATTAAAGTGGAGTTAAAATTGACTTAATAAGAGATAGCATATTCCTAGAAGATTTAATGTTTCCCAAAGGTCTGTTTTCTGGTGTTCCAAGTGGATTTTCAATAGGAACTCAATACATAATTTAAAAAAAAACTGATTTGTTTTATTTTATTTTTAGCAATTGGTCCAATAGCAACCAGTAAGCTCCTACTGTTTTTCTCAGTTTCCTCTGGTCTTTTGTAGCATCTCGATTCCTTTATTTGCACTGACACTTTTGTTGTTTTTGGTTTCTATTTTGGTTTAGTTTGGGTCTTTCTTTCTTTCTTTTGTTCATTCGCTCGTTCTTTCTTCTTCCTTCCTTTCTTTCTTTCTTCTTCCTGTCTTTGTCTTTTAAATAAGTCAAAGGCCCACAGAAACAAGAAACCACATAGAAAGGACCAAAATCAATTTGTTCTTCTGGTTAGAGAGTTAAGTTGCAAAAGAGAAGCCAGAGGAAATAATGCTGGGAAAATATGCTGGGAAGACTATGGAAATAATACACTAAGAAGTTTGTATCACAGTCTGAAGCCACAGGGTCACAAGATGAAACTCCAAAAGATAAAAGGTAGAAATAATAAAAACTAGAAGATGTAGCAAATGGGAGTAGAAGAAGGGACAGACTGCAAAATGCAAACAGAGAAAACACTAAAATAGAATTCAAGATAAAAAAGAAAGATTGATCTTTGCCTTTTCCTCCATAAAGTTTATTACATCTAAACTTGGACCACTAGTGCTGCAGAGATTAAGCCTTTTCTGACTTCCCCTCCTTGAAAGAATTGGGACTTGCCTCTCATAACAATCAGGCATATCACAGAAATTTATTTTGTGTAGGTCTAAATACACCAATTTTTTCAAAAGATTACCAGAGTACATTAAAAACATGACCTAACTATATCCTATCTACAAGAAAGTCACCTCAAATTTAACAATAAAAGTAAAAAGAATGAAAAATATATGCCATGAAACATTAATTTTTTCAAAAAAAAAGGCAGATGTGGCTACATTAATATCACGTAAAGTGGACCTAAATGCAAAGAAATTTACCAGGGACAAAAGAGGGACATTATATCATGATAAAAATATCAATGCATCAAGAAGACAAAGAAATTCTACATATGTATGAACCAAACAACAGTGCTTCAAAACACACTGGGAAAAAAAAAAAACACGTACTAGAACTGAAGAGAAACAGAAAAACCCACAACTACAGTTGGAAAGTTTAATGCCTCATTCTCAGCAATTGCTATAACTACTAGATGGAACATGAAATAGGTGAGAGAATTAGCCAGGCAATATCTGAGGGGGGAATATTTCAATCAGAGAAGACAACAAGTAAACCACCCTAGGGTAGGAACATTTCCAGACTATTTGAGGAAAAGCAAGATAGCAAGTACCATATAGCTGGAACAGAATGAAAAGTGACATAAAAAGAAGCTATAAGAGAGATTTGGAGGGACAGATCTTCCAGGGCCATCTTTGAAAGCCACTGTTGTGATTTTGACTTTTGTTAAACCAAGATGGGGAACCATTGGTGGCTCTTAAGCAGGAGTCTTGCTGACACTTTAAAAGGGTCCCGCTAACTGCTGTACTGGGAACTGACTGGGAGGCAAGGGTGAAAGCAGAGAGCTCAATTAGAGAGACAACAATAAGTTGGACCACATAAAGGTGGTAAAAACTGTCAGGTTCTTATAACACACTAAGGGATCTGTTGTCTCATCATATTTCATTGTATTCTGCTAGAAGTCTTTATGGTACCCTAGAAAAAACAACTAGGGAATTGGGAGTAGGAAAGAACTGTACTTCTGTTCCAAAAATGCTGCCATTAACCTATTTTCTTGTTTTGATTTTCAGGAATACCTCAAGTTCACACTAGTAAGTTCCTAATATATTTTTATTACATTAGTTTCTTGTAGGGCTGGGGTGAGCAAATTTTTTCTACAAATGTTTTTAATGTTTTATGTTTGTTTTTGTTTGCTGGGTTTTTGTGTTTTTTGGTTTGTTTGGTGTTTTTGGTTTTGTTTTGTTCTGAGACAGGGTCTTGCTCTGTCACCTAGCCTGGAGTGCAGTGGTGTGATCATAGTTCACTACAACCTCCACTCCTGGGCTCAAGCAATTCTCCTGCCTCAGCCTCCTGAGTAGCTGGGACTACAGATGTGTGCCACCATGCTTGGCTAACTTTTTTTTATTTTTTGTAGAAACTGAGTCTTGCTATGTTGCCTAGGCTGGTCTCAAAGTCCTGGCCTCAAACGATCCCCTTGCCTTAGCCTCCTAAAGTGCTGGGATTACAGGTATAAGCCACCATGCCCAGCCAAATATTTTAAATTTTATAAGCCTTAAAGTCTCTGTCACAACTACTCAACCCTGCTGTTGTAGCACAAAAACAGTCATAGACAATATATAAAAGAATGAGCATGGGTATGTCCCAATAAAATACTATTTTAGACATTGAAATTTGAATTTCATACAATTTTCATGTGCCACAAAATATTATTATTATTATTATTATTATTATTATTTCAACTATTTAAATATGTAAAATCCATTCTTACCTCACAGGACATGCAAAAATAGCATGTCCTAGATGCTATTTTTATTTGGAAAACTAGATTTATATGGAAAAACTAGATTTATTCCATGGGCTGTATTTTGCCAACTCCCATTTTTAAATACCCTAACTCCACATATGTATCTCTGGTAAACAATCCTGGTATATGTTTCTTACAGTTTCATGCTTTCTTATTATTCTGTGCTTTTTTTTTTTTTTAAAACAGCGTTTCACTCACCCAGGCTAGAGTGCACTGGTGTGATCATGGCCCACTGCAGCCTTGACTTCCTAAGCAATCCTCCCACCTCAGCTTTCTGAGCAGCTGGGACTACAGGTGCTTGCCACCATACCCAGCTAATTTTTTCTTTTTTTTTTTGCAGAGATGGGGATCTCATTATGTTGCCCAGGCTGGTCTTGAACTCCTAGGCTCAAGCCATCCGCCTGCCTCACAGCCTTCCAAAGTGCTGGGATTACAGGCATGAGCCACGGCGCCAGCCTATTTTGTGCTTTCTATGTTAGGTTTATCAAGTAACATCAACACAAGAGATATACCTATATTTCAGTACTTGGTAACAACTGTATCTTAAATATTTCGTACCAGGCCAGGCATGGTGGCTTACACCTGTAATCCCAGCACTTTGAGAAGCCAAAGCAGGTGGATCGCTGGAGCTCAGGGTTCCAGACCAGCCTGGGCAACGTGATGAAACTCCGTCTCTACAAAAAAATACAAAAATTAGCTGGGTGTGGTAGCACGCACCTGTAGTCCCAGCTACTCAGGAGGCTGAAACTGGAGGATCGCTTGAACCCCGGAAGTGGAAGCTGCAGTGAGCCATGTTCATGCCACTGCACTGCAGCCTGGGAGACTGAGACCCTGTCTCAAAAAAATATATTAAAAAAAAATTCGTATCAATGTCAAAAAATAATGTTAGCACACATCTTCTAAGCAAGACCATTATATGTCCTATATTTTATAAATTGTAATCTTGACATTCTAGACAAAATTGATAATGATCAATGATAAGTAAAGGTGATTTAAAGTAGCTTATCACAAGGTCTTTGTAAACTACACTGGGCAAAGAGAAGGGGGAAGGGAAATGAAGTTTCTTCACATTTAAATAAATGAAATTTAGTTGTTAATGACACAGATCCCACTCAATGCAGAGGTTTGGGGACTGGGAAGAAGGGAATGCCCAGTACCTACTGATGTGTTTGCCTTTATCTCTTTCAGTGGACAGTTCTGGAAAAATCAGTAAGTTTGGATCATTTCCTTGCCTTACCTATTTCTGTGCCTAGGACCTTTAAGTTCTTTTTCCCAAATGTTCTTGTGTTACGAGTTCCTCTACCTTACAGCAGTCAATATTTCTTCAATAAGTGATTTCCTCATATTTCAATTTTAATTCTTCTTATCTATTTTCCTTTTGTAACAAAGTATAATGGTCTTGTGTTTGATTCTAGTTATTTACTACCAAAGATTATTGGTAGCATATATTCCCAGCTAATCTATCACAACAGAGCCTATTTCCTCTGTGCTATAATCTGGCAACTAATAATTTTTACTAAAAAAGAAAATCCTCTAAGATTGACAAAAAGAATATGTGTCAGGACTAGATGTGATTTTGGTAATTGATCAACAATATACATTTTTCAAACGGACCAGAACAGTGAGCAAAAAACTGTTTTGCAGAAGACATATGAAAGACTTATCAAAGAACAAAGAAAGGCAGGAAATACAATAGTTTGAATTTCAGTAGAAGTGATTTTACCTACCCAAGATTTCAAATGCCTATATTAATTAAATGGCATCCTAAAGATAACCCTCTGTGTGGAGTGCGATATGGAGCATTGGCCAGCAACACTCCTGAGGATGAAACAGAGTTTTGTGCTCCCTCCAAGTCCTGTTTCTAAGTTCACCTAGGAAGGATACTATTGGAAGGTGGGTTTCTCTTGAGTTAGAAAATCCTCACTGATCTTTCTTTTGTGTTTTGTTTTTAGCACTGACTCCTGTGGGTAAGTTCCATATCTATTCTCAACTCTGATATTTTACATTGCTTTTAATTCTTTTGTGACCTGTCTGTTTCTACTCCCAAAATAGAGGCCTGTGCTTCTAAGGCCAATTTGAATGTTCCTATCTTCCAGAAACTTCCAAGGTTCCCCCCCGCCCTCCACTTTTCTTTTTGAGACAGGATCTCACTATGTTGCCCAGGTTGGTCTTGAATTCCTGGGCTCAAGTGATCCTCCTGCCTCAGCCTCCCAAAGTGCTGGGATTGCAGGTGTGAGCAACTGTGCCAGGCCCCAAGTTTTTAAATAACTACAATTTAAGAGATTGCTGTAGAGAAGATGAAGCTCATATGAAAGGGTGCCACAATCTCTGGCCATCTTCTAGGCTCTGAAAAAGAATCTCCTCCCTGATTCTCAGGAAAACATAATGAAAGGAAGATTGGTTTCTGAATTCCATTAGTTATTTGCTGGGAATTTAGAACTTTTTTTTAGTTATAGGTGAAGTCCCTCTGAATCATATTAATGGGGGAAAAAAACTAGTTAAAAACAAAATACCATCTCCTTTCTATTGCCTTCTAAATAACTACCTTTGAAAGACAGTAGGTATTGAGCATTGACTATGTATTTGTGCACTGTGCTAGGCACTTACAAAAGTAACATCTCTTATTCTTACCATATGCCTGCCTGGTAGGTATTATTATTCCCCATTTTACAGATTAGGAAACTAACTCAGGTATTTACCCAAGGTTAAAGAGTTGGTAAACATTGGTGTCAGGATTTAAACCCAGGATGTCCTATCTCCAAAATACACACTCTTCCCACTCTTCCCATACTAACACATTGCCTCCTATACTGAATCACAAATGCATTTTTTGTGATTAGTCAGGAAACTTTATGGAATGTTTGCAAATACAAATATACATCTACAGAAAAGCTGGATAACTAAATGTACACAAAAGGATCCTTTTAAAAATAGAAGACCGCATTTAAATCAATGTTTGACTTTTTTAACTGTTTTCTGGATTCAGATTTATCTCTATTGGGATTACTTAATATATGACTCAGCTCTTCAAGCAAGGAAACCATACAAAACAAAGTAGAATAATAACTTTTAATTCTGTAAACATATGATCAAAAGAAGCAAATAAGACTTAAACCTAGTGAGACACGTTTCAAGCATTTCAAACATTCCAAACACTGACACAAACACAAAATATGTCCTTATATTTAATCGTGTTTAAGCCTCATTCTTCTTTCTCAGTTCACACTAGAAAGAGAGTGGGTTTGGAGGGAAAGGAAGGCAGGGAGATGAAGTTGAAAGGGGCAATTAATTAATTTTTTTTTTTTTGGACAAAGTTTCGTTCTTGTCGCCCAAGCTGGAGTGCAATGGCACGATCTTGCCTCACTGCAACCTCTGCCTCACGGGTTCAAGTGATTCTCCTGCCTCAGCCTCCCAAGTAGCTGGGATTACAGGCATGTGCCACCATGCCCAGCTAATTTTGTATTTTTAATAGAGACAGGGTTTCACTATGTTGGTCAGGCTGGTCTCGAACTCCTGACCTCAGGTGATCTGCCCACTTCAGCATCCCAAAGTGCTGGGATTACAGGCGTGAGCCACTGCACCCAGCCGGGGAAATTAATTTCTTTTGATTCATGGTACAAGAAACAGTATGCATTCAGAATAATTATAATGCGCCAACATCCCTCAAATGCTCTCCTCACATAGAAAAAGTGATAGGACTGTGATCTTGTGAGTTTCTCTTACAAAAAAAAAAGGTGGGCTCTGATGATTGATGTTGTATGTCAACTTGACTCAGAAGAACCCTGACTAATACAAGGGCTCTGAGAAGGGATCACAGGCCAAGTCTCTTCCCAGAGGTAATAAATTTTTAATGAATACTAATTTTTTAAGTTGCCAGAGAAAAATCTGTTTAATCTTTTAAAAAATTTTTTGTAAAAGACATATTCTTATTGATATACTCTTTCAAACACATTTTTCCCAATTGATTGTTTTTCTATTTTTTTAAAAAAATAGAGATGGGGTCTCACTATGTTGCCCAGGCTGGCCTCGAACTCCTGGCCTCAAGCGATCCTCCCATCTCAGCCTCCCAAAGTGCTAGGATTACAGGTGTGAGCCACTGCATCGGCCCCAGTTGATATTTTTAGAAAAAGGAGGTTAAGGTTTAAGTCAATGTTCAAAGAAAGGTTTAAGATAGATTAAACCAACAAACATCATCATCCCAGCAAACTGAGTCTCTTATTTCTCACCTCCTCATTCAACTAATAAGTATATGATCTTTTAAAATGTAATTCATAGCCTGAGAACTATAATGATTTATCCCTCTGATACTGAATAGATCTTTTACAGTCTAGATCCAATTGTGCTCTCCCTGACAACCACTGGATTAAGAACCTAAGATTAGTTTCCTAATAAAGCCCACATTCTATTTTCTATGTTAAGTATCATTTAGATAGAATTGTTAATGTGATAGCTATTTCATGATATCTTTTAGCTTTAACAAAAATTAATCCAATTTAAAAATTTTAATAATTACTTTTTATTCAGCTTGAATATATTATGATGATCCCCAAAGTCTTGATTAAATCTTTTGATTGTATTAAAATTTTGTAGTATGGGCTACTGCCTGCAATAAATGTACTTGCAGCCAGGGCTTCCAAGTCTTTATATTATGAAGATTTACACTGTATGTGTTAGATGATTATGAGGTCCAAGAGAAGGAAAAGATGTATGAACTATCTTGAAATCTGGGAGAAGGAAGAAAAGAACTTAGAATGTGGTGGAATAATGATTTGTGGCTTACTTCTGCAATGCAAAGTTGAAATAAAAGTGAACCTCACTTTATGGGATAGCTAGATTACTCAAAAATAAATCCTGTAAATCTAATCTATGTTAATTAAATTCAAGATTTAAAAGATGACAGCAAATATATTAAAATAAGGGTATGAAGATTCTATTAGAAGTAACTAGAGGTATTTTTCAGTGTAGTGGGAGAAAGAATAAAAAGTTTTTTAATTCTGTGAAATTAGGAAAGGTGTAGCTAGAATAAACACTGGGTGCTTCAGGAAATCCTATAATACTTAATTTTGGTTTACAAAGCCTATATAATTTAGAAGGTAAATTTAGGTTAAAATGAGTCATGAAGTATTACACACAGTAGCAAATAATTACCCCCAAGGGATAGTAAAACTAAAAATATTCATAGCTTAAGGAAAATCAGCTTATGTGAGGAGTACATTCCATGAAATTCTTAAGGTTAGAAACTTCAGCGGAGCATGATCTTACCATTCCACACCACCATACCCCTAAACAAAACAAAACAAAACAGTGTCCACTGGTAGCACTGTCGAAGATCAAAATATTCTGAACTATTTTTCTCAATTTAGCAATGCTTGAAATATATTACCACTGATTTTCATTAGGAAACTGAAAATTGATTGTCTAGAATAAAATGTCAGTAACCATATTTTAATGAAGAACTCTAGGTGGGGACATATACAAAAAGGTTCAGAAAACATTACTGTAATTTTCCTAATGTTATTTTTATTTGGATGTCAACAGCTGAAAATAATAAAAGAAAACACTGAACTACAACAACTCTTTTGATTTATAATTAGTTTCTTATCTAATACAGGTGTGCCTCATTTTTATAATTGATAAAATTCTGAAGTTATGTGTATGCCAATTTTTCAAACATCAAACCCTAAATGTAAAAAACGAAAAGTCCAATAATTCACTTTTAAGCAAGAAATTTTCCTGTAATTGGCTGGGTGTGGTGGCTCACGCCTGTAATCCCAGCACTTTGGGAGGCCGAGGCAGGTGGATCACCTGAGGTCAGGAGTTCAAGACCAGCCTGACCAACATGGAGAAACCCCATCTCTACTAAAAATACAAAATTAGCCGGGTGTGGTGGCACATGCCTGTAATCCCAGCTACTTGGGAGGCTGAGGCAGGAGAATCCCTTGAACTCGGGAGGCAAAGGTTGCGGTGAGCCGAGATCGTGCCATTGCACTCCAGCCTGGGCAACAAGAGCGAAACTCCATCTCAAAAAAAAAAAAAAAAAAGAAATTTTCCTGTAATACAATTAACCACTCCTGTAAATTATTTGTTGGAAACTAAGAATGCCTTGTCTTGATTGAATTAGAGAGTTTTTTCCTGTACTATCTCATTGGGAAGTAGTAATGGCCAATATTTATTGACTACTTATGTCCCATGCACTGTACCAAGTGCTTTTATTTAGATAACATTATTTAATCTCATAACACCTCTTTGAGGTAGCTACTACTATTGCCCCCATTTTACAGACAGAAAGTAAAGTTTGCCAAAGGTCACCCAGCTAGGCAGGTGCGGAGGCAGGATTTGAACCAGTCTGTCTCCAAAGGCTATGTTACTTTAACATTTGTCTACAATATTTAGTAACTCTACAAAGTGAGCAGATCAAACTAAATATAAAAACAGTGAATCTTTGAGGATTAACTGATTTACCTTAATAAACCCATTAAACCCAGCTAGCAGGAATAATAAACCTAGGTCTTCTTTTTTTTTTGTGTGTGTGTGTGTGTGTGTGAGATGGAGTATCGCTCTGTCACCTAGACTGGAGTGCAGTGGTGCAATCCCAGCCCACTGCAACCCCTGCCTCCCGGGTTCAAGCGATTCTCCTGCCTCAGCCTCATGAGTAGCTGGGGTTACAGGTGTGTGCCACCATGCCTGGCTAATTTTTGTATTTTTAGTAGAGATCAGGTTTCACCATGTTGGCCAGGCTGGTCTCCAACTCCCAACCTCAAGTGATCCGCCCACTTTGGCCTCCCAAGGTGCTGGGATTACAAGTGTGAGCCACTGCCCCCAGCCCAAGTCTTCTGATTCAGCTTTTATATTCAGTATTCTTTCTACTATAGTAAATATTAAATATTAGATTTTCTCAAAGCAAGACATCCCTCTGCTCCACGGCAAGAACCCACACAATTCCTTGGTGGCTCAGATATTTCTTTTACTTAATTCAGGGAACCATATTACTTAAAAAAAACAAAAGCAAATAAAAAATACCTAGCAGAAGCCAATAAATTCAGGTTTGTTAAATCACACAGGAATTGAGACGTAACAGCTGATTTACCTGAACATGATCAAAGGACCTGAAATTTTTGCAGAGTTTGCAGATATTGCAAGAAGTAGTCTACAGTAATGATCAAAACTGAACACTGGAGTCTGACTACTCAGATTCAAATCCCAGCTCCACCACCTACTGATTACATAACCTTATTCATATTCATTTAAGCATTCTGTGCCTCAGTTTCTTCATCTGTAAAATGAGGTTAATAATACCCTACCTGGTTGTTGTGAGTATCAAATGATTTAATACATAAAGTGCTTAGAGCAGTGAGTACTTGGTATGTGGTAAGCACTTAATAATTATCAGCTAGTACTGTTATTACTTTTGCATAATAAGATATGCTTTTATTCAATATGGAAAGCATTTTTGAGTTTCCTTTTTCTGTCTTGAGAAATATAATTATTGCTTCCTCCCACAATTTTTCCTTAAAACAAATTCTATTTCTTTTCAGAATACATCCTCTGTTAGCCACTAAGCATTATTCATTAGCCATAATCCACTGAACAAATGTCAGTTCATTTACAGTACATTTTACCTTTTCTCTCATTAATCTTCCAAATTATTGAAAATAGTCCAGAATTTTATCGATACTTTTATAATTTTATGTACAGAGAACCATCATTTTAGATAACTTGAGATTCAGAAAAATTTTAGTTTGTCAGTTTTAAGACAAAAAAGGAACCAGTATCAAGGGGAAAAAAATAGAAATAAAGAGAAAATACTTGATATCTAAATCACGCCCTTTTGTTGTATGCTCAGTTATATTAACAGGTTACATGGATGAAGAACTTGCAAAAAAATCTTGTTCCAAAATCCAGATTCTAAAATGTGGAGGCACTGCAAGGTCTCAGAATAGCCGAGAAGAAAACAAGGAAGCACTAAAGAATGACATCATATTTACGAATTCTGTAGAATCCTTGAAATCAGCACACATAAAGGAGCCAGAAAGAGAAGGAAAAGGCACTGATTTAGAGAAAGACAAAATAGGAATGGAGGTCAAGGTAGACAGTGACGCTGGAATACCAAAAAGACAGGAAACCCAACTAAAAATCAGTGAGATGAGTATACCACAAGGACAGGGAGCCCAAATAAAGAAAAGTGTGTCAGATGTACCAAGAGGACAGGAGTCCCAAGTAAAGAAGAGTGAGTCAGGTGTCCCAAAAGGACAAGAAGCCCAAGTAACGAAGAGTGGGTTGGTTGTACTGAAAGGACAGGAAGCCCAGGTAGAGAAGAGTGAGATGGGTGTGCCAAGAAGACAGGAATCCCAAGTAAAGAAGAGTCAGTCTGGTGTCTCAAAGGGACAGGAAGCCCAGGTAAAGAAGAGGGAGTCAGTTGTACTGAAAGGACAGGAAGCCCAGGTAGAGAAGAGTGAGTTGAAGGTACCAAAAGGACAAGAAGGCCAAGTAGAGAAGACTGAGGCAGATGTGCCAAAGGAACAAGAGGTCCAAGAAAAGAAGAGTGAGGCAGGTGTACTGAAAGGACCAGAATCCCAAGTAAAGAACACTGAGGTGAGTGTACCAGAAACACTGGAATCCCAAGTAAAGAAGAGTGAGTCAGGTGTACTAAAAGGACAGGAAGCCCAAGAAAAGAAGGAGAGTTTTGAGGATAAAGGAAATAATGATAAAGAAAAGGAGAGAGATGCAGAGAAAGATCCAAATAAAAAAGAAAAAGGTGACAAAAACACAAAAGGTGACAAAGGAAAGGACAAAGTTAAAGGAAAGAGAGAATCAGAAATCAATGGTGAAAAATCAAAAGGCTCGAAAAGGGCGAAGGCAAATACAGGAAGGAAGTACAACAAAAAAGTGGAAGAGTAAGGATAAATTTTTTAAAGGCCCATAAGACAAGTGATTATTATGATTCCCATACTCCAGATACAAACCATATCCCAGCCATTGCCTAAACAGATTACAATTATAAAATCCCTTTCATCTTCATATCACAGTTTCTGCTCTTCAGAAGTTTCACCCTTTTTAATCTCTCAGCCACAAACCTCAGTTTCCAAATATTTGTTTTATAAGTTAAGACGTATATGATTCCGTCAAGAAAGACTGGATACTTTCTGAAGTAAAACATTTTAATTAAAGAAATATATAGTAATTTCCTTTGACAAGTATGTCTATGATAGCCTTTCCAACCAATCAACCAGTAACTCCTCATGGCAAGCCTAATGTTTGCAAGGCACTGGTCTAGCAATAAGGGGTGTACAGAAAAACACAAGTCAAAGCTCCTGCAATCAAGTAGCTTATAACATATATAGTGATATATGTATACATGGCAATTTTTTAAGTAAAATCTAAGTTAGAAAAAGTTTAGATGGACAACATAATCCATCATGGGATGAGAAAGTAGAGGTGGTAACTTCATGGGGAAGGGAGTAGTGGTATACAATATGTCACAGCAGATGGATAAGGTGTTGATATGCTGAGTGAATTACAAAGAGTAAAAGAAAGGTAAAGGGTTAAAGGCTGTCGTGCCATGCTCCAGGTGCAGTAGGCAATTTTGCTGTTACGGAAGATTCATGGGAGGCATCCTGGGGTATAATTTTGAAAAGGAGAATATAAAAGGATTTGAAAAACAAGCCAGGAATTTATATTTTACTCTTCAGGCAGCTGGAAGCATTCTACAATGTTTGAGACACAGAGTGAAATGAATAAGGTTGTATCATTTTAAAAATAAGGTTGTATCATGTGATTGTGAAAAATAAGATAGAAAAAGAAACATCATAGATAGTAAATCTAATTAAGAAGTACTTGGAGTAAGTAATGGAAAGAGAATAAATAGGAAAAAAATCAAAGAAGAATCATTACTTCATGATGACTGACTGCATAGGAGTAAGGAAAAGTGAAAAAAACAATGGTTTCAAAACTTTTGAAACTAGGTAACAAACAAACTAGGAACTAATTTGGGGGACAGGGAGGGAACAACAAATTGTTTTAAGGGGATAAGCAATAACATTTGTCATTCAAGAGATATCTGGAATTAGATGAGTACAGGTAACAATTGAAGCAATAAGAGTGAGTTCTTCAAAGGAGGAAGTACAGGACTAACGAAAGCAGAAGTCCAAGGACTGAGTTTGTTATATGTAATATATTGAAGAAATTTAACTAAGGGATAGGAAGATAGAAGGAAAACCTGTATAGTGGAATGTTCCAATAATTAAGGAAGATGAGAGTTTTGAGAAAAAAATGACTGAGACTTCAAGGAAAATAAGGACTGAAAGAACACTGTAGTTGCTATTTGGAGCTGACTAATGAACTTCTAAAGAGCACTTTCCAAAGAAAGGAAGCTAGGAGAAGGAAGGTAAGCAGGAAGAATATAGAGATACAAGTAAGTAGTTGTGGGATGTGCCTTTCAAACATCCAACAGAGTTAACTTATTTTAGTCTATTTTAAAATAATCATTTTTAGAAATTTTATTTTTATACTGTTCAATACTGTGCTGGTTAGCCCACACCCTGAATATACATTTAGTTCAATCATGGGATGTGGATAAACTAAATGCCTTCAGGAGAGAAAGACTCAAGTGTGCAGGAAGTTGCAGAATTCCCCTGGGAAGACAAATATGAGGAAACAATGAGAATTACTTTCAAATAGTGAAAGTTCATAAGGGATTAGAATATTTTGTATAGCCCCAAAGAAATGAGATCAGTGAATGGAAGGTACAAAGTAACAAATTTTATCTTAGTAATAAGGAGAAGTGGAGGTCCAAAGAGTTTAAGCAAGAGTTTAAGGCTCATTCAGTGAGAATGCCATAGAGGAGACTCAGGAAACAGCTGAGTAATTGGAATAAGTTATCTTTATGGTCCCTTCCAAATAGACTTCCTGAGAGTCTATAATTCTAGTTATCAAATTCTTTGGACTAACTAGATGTCTTCCAAGGAAGCTTTTCATACTGATATGCTATTCTTTGGAGGCGTTTGATGAAAAAAGGAGAGAAACCAGACATTAGTCTCTGCCCAAAGTATAAAATGTTTCATAAATGTTTCAGGCTACCCAATCACAACCTTAAAAGAGTATCTCCATAACTTCTAGCACAATCTAATCCACTGTATGGCTGTCTACTGTGTTCTCACAGCCCTGCCGCAGGTATGGAAGCCTATGTTAATTTTAGAAGTCACAGAATCCTCAGGTCTTTGATGAGCTGCACAGGTTTAGCAAAACTGAGTTGCCAGAGAGAGAGAGAGTGAGAGAGAAGAAGACAGATATTAAACATGGATTTTAATATTGTAAGTTGCTTTTGTCATCTGTGGAAAATACACATTTAGAGATTTTACCAGCCTTTGTTGGCATGTCTTTTACATACATTATGCTGTTATCAGGGAACATTTTTGACCAGAAAGATTTTCACATAGTTAAAAGTATTAGATTTTCATCATTCTCATGTCATTTTTCCTATAGCCCCTCTGGTCCATGTGACAGCTAACTAGTAGGTTGTTTGTTTGCTTGTTTGTTTTTCCTCACTCTTCACCCAGGCTGGAGTGCAGTGGCATGATCTTGGCTCACTGCAACCTCCTCCTCCTGGGTTCAAGCGATTCTCATGCCTCAGCCTCCTAAGTAGCTGGGATTACAGGAGTGCACCACCAAGCCCAGCTAATTAGTGTATTTTTAGTAGAGATGGGGTTTCACCATGTTGTCCAGGCTGGTCTCAAACTCCTGACCTCAGGTGATCCACCGCCTCAGCCTCCCAAAGTGCTGGGATTACAGGCGTGAGCCACTGTGCCCAGCCACTACTAGGTTTTAGAAGGGTATGACTAATTCAACTTCTCTCAGATTTCTGGTAAGAAGCAGGGACCTTGTCAAGGCAATTACTAAAAAACAGTAGATAGGCTTCAGCAACCCAGCTCAGCTGACTCCATATCTGTGTGTATGTCCCACTGAAGCAAGAATTCAGAAGAGATAGATCTATAGAAACCTCCCTGTATCTTCTCCATAACTTCTAACTTGGGGTCAAAACATTTGCACTCCCACTAGGTCTTTGAAGGCAAGTAAATCATACAATAGAATACTCCAACTATAAAAATTCTGTGGACCATTTTCTAAAGGCCACTGAAAAACTGACAAATTTAAAGCAATTGTTAACCCTCCTGTAAAGATACACATGTGGAAATCTTAAAGGACCCCAAACAAAGGAAGGGAGAAAGGACAAGCTATCAAAATGACACCATGTTTAACAAAATGATGAAAATTTTAAGAAAATACATAAATATATACTTCTAAGATAGTGGCAATATAAAAGTAGGAATGTGAAACTTACCTTAAGAAATCAATAGTAAATTTTGTTTTGCAAATAAACTAATACAAATGTCAAATGTCCTGTTCACAAGAATGGAATAGAAGTCAATTCAATTAGTCATTTTTCATTTAGGAGCAGAACATAGGAAAGAAAAGCAGAAAGGTGAGTTTAGAGATAATGAAGCTGAATGAGAAACACAAAATATTAGGAAACAAACAATTTATGTAAAATCAGTTAATGCGGCTCCTATCCCAATTAAAGACTCCCTGAGTTAGTAGTGCATTAAAAATGCAATTTCCTGGCTGGGTGTGGGGCTCATGTCTGTAATTCCAGCACTTTGGGAGGCCGAGGAGGGTAGATCATGAGATCAGAAGTTCAAGACCAGCCTGGCCAACATGGGGAAACCCGTCTCTACTAAAAATACAAAAATTAGCCAGGCGTGGTGGTGCACACCTGTAGTCCCAGCTACTCAGGAGGCTGAGGCAGGAGAATTGCTTGAACCCGGGAGGCAGAGGTTACAGTGAGCCGAGATCGTGCCACTGCACTCCAGCCTGGGCGACAGAGTGAGACTCTGTCTCAAAAAATAAAAATAAAAAAATGCAATTTCCCATTTTCCCCTAAATATCTCTCACCCTAGGTTATAACTGACATATCAAGGAAGTGAATACAGGGAACCGAGAAAGGGGACAAGATATAGAAGGAAAAAACAGGATCCAAAGGAATAAAAGAATAAGCTGAAAAATTGATCAAAATATTCAGTTTTATATTTGATGAGATTCCTTTACTCTCCCCCTTAAAAACAATCAGGAATAGGAAAAAAACAACTAGTGTTCCTACACTCTACTTGAGAAGTTCCAATTGTGGTTTTGAAGAAATACAAGCCTGTAATCTTAGTGTTTCAGGAATAAAGACACTCTTATCTATCATCATCCAGAAGCTTGAGCACTTGCCAAGACCGGGAAGTCAAACCTGAGATGCCACACTACAGATTATACACGTTGTAAGCTAGGTCTCAATAAATTTTCTATTCAAATCTTTATTAAGTTTCTCTCTTCAAAAATTAAAAACTCACAGTGTTAAGTTTCTATGAATCTCTCCACATCTTAATCCATGTTTATATAAAAATATATGCAAATATGAGTATATGTAGGAATTTTTTTCTAAAAATAGGGTCAAACTATATACATAATTCTGCAACTTGTCTTCTTCGCCTAACAATACATCATGGGCAACACATCAATCTAACATTTTAATAGCACAGCATCCAGTAGTGTGAATGAATTACTGCTTATTCAACCATTTCCTTAAAGATAGACATTTAGCTTGTTTCCAACCTTTTGCCTTTGGCTAAATGATTCTGCCATTGCCAAATGATACTGCAATACACATCTCTATATATGATCAGGATTTTATTTCTCTAGGATAGATTTCCAGAAGTAGAACTGCCAGATCAAAAGAAATGTGTATTTTAATGTTAATAGATATTACCTAATTCCTTTTCCCCAAATTTGTAATAATTCATATTCCTACAGGAAGATATGAGAGTCCTATCTTCCCCATACTTGCACTGGTGCTGGAAGCGGTAGCTATTTTTAATCTTTGTCTATTGAGAAAAGTGGTATCTAACTGTTTCTTTAATTGTATTTTCCTGACTACTAGTGAGACTGAACATTTTTTCATAAGTTTAATCGTATTTTGAATTTTCTCTCCTGTGATTTAATTGCTTTTCAAACTGGTGGTTTGCCCTTTGTCTTACTCAGTTTTATGTGTTTTTGCATATTAAGTTTTTATCTGCCATTTGTGTTGAAAATGTTTTCCCAATCTACTCATTCTTTCTCTACATCCAATTCATCAACCTGTACCCTAAAATTATATCTTGAATCTGACTACTACTCATCTCCTTCATCAAGAAGTCCAAACCATCGCCATACCTCACCTGCATTGCTGTGCCTGCTTCCAAACTGAGCTTCCCAATCCCACTCCCCACTCCCAACGGAATCGTGCTTTCAAAATATAAATCAGATGAAGTCACTTCTCTACTCAAAACTCTCCAAAGACCAACCCCCATCAGCGTAAAAATTGCAAAGTTGTTTTTTTGTTTCTTTGTTTGTTAGTTTGAGATAGGGTCTCGAGCTGTTGCCCAGGCTGGAGTGCACTGGCATGATCACAGCTCACTGCAACCTCAACCTCCCAGGCTCAAGCAATCCTTCCATTTGGCCTCCTGAGTAGTTGGGACTACAAATGCACGCCACCATGCCCAACTAATTTTTTATTTTTTAGGTTTGCTAGAGATGAGGTCTTATGTTGCCCAGGCTGGTCTCAAACTCCTGGGCTCAAGCAACCCTCCTGCCTCAGCCTCCCAAAGTGCTGGGATTAGGCTGAGCCACCAGGCCCAGCTTCATGAAAGTTCTTATCCTGGCCTTGAAGGCCTTACAGTATCTAGCTTCTGGCTTCTCCTCTAGCCTCATCACCCACTCTCCATCTCCCTTCCATTGATGCAGCCACACTGGCCTCCTCATTTCTCCTCATGCCTGCCAAGCATGTTCTTGCTTCAGAATCAGCCTGAACACTCCCCCTCAAACATATGCACTACTCAATTATTTTAAGAAATATGCTTAAATTTGACTACCCTAAGTAAAACAGTACCCCCCATTCTCTATCTCTTTGCCCTGATGTATCTTTATTACTAGCATTTATCACCTGACATCATATATTTATTTTTGTTTATTGACTTTCTGCCCCACAAGAATGTAAACTCTAAGGGACTTTGTTCACTGCTGAATCTCCATGCTTAGAAAAGTGCCTCGCACATAGTAGATGCTCATCAAAGATTTGTTAACTGACATGAAGTAGATTAAATGAAGGTACATTTTACTATACAAAAATATATTTCATCTAGTCAAATATGTCTGCCTTATCCTCGGAAACTTCTGGGCTTTCTAAAGGGTCTCTTTGGAATGCATATACATGATTAATGAGAATGTAAGTTAGTTCAGCCACTGTGGAAAGCAGTTTGGATATTTCTCAAATAACTAAAAGAACTACCATTTGGCCCAGCAATCCCATTACATATATATATATATATATATATATATAAAACACTCAAAGAAAAATTATTCTACCAAAAAGACACGTGCGTTCATATGTTCATCGCAGTGCTATTCACAATAGCAAAGACACGGAATCAACTTAGGTGCCCATCAGTAGTGGACTGGATAAAGAAATGTGGTACATATATACCATGGAATACTACCCAGCCATTAACAAGAATGAAATGTCCTTTGCAGCCACACAGATGCAGCTGGAGGCCATTATCCTATGCTAATTAACACAGAAACAAAACCAAATACAGCTTGTTCTCACAAGTGGGAGCTAAACATTGGGTACACATGAACATAAAGATGGGAACAATAGATACTGGAGACAAGAAGAGAGGGGAAGAAGAGAGGAGGATGAGGGTTGAAAATCTACCTATTGGCTACTATGCTCACTACCTGAGTGACAGGATCATTCATATTCCAAACCTCAGCATTATACAATACTCACAGGTAACAAACCTCCACATGTACTTGCTGAATCTAAAATAAAGTTGAAAAAATAAAATAAAATAAATAAATAAATAAATAAATAAATGGTCTCCTTGACTACTATGGTACACATATTTATAGTCACTTAATTTTTTTCTCTTTTATAATTTTTATTTTCTATTTCTCTTCAATTAAATATTTAATCCATTTTGTTTATGGTGTGAACAGAGGTTTCACTTTTTTTCCTTCTTGACAGATATCAAATTATATCAGTAGCATTTGTAGAGTCAATTATTCTTTTTCCCCTAAATCATGCATTCTCAACAGGGGCCACATTGCCCTCCAAGGGTCAAAAACGAGTTCTGGGTGGATCAAGAAATCCAATGATTTATTGCGATTTATTCTTTTCAGGTATAAATCACAGATGTTCAGTATCCTAAGACTTTGCTGAAGTTGCTTATCAGCTTATGTATAAAGTACATAAGCAGATATATAGACAATAAAATACACAAGCAGATATACAGTATATTGGTAATATTACAATTTTGTAAAGTGAGGCAATTAGGATAAAAACGTCATATCATACTGCTTTGATTATACAGGGTATATAGAAAGTTTGAGTATCTATTAAGCATGTCTCATTCTGCTCTTTGTTCTTTGTTTTCTTGGCTCTTTTGGAATATGTTCCACCACATGAACTTTAATTTTACCTGACTCCCCTCTAAAAAAAATAGCATTCTGGCTGAAAATGAGTTAACTATTTGGAGATATTTGACATTATTGTTATTACTGAAGTCACTTCACCCAGAAATGTTGTATGAGTCTTCATTGGTTTAGGTCTTCATATTGGTGCTTTCACAAGACTTTACAATTGGTGCTTTCTGAAAAGTTTACAGACTTCTTCATATTAGTTCTTGTTATATTTACTCCTAGGTACCTATAATGTTTTGTTGTCATTGTAAGTGTGATTTTTACATTTTTTTAATTAATTTTAACAAGTGTAGAGAAAAGTAATCTTTGTATTTATCTTGATTAATGTGACATCAGACTCTCATATCATTACTAATAATTTTCTGGCCATTTCTTGGATTTCTTAGTATACTGTGTAAAGAGATACAATTTTGCTTCATACAATTTACATTTATGCATTTTTAGTATTTGTTCTGTGTGTATAGAATCCAGCTTTTTCCAGGAGAATAATTTCTTTTATTAATTTTAATGATATTCTTTCTTTCTTTTTGTATTATTATACTTTAAGTTCTGGGATACATGTACAGAACGTGCAGGTTTGTTACATAAGTATTCACGTGCCATGGTGGTTTGCTGCACCCATCAATTTGTCATCTAGGTTTTAAGCCCCACCTGCATTAGGTATTTGTCCTAATGCTCTCCCTCCTCTTGCCCCTCACACCCTGACAGGCCCTGGTGTGAGATATCCCCGTCCCCGTGTCCATGTGTTGTCATTGTTCAACTCCCACTTATGAGCAAGAACATGCAGTGTTTAGTTTTCTGTTCCTGTGTTAGTTTGCTGAGAATGATGGTTTATAGCTTCATCCATGTTCCTGCAAAGAACATGAACTCATTCTTTTTTATGACTGCATAGTATATATGTGCCACATTTTCTTTATCCAGTCTATCATTGATGGGCATTTGGGTTGGTTCCAAGTCTTTGCTATTGTAAATAGTGCTGCAGTAAACATACGTGTGCATGTGTCTTTATAGTAGAATGATTTATAATCCTTTGGGGATATACCCAGTAATGGGATTGCTGGGTCAAATGGTATTTCTGGTTCTAGATCCTTGAGGAATCACCACACTGTCTTCCACAATGGTTGAACTAATTTACACTCCCATCAACAGTGTAAAAGTGTTCCTATTTCTCCACAGCTTCTCCAGCATCTGTTGTTTCCTGACTTTTTAATGATTGCCATTCTAACTGGCATAAGATGGAATCTCATTGTGGATTTGATTTGCATTTCTCTAAGGACCAGTGATAATGAGCTTTTTTCATATGTTTCTTGGCCACATAAATGTCTTCTTTTGAGAAGTGTCTGTTCATATCCTTTGCCCACTTTTTGATGAGGTTGTTTTGTTTTCTTGTAAATTTGTTAAGTTCCCTGTAGGTTCTGGATATTAGACCTTCCTCAGATGGATAGATTGCAAAAATTTTCTCCCATTCTGTAGGCTGCCTGTTCACTCTGATGACAAGTTTCTTTTGCTGCGCAGAAGCTCTTTGGTTTAATTAGATCCCATTTGTCAATTTTGGCTTTTGTTGCCATTGCTTTTGGTGTTTTAGTCATGAAATCTTTTTTGCCCATGCCTATGTCCTGAATGGTATTGCCTAGGTTTTTTTCTAGAGTTTTTACGGTTTTAGGTTTTCTGTTTAAGTCTTTATTCAGGTAATTTTGTATAAGGTGTAAGGAAGGGGTCCAGTTTCAGTTTTCTGCATATGGCTAGCCAGTTTTCCCAACACCATTTATTAATTAGGGAATCCTTTCCCCATTGCTTGTGTGTGTCAGGTTTGTCAAAGATCAGATGGTTGTAGACATGTGGTGTTATTTCTGAAGCCTCTCTTCTGTTCTATTGGTCTATATATCAGTTTTGGTACCAGTCCCATGTTCTTTTAGTTACTGTAGCCTTATAGTATAGTTTGAAGTCAGGTAGCATGATGCCTCCAGCTTTGTTCTTTTTGCTCAGGATTGTCTTGGCTATATGGGCCCTTTTTTTGGTTCCATATGAAATTTGAAGTCGTTTTTTCTAATTCTGTGAAGAAAGTCAATGGTAGCCTGATGGGAATAGCATTGAATCTATAAATTACTTTGGGCCATATGGCCATTTTCACAATATTGATTCTTCCTATCCACGAGCATGGAATGTTTTTCCACTTGTTTGTGTCCTCTCTTATTTCCTTGAGCAGTGGTGTGTAGTTCTCCTTGAAAAGGTCCTTCACATCCCTTGTAAGTTGTATTTCTAGGTGTTTTATTCTCTTTGTAGCAATTGTGAGCTCACTCATGATTTGGCTCTCTTTGTCTATTATTGGTATATAGAATGCTTGTGATTTTTGCACATTAATTTTGTATCCTGAGACTTTGCTGAAGTTGCTTATCAGCTTAAGAAGTTTTGGGGCTGAGACGATGGAGTTTTCTAAATATACAATCATGTCATCTGCAGACAGAGACAATTTGACTTCCTCTCTTCCTATTTGAATACTCTTTATTGCTTTCTCTTGCTTGATTGCCCCGGCCAGATTTTCCAACACTATGTTGAACAGGAGTGGTGAGAGAGGGCATCTTTGTCTCGTGCTAGTTTTCAAATGGAATGCTTCCAGCTTTTGCTCATTCAGTATATTAGCTATGGGTTTGTCACGAATAGCTCTTATTAGTTTGAGATATGTTTCATCAATACCTAGTTTATTGAGTGTTTTTAGCATGAAGGGGTATCAAATTTAATCGAAGGCCTTTTCTGTATCTATTGAGATAATCATGTGGGTTTTGTCATTGGTTCTGTTCATGTGATGGATTATGTTTATTGATTTGCGTATGTTGAACCAGCCTTGCATCCCAGGGATGAAGTCGACTTGATCATGGTGGATAAGCTTTTTGATGTGCTGCTGGATTCAGTTTGCATGTATTTTACTAAGGATTTTTGCATCAATCTTCTTCAGAGATATTGGCCTGAAACTTTCTTTTTTTGTTGTGTCTCTGTTAGGTTTTGGTATCAGGATGACGCTGGCCTCATAAAATGAGTTAGGGAGGAGTCCCTCTTTTTTTATTGTTTGGAATAGTTTCAGAAGGAATGGTACCAGCTCCTCTTTGTACCTCTGGTAGAATTCGCCTGTGAATCCGTCTGCTCCTGGGCTTTTTTGGGGGGTAGTAGGCTATTAATTATTGCCTCAATTTCAGAACTTGTTACTGGTCTATTCAGGGATTCAACTTCTTCCAGGTTTAGTCTTGGGAGAGTGTATGTGTCCAGGAATTATTATTATTGTGTGGGAGTCTAAGTCTCTTTATAGGTCTCTAGGAACTTGCTTTATGAATCTGGGTGCTCCCGTATTGGGTGCATATATATTTAGGATAGTTAGCTGTTCTTGTTATATTGATCCCTTTACCATTATGTGATGCCCTTCTTTGTCTTTTTGATCTTTGTTTGTTTAAAGTCTGTTTTATCAGAGACTAAGATTGCAACCCCTGCTTTTTTTTTTCTTTCCATTTGCTTGTTAAATATTCCTCCATCCCTTTATTTTGAACCTATGTGTATCTTTGCACATGAGATGGGTCTCCTGAATACAGCACACTGATGGGTCTTGACTATTTATCCAATTTGCCAGTCTGTGTCTTTTAACTGGGGCATTTAGCCCATTTACATTTAAGGTTAATATTGTTATGTGTGAATTTGATCCTGTCCTCCTGGTGCTAGTTGGTTATTTTGCATATTAGTTGGTGCAGTTTCTTCATAGTGTCGTTGGTCTTTATATTTTGGTGTGTTTTTGCAGTGGCTGGTACTGGTTTTTCCTTTCCATATTTAGTGCTTCCTTCAGGAGCTCTTTTAAGGTAGGCCTGGTGGTGACAAAATCCCTCAGCACTTGCTTGTCTGTAAAGGATTTTATTTCTCCTTCCCTTATGAAGCTTAGTGTGGCTGGATATGAAATTCTGAGTTGAAAATTATTTTCTTTAAGAATACTGAGTATTGGCCCCCACTCTTTTCTGGCTTATAGGGTTTCTGCAGAGAGAGCCAATGTTAGTCTAGTGGGCTTCCCTTTATAGGTAACCTGACCTTTCTCTCTGGCTGCCCTTAACATTTTCTCCTTCATTTCAACCTTGGAGAATCTGAAGATTTTGTGTCTTGGGGTTGCTCTTCTCGAGGAATATCTTTGTGGTGTTCTCTATATTTCCTGAATTTGAATGCTGGCCTGTCTTGCTAAGCTGGGGAAGTTTTCCTGGATAACATCCTGAAGCTTGTTTTCCAACTTGGTTCCATTCTTCCTGTCACTTTCAGGTACACCGATCAATCGTAGGTTTGGTCTTTCCACATAGTCCCATATTTCTTGGAGGCTTTGTTCATTCCTTTTCATTTTTTTTCTCTAATCTTGTCTTCACACTTTATTTCATTAAATTGATCTTCAATTTCTGATATCCTTTCTTCCACTTGATCAATTTGGCTATTGATACTTGTGTACACTTCACGAAGTTCTTGTGCTGTGTTTTTTCACCTCCATTAGGTCATTTATGTTCTTCTCTAAACTAGTTATTCTAGTTAGCAGTTCCTGTAACCTTTTATCAAGGTTCTTAGTTTCCTTGCATTGGGTTTGAACATGCTCCTTTAGCTCAGAGGAGTTTGTTATTACCCACTTTCTGAAGCCTACTTCTGTCAGTTCGTCAAACTCATTCTCTGTCCAGTTTTGTGCTCTTGCTGGAGAGGCATTGCAATCATTTGAAGGAGAAGAGGCATTCTGGTTTTTGGAATTTTCGGCATTTTTGCACTGGTTTTTCCTCATCTTTGTGGATTTATCTACTTTTCATCTTTGATGTTGATGACCTTGGATGTGGTTTTTGTGTGGGCATCCTTTTTTTTGTTGATGTTGATGTTATTGCCTTTTTTTTTTTTTTTTTTTTTTTTGAGACAAAGTCTCGCTCTGTTGCCCAACCTGGAGTGCAGCGGCGTGATCTCGGCTCACTGCAACCTCCACCTTCCAGGTTCGAGTGATTCTCCCACCTCAGCCTCCCAAGTAGCTGGGACTACAAGTGCGCGCCACCATGCCCAGCTACTTTTTGTATTTTTAGTAGAAACAGGGTTTCACCATATTGGCTAGGCTGGTCTCAAACTCCTGACCTTGTGATTTGCCCGCCTCAGCTTCCCAAAGTTCTGGGAATAAACCACCATGCCCAGCTGATGTTATTGCTTTCTGTTTTTTGGTTTTCCTTCTAACAGTCAGGACCCTCTTCTGCAGGCCTGCTGGAGTTTACTGGAGGTCCACTATACACCCTATTTGCCCGGGTATCACCAGTGGAGCCTGCAGAACAGCAAAGATTGCTGCCTGTTCCTTCCTCTGGAAGCTTCATCTCAGAGGGCACCAGTCTGATGCCAGCCAGAGCTCTCCTGTATGAGGTGTCTGTCAACCACTGATGGGAGGTGTCTTCCAGTTAGGAGGCATGGGGGTCAGGGACCCACTTGAGGAGGCAGTCTGTCCCTTAGCAGAGCTCAAGCACTGTGCTGGGAGATCTGCTGTTCTCTTCAGAGCTGGCAGGCAGGAATGTTTAAGTCTGCTGAAGCTGCTCCCACAGCCGCCCCTTCCCCCAGGTGCTCTGTCCCAGGAAGATGGGAGTTTTACATATAAGCCCCTGACTGGGGCTGCCTTTCTTTCAAAGATGCCCTGCCCATTGAGGAGGAATCTAGAGAGGCAGTCTGGCCACAGCTGCTTTGCTGCACTGCAGTGAATTCTGCAAAGTCCGAACTTCCCAGTGGCTTCCTTAACACTGTGAGGGGAAAACCACCCACACAAGCCTCAGTAATGGCGGGCGCCCCTCCCCACACCAACCTGGATTGTCCCAGGTCGACTTCAGACTGCTATGCTGGCAGTGAGAATTTCAAGCCAGTGGTTATTAGCTTGCTGGGCGCTGGGGGAGTGGGACCCACTGAGCGAGACCACTTGGCTCCCTGGCTTCAGCCCCCTTTCCAGGGGAGTGAATGGTTCTGTCTTGCTGGGGTTCCAGGTGCCACTGGCCTATGAAAAAAAAAATTGCAGCTAGCTCGGTGTCTGCCCAAACAGCCACCCAGTTTTGTGCTTGAAACCCAGCACCCTAGTGGTGTAGGCACACAAGGGAATCTCCTGGTCTGTGGGTTGCAAAAACCATGGGAAAAGCATAGTATCTGGTCCAGATAGCACAGTCCCTGGTCCGGATAGCACAGTCCCTCACGGCTCCCCTTGGCTAGAGGAGGGAGGTCCCCAGCTCCTTGCACTTCCCAGGTGAACCAACAACCCACCCCACTTCTGCTCACCCTCCATGAGCTGCACCTACTTTCTAACCAGTCCCAATGAGATGAACTGGGTACCTCAGTTGGAAATGCAGAAATCACCCGCCTTCTGCATTGGTCTCACTGGGAGCTGCAGACCAGAGCTGTTCCTATTCAGCCATCTTTCCCAGGAACTTCCAGTATTCTTTATTTCAAATAGTAATTTCTGATTTAAATTCTATTTTAAATAATAGCTTTTTGGTTAATATTTTCCTCTGCTTTGTCTTTCTCTATTATTTTACTTTTCAGATTCCAATAAGTCTTGTGAATAGAAAATAACTGGATCCTTTTTCCCTGTCTTAGAGTATAGATCTTTTAAGGGGCAAGTTTAAACCATTTGTATTTATGATGATTACTGATTTACTCAGTTTTGTTTATGACACCTTACCAAGTGCTTTCCATATTGCATAATTTTACAGTACTATTCCACTGTCTTTGCTATTGTTGTCTGATATTTTCATTCTGCTACATTTATGCACCCCAAAATTAGTCATGATAAAATTATTTTTATAGTCTGTGTTTTTCAGATATATTCATATATTTACCAATATTGCTCACTATTTCTCTTTGTATCTTAATCCTTGCTTTGTGGTTTGATTTTTTTGTTTTTTGGTTTTTTAGTTTTTTTGTGTGAGACAGGCTCTCTCATTCTGTCACCCAAGATAGGGCGCAGTAGTGCAATCTCAGCTCACTGCAACCTCCACCTCCCGAGTTCAAGCGATTCTCCCACCTCAGCCTCCCGAGTATCTGGGACTACAGATATGTGCCACCATACCCAGCTAATTTTTCTATTTTTAATAGAAACAGGGTTTCACCATGTTGGCCAGGCTGGTCTCGAACTCCTGACCTCAAGTGATCTGCCTGCCTTGGCCTCCCAAAGTGTTGAGATTACCAGTGTGAGCCATCGCACCCCGCCTGTGGTTTCATTTTTAAATGAGGATCTGTGAATAATAAATTCTTGGACTTTTGCCAGAAAAATTAACTTCGCCTTCATTGTAAAATAACAGTTTTGCTGAATAAGGAACTCAATGTATTTTCTCAGCTAATTGAAGATGTTATCCATTGCCTTTTGGCCTTTGTTTTTGCTCTTAAGAAGTCTGCTTAATACCTAGTTAGTTTGCAGGTTATTTTGTCTTTTTCTGTCTGGTAATATTTAGAATTTTGTCTTTGTCTTGGTGTTACACAGTTTCACTACTATGTGTCCAGTCCATTTTCATTATTCCTGCTTTAGGAGGGTGCATCTTAAAACTTTACAGTAATGTCTTTCATCAATTTTGAAAAATTCTTAAGCATTCTTTCTTTGAACTTTGCTTTTCCTCCATGCTTTCTATATTCTCTTTCTGGAATTCAAATGTATTTTGGATCTTCTCATTCTAGTCTCTATTTCTGTTAACCTTGTTTTTATGTATTTTTAAGTCTGTCTGCAATGCAGTATAGACAACTTCCTCAAGTCTACCTTCCAATTCACTGATTTTCTTTTCAGTGTCTAATGTCCTGATTAGCCTATTGAGTTTTAGCCAATTACTAATATTTACTGTTTCTAAAATTACGATTTGCTTCTCCTAATATTTGTTCATAGTCTCATCTATGTGTATGTGTTATTATCACCCAAAGTTCATAGTTTAAGATTTATATTTTCAGGTATCTTTATAGCAATGCCCCACTTCCCAGTACCAATTTTCTGTGTTAGTCCGTTCTCACATTGCTATAAAGAAATGCCTGAAACTGGGTAATTTATAAAGAAAAGAGGTTTAATTGGCTCACAGTTCTGCAGGCTGTACATGTTCTGGGGAGGCCTCAGGAAACTTACAATCATGATGGAATGTGAAGGGGAATCAGGCAATATCTTACATGGCTGGAGCAGGAGGAAGAGAGAGAAGGGGGAGGTGCTGCACACTTTTAAACAACCAGATCTCGTGAGAACTCAGTATCATAAGAATGGCAAAGGGGAACTCCACCCCCTTGATCCAATCACCTCCCACCAGGCCCCTCCTCCGACATTGGGGATTAAAATTTGACATAAGATTTGGGCAGGGACACAAATCCAAACCATATCAGGGCCTATGCCCATAAAATCAGCAGGAAGCAGTTACAGAAGATGGACCTCCACCCTTCTTCAGCCCCCTTAAGATTAAGGAGGAGTATCTAATATCTGAGGGGGGAATGAGGTAGGAGACTGGCAGGACTTATTTCCTAGTACTGACAGGATAAGTGAAAAAAACAGCAGAAACTAGCAGATGGTAACAAAAGCAATCCCTAGTTGCCCCCACTACTCATTAGTATAAGACACCAGCACCATGACGGTTTTCAAATGCCATGGTAAGGACCCAGAAGTTATTGCCCCTTCCCATGACAATGACCGAGAAGTTACCACCCCTTTCCTAGAAAGCTTTAAATAAACTACTCCTCAATTTGCATTAACCCACCACTGATTGGCATATGATTGAAAGTGGGTATAAGTGGGTATAGAGTTGCCAACAGTCCATTCATTGCCAACTTGGCACATTATCTATGAGTTAGCCCTGCTCTGCAAGGAGCAATAAAGTTCAATAAAAGATTGCTGTCTAAAACCACTGGCTTGCCCTTGAATTCATTCCTGGGCAAAGTCAAGAACTTTCCTGGGCTAAGCTCTAATTTTGGGGCATGTCTGTCCTGCATCAAATGGATAAAGAAAATGTGATATATATATATATATATATATATATATATATATATATATATATATATATATATATATGTATGTATGTATGTATGTAGTGGAATACTATTCAGCTTTTAAAAAACAAGGAAATTCTGTCATTTGTGACAACATGGATGAACCTGGAGGACATTATGTTAAGTGAAATGTAAGGCACAGAAAGATAAATACCACATGATCTCACTTATATGTGGAATCTTAAAAAGTTGAACGAAGAAGCAGAGAGTAGAATGGTGGTTACCAGGTACTGGGAGCAGGGAAATGGGGGACAGAAAATGGGGGAATTGGGGAGTTGTTTGTCAAAGGATACAAAATTTAGTTTCATAGAATAAATAAGGAAGTCAGAATATCTATTTTATAACATGGAGACTATAGTTAAAACAACATTATTGTATTCTTGAAAAATCACTGAGTAGATTTTAAGTGTTCTCATCATAAAAAAAGGATAAGTATATGAGCTGATATATGTTAATTAGCATGATTTAGCATTCTGTGATGTATACGTATTTCAAGACATCATGTTATACATGATAATTGTATACAATTTTTATTTGTCAGTTTAAATATATAAATTTTAAAATAAAGTACTCACATCAGGGATATATTTGTATTTTCTAAGTAACAACAATAACAATTTAAAATGCATAATACAAAACTAACAAAGGCTGATCATAGAATAATTTATAAAAATCATTCCAAAAGGAGGCCAAGAGGCCAGATGCAGTGGCTCATGCCTATAATCCTGGCACTTTGGGAGGCAGAGGCGAGTGGATTCCTTGAGCCCAAGAGTTCAAGGCCAGCCCAAGCAACATAGCAAAACCCCATCTCTACAAAAAATACAAAAATTAGCTGAGCATGTTGGTGTGCACCTGTAGCCCCAGCTACTCGGGAGGCTGAGGTGGCAGGATGACTTGAGCCTGGGAGGTGGAGGTTGCAAGAGAGACCACACCACTGCACACCAGCCTGGGTAACAGAGCCAGATGCGGTCTCAATAAACAAATAGGAGGCCAAAAACATAAGAAAACATATAACACAAAACAGGTGAAAAAACAGAAAACGAGCAATAAAATAATCTTAGACCCATATATATCAATCAATAATTCCATTAATTATAAATGGACTAAATGGCCACATTTTATTTGTTTTTACTTAAGTTTTTATTTATTTATTTATTATTTCCATAGGTTTTAGGGGGACAGGTGGTATTTGGTTACACTAGTAAGTTCTTTAGCGGTGATTTGTGAGACTTTGATGCACCCATCACCCAAGCAGTATACAGTGAACCCAATTTGTAGTCTTTTATCCCTCACTCCCTTCCCACCCTTTCCCACTGAGTCCCCAATATCATTCTTATGGCTTTGCATCCTCATAGTTTAGTTCCCACTTATGAGTGAGAACATATGATGTTTGGTTTTCCATTCCTGAGTTACTTCACTTAGAATAGTGTCCAATCCCATCCAGACTGCTGCAAATGCCATTAATTCATTCCTTTTTATGGCTGAGTAGTATTCCACCATATATATATGCCATAGTTTCCTTGTCTATTCGTTGACTGATGGGTATTTGGGTTGGTTCCACATTTTTGCAGTTGTAACTTGTGCTGCTATAAACATGCATGTGCAAGTATCTTTTTTGTATAATGACTTATTTTGCTCTGGGTAGATACCCACTAGTGGCATTGCTCGATTGAATGGTAGTTCTACTTCTAGTTCTTTAAGGAATCTCCAAACTGTTTTCTATAGTGGTTGTACTAGTTTACATTCCCACCAGCAGTGTAGAAGTGTTCCCTGTTCACCGCATCTATGCCAACCTCTATTATTTTCTGATTTTTTTTTCAAAAAGAACATAAAACTTTATTAAGAACATCTTATACTGTCATCAGATACAGCCAAAGAAAAACGGGTAAACAAACAGGGAAAGTTCATCTTCCCATGTGCTATTGCCACCTCAGAACAGACTCCTGTGTAGATAGCTGGAACAACAGTTGGCAACAAATGCTCTGTATAAATAATTCATTAAGTACACAATGTTTCCTTTCTATACAGAGAAGAATTGGGCTTACAACTATGAAACAAGACTACATCTTTAGGAGCTATTTCTTAATAGAATACAAAGCAGTTTAGTAGCTGTATGTTATTTCAGATAATGTAATTTTTTAATGAAAAATTCAGAAAGGACATTCTAACTTTCCCAATTAGTTAATTTGTACTGTTGAGTTTTTTCTCTCTAAAGATTTCTCAGAATCAGTTCAGTAACTATACTTTAAAAAGATGAGTTGCTCATCTACAGTGATAATTGACAACTTAGTTTTGTGACTTTGCAAATCAAGATGCCTGGGTCATCCCCACTTTTGCTGATTCTGAAAGATTTCTTTAGAAAAACCCTGATTCAGAGAAGCAGGAGTAAGGTGGTATCACACTGTGGTTTTGATTTGCATTTCCCTGATCCTTAGTGATGCTGAGCATTTCTTCATATGTTTGTTGGCCATTTGTATATCTTCTTTTGAGAATTGTCTGTTCATGTCCTTAGCTCAATTTTTGATGAGATTGTTTCTTTCTTTCTTGCTAATTTGCTTGAGTTTGTTGTAGATTCTGGATATTAGTCCTTTGTCAGATGTATAGATTGTGAAGATTTTCTCCCACTCTGTGGGTTGTCTGTTTACTCTGCTGACTATTCCCTTTGCCATGCAAAAGCTCTTAAATTAAGTCCCAGCTATTTATCTTTGTTTTTATTGCATTTGCTTTTGGTTCTTGGTCATGAAATCCTTGCCTAAGCCAATGTCTACAAGGGTTTTTCCAATGTTACCTTCTAGAATTTTTATAGTTTCAGGTCTTAGATTTAAGTCCTTAGTCCTTCTTGAGTTGATTTTTGTATAAGGTGAGAGATGAGGATCCAGTTTCATTCTCCTACATGTGGCTTGCCAATTATCCTAGCACCATTTGTTGAATAGGGTGTCCTTTACCCACTTTATGTTTTTGTTTTCTTTGTCAAAGATCAGCTGGCTGTAAGTATTTGGGTTTATTTCTGGGTTCTCTATTCTGTTCCATTGGTCTTTGTCCCTATTTTTATACCAGTACTATCCTGTTTTGGTGACTATGGCCTTACAGTATAGTTTGAAATCAGGTAATGTGATGCCTCCAGATTTGTTCTTTTCCCTTAGCCTTGCTTTGGCTATTTGGGCTCTTCTTTGGTTCCATATGAATTTTAGGATTTTTTTTTCTAGTTCTGTGAAGAATGATGCTGGTATTTATATGGGAATTGCATTGAATTTGTAGATTGCTTTTGGCAGTATGGTCATTTTCACAATATTGATTCTACCCATCCACGAGCATGGGGTGTGTTTCCATTTGTTTGTGTCATCTATGATTGTTTTCAGCAGTGTTTTGTAGTTTTCCTTGTAGAGGTCTTTCACCTCCTTGGTTAGGTATATTCCTAAGTTTTTTTGATTGTGTGATTTGTTTGTTTGTTTGTTGCAGCTATTGTAAAAAGTGGTTGAGTTCTTGATTTGATTCTCAGCTTGGTCACTGTTGGTGTACAGGAGAGCTACTGATTTGTGTACATTAATTTTGTATCCAGGAAATTTGCTGAATTATTTTATCAGTTCTAGGAGCTTCTTGGAGGAGTCTTCTGGGTTTTCCAGGTATACAATCATATCATCAGCAAACAGTGACAGTTTGACTTCCTCTTTACCAACTTGGATGCCTTTATTCTTTCTCTTGTCTGATTGCTCTGGCTAGGACTTCCAGTACTATGTTGAAGTGGTGAAAGTGGGCATCCTTGTCTTGTTCCAATTCTCAGAGGGAATGCTTTCAACTTTTCCCCATTCAGTATTATGTTGGCTGTGCGTTTATCATACATGGTTTTTATTACATTGAGGTATGTCCCTTGTAGGCTGATTTTGCTGAGAGTTTTAATCATAAAAGGATGCTGCATTTTGTCAAATGCTTTTTCTGTGTCTATTGAGATGATCATGTGATTTTTGTTTTTAATTGTTTATGTGGTGTATTACATTTATTGACGTGCATATGTTAGACCATCCCTGCATCCCTGCTATGAAACCCACTTGATCATGGTGGATTATCTTTTTGATATGTTGTTGGATTTGGTTAGCTGGTATCTTGTTAAGGATTTTTGCATCTATGTTCATCAGGGATATTGGTCTTCAGTTTTCTTTTTTGTTGTTGTTATGTTCTTTTGTTCTTTCCTGGCTTTGGTATTAGGATGATACTGGCTTCATAAAATGATTTAGGGAGGATTCCTTCTTTCTCTATCTTGTGGAATAGTGTCAATAGGATTGGTACCAATTCTTCTTTGAATGTCTGGTAGAACTCAGTTGTGAATCCGTCTGGCCCTGGACTTTTTTTTTTGTAATTTTTTTATTACCATTTCAATCTTGCTGCTTGTTATTGGTCTGTTCAGGGTATCTAATTCTTCCTGATTTAAGGTAGGAGGGTTTTCTCTTCCCAGGAATGTATCGATCTCCTCCAGGTTTTCTAGTTTATGCACATAAAGGTGTTCATAGTAGCCTCAAATGATCTTTTGTATTTCTGTGGTGTCAGTTGTACTATCTCCCATTTCATTTCTACTTGAGCTTCTTTGGATTTTCTCTCTTCTTGGTTAATCTTGCCAATGGTCTATCAAGTTTATTTATCTTTTCAAAGAACCAGCTTTTTGTTTCACTTCTGTATTTTTTTGTTTCAATTTCATTTAGCTCTGCTCTGATCTGGGTTATTTCCTTTCTTCTGCTGGCTTTGGGCTTGGTTCTTGTTTCTCTAGTTCCTTGAGGTGTGACCTTAGGTTGTCTATTTGTGCTCTTTCAGACTTCCTGATGTAGGCATATAGGGCTAAGAACTTTCCTCTTAGCACCGCCTTTGCTGTATCCCAGAGGTTTTTGTAGGTCATGTCACTATTGTTATTCAGCTTGAATAATTTTTTAATTTTCATCTTGATTTCATTGTTGACCCAATGATCATTCAGGAGCAGGTTATTTAATTTCCATGTATTTGCGTGGTTTTAAAGGTTCCTTTTGGAGCTGATTTCCAGTTTTATTTCACTGTGGTCTGAGACAGTGCTTAACATAATTTCAGTTTTCTTAAATTTATTGAGACTTGTTTTGTGCTCTATCATGTGGTCTATCCTGGAGAAAGTTCCATGTGCTGAAGAATTGAACGTATATTCTGCAGTTGTTGGGTAAAATGTTCTGTATATATCTGTTAAGTCTATTTGTTCCAGGGCATAGTTTAAATTCATTGTTTTTTTGTTGGCTTTCTGTCTTAATGATCTGTCTAGTGCTGTCAGTGGCGTATTAAAGTCCCCCACTAGTATTGTGTTGCTGTATATATCATTTCTTAGGTCTAGTAGTAATTGTTTTATAAATTTGGGAGCGCCAGTGTTAGGTGCATATATATTTAGGATTGTGATATTTTCCTGTTGGACAAGAAATGCCACATTTTAAAAATAAAAATTATCAAACTGGATTAAATGGCAATATAAATGTCAGTTGATAGGATAGTTAATACTATACTCAACAATGTAATGAAGAGTAAGAAAGGGCTGGGCTTTGTGGCTCATGCCTGTAGTCCCAGCACTTTGGGAGGCCCAAGGGAAGAGGGGCTGGCTCTCACTCCCCGCATCGCGGGGGGCGCCTGAGATAAGGTGGATCACCTGAGATAAGGAGTTCAGACCAGTCTGGCCAATATGGTAAAACCCCGTCTCAACTAAAAATACAAAAAAATTAGCTGGGTGTGGTGGCGGGCACCTGTAATCCCAGCTACTTCGGGAGGCTGAGGCAGAAGAATCGCTTGAACTCAGGAGACAGAGGTTGCAGTGAGTCGAAGTCACGCCATTGCACTCCAGCCTGGGCGACAAGAGCGAAACTCTGTCTCAAAAAAAAAAAGTAAGAAAGAACTCAAACTTATACGTAGTGATCATGACAATAAGGAATTTTGTCTGTGTGAGCTCTGAAAATTTTATAAAGTTTTTAAATATGGAGTTCATGCTTAGTGATTGAGTTATTTAATGTCAAATGATATCTAAGCATTTATTTTTAACATTTCATTAATCAAGTACACAATATGTATTTAAGGAATTATGATAAAGTAAACCAATCTTCTACCCATATCACTATACCTATTTGATTCATCAAAATTTGTCCTCCCTAAATTCCATGTTCTGCAATGTGTTTAGAAATAAATAGTAAGGCATGGCGCCACGCACCTGTAATTCCAGCTACTCAGGAGGCAGGGCAGGAGGATCACTTGAGCCTGGGAGTTTGAAGCCAGCCTAGGCAATATAGTAAGACCCTGTCTCAAAAATTAATTAATTAATTAATTAATTAATAATAACAAGTGGTAGCCTTGCTCTTGGTCAAAACATTGACTTTGGGCTGGGCGCGGTGGCTCACGCCTGTAATCCCAGCACTTTGGGAGGCCGAGATGGGCGATCACAAGGTCAAGAGATTGAGATCATCCTGGCTAACACGGTGAAACCTTGTGTCTACTAAACATACAAAAAAATTAGCCGGGCGTGGTGGCAGGGGTCTTTGGTCCCAGCTACTCAGGAGGCTGAGGCAGGAGAATGGCGTGAACCCGGGAGGTTGAGCTTGCAGTGAGCTGAGATCGCACCACTGCATTCCAGCCTGGATGACAGAGCGAGACTCTGTCTCAAAAAAAAAAAATTTTTGGCAGGGCACAGTGTCTCACGCCTGTGATCCCAGCACTTTGGGAGGCCAAGGTGGGCAGATCACAAGATCAGGAGTTCGAGACCAGCCTGGCCAACATGGTGAAACCCCATCTCTACTAAAATACAAAAATTAGACGGGTGTGGTGGTGCACGCCTGTAATCCCAGCTACTTGGGAGGCTGAGGCAGAAGAATTGTTTGAACCCAGGAGGCAGAGGTTGCAGTGAGCCAAGATCACGCCATTGCACTCCAGCCTGGGCAAGAGAGCAAGACTCCATCTTAGGGGAAAAAAAAAAAAAAAGATTGACTTTGGTTTATTATTTGATCGAGTTTTTTCCATTAGTACATTACTTATCTATTTATCAGTTACTGGATACAAAAGTTTCTGGAACTGAGTTCCTCACAATTGTTCCTCATAATTGTTTGGATGTAGTCCATTCCAAATAATAACTATCTATTTAAGTCTATTAAGTCTATTTTTTAAAAAAAAGAAAACACCCCTGAATAGCAAAATGACTAACGAAAAATAATAAAATTATCTGAGATTAGTCGTAGATTTTTATCAGCTAAAAACAGAAGGAACTTCCAAACCAACAAAGAGTAGATTAAACAAAGGCAAAAATAAAATGAGAGAATAGAAAATGAGATGAAAAAAGAAGAAAAATTATAGCAGCCAAGTTTAATGAGGTGCTTTGCCAATCACTGAAATGTGTCTGTCCAGCCTAAGAAAAGTTGAAAAGAAAAAAATGGGCCGGGTGGGGTGGCTCACGCCTGGAATCCCAGCACTTTGGGAGGCCAAGGCAGGCGGATCACGAGGTCAGGAGATCGAGACCATCCTGACTAACACAGTGAAACCCCATCTCTACTAAAAATACAAAAAAAAAAAAAAAAATTAGCCAGGCATGGTGGCAAGCACCTGTAGTCCCAGCTACATGACAGGCTGAGGCAGGAGAATGGCGTGAGCCTGGGAGGTGGAGCTTGCAGTGAGTCGAGACCACACCACTGCACTCCAGCCTGGGTGACAGAGCAAGACTCTGTCTCAAAAAAAAAAAAGAAAAAAAGAAATCAGATGCATATCAGTGAACTTTACACCTTTCAGATCTATTCAATGGTGGACTGAATGACTGTGGAAAGAAACATCTTCTTTATCATATGAAGTACCCTGTGGTCCAGTGGCAATTCTGATGAAACCACACTGCTTTGTAACTTATGGACATCTTCATACACTAAATAAGAAAAATTACATTAAAACTAACCACCATCCAATCACTTTTGACTAGGTGTTAAAAGGACTCACATTCTACCTTTTATCCATCCGACAAGCTCCTACTTATTTGCGATTCAGGTCAAATGTCATCTCATTTGTAAAGTCTTCCTAAACACCTACTAAGGGAGACTGCCCTCAACACAGTTCCCAAACCACTTTTATATACCTCAATTATTCTCTGTTTATACGTTTACCCGCTTTACTAGATTCTGTGCACCTGGAGGTGAGAAACCAGATGTTTTTCGTCTTTGTTTCTCCAGAGTTAAGCTTAGCTGGTTCATGAAAATCATTCAAAAATTACTGAAAGAATCTCAGTCTTAAGAGGAAAAAAGTAAACAACTATCATATACAGTAACAAACAGCTTAGGAACAAAATATTACAGGAGGAATGATAATTTCACCCTAATAGAGTGCTGGGATACTTCACAAAAAGATGATATTTGATCTGCTTTGAAGAAGTCATAAGTTAGATGAAGCAAATAAAAGTGGATTTTAAAAGGTGAAATCAAGTCTATTCCAAGGAGTGAATATGAGCCAATGCCCAGAGGTAGGACAGCATGAAGGGTCTAACGAGAGTGAGTGGACAGGCCTTGCTGGACTATAAGTGAAAAGTAGTATCAGAAATGATATCAGAAAAGTAGATTGGGGCCCAATTGAGAAGTCCCTTGAATGCCATAGTAAATAAAGCTTTAATTATTTATCTTACAGACAATGTGGAGCCCTTGGTTTTAAAGAAGAGCATCAAAATTAAATTTCTTCTTTCAAAATTTTATTCTCCCCAGATTAACGAATATTATTCAAGTTATACCTTCAGTTTCACCAAAGGTCATGTCTCAATCCTTCTCCTCTACAGGAAAGCAATTCTAAAAAAAAAAAAAAAAGGGAAAAGAAAAACCTCAGATAAAACTGGTTTTGGTAGGACTACTCTCAGGCAGGACAGCATAAGATACAAGAATCAAATGACTGGCAATAGAAGACTTATTAAGATTAAAACTGTACTGGTCATCAGATAAGTGACTAGATCTGATTTGTTCAAATTAGAGTTTGTAATTTATTTTGAATACAAAGCAAGGCATGGTCATTTAAAAACATACAATACTAAAAAATGTAAAAAAAAAAAAGAGGGAAGTGAAAATTACTATAACCATCCTCATCCCTTAAAATGACTCTGCTATTAACATTTAAGTTAAATCATTAACTTTCTTCAATGCCTGAGTATACATACAGATAGATACTTCATTTTTCCAAGTAGATTTCAAACTTACATACCTGCATCTTTTCACTCAATATACCATGAAAATTTTTCCATAATAATATGTATCTATATAATATTTAATCAGTGCATAATTTATTTAAACACTCCCCTGTAGGTGGACTTTATCTTTTCATTTAAACCAACACTACAGTAAATGTATGTCTCTTTACACATTTATCTAAATTTTTCCTGAAGTTAAATTTCCAAAAAAGTAATTTCTGAATCAAAAGGTATCTGGTGCAGCAGCTGTAGAGACAGGGTGCAGAACCCCTGCCCTGCAATCACAAGGCAGTTTCTTCTCTATCCCAACTAAAGTATGTGGGGCTGGTAAGATTACAGAAAAAAGAGAAAGGAATATTCTGAATCTGTGTATGAAATTCTTGTGAGCAGTACATGTAAGAAACTAATCAGAGGCTGGGCGTGGTGGCACACACCTGTAGTCCCAGCTACTTCGGAGGCTGAGGCATGAGAATCACTTGAATCCAGAAGGTGGAGGTTGCAGTGAGCCGATATAGCGCCATTGCACTCCAACCTGGGTGACACACTTTTGCACTCAGTCTCAAAATAAATAAATAAATAAATAAATAGGCCGGGCGTGGTGGCTCATGCCTGTAATCCCAGCACTTTGGGAGGCCAAGGCAGGTGGATCACGAGGTCAGGAGATCAAGACCATCCTGGCTAACATGGTGAAACCCCATCTCTACTAAAAATACAAAAATTAGCCAGGTGTGGTGGTGCGCACCTGTAGTCCCAGCTACTCGGGAGGCTGAGGAAGCAAAATCACTTGAATCCAGGAGGCAGAGGTTGCAGTGAGCCAAGATCGTGCCACTGCACTCCAGTCTGGGCAACAGAGCAAGACTCTGTCTCAAAAATAAATAAATAATTTTAAAAAAATTTTAAAAACTGATCAGAAATGACATCCACAAAACCTGAGAACTTAACAGTGATGTGAAACATCACCAGGCTTCAGATTGACCTCTAAGTAGCACACAAGTAGGACAAGCCAGAATAGCACCATAAAGACTTTGAACACTAAATTAACATTTGCATCATGGCCCATAAACATGGGTCAAGACATGTGTTCTGAACCTAAACAAGTTGACTGCCTACTAAAACAGAAACATTAAATAGAAACCAGGCCTCAATGCACCATATTCAAAATGTCCAACATATAAACAAAAAATCACCTGTCATTATCAAGAACCACAAAAATCTAAATAAGAAAATTCAAACAGTGTCAACACCAAGATGACACAGGTATTGCAATTATCTCACAAGTATTTTGCAGCAGCTATCATAAAAAATGTTCCAACAAGCAATTATGAATAACTTCGAAATTATTTTTAATGGAACATCTTAGCAACAAATATAAAATATAAGAAAGAAGCATTTAAGTCTTTAATCCATCTTGAATTAATCTTTGTATAAGGTGTAAGGAAGGGATCCATTTTCAGCTTTCTACATATGGCTAGCCACTTTTCCCAGCACCATTTACTAAATAGGGAATCCTTTCCCCATTTCTTGTTTTTGT
The DNA here is from genome assembly GCF_000001405.40 of Homo sapiens. Classification (NCBI taxonomy): domain Eukaryota; kingdom Metazoa; phylum Chordata; class Mammalia; order Primates; family Hominidae; genus Homo; species Homo sapiens. The sequence goes on along the minus strand of NT_167248.2, from coordinate 3,488,994 downwards.
CAGGTTTGTCAAAGATCAGATAGTTGTAGATATGTGGCATTATTTCTGAGGGTCTATATCTCTGTTTTGGTACCAGTACCATGCTGTTTTGGTTACTGTAGCCTTGTAGTATAGTTTGAAGTCAGGTAGCGTGATGCCTCCAGCTTTGTTCTTTTGGCTTAGGACTGACTTGGCAATGTGGGCTCTTTTTTGGTTCCATATGAACTTTAAAGTAGTTTTTTCCAATTCTGTGAAGAAAGTCATTGGTAGCTTGATGGGGATGGCATTGAATCTATAAATTACCTTGGGCAGTATGGCCATTTTCACGATATTGATTCTTCCTACCCATGAGCATGGAATGTTCTTCCATTTGTTTGTATCCTCTTAAATGTTAGACCTAAAACCATAAAAACCCTAGAAGAAAACCTAGGCAACACCATTCAGGACATAGGCATGGGCAAGGACTTCATGTCTAAAACACCAAAAGCAATGGCAACAAATGCCAAAATTGACAAATGGGATCTAATTAAACTAAAGAGCTTCTGCACAGCAAAAGAAACTACCATCAGAGTGAACAGGCAACCTACAGAATGGGAGAAAATTTTTGCATCTACTCATCTGACAAAGGGCTAATATCCAGAATCTACAATGAACTCAAACAAATTTACAAGAAAAAAACAAACAACCCCATCAACAAGTGGGCGAAGGATATGAACAGACACTTCTCAAAAGAAGACATTTACACAGCCAAAAGACACATGAAAAAATGCTCATCATCACTGGCCATCGGAGAAATGCAAATCAAAACCACAATGAGATTCCATCTCACACTAGTTAGAATGGCAATCATTAAAAAGTCAGGAAACAACAGGTGCTGGAGAGGATGTGGAGAAATAGGAACACTTTTACACTGTTGGTGGGACTGTAAACTAGCTCAACCATTGTGGAAGTCAGTGTGGCGATTCCTCAGGGATCTAGAACTAGAAATACCATTTGACCCAGCCATCCCATTACTGGATATATACCCAAAGGATTATAAAACGTGCTGCTATAAAGACACATGCACACGTATGTTTATTGTGGCACTATTCACAATAGCAAAGACTTGGAACCAACCCAAATGTCCAACAATGATAGACTGGATTAAGAAAATGTGGCACATATACACCATGGAATACTATGCAGCCATAAAAAATGATGAGTTCATGTCCTTTGTAGGGACATGGATGAAGCTGGAAACCATCATTCTCAGCAAACTATCGCAAGGACAAAAAACCAAACACCACATGTTCTCACTCATAGATGGGAATTGAACAATGAGAACACATGGACACAGGAAAGGGAACATCACACACCAGGGCCTGTTGTGGGGTTGGCGGAGGGGGGAGGGATAGCATTAGGAGATATACCTAATGTTAAATGACGAGTTAATGGGTGCAGCACACCAACATGGCACATGTATAGACATGTAACTAACCTGCACATTGTGCATATATATCCTAGAACTTAAAGTATAATTAAAAAAAAAAAGAATGCTGACATAGCTCTCAAACAAGGTAGACTTAAAGACAAGAAGCATTGATAGAGCTATAGATGAACACTACCCATGGCACATGTTTACCTATGTAACAAACCTGCACATCCTGTATATGTACCCCGGAACTTAAAATAAAAAGATGAACATTTCTAAAAAAAAAAAGAAAGAAAGAAGCAAATGGAAATTTTATAGCTGGAAAATAAAATAACCAAAATGAAAACTCACTGGATGGATTCAATAACAGAATGAATATGACAAAAGAAACAATCAGTGAACTCAAAGATAGAGCAATTGAAATTTTCCAGCCTGAACTGAGAGGAAAATACACTGAAAGAAAAAATTAAAAATGAACAGGCAAGATTCAAGATGGCCGAATAGGAACAGCACCAGTCTGCAGCTCCCAGCGAGATCGAGGCAGAAGGTGGGTGATTTCTGCATTTCCAACTGAGGCACACGGTTCATCTCACTGGGACTGGTTGGACAGTGGGTGCAGCCCACGGAGGGCAAGCCGAAGCAGGGTGGGGCATCACCTCACCTGGGAAGTGCAAGGGGTCGGGGAATTTTCCCCTCTACCCAAGGGAAGCCATGAGGGTCTGAGCCTGAGGAACTCCAGCACAGATACTGCACTTGTCCCACAGTCTTCGAAACCCACAAACCAGGAGATTCCCTCCAGTGACTACCCCACCAGGGCCCTGGGTTTCAAGCACAAAACTGGGTGGCCAATTGGGCAGACACTGAACTAGCTGTAGGAGCTTTTTTTCTTTTTTCCATACCCCAGTGGCGCCTGGAACACCAGCGAGACAGAACCGTTCACTCCCCTGGAAAGAGGGGCTGAAGCCAGGGAGCCAAGTGGTCTGGCTTGGCTGGTCCCACGCCCATGGAGCCCAGGAAACTAAGATCCACTGGCTTGAAATTCTTGCTGCCAGCACAGCAGCAATCTGAGATTCACCTGGGATGATTGAGCTTGGTGGTGGAAGAGACGTCCACCATTGCTGAGGCTTGAGTAGATGGTTTTATGGCCACAGTATAAACAAAGCTGCTGGGAAGTTCAAACTGGGCAGAGCTCACTGCAGCTCAGCAAGGCTGCTGTGGCCAGACTGCCAGATTGCTCCTCTCTGGACAGGGCATCTCTGTAAAAAAGGCAGCAACCCCAGTCGGGGGCTTATAGCAGACTTAAACGTCCCTGCCTGATGGCTCTGAAGAGAGCAGTGGACCTCCCAGCATGGTATTGAAGCTCTGCTAAGGGTCAGTCTGCCTCCTCAAGTGGGTCCCTGATCCCCATGTATACTGACTGGGAGATACCTTCTAGCTTGGACCGACAGACACCTGATACAGGAGAGCTCTGGCTGGCATCTGACAGGTGCCCCACTGGGTCGAAGCTTCTAGAAGAAAGAACAGGCAGCAATCTTTGCTGCTTTGCAGCCTCTGCTGGTGATACCCAGGCAAACAGGGTCAGGAGTGGACCTCCAGCAAACTCCAGCAGACTGGCACCAAAGGGGCCTGTTAGAAGGAAAAGAAACAGAAAGGATTAGCACGTCCACTCAAAGACCCCATCCGAAGGTCACCAACATCAAAGACCAAAGGTAGATAAATCCACAAAGATGGGAAAAAAGTAGCATGAAAAGGTTGAAAATTCCAAAAACCAGAATGCCTCTCCTCCTCCAAATGATCACAACTCTTCGCCAGCAAGGGAACAAAACTGGACAGAGAATGAGTTTGATGAACTGACAGAAGTAGGCTTCAGAAGGTGGGTAATAACAAAAAACTACAAGCTCAAGAAGCATGTTCTAAGCCAATGCAAAGAAGCTAAAAACCTTAAAAAAAGGTTAATCGAATTAACTAGAATAACCAATGTAGAGAAGAACATAAATGACCTAATGGAGCTGAAAAACAAAGCACAAAAACTTCATGAAGAATACACAAGTATCAATAGCCAAACTGATGAAGCAGTGATTGAAGATCAACTTAATGATCAACTTAATGAAATAAAGAGAGAAGACAAGATTAGATAAAAAAGAATAAAAAGGAACGAACAAAGCCTCCAAGAAATATGGGACTTGCCGGGGCGCGGTGGGTCACACCTGTAATCCCAGCACTTTGGGAGGCTGAGGTGGGTGGATCACGAGGTCAGGAGATCGAGACCATCCTGGCTAACATGGTGAAACCCCGTCTCTACTAAAAATACAAAAAATTAGCTGGGCGTGGGGGTGGGCGCCTGTAGTCCCAGCTATTTGGGAGGCTGAGGCAGGAGAATGGCATGAACCCAGAAGGTGGAGCTTGCAGTGAGCCGAGATCACACCACTGCACTCCAACCTCGGTGACAGAGCGAGACTCCATCTCAAAAAAAAAAAAAGAAACATGGGACTATGTGAAAAGACCAAATCTACGTTTGATTGGTGTACCTCAAAGTGACGGGGAGAATGGAATCAAGTTGGAAAACACTCTTCAGGATATTATCCAGGAGAACTTCTCCAACTTAGCAACACAGGCCAACATTCAAATTCAGGAAATACAGAGAACACCACAAAGATAATCCTCAAGACGAGCAACCCCAAGACACATAATCATCGGATTCACCAAGGTTGAAATGAAAGAGAAAATGTTAAGGGCAGCCAGAGAGAAAGGTCGGGTTACCCACAAAGGGAAGCTCATCAGACTATCAGCCGAACTCTCTGCAGAAACCCTATAAGACAGAAGAGAGTGGGGGCCAATATCCAACGTTCTGAAAGAAAAGAATTTTCAACCCAGAATTTCATATCCAGCCACACTAAGCTTCATAAGGGAAGGAGAAATAAAATCCTTTACAGACAAGCAAATGCTGAGGGATTTTGTCACCACCAGACCTGCCTTACGAGAGCTCCAGAGGGAAGCACTAAACATGGAAAGGAACAACTGGTACCAGCCACTGCAAAAACATACCAAATTGTAAAGAACATTGACACAATGAAGAAACTGCATTAACTAATGGGCGAAACAACCAGCTAGCATCATAATGACAGGATCAAATTCACACATAACAATATTAACCTTAATGTAAATGGGCTAAATGCCCCAATTAAAAGACACAGACTGGCAAATTGGATAAAGAGTCAAGACCCATCAGTATGCTGTATTCAGAAGACCCATCTCATGTGCAAAGACAAACATAGGCTCAAAATAAAGGGATGGGGGAATATTTACCAAGCAAATGGAAAGCAAAAAAAAAGCAGGAGTTGCAATCCTAATCTCTGATAAAACAGACTTTAAATCAATAAAAATCAAAAGAGACAAAGAAGGGCATTACATAATGGTAAAGGGAACAATGCAGCAAGAAGAGCTAACTATCCTAAATATATATGCACCCAATACAGGAGCACCCAGATTCATAAAGCAAGTTCTTAGAGACCCAGACTCCCAAACAATAATAGTGGGAGACTTTAACACCCCACTGTCAATATTAGACAGATCAATGAGACAGAAAATAAAGATATTCAGGACTTGAACTCAGCTCTGGACCAAGCAGACCTAACAGACATCTACAGAACTCCCCACCTCAAATCAACAGACTATACATTCTTCTCAGCACCTCATTGCACTTATTCTAAAATTGACCACATAATCAGAAGTAAAACACTCCTCAGCAAATGCGAAATAATGGAAACCATAACAAACAGTCTCTCAGACCACAGTGCAACCAAATTAGAATTCAGGATTAAGAAACTCACTCAAAACTGCACAAATAAATGGAAACTGAACAACCTGTTCCTGAATGACTACTGGGTAAATAATGAAATGAAGGCAGAACTAAAAATGTTCTTTGAAACCAATGAAAATGAAGACACAATGTACCAGAATCTCTGGGACACATTTAAAGCGGTGTTTAGAGGGAAATTTATAGCACTAAATGCCCACAAGAGAAATCAGGAAAGTTCTAAAATTGATGCCCTAACATCGAAATTAAAAGAACTAGAGAAGCAACAGCAAATAAATTCAAAAGCTAGCAGAAGACATGAAATAACTAAGATCAGAGCAGAACTGAAGGAGATAGAGACACAAAAAACCCTTCAAAAATATCAATGAATCCAGGAGCTGATTTTTTGAAAAAATCAACAAAATAGACCACTAGCCAGACTAATAAAGAAGAAAAGAGAGAAGAATCAAATAGATGCAATAAAAAATGATATAGGGGATATCACCACTGATCCCATACAAATACAAACTACCATCAGAGAATACTATAAACACCTCTATGCAAATAAACTAGAAAATCTAGAAGAAATGGATAAATTCCTGGACACATACACCCTCCCAAGTCTAAGCCAGGAAGAAGTCGAATCCCTGAATAAAGCAATAACAATTTCTGAAATTGAGGCAGTAATTAATAGCCTACTACCCCAAAAAAAACCCCAGGAGCAGATGGATTCACAGGCGAATTCTACCAGAGGTACAAAGAGGAACTGGTACCATACCTTCTGAAACTATTCCAAACAATAGAAAAATAGGGACTCCTCCCTAACTCATTTTATGAGGCCAGCATCATCCTGATACCAAAACCTGGCAGAGACACAACAAAAAAGGAAAATTTCAGGCCAATATCCCTGATGAACATCAATGTGAAAATCCTCAATAAAATACTGGCAAACCGAATGCAGCAGCACATAAAAAAGCTTATCTACCACGATCAAGTTGGCTTCATCCCTGGGATGCGAGGCTGGTTCAACATACGCAAATCAATAAATGTAATCCATCACATAAACAGAACCAATAACAAAAACCACATGATTATCTCAATAGATACGGAAAAGGCCTTTGATAAAATTCAACACCCCTTCATGCCAAAAACTCTCAATAAACTAGGTATCGACGGAACATATCTCAAAATAACAAGAGCTATTTATGACAAACCCACAGCCAATATCATACTGAATGGGCAAAAACTGGAAGCATTCCCTTTGAAAACCGGCACAAGACAAAGATGCCCTCTCTCACCACTCCTATTCAACATAGTATTGGAAGTTCTGGCCAGGGCAATCAGGCAAGAGAAAGCAATAAAGAGTATTCAAATAGGAAGAGAGGAAATCAAATTTTCTCTGTTTGCAGAAGACATGATTGTATATTTAGAAAACCCCATCGTCTCAGCCCAAAACCTCCTTAAGCTGATAAGCAACTTCAGCAAAGTCTCAGGATACAAAATCAATGTGCAAAAATCACAAGCATTCCTGTACACCAATAATAGACAGAGAGCCAAATCATGAGTGAACTCCCATTCACAATTGCTACTAAGAGAATAAAATACCTAGGAATACAACTTACAAGGGATGTGAAGGACCTCTTCAAGTAGAACTACAAACCACTGCTCAAGGAAATAAGAGAGGACACAAACAAATGGAAAAACATTCCATGTTCATGGATAGGAAGAATCAATATCATGAAAATGGCTACACAGCCCAAAGTAATTTATAAATTCAATGCTATTCCCATGAAGCTACCACTGACTTTCTTCACAGAATTGGAAAAAAACTACTTTAAACTTCATATGGAACCAAAAAAGAGCCTGCGTAGCCAAGACAATCCTGGGCAAGAAGAACAAAGCTAGAGGTATCATGCTACCTGATTTCAAACTATACTACAAGACTACAGTACCCAAAACAGCATAGTACTGGTACCAAAACAGATATATAGACCAATGGAACAGAACGGAGGCGTCAGAAATAACACCACACAGCTACAACCATCTGATCTTTGACAAACCTGACACACACAAGCAATGGGGAAAAGATTCCCAATTTAGTAAATGGTGTTGGGAAAACTGGCTAGCCATATGCAGAAAACTGAAACTGGGCCCCTTCCTTACACCTTTTACAAAAATCAACTCAAAATGGATCAAAAACTTCAACATAAGACTTAGGACCATAAAACTCCTAGAAGAAAATCTGGGCAATACCATTCAGGACAGAGGCATGGGCAAAGACTTCATGTCCAAAACACTAAAAGCAATGGCAACAAAAGCCAAAATTGACAAACGGGATCTAATTAAACTAAAGAGCTTCTGCACAGCAAAAGAAAGTATCATCAGAGTGAACAGGCAACCTACAGAATGGGAGAAAATTTTTGCAGTCTATCCATGTGACAAAGGGCTAATATCCAGAATCTACAAAGAACTTAAATTTACAAGAAAAAACCCATCAAAAAGTGGGCAAAGGATATGAACAGACACTTCTCAAAAGAAGACATTTATGCAGCCAACAGACATATGAAAAAAATGCTCATCATCACTGGTCACCAGAGAAATGCAAATCAAAACCACAATGAGATTCCATCTCACACCAGTTAGAATGGCGATCATTAAAAAGTCAGGAAACAACAGGTGCTGGAGAGGTTGTGGAAAAATAGGAATGCTTTTACACTGTTGGTGGGAGTGTAAATTAGTTCAACCACTGTGGAAGACAGTGTGGCGATTCCTCAAGGATCTAGAACTGGAAATACCATTTGACCCAGCAATCCCAATACTGGGCATATACCCAAATGATTATAAATCATTCTATAGTAAAGACACATGCACACATGTTTATTGTGGCACTATTCACAGTAGCAAAGACTTGGAACCAACCCAAATGTCCATCAATGATAGACTGGATTTAGAAAATGTGGCACGTATATATCATGGAATACTATGCAGCCATAAAAAAGGATGAGTTTGTGTCCTTTGCAGGAACATGGATAAAGCTGGAAACCATCATTTTCAGCAAACTATCACAAGATCAGAAAACCAAACACCGCATGTTCTTGCTTATAAGTGGGAGTTGAACAATGAGAACATACGGACACAGGGAGGGGAACATCACACACCGGGGCCTGTCAGAGAGTGGGGAGTTAGGGGAGGGATAACATTAGGAGAAATACCTAATATAGGTGACAGGTTGATGGGTGCAACAAACCACCAGGGCACATGTATACCTATGTAAGAAAAATGTACATTCTGCACATGTAACCCAGAACTTAAAGTATAATAAAAAAAAAAAAAGAAAGAAAAGAAAAAACGAACAGAGCAACAAGTATCTGTGGGACAATAACAAAGTCTCTAACATTCCTGTGACTGGAATTACAGAAGGAGACGGCATAGGGTGCTAAAAAAAAAAAAAAATTGAGACAGGCTCTCACTCTGTTACACAGGCTGGAGTGCGGTGGCATGATCACAGCTCACTGCAGCCTCAAACTCCCAGGCTTAGGTGATCCTCCTGCCTTAGCCTCCCGAGTAGCTGGGACCACTGACACATGCCACCATGACCAGCTAATTTTTTTTATTTTTTTTGTAGAGACAGTGTTTTGTCATGTTGCCCAGGCTGGTCTGAAAAAACTTTTTAACAAAATAATGATTGAAGACTTCTCAAACTTAATGAAAGACATAAATGTGTAATTCAAAAAGCTAAAGCAACTTCTAATATAATAAACTCAAAGAAATCTATGCTCAGATACATCATAATCAAATTTCTGAAAACTTAAAAAAATCTTGAAAACATTCTGAAAGAAAAAGCATTATTTATAGGAGAACAACAATTAGAATTACAGTGGATTTCTCACCAAAAAACCCAAAACAGGAAGAAAGTAGCACAACATTTTTCAACTGCTAAAAAATAAGACCTATCAGCCCAGAAGCTTATATCCAGAGATAATACTCCGAGGAAACTTCAAACACATTTTTAGCAATGTTACAGAATAGTAATCAATTGTATTCCTCTATGCTAGCAATAAAAAGTAGGAAGCCAAAACTGAAGCACAGTACTATTTACAACCACTCCAAAGAAAATTAAATATTTAAGTATAAATCTAACAAAATATGTACAGAATCAGCAGGCTGAAAACTACAAAATGCTGATGAAAAAATAAAAATAGATCTAAACAAACGGAGAGACATGCAGTGTCATTTAACTGGAAGACAACAAAGATGTCAATTCTCTTCAAATCGGTCTATAGGTTTAACACATTTCCTATCAAAAGCTTCCTTTTGTAGATATAGACAAACTGGTCCTAAAATCTATATGTAAAGTCAAAAGAACAAAAATTGCTAAAACAATATTTAAAAAGAATAGTAAAGTAGGAAGAATCACACTATCCAATGTTAACATTTACTACTGTAGATTGCCAGGCCAAGATGGCTGATTAGAAACAGCTATGGTCCACAGCACTCACAGAGAGGAACAAAAGAGGCAAGTGAATACAGCATCTTCAACTGAAATATCCAGGTACTTGCATTGGGACTCATCAGGAAAACAACTCGACCCACAGAGAACAAAGAAAAGCTGGATGGGGCGACAGCCCCCCTGGGAGCGACACAGAGCCAAAGGAACCCCCACTCCCAGCCAAGGGAAGAAGTGAGTGATGGTGCGACCTCAGGAAACCATGCTTCTCCCATGGATCTTTGCGACTGGTGGATCAGGAGATTCCCTCATGAGCCCATGCCACCAAGGCCTTGGGTCCGACACACACACAGCTGTGTGGAGTCTTGGCAGAGCAGCTGCTCAGACACACACAGAGACCCACGAGCTTTACATACTCTGGCCCAGGGCGGAGCGCAGGAAGGGCCCCAAAACAGATCATATCACAACTGTTGTTCTGGGAGAAAGTAAAAGTCAAAAAAGCATTGCATTTAGTTCAGGTTTCAGCCAAACTGCGAGATACCACGTTATTTAAGAGGCAGGCGGAGGAAGGAAACCTACCGCTTTGGAAGAGGCGGAGGAAATCGCTTTCTTCCCTGTGACTCAGCCCTGGAGGAATTTCCCTTTTGAAATCTTGCGGTGTTGAGTAGGACCGCCAGGCCGGCAAGCAGGAGGCGGCCTCCTCGTAACCGCCAGGCGGCGACACCTAGGGCGGCGCGGCCAGGAGGCGGGACCCCTTCTCCCCTCGCTGTTCCCCCTCGCGCCCCTTCTCCCCTCGCGGTTCCCCCTCGCGCCCCTTCTCCTCTCACATTTCCCCCTCACAAGCCTTCTCCCCTCCTGGTTCCCCCTCAAGCGCCTTCTCTCCTCAAATCTCCCTCAGCTTCCTTCTCTCCCTCCCATTTCTCTCCCCATTCTTTTACCTCTCCTAGTCCCGCCTTCCCCAGCACGATGGCACCTCTCTCGCCCTAAATCTTCTCCCCACTCCTCTCAACCCACTGACCGCCCTCGCCTCCCCACCCCCATCCCCTCTTCCCGCACGCACTGTCTACCTTTCTGCCCCTCCGCACTCCCGGACTCCTCAAGCACATACACCCAGCCTCATCTCACCCAACCCGGCCTATTCACTCCCTGAACCACCCCACCCCATCATCCTCTTCCTCCCCCATCTTCCTCCTCCCCAGTAGCTCTTCCCCCTCTTCCTCCTCACTTCCCCACCCCGTCACACCCCCCTCCCTCTCCCTGCCCTCGGTCTCTTCACTCCATCTCCTCCCTTTCACTGTGCTGTTTCGCGGTAGGAAGAGAAGAGTGGTGATACCTGAGGAATAAAAGGTATAACTCCCTCCCCAAACACTGCTAAAATGACTCTGAAAATAAATAATCAGGCAGACAAGGGGAACAGGGAACAGCAACAGACTGTAATGCTTTTCTGGAAAACTGGTGAAAAGCGGAGCTGATGAAAGTGGAACCTATTGTGCATCCAAAGAAATGCTACACAGAAGGAAAACCACTGTTTAGACAGAGCCCTAAATCTCTAGAAATGGAAAGCTAAAAACTAAGAAAGTCTAGGGTAAGAGGGTAAACCTGAAAAAGATGGACCTATTGAAAATCTGTATAAGAAGGAGTTAGGGCTGAGATCTTTCCCTTATTCTTGGTCTGCACATCCATGAACCTAACTTTCCCCCAATACCATTTTTGACTTAAAACAAGAATCAGTAAACTTTTTCTATAAAGGGCCAAATGTTTACTTTGGCTTTGTAGGTCCCTATGGGCTCCATCACAACTACTCACCTCTGCCTTTATAGCACAAAAGCAGTCATAGACAATACATAAATGAATGAAGAACATGGCTATGTTCCAATAAAGCTTTACTTATGGAGACTTAAATTTGAATTTCATATAATTTTCACATGTCACAAAATATTATGTGACATTTTACATGAAATGTAAAAATCATTCTTAGCTCATGGGCTATACAAAAAAAAAACAAGTTGCAGACTGGATTTGGCCCATTGGGTGGTAGTTTGCTCATCCCTGGCTTAAAGAAAAAAACAATTAATAAACCAGGAATAAGGCCAGGTGCAGTGGCTCACACCTGCAATCCCAGCACTTTGGGAGGCTGAGGTGGGCTGATCACCGGAGGTCAGGAGTTCAAGATCAGCCTGGCCAACATGGTGAAACCCCCATCTCTACTAAAAATACAAAATTAGCTGGGTATGGTGATGCCTGCCCGTAATCCCAGCTACTTGGGAGGCTGAGGCAGGAGAATCTCTTGAACCCAGCAGGCAGACGTTGCAGTGAGCCGAGATCATGCCATTGCACTCCAGCCTAGGCAACAAGAGCAAAACTCCATCTCAAATAAATAAATAATATAAATAAATAAACAAACCAGGAATAGAAGAGAACTTCTTTAACCTGATAAAGGGTATCTATTTTTTTTTATTCTGAAACACATCTTCCAAAAAGAGAAAGTTGGGATGCATTCTCATTAAAATTATGAAGACAAGGAGACTACTATCATCACTTTTATTCAACATTGTATTTTGGTCATTACCAGCATAATGAGATAAGAAAAAGAAACCAAAAGATTGGAAAGGAAGACATAAAACTGTCAACATTTACAGAGGACATGATTACACCATAGAATCTAAAGACAAATTAATCTAAAGACAAATTACTATAAATAATAGGAAAGTTTAATGAAGTAACTGATATAAACTCAATCCTCTATTTTCACATCTTTGCTTTTCCTATTGCCTATGTTTTTATGTTTTTGTTATACTTGCTGGGATATTTCTTCTCCTTTACCTTCCCAAACCTTTATTAAATACTTATTCTGAGCTCTCATATTTTAAGTTTTCAGGAGCTGTTTACTTGTTAATCCTTCCCTTGTTTAAGTATCTTGTTCTTTCATAGATGTGATACCTGCTTTTATTTCTCATTGATTATAGTTGTGTTTTAAAGTCTCTTCTGAATTGTCTCTGTTCTTCCAAGTTCTTCCTTGTTTTGAACTCTGCCTTTGTTACTGGATACTTTCTTTGCATTTTAATGAGACTAAGAGGTCCCTTCTGAAACCTTACACATCAGCATCTCACTCTCTAACCAAAACCCAATATCTTTGCAGCTCTAGTGCTCTAGAGTTCCCACTGCCTTTCTTCTTTGACCTCACTAGTACCTTCAGGCACTTCCCCCTTTTGTTTCCAGTCAGTCAGCTTCCTTCCCTTACCGACTACATTACCTGAAACTTTCTAGCCTAAACCATGATCAGTCAATTCAGTTGCACCCACAATTCAAACATCCCCTTACTAGATCAAATTAACTCTGCCCTCTCAGTTGTCAGAAGATTAAAAAGTCTGCATGTTGGACTCCCAATTCTTCAGCTCCATGTTCCTCTGAGCCTCCAACATGCTCACTTAAGCATGTCCTTCTATTGACCAAGGCAGCTTTTGCAGACCTTCAGGCATATTCTTAAACCACTTCCTAGTCCTCATTCTCAGCAGAGGATCATACCTTACATTCTTATCTCATATCTCAGTGGAAGTGGCATTCCTGCTTCCATACAGATTTTCCATACAAATTTTCTCCCTTCACCTGTGCTCTAGCCAAGTGATTCTCAAACTTAAGCATGCATCAAAATCACCTGGTACATTCCTAAAGCCCCACTCTCACAGATACTAATTCACTGTATCTGGGATAAAGTCTAACAATTTTGTATTATAACTCAGGTACTAAACCCAGTAAACAAAGTTCTTATTTTTCTTGATGCTGTTGGCCTTAATTCTTTCCCTAGTTCTAGAAGACACTACGTGTCTTATGGCCTGCCGCAATTAGGGCCATCCCCCCCACCTCTTGAAAAGACATTATTATTTTGAATATTTCTCACACACACACACACACAGAGAAAATTAAATTACTCACAACTCTATTAATTGCCCCAGAGATCTATCCTCACATCCTTCTCTCATATCTCAGTGGAAGTAGCATTCCTGCTTCCATACAAAGTTTTTCCCTTCACCTGTGCTCTAGCCAAGTGATTTTCAAACTTGAGCATGTATCCAAATCACCTGGTGATTGCTAAAGCCCTACACCCACAGATTCTAATTCACTGTATCTGTGATGAAGTCTAACAATTTTGTATTGCTAACAAGCTTCCAGGTGATGCCAGTGCCACCCATTTGCGGATCATCCTTTGAGTATCCTGCTCTAGATTCCATCATCTCCTGTCTCCCAGAAGTCCATACTTCATCTTCAACCTCTTTCCTATTTCCCATGCCCATACCTTACCCCTCAAACACATATGAATGCAGTCAAGACTCTCCAATCTTCAAAAAAGAAAAAAAAAACTTTCAAAATATCCTATTATTCTCACCTTTTTTTTTTTTTTTTTTTTTTTTTGGAGACAGAGTCTTGCTCTGTCACCCAGGCTGGAGTGCAATGGTGCGATCTAAGCTCACCGCAACCTCCGCCTCTCAGAATCAAGCAATTCTCCTGCCTCAGCCTACTGAGTAGCTAGAATTATAGGCACGTGCCACCATGCCCAGCTAATTTTTTGTATTTTTAGTAGAGACGGGGATTCACCATGTTGGTCAGGCTGGTCTGAAACTCCTGCCCTCGTTGATCCACCCACCTCAGCCTCCCAAAATGCTGGGATTACAGACGTGAGCCACCACACCCGGCCTGCACCTTTTCTTTATAACCAAGCTTTTCAGAGGAATCATGTCCATACTCTTTACTTCCTCGCCATCGATTGCACTTTTCAATTTGGTTTCTATTCCAACTAAAGCATCAAAACGACTCAGATACTAAACCCAGTAAACAAGGTGCTTATTTTTCTTGATGCTGGTTGGCCTTAATTCTTCCCCTAGTTCTAGAAGACACTACATGTCTTATGGCCTGCCAAAATTAGGGCTATCCCCCCACTTCTTGAAAAGACTTATCATTTTAATCTTTCTAACCACAGCACAGATGATATAGGACTAACAAGATACATTTTTTTCCCCTTTATTTTCCATTAAATGCAATGCAAAGTAAATCTAAATATTAACTACACTGCTCTTCCCTTTTCCTGGAGGTAGGAAGCCTTTTATGATTCAAACTATTCTGTGCCTTGAAGCATCCTGCCTCCCATGTAGTGGTCCTCATTGTCCCTGGGAAGCTCCTCTTCCTTAAGTGATGATGTCCCCAAGGTTCTGACCTCTTTTCACTCTCACTCTCTACCTGGGCCATATCTTTCACCCTATGGCTTAGGCCCAATAATATAACTGCATCCTTGATGTAGCCTTGCAAAACCTTTGACTAATTTAGACCAAATGCATACATTTTGAAGATGTTATTTGATTTTATTAATAATCTTTAAAACCATCTTTATTTACCAAAGATCACTGAAGTCACATGAACTAAAAGGCCTTAAAATTTCTATTTCTCGGCCTGGCACAGTGGCTTACACCTATAATCCCAGCACTTTGGAAGGCCGAGGTGGGCAGATCACGAGGTCAAGAGATCAAGACCATCCTGGCCAACAAGGTGAAACCCTGGCCCTACTAAAAATACAAAAATTAGCTGGGCATGGTGGCGTGTACCTGTAGTCTCAGCTACTCAGGAGGCTGAGACAGGAGAATTGTTTGAACCCGGGAAGTGGAGGTTGCAGTGAGCCGAGATTGCGCCATTGCACTCCAGCTTGACAACAGAGCGAGACTCTGTATTAAAATATATATATGTATATATATATATACACATATATATATGTATATATATATACATATATATGTATATATATATATATATGTATATATATACATATATATGTATATATATATACATATATATGTATATATATATACACATATATATATGTATATATATATACATATATATATTTCTCTGATAAAATATTTAAGTGCTTATTTTTCTAAAAGCCATTAATTACAGCTTTTTCATATATTTTGGTAGTGAAAATATCACAAACACATGATATGTATAAACACACAGACATACAAACACACAGAAGCAGATTTTATAGATTTGTAAGATTCTTCATGTGCCAGTTTTTAAAGTTTCTCTTCCTCATTTTGGACCTTCTCTTGATTACCTGTTCCCTGCCCTAAATAATTGTCAGCTATGCCACTCCAAATCTGCATTTCTAAAGGCACAATTCTTAAGTGAAATGAAATAGAAAATTCATATTTTATTTAAACCAAGGAAAAATGGTATGAGTAAAAGTTCAGTTAAGATGGCCAGGAAGCTGTGTGTGGTGGCTCATGCCTGTAATCCCAGCACTTAGAGAGGTCAAGGCAGGAGGATTACTTGAGCCCAAGAGCTCAAGACCAGCCTGGACAACATGGCAAGACCCCATCTCTACAAAAACATACAAAAATTAGCTGGGCGTAGTGGTCTCAGCTGCTGGGGAGGCTGAGCTGGGAGGATCACTTGAGCCCAGGAGGTCAAGGCTGCAGTAAGCTATGTTCTCACCACTGCATTCCAGCCTGGGTGACAGAGCAAGACCCTGTCTCAAAAGAAGAAAAAGAAAAAAGATGGTTAGGAAAACAGACACACTTGCCCACTGAAATTTTTTTAAAGATGTTAGTTTCTTAATTGAATTACTGGCTTTAGGGTGGAGCCCTTTAAGGAACAGGGCCAGGAAAGCATGCAGTTTCTATGGCCTAATAAGCAGGCACAGCTGGAAGGCAAAATAGATCTCCAAAGTTAAGGATCCAACTTTTACACTGAATCCTGGGTCCTCAAGAGAGGAGAACACCGCAGGACAAGACAGTGCAATGCTTTTACGGTGCACTTCACTGCAAGGACATTCCCCTGAGGCTGGTGGGCAACCCTATAGCAATCAGCCTATTCTGTAATCACTTAATGCTCCATGGGAGTCTTAACCCTCATTCCATACCTTCTAGGTGCCCGAAAGCATGCTTTTCTTATCTAAATGTGCAAAAAAAAAGCAGTACCACCCTGTAGTAATAACTATTCACTGTAAACAACGTCAATAGCCATCTCTAAAAGTATATTTCTTTCCTAGCTTTTACATACCAAGATTAAAATTTAAGCAGACAGAATTCAGTTGCTTAAGATGTTTTTACAGAGAGAGAGCAGAGGCTTTAAAACAATATCTGTACACATATATTCTACATCAGTTTTAATTAAGTTGACTTTTAACTATAGAGCTCTTGAAGAAAATTCTTTCAGATCTCTTATTACCAGTTTTTAGCTGGAACAAACAGCTGATATTTCTGGCTTTTGAACTCTCTACCAAGGATAACCTCCCACCTGAAACCAATGAGCCTTAACTAGGGTTATGACTTAACCACAGATGCACAAGGTATCTCCAAAGAGATGCCAAGCAGTTTTTTACAAGATCTAGAATCACCCCAAAGGTATCTCAGAGCAAGGAAAATTCAAGACAGGAAATCAGAAGCTGTCCATCAATGAATGGCAAAAAGTCCCACAAATACAAAACCAGAAAGGACGCATTCCCTAAGCTGGGAAGTGATCCCAGGCCACCATAGTGAAAGGGCAGAGATTTAGCTACTGTGCTACAGCATAGGGTGGTTGCCAGTGCTCTTCCCAGAAAGAATCTAGAGCAGTCATTTTCAAGCTTGCGAATGATTTTAACTGCTCAAGAGAATTTTTAAGGCTACCCACGACACTACTGTTTAACCTTCCTTCAATTGTTTTAGATAAGAGATCTCTAAAATCCTTTTTCTTTCAATGGTGTACTTAGTTCCAATAGAGACTCAAACACCTTTTTTAAATTGCAGATGGTAATTTTCCAGGTTTTTGCCATATAAGCAGCAAGAAGTATTCCTAGAGGAGGCATCCCCAAGTATTCCCTCTTGGA
Organism: Homo sapiens; assembly: GCF_000001405.40. Classification (NCBI taxonomy): domain Eukaryota; kingdom Metazoa; phylum Chordata; class Mammalia; order Primates; family Hominidae; genus Homo; species Homo sapiens. The sequence goes on along the minus strand of NT_167248.2, from coordinate 3,471,503 downwards.
AATGGGTTTAAGATAGCAAAATACAACAAAAGTCCTGTAGAGATAGGACTGTTTTTTTGTCCTAATAAATCCAACCAGCAGAGATGGGACGTTTTAAGACAAAACTCACCTAAGGGCTCGACACATTCAGGACGAAGAGTATGCTAATGTGTCTCAGACTCCCAGTCCTCTCAGACCAGCCACCTGACTTGAACCCAAGAATTTCCATCCTCCAGATGGCAGAGATCAAGAGAGAGAGTACCCCTACATGGTTACAAAGTCAAGCTCTCAACCACATAAAACAAGACCAGGGAAATCTCATCCAGTTTTTGTTCCAAGGACCTGCAGCAAAGTTTGTAACCGACCAGTCTGCAGGGCTGGCTTGAACAGCAGGCTTACAGGGATCCTAGGCCTGTGTTCTATCCTATGGTATCCTTCTCCATGACAGAACGACACAAAAAGGCAAAGACAAAGGAAGATGGCAAAAAAGGTGATTTCTGAGAAGGGGCCAAACAATACAAATATTTATAGTTCAAAGTAGCAAAAGTACACAAGATTCACTACAACCTAAGACTAGTCACACAAATCTTCTTCCCTATTAATCAAAACTTTGCAGAGGAGACAAACAGTGACTTTTATTGTTCACTCAACTCATTTGCACAGAGAGAGAAAGGCCAGAGGCTAGCTGGTAAGAAATTAGCTTTTTACCAGCTTGTCAGGTTTATGGCTTCCCTTTCTCAGCTGCTTCCAGAAGAGCAGAGTGGCTTTTGATGACCCTGCTTGCTGCACCATAGCTGTGGGGGCCAAGCCACTTTACAAAAGAAAAACATTCCTTTTCTTTTCATGGAACCAAAGGCAAAAGGCCCCAGTTTTGCAAGAGGCAGCCCAACAGGTTGTGTGGGGGAAATAAATTAACGTTTCCCATTCCAACAGGAGTTATACACACATGTCAAAACACAGACACTAGTCACTCTGCTCAGTGCCCAAGTATCAACCTGGCAAGGCTCAAACTTGCCCCCATTGGCCCCTATCTGAGTCTCCTCCCCAATATAAGTTTCATGGTGGTAGGGCATATTAAGAAAGCCTGGCAGGCCAGGCGCGGTGGCTCCCGCCTGTAATCCTAGCACTTTGGGAGGCCAAGGCAGGCAGATCACCTGAGGTCAGGAGTTCGAGACCAGCCTGGCCAACATGGTGAAACCCTGTCTCTACTAAAAATACAAAATTAGCCAGGTGTGGTGGTGTGCACCTGTAATCCCAGCTACTCAGGAGGCTGAGGTAGGAAAATCGTTTGAACCTGGGAGGCAGAGGTTTCAGTGAGCCGAGATCACGCCACTGCACTCCAGCCTGAGTGACAGAGTGAGACTCCATCTCAAAAAAAAGTACCAGAACTAGAATGAAGCTGTTTTCTCTGCTATGTCTTGCAGTATTCCTTCCAGTGCAATTTACTGTCAAAGTCTAACGTTGTGCCCAATGGCAAAGAAGAAATGTGTATAGGGTCCAGCTCCAGAACCACAAGGCAGGACAAAGATGGAGTGGATTTGGAACAAAGATGCAATAAAATAATATTGAGCACCAGTCACACCTTTGGCTGCACAGTTTTCATATTACACATATTTGAACTTTTTTTTTTTTTTTGAGACAGAGTCTTGCCCTGTCACTCAGGCCAGAGTGCAGCGGCACAATCTCAGCTCACTGCAACCTCTGCCTCCTGGGTTCAAGCGATTCTCCTGCCTCAGCCTCCCGAGTAGCTGGGATTACAGGCACCCACCATCACACCCAGCTAATTTTTGTATTTTTAGTAGAAATGGGGTTTTGCTATGTTGGCCAGGCTGGTCTGGAACTCCCGACCTCAGGTGATCTGCCTGCCTTGGCCTCCCAAGGTGCTGGGATTACAGGCATGAGCCACCGTGCCTGGCCTGAACTTTTATACAACAATGAAATAATTCTCTATTTTCACCAATCAAGACAAAGCCACCTTATAAGTGAAGAAGTTCTCACTCTGTCCCCAAAATAAAGAGAGCCCTAGTCATTATATAGCTCAATACAGAGCTGTATTATTTACTCTTCAAATTCAGTCACAGTATCCTTGACCATATATACTCTTACCAAAAGGACTATATTACGACATAACTTCCAACAATTTGTATATAAAATCATAAGTGTCAGGAGAAGAAACAGTTGCCGAGAGCAGCATGTGTACTGCCCAGGTAGGTGACCCAGTCAGTGGTGGGGACGAATTTACTGACCCTCTCAATCCCGTGTAGGTCAGGCCCAACCATGGTTAAGGCTGAAACAGGCAAGTCCTAGTGGGAGGAATTTGAAAACCAAGTTAGGTGAAAAGGCCTAGGGGTCTCCAACCTTGGCCTCCGTCCCTGATAGAATCAGAGGAGAGAGGCCTGGGGTGCTGGAGGCAGAAGAGGCCCTGCCCTGTCCAACCCTGAGAGGCAGATTCTCAGTCCCCAGGATGTCGGACACTTTTTTCTCTCTTGTCACTGAGTCTCCTCTCCACAGGCAGAACTGTGGGCTGAACCCTGAGGCCAGCGCCTCTGCTCTCTAATGACCACCACCAAATACTCAGGCCCACTGTTCACTAGGTGGCATCTTACTCTGAGCATTACATATTTATTTCCGTGAATGTTTTAGCTTAATACCATGAGATGGTCCTTACTGTCCTCACTTTACAGCTGAGAGACAGAGCCTCGATGATCTGAGGAAACCTGCCCAGGGTCACAGGTCGTGTGGCCAAACCCTAACAGGGGCCAGGTCTACATCAAAGCTCAGTTGAGCTCTAAACAGGGGGCCACCAGATTAGGGGCACCAGCCCTAGGGGTCCTCCAGGGATCTGGAGAGACAGGAAAGAAGGCAGAGAACATATTAGAACTATTATAAAATCTTTAATCTTATGCCCTTTTAATGTGATTTGCGTTTGTTCTTTCAACCTGCATTATGTTTGCACATGTTTGTTAGCTGCATGTTCAAAATATATTATTACTGAATGGAGTGTGTGATCAAAAGAGTTTGGAGATCCTTGCTCCAAATCTCTGCTCCAGAAATCTTCTCTAAAGCAGCGGGTCTCAGAAAAGGAAGCAGAACCAAGAAGTAGCAGCGGCCTGGGAGGCGCCCGGACAGAAGGTGCTCCGTGGGCGGGGGGGAGTAACTCGTGGGCCCGGGAAAAGGCCCCCAACCTGGTCTCACCAGATTTTCCTCAGCCTCTGCTGCCCCCTTGTGGCCACCACGTGGCAGACAGAAAGAGCAGTTCCCAGCAGGAAGACACCGAGGGAGGGGTACGGAGGATGCAGAAAACAATCTTAGAACCGTGGAAGGGAGCGAAGGAAACCAGACACTAAAGACCTCAAGCTGTAGCAATCCAAACATGCGAAGTTGAAGAATAGCAAAACGAGGCGGGCGCGGTGGCTCATGCCTGTAATCCTAGCACTTTGGGAGGCTGAAGCGGGCGGATCACTTGAGGTCAAGAGTTTGAGACCAGCCTGGCCAACATGGTGAAACCCCGTCCCTACTAAAAATACAAAAATTAGCCGGAAATCGCTTGAACCCGGAAGGCGGAGGTTGCAGTGAGCCAAGATCATGCCACTACACTCCAGCCTGGGCAACAGAGTAAGACTCTGTCTTAAAAAAAAAAAAAAAGAAAAAGAAAAGAAAAGAAATGTCTTTTCTCACAGTTCTAGAGGCCAGAAAACCTGAGATCAAGGCACTACTGCCTGGTGAGGGCTGTTCTCTGCTTCCAATGTGGCATCTGTTGCTTCATCCTCTGGAGGGGAGGAACACTGTGTCCTCACGTGGCAGGGAGTGGAAGGGCAAAAGGGATGAACTCTTTCCATCAAGTCCTCTTATAATGACATTAATCCATTCGTGCCGGCTCTGCCAAAAGGCCCTCCCAAAAGGCCCCACCTTCCAACAGTTGCATGGGAATTAAATTTCCAACACATGAATTTTGGGAGACACATTCACAGCGTAGTCCAGCCTAAGCAATACGCTGTGCCAGGATTGCGGGGAGGGAGGGAATAGCTGCAGAAGCAGGGAATAAAGAATTTGGACTGAGACATGTTTCAGTTGACATCCTGGTGGGGAGTGGAGGAGGTGGCTGATGTGAAGAATGTGAAGAAAACAGTGATTCCACTGAAAACACATCCGACAGTCCTCTATCCTTACCAGGTGCTCCGTATAGTTTGGCGAGAGAGGCAGAAAGGTCTGAGTTCCAAGGAGAGGTCAGGGCTGGAGACATTCCATTGTGTGGCCACAGCTTCTTCCCAGAGCTTGCAGGAGACATGTTCACACCACCTCCCACCACCCCCACGATGCTATTTGTTCTGTATGTCTCTCCCACCTAGACTGGGAGCCTTGGAGGGCAGGGCATTGGGGGCCAGAGAGCCTTCCAGGCAGACTCTCCTAATGCCCGAAGCAAGGCTAGGCTCAGAAGCCCCGTGAGGAAGGCAGGTGAGGAACAGGCAGCCCTTGACCCATGACTGTGCCAGGTTGGGGACCTGGGACCCAGGGAAGCCTTCTCCCGCCTCACCATCAGCACAGGCCAGGATTGGAGAGTTTACCTCCTTTGGTGTTTACCAAACACACAGGGAAGACCAGTTGTGAGTAGACCAAGGCAGCCCAGCTGGGTGATCAGCAAGTCTCACCACCTCAGGCTACCCTCTTCACACACCGCAGCCTGTCCCCTGCCTACACTGCGCATCTTGAGTGCTCTGACCCCTTCACTACCCCTTCCTCCACCCCCCTGGACAGCAGCCCTGAGACAGGTCCTGAACCCCTAGCCAAGTACCCGCTGCCCACCCCCAGTGCCCCACCCACCCTTACTAGCTCTCACCCACCCTCCCATCCTAAACCTCAGCCCTCCCACCCCCCCATGCCCACCTGAGCCCCCGCTTTCAGCTGCCTAAGAACTTCCCCCTGATGTGAAGAAAACAGCGATTCCCCTGAAAACACATCTGACAGTCCTCTATCCTTAGCCAGGGCTCCATATAGTTTGGCGAGAGAGGCAGAGAAACAACAACGACAAAAAAATATACACGCACATACACACACACAGACATCCACAGATTCATAAACATTTTGGATCCCTGGAGCTTGGATACATTTTCTAAAGGGCAAGCAGTTGTTTTGCTTATTTAATTTTATTGACAATCATCTTGTCATTCACTCTTGTAATTATAAATTTTTGGATTTACCTTTTTAAATATATTTTAATAGATTCTTTCCCCATACTAGACCCCAGCACACAACTAATTTCCTTGTCATGAAAAAATAAAAATAAAAAACTCATTTGTGATATCTTTAACTTTCGCCTGTAGTTTCTAAATTTAAAATGGAAGATTGTCAATCCATAATTATATGTGTCCAGTAAAAATTTTAAAGACTGTTTCCAGGGTTAATTGTCAACCTCCCCAGGAAAGGGATAACCAGTAATGCCGCCCCAGCCCAGAGTCTCCTAGGACGGCAGCTGACACTGGCCAAGTCCGCCAGGTGCCTCCTGTCCATCTCCTTCCCTCTTCATCCAGCACCCACCCACTCACCCACGCCAGCCCCAACCTCTTTACAGATGAAGGAACTGAGTGAGGCTCAGAGAGGTTAGCTAGTCTGACCAACATCACACTGTGTCAAACTCCTAAGCTAAGTGTTTTTTTCACTATTATATACTCTTCTGCTCTACCCACCAAAAAATTTCTTATCATGCCTTTGTTGCGAAAGAAGGAAAGAAAGAAAGAAGGAAGGAAGGAAGGAAGGAAGGAAAGAAGGAAGGAAGGAAGGAAGGAAGGAAGGAAGGAAGGAAGGAAGGAAGGAAAGAAGGAAGGAAAGAAGGAAGGAAGGAAGGAAAGAAAGAAGGAAGGAAGGAAAGAAGGAAGGAAGGAAGGAAGGAAGGAAAGAAGGAAAGAAAGAAAGAAAATCTTTTGTCCCCAAAGTTAGAAAAACAAGTGAAAAAGGCCCAAGGCTATCAGCGAGGGCTCCAGAACCAAGGCAGTGCGGCCCTGCCCTTTCCTCCCACCTCACCCCTGCTCTGCTTTCCTCAGCCACTCCTGACCAGCAAGCAGGACACTGGGCATGGGTCCCAAGCCTGTGTCACCTTGGGCAGGTCGCGTCTCCCCTCTGGGCCTCAGTAAAAGAAGAAATGGGACCAAGTGAACGGTTCCAGGCTGTGTTCCCCAGCATCCTACATCCCATGGCAACCTTGAAGGGTCACTCTGGGTAGGGGTGGGGTCTCAGGAGGGGAAAGACTCAGCCAGAGCACTGATCCTATATCTCTTCTCTATTTTGGGATTCTAGATATGAGTTTGATGGACAAAATTCCTCTACATTTGACATGATGAAAAGAAAAAGTTTGAAAGCCAGAGGCAAGACCATCCTGAAGATTCCTTTCAACTCCAAGGTCCTTTCACTTCCACAGGTGATCTGACATCACCACCTCTCTCACCACGCTGACAGCACTTTCATTTTGACTCTTGTGATGAGGTCACCTGGTATCTACACAGGATGGGGTTTTTTTGTGGAAAATGAAGGATTTCCATATCTGCGAATTTATTACACAGGAGTTTTAATATGGCTGAGCACAGTGGCTCATGCCTGTAATCCCAGCACTTTGGGAGGCCAAGGCGGGCAGATCACTTGAGGTCAGGAGTTCAAGACTAGCCTGGCCAACCTAACAAAACCCCATCTCTACTAAAAATACAAAAATTGGTCAGGTGTGGTGGTGTGCACCTATAGTCCCAGCTACTTGGGAGGCTAGGGCAGGAGAATCGCTTGAACCTGGGAGGCAGAGGTTGCAGTGAGCCAAGATCGCACCACTGCACTCCAGCCTGGGCAACACAGCAAGACCCTATCTCAAAAAGTGGAGGAAAAAAAAGAGTTTTAATCCCAGATGTTTTATTCATTAAAATTCACTGCTAAACAAACAACCAAAAAAACTGTCAGTTAACTAGAAGGATTGACGGGGGTGTCTGATTAACTGGAAGTGTCCTGAAGATGTCCTGACTTTATAAGGACAATTTTGTAATGAATACATATACATTCTGTGAGGGCAGGGAGGGTTTTGCTAAGCACAGGGTAGATAGTCAAGCTTGGTTGACTTACTGCTTGAATAAATGAATGAATACATGAACTTTTCTCTGGTGGTCAAGAGTAATGCAGGGCCTTAGCTGCTTTGCAGTACATGTGGCCTCCAACGTCACCCTCAGCTGCTCCTGTTGCCAGCATTTAACAGCCTTCCAGTCACTCCTCACTCTTCACAATTCACTAAAATTTTCAGTCCCTGGGTCACTGTCTTTCTCTTCATCCCACTCCTGCTACCATTCTTTGTGGCTTCTCTATCAACCAAGACACTCCACCCAACACCCTGGCCTCTCACCTTGACCTTTTGACCTTCTCACCTCCAGTGATCTTGTCCTCCCCCTACTGCAGCCACTCACTCCACAGTCATACCTAGACTTGTCATTACCTGTACCTGTACCTGAAACCTCTCCATAATCTCAGTTTTAAGTATCCCCCTTCCTGTCCTTGCAGATCACTCCCTCTAGTGTCCACCTCCAAAGATCAAACAATATTTTCACTTCTCCAGACCTCCAACCCCTTTGACCCTGACATTATGAGATCCTGTGCCCTCCCAACCTTATCCCGCTTAGGTTTCATGAAGCATTGTTGTAAGAGCTATCTTGCATCTCAACTCCTATTTCCCTCATTCCCTCCATCATGCCTGCCTGTCAAAAGCCTAGCTCTGGCTACCTCCAACTTCCCACCGACTCCATGCCTGCATCCAAGCAGCTGAAGTGATTGGATAAAAATACTCAACCATGCTCATCAAACATTTACAAACTTCAAGTTGGCCATTAGAAACACCCAGCAGATAACCTGTGATGGAATTAGAGTAAAGAAAAGAAAAAGAAGTATACGGCATTTTCCTGGCCACTCACTCACAGAATTTCAAGGCAACTATTTCACACTTTCTTGTATTTCATTACACAGCCTCCATCCTCCTCACTTTCTTTTTTTTTTTTTTTTTTTTTTTTTGAGACAGAGTCTCACTGTATGGCCCAGGCTGGAGTGCAATGGCGCAATCTCGGCTCACCGCAACCTCTGCCTCCTGGGTTCAAGTGATTCTCCTGCTTCGGCCTCCCAATTAGCTAGGATTACAGGCATGCGCCACCACACCCGGCTAATTTTGTATTTTTAGTAGAGACGAGATTTCACCATGTTGCCCAGGCTGGTCTCAAACTCCTGACTCAGGTGATCCACCCTCCTCAGCCTCCCAAAATGTTGGGATTACTGGCATGAGCCAATGTGCTCAGCTCATCTTCCTCACTTTCAACTAACAACCAACTCCTCCACTTGGGCACTAGACCCCACTGCCTCTCACCTACTCAGGGCCATTCCTCCAGCAATACCCCATCTCCTGCACACCGCCTTTCCCTCTGCAGTGGCTCACTCCCATCAGCAAGCAAATATGTTATTCCTCCTATCTTAGAAAATAAAAAATGAATAAATACAAACCTTCCTCAGCACCCAAACTGAGGTCTCCTAGTACCATTTCCTCTAAAAAGAAACATATAGCAGCTTATGTACAAGATGAGCCTGAACATCTTATCACCAGAAAACAAGAAAGGCATCAAAGATATTAGTATTTTATCAACTTGAGGCTCGCACTGCCCAAATATGGCATAAATGGAGCCTCAGTAAAAATAGTGATAGCAACGGATTAAAACACATTAAAATCAACTGACTCATAGTGATACTAAATAAAGGGTCATTGGTTACCTTTGGCAGATGCTAGAGAACAAACTCATTATTCTGAAAGCTGCTAAATAAAGGGGAAAGAATGGCATCAATCTGCCTTTCCTAAATAAGTCATGTCAAAATAGTAGATGGGACATAATCTGTATAAATGAAATCAGTTTAGACAGAATAATAGACTTAGAATATCTGCATTTTATAATCCCTAAGAAAATAATGGATCTAGCAATGCTCATCATGGCTACCAACTAGAATTCTATGCCTCCTGATAGAAACACAGCACAATACCACCTATGACGTAGCCTTGCCAGAAAATAGATCATGAATCATATAAAGTCTTTAAATCTAACTACCAGTTTAAGAAGAAAATGGGGGAGGCAGAGGAATATGGTAAATGGTACAGTGATTCAATTAGCAAAATTCAGAATGTGGAAAGTTCTATAGGAAACAAGCCATTTCTTCAACAAATAAATGTCAAGGGGGTAAAAAAAGATTTAAAGAGACTTAAGCTCCAAGTCTAACCATGAGAAAATCACCAAACAAATTCCAAAAGAGGGGCAGCCTGCATAACACCTGACTAGTACACCTCAAAACTATCAAGGTCACCAAAAACAAGGAACACTGGCAAAACTGTCACAACCAAGAGGGCCCAAAGAGACATGACAAATACATGAAATATGGTATCCTGGAAGGCCAGGCGTGGTGGCTCACGCTTGCAATCCAGCACTTTGGGAGGCCGAGGCGGGCAGATCACTTGAGGCCAGGAGTTCGAGACCAGCCTGTCCAACATGGGGAAACCCCGTCTCTACTCAAAATACAAAAAAATTAGCCGGGCATGGTGGTGGGCACCTGTAGTCCCAGGTACTCGGGAGGCTGAAGCAGGAGAATTGCATGAAACTAGGAGGCGGAGGTTGCAGTGAGCCAAGATCACACCATTGCAATCCAGCCTGGGCAACAAGAGCAAAATTTCGTCTCAAAAAAAAAAGGAAAAGAAATATGGAATCCTGGAACAGACAAAAAGACACCAGGTGAAAACTAAGACAATCTGAATGAATGAAGTATGGACTTTAATAATAATTTATCTTTTTTTTTTTTTTGAGACAGAGTCTTGCTCTGTTGCCCAGGCTGGAGTGCAGTGGCATGATCTCAGCTTACTGCAGCCTCCACTTCCCAGGTTCAAGTGATTCTCCTGCCTCAGCCTCCCAAGTAGCTGGAATTACAGGTGTGCTCCACCACGCCTGGCTAATTTTTGTATTTTTAGTAGAGACAGGGTTTCACCATGTTGGCCAGGCTGGTCTCAAACTCCTGGCCTCAGGTGATCTGCCCACCTCAGCCTCCCGAAGTGCTGGGATTACAGGCGTGAGCCACCATGCCCGACCAATTTATCAATATTGATTCATTAATTATAACACATATACCCACACTCACGTAAGATGTTATTAATAAGGGACACTGAATCCAGGGAGGGCACATGGGAATACTCTGTACTATCCTCTCAGTTTCTCTATAAATCTAAAACTGTTCTAAAATGTGAATTCCACTTCAAAGAAGAGAAAGAGAGACTTAAGACACATATCAACTGAATACAATGCACGGATATTGTTTTGATATTGATTCAAACTGTATATATATTTAATGGAGAATTTGGGAAAACTAAACATTGCATATTTGATAATATTAAGAAATTATGTAAACTTTTCAGAAATAATACTAGCAAAATGGTTATATTATTTAAGAGTTCTTATCTTTTAGGATACTGAAATATTTGTGATAGAAATGATACAATATCATATCATATCATGTCATATCATATCATATCATATCTGGGATTTGTTCTAAAATAATCTGGTATGGAGGTTGGGAGTAGAGATGGAACCAGAGTGGTCCTGAATTTTTTTTTTCTTTAGACAGTGTCTCGCTCTGTTGCCCAGGCTGGAGTGCAGTGATGCCATTTTGACTCACTGCAACCTCCGCCTTTTGAGTTCAAGTGATTCTCCTGCCTCAGCCACCCTAGTAGCTGGAATTACAGGCATGCACCACCATGTCCGGCTAATTTTTGTATTTTTTATTAGAGACGGGGTTTCACCACGTTGGCCAGGCTGGTCTTGAACTCCTGACCTCAGGTGATCCACCTGCCTCAGCCTCCCAAAGTGCTAGGATTACAGGCATCAGTGGTCCTGAATTAATGATTATTGCATCTGGGTCACGGGTATATGGGAGTTCTTTTTCATTATCTCTATTTATGTGTATGAATTTTCTGGAATAATGAGTTTTTTAAAATTTCTCATGACCTCATATACTGTCTCGCTAGACATACTTTCTCTGTAGCTCTTGACAGCAAAATTCCTTAAGAAATTCTACAACACAAAATGTCTCTACCTCCTCTCCTCTCACAGATTTACTGAGGCATAATTTACATACCATAAAATTCACCCACTTTGGTCGGGCGCAGTGGCTCACAGCTGTAATCCCAGCACTTTGGGAGGCCGAGGTGGATGGATCACTTGAGGTCAGGAGTTCGAGACCAGCCTGGCCAACACGGTGAAACCCCGTCTCTACTAAAAATACAAAAATTAGCCAGGTGTAGTGGTGGCCCCCTGTAATCTCAGCTACTCGGGAGGCTGAGGCAAGAGAATTGCTTGAACCTGGGAGGTGGAGATTGCAGTGAGCCAAGATGGCACCACTGCACTCTAGCCTGGGCAACAGATCGAGACTCCATCTCAAAGAAAAAAAAATCATCCATTTTAAGTGTACAATTCAATGATTTTAGTATATTTATAGAGTTGTAAAACTATCACCACAATCTAATTTTGAAACATTTCCATCACACCAAAAAGAAATTTCATATTCCTTTGCACTTAGCCCCCATTCCAAACCTGAGCCCTAGACAATCACTAATCTTTCTGTCTCTATAGATTTGCCTATTTTAGACATTTCATGTAAGTGGATTCCTGCAGCCTTTTGAGTCTAGCTTCTTTCACTTAGCATAATGTTTTTGAGGTTCATTCATTTTGCAGCATGTATCCATATTTCATTCATTTTTATTGCTGAATAGTATTCCATTGTATGGACACACCTTTTTTTTTTTTTTTTTTTTTTTTGAGATAGAGTCTTGTTCTGTCACCCAGGCTGGAGTGCAGTGGTGTGATCTCAGCTCACTGCAACCTCTGCCTCCCAGGTTCAAGCAATTCTTCTGCCTCAGCCTCCCAAGTAACTGGGATTACAGGGGTGCACCACCATGCCCAGCTAAATTTTTTGTATTTTTAGTAGAGACGGGGTTTCACCATGTTGGCCAGCCTGGTCTCAAACTCCTGACCTCAAGTGATGCACCTGCCTCAGCCTCCCAAAGGGACACACCATATTTTGTTCACCAATTCACTGATCAATGGATATTTGGTTGTTTTTACTTCATACCTATTGTGAATAACACTGCTATGAATTCTTATACAAGTATTTGTGTGGACAATACGCTTTCATTTTTCTTTCTTTTTTTTTTTTTTTTTTTTTGAGACAGAGTTTTGCTCTTGTTGCCCATGCTGGAGTGCAACAGCGCAATCTCAGCTCACCGCAACCTCCGCCTCCTGGGTTCAAGTGATTCTCCTGCCTCAGCCTCCCAAGTAGCTGGGATTACAGGCATGCACCACCATGCCCAGCTAATTTTTGTATTTTTAGTAGAGATGGGGTTTCTCCATGTTGGTCAGGCTGGTCTCAAACTCCTGACCTCAGGTGATCCGCCCACCTCGGCCTCCCAAATTCCTGGGATTACAGGCATGAGCCACCACACCCGGCCTGCTTTCATTTTTCTTAGGTAGATACCTAGGAACCCAATTGCTGAGTCATATGGAAAATCTGTGTTGAATGTTTTAAGGACTTAACCAGCTGCCTTCAAGCTCCAAGACAAGATGACGTAGATGCTCTTCTGATTCCTCCTGCTAAATACAGCTACAATCCTGGATGGTATATATAAAACAAACATAAGAAGATCCTGAAAGATGCAGAGAAGGCAGACTGGCTAGGAATCTCAAGACCTGAAAAAACAATATAGTGGTGAGTTCCCTGGGTTTGGCTTTTGCCTCATATATACAAGACTGGGTGCTGGAAAAGCCAGCAACCAGGAAACTCCAACAGGAAGATGAAAAAAATCCCGGAAAGTCTCTGGCCAAAGGACCAACAAAGGAACATCCTGGAAAGACAAAACTTTTAGACAATGACTACTCTATTTCAGGCAAAAAAAAAAAAAAAAACACTCTCACCCCCATATCTGCCAATAAAGGATGAGTGGGGAGTTTAGCCATCAACTCCCACCCAGCTGAGGCACCCCTCCCCAGCAAGTAGGAAGCTGGGACTCTCAGCCCCGCCTGGTGGTATGAAATCCCCCTCCATCACAACCAGTGTCACTGGAGACCCCGTGGGGAACAGGAATGAGGTGCTTCTTACTCTCTCAGCCAGGGTGTGTCAGCAGAGACCTAGTGGGAAGCCTGAACCCCCATCCACACCTAGCAATAACAAGGAGCACGGCTCCCTCAAGTGTTCACAGAGGCCAAGTGAGGAACCTGGGCCTCTCCCCCAACCTGACAGCAGTGAGGCAGCACCCTCTTTGCTCAACTAGTGCGGTGTCAAAGGATGATCACTAAAACAGACTTAAATAAGATCCAGTCTCATAACATACAATCCAAAATGTGCAGGATGCAAGCGAAAATCACTTGTCATACCAAGAATCGGGAAAATCTTGAATAAGAAAAGACAATTAACAGACATCAACACCCAAGTTGACTTAAATGTTGGAATCACCTGATGCATATTTAAAGCAAGCAAGTATTTTAAAACAAGTATTAAAAATGCTTTACAGGCCAGGCACATTGGCTCACTCCTGTAATCCCAGCACTTTGGGAGGCCAAGGCGGGTGGATCACTCAAGGTCAGGAGTTCGAGACCAGCCTGACCAACATGGCGAAACCCCGTCTCCACTAAACATACAAATATTAGCTGGGCATGGTGGTGCATGCCTGTAATCCCAGCTACTAGGGATGCTGAGGCAGGAGAATCACCTGAACCCGGAGGCAGAGGTTGCAGTAAGCTGAGATCATGCCATTGCACTCCAACCTGGGCGACAGAGCAACACTCTATCTCAAAAAAAAAAAAAAAAAAAAAAAAGCTTCACAGCCCAGGCACATTGGCTCACATCTGTAATCCCAGCATTCTGGGAGGCCGAGGTAGGCAGATCACTTGAGGTCAGGAGTTCAAAACCAGCCTGGCCAACATGGCAAAACCCCATCTCTACTAAAAATACAAAAATTAGCCAGACATGGTGGCAGATGCCTATAATCCCAGCTATTCGAGAGACTGAGGCAGGAGAATCACTTGAACCTGGGAGGTGGAGGTTGCAGTGAGCCAAGATTGCACTGCTGCACTCCAGCCTGGGCAACCGAGTGAGACTCTGTCTCAAAAAAAAAAAAAGCATTACAGCCAAGTGCAGTGGCTCATGCCTGGTGGGAGGATCACTTGAGCCCAGGAGTTCATGACCAGCAACATAGGGAAATGCTGTCTCTACAAAAAACAACAACAAAATAATAATAATAATAATAATAATAATAATAATTACCCAGGAATGGTAGTGTGTACTTGTGGTCCCAGCCCCTTGGAAAAAAAAAATGTTTTTAATTAGCCAGACATGGTGGTGTGTACTTGTGGTACCAGCTACTTGAAGGCTGAGGTGGGAGGATCACTTGAGCCTAGGAGGTCAAGGCTGCAGTGAGCCATGATTGCATTTCAGCCTGGGCAACAGAGCAAGACCTTGTCTCAAAAAGAAAAGGAAAAAAAAAAAACAACATTTAACAAGCAATTACAAACTCTCTTGAAACAAATGAAAACCAGAAATTTTGGCAAAGAAATGGAAGATATAAAGAAGAATCAGGCCAGGTGAGGTGGCTCACACCTGTAATCCCAGCACTTTGAGAGGCGGAGGTGGGCGGATCATGAGGTCAAGAGATCAAGACCATCCTGGCCAACATGGTGAAACCCTGTCTCTACTAAAAATACAAAAAGTTAGCCAGGCATGGTGGCAGATGCCTGTAATTCCAGCTACTTTGGAGGCTGAGGCAGGAGAATCACTTGAACCTGGGAGGCAGAGGTTGCAGTGAGCCAAGATCATACCATTGCACTTCAGCTTGGGCAAAAACAGTGAAACTCCATCTCCAAAAAAAAAAAAAAAGAAGAAGAAGAAGAATCAAATAGAAATTTTAGAACTTAGAAATATAATCATGAAAATTGAAGACTCAATAGATTGGCTTAACAGCAGATTGGAGAGGACAGAGGAAAGATTCAGCGAACTTGAAGGTAGAAGAGAAATTACTCAATCTGGACAACGGAGAAAAATAGACTGAAAAAAATGAACAGAGGTTCATTTATGGGACTGTAACAAAAGAGCTAACTAACGTTCTGTCATCAGCATTTAAGAAGAAGAGAGAGAGAATGGAGCAGGAAAATGTACTCAAAGAAACAATGCCTGAAAAACTCCCAAATTTGGCAAAAGATATTAACTGATTGATGCAAGAAGCTAAGTGAACCCCAAACAGTATGTTTTCATGTATTTGATGGCCATTTATATATCTTCTTTGGTGAAATGTCTATTCAAATCTCTTGCCCATTTTTTATTGTTATTATTGAGTTATAAAAGTTCTTTTTATATTCTAGATACAAGTCCCTTATCTGATAAATGATTTGCAAATACTTGATCTCATTCTATTGCTTTTGTTTATCTTTTCACTTTCTTATGGTTGCTGTTATTTTTATGTTTGTTTTTTTCCTTAATGAAGGCAATTTCCACTTTCTTTTTTTTTTTTTTTTTTTTTTTTGAGACAGAGTCTTGCTCTATCACCCAGGCGGGAGTGCAGTGGCATGATTTCGGCTCACCACAACTTCCAACTCCCAGGTTTAAGAAATTATCCTGCCTCAGCCTCCCAAGTAGCTGGGACTACATGCATGCACCACCATGCCCGGCTAATTTTTGCATTTTTTAGAGACAGGGTTTCACCATGTTGGCCAGGCTGGTCTCAAACTCTTGGCCCCAAGTGATCCACCTGCCTCGGCCTCTCAAAGTGCTAGGATTACAGGTGTAAGCCACCACACCCAGCCTTCACTTTCTTGATGGTGCCTTTTGGAGTACAAAAGTTTTCAATTTTGATGAAATCCAATTATCAATATTTTATCTGAAGCATGGGCAATATAGTGAGACCCTGTCTCCACACCAAAAAAAAAAAAAAAAAAATTTAACAATTAACCAAGCGTGGTTGTATGCATCTGTAGTCCCAGCTATCCAGGAAGCTGAGGCAGGAGGATCACTTGAGCCCGGGAGTTGAGGCTGCAGTGAACTATGATTGCACCATGGCACTCCAGACTGGGTGACATACCAGGACCCTGTCTCCAAAAACAAAATACTATTTTATTGCTTGTGTAGATGTAAGAAAGTATCATATGTAAGAAATCATTGCCTAGCCCAACATCATGAATATCTACTTTTAGGCCTTTTTCTAATAGTTTTATAGTTTTGCACTTACATTTAGGTCTATGATCAATTTTAAGTTGGTTTTTTGTGTATGGTATGAGGTAATATAGGAATTACAAGCTATAAATCCCCTCTAAGCATAGCTTTAGCTACATGTCAAAAATTAATTCTGATATGTTCTGTTTCAATTTTCATTCAGCTTGAAATATTTTCTGGTTTTCCTTGTGATTTCTTCTTCCACCCATTGGTTGTTTAGAAGCATGCTGTTTAATTTTCACACACTTGTAATTTTCTCAAATTTCCTGTTGTTGTTGATTTCTAATTTAATTCTATTGTGATCAGAGAACATCTTTGTATTATTTCAGTCCTTTTAAAATTATTGAGACGTGTTTTATGGCCTAGCATATGGCCTATCCTGGAGAACGTTCCATGTACACTTGAGAAAAATGGTATATCCTGCTATTGTTTAGCAGAGTGTTTTATAGATGTCCGTTAGACTTAGTTAGTTGACAGTGTTACCCAAGTCTTCTGCTCAAGGACAGCCCTCACCTCTCAGCCCTCTTTGTGGACTGAAGATAATTGCTTCCCCAAGGTCACACTCTTTCTAGGGGCAACCCACCTTCCGTGACTGATTAATGTGGGGGGCAAAAACCCAGCTCCCTTGCCCCAGTTGGGGATGGCTCTGAAGGGCCATCCCAGCTCCGTGTTAAATCTCAAAGTCCACTTCCTGGAGACCCAACCTGTGTACCCCTTATTCAGTCAAACTATACCCACTCTAGTTTTAAAATATATTCCAAATCAGACTCACCATGCCCCAATCATCTCTCACTGGTCACCACATCGAGAATGGCCTGGGCCAACAGTTGGGGGCAAGTTGGAAGCAAGGGTGCCAGGTAGGATGCTATCACAATACTCCTAATTAGAGATGGTAGGGGTGTGGTGATGAGCAGTTTAATTTGGTACTTATTTTTGAAACTACAGGTGCCATCTCTTATTGACCTCTCAGTCTTTTTTTTTTTTTTTTTTTTTTTGAGACAGAGTCTCACTCTGTCACCCAGGTTGGAGTGCAGTGGCACGATCTCAGCTCACTGCAACCTCTACCTCCCGGGTTCAAGCGATTCTCCTGTCTCAATCTCCCGAGTAGCTGGGACTACAGGCGTGCACCACTATGCCCGGCTAATTTTTGTATTTTTAGTAGAGATGGGGTTTCACCATATTGGTCAGGCTGGTCTCAAACTCCTGACCTCAGGTGATCCACCTGCCTTGGTCTCCCAAAGTGCTGGGATTACAGGTGTGAGCCACCACGCCCGGCCTGAGGCGGAGTCTTGCTCTGTCACCCACGCTGGAGTGCAATGGCTTAATTTCAGCTCAGTGCAACCTCCACCTCCCAGGTTCAAGTGGTTCTCCTGCCTCAGCCTCTGGAGTAGCTGAGACTACAGGCGTGTGCCACTATGCCTGGCTGATTTTTGCATTTTTGGTAGAGACACGGTTTCACCATGTTGGCTAGGCTAGTCTCAAACTCCTGACCTCAGATGATCCCACCTCCACCACCCAAAGTGCTGGGATTACAGGTGTGAGCCACCGCACCCGACCAACCTCCCAATCTAAAGTAGCCCCCAAGTTCTCTCTCCCCTCACCCTGCCTTATATCATCTCATACTCCTTATCGCTATCTGATATTATATTTCATATTTACTTGGTATCTGTCTATTTTGTTCAAGACCATAAATTCAGGGCCTAAAACATTGCGGGGTATAAAGACTGTGTTCAATAAATACTGTGTAAATGAATTGATAAGTAAATAAGCAAATGACATGCATCAGTACTTACTGAATGCTGCACTGAATGTCAGCAAAGGCATAAGAGAATGTCTGGATCTGTAGTTTCTGATGTAATCGAAGCAGAAACTTGTTTCCCAGCCATGCCCACATTAGTTTTTTAAATGACAAAAAATAAACCCTACTAAGACAGATGGCGCCTCAGGGTAGAAAGAACATGGGTTTGGATGTGAATAACTCACATCTGAAACACACTTAGTAGCTATATGAACTTGTACAAGTGACTCAACTTCTCTGAGCTCCACATCTCACTGTGGGTGGAGGTAATGGTATCCTCCTCCTGGGGGTATTTTAAGTGAGACAGTGCACGCTGAGTTGAGGTCCTGCTCCACACACTGAGGCATGGTCAAGTCCAAAAACAAGTAAATGAAAAAGACAAAAATCCTTGACTTTGTGGAATTGGCAGTCAGTAAATAAGAAATATAAATTAAATATATGTTAGTTAGATGGTGAGAAATAATAAGGAGAAAAGCCAATGGGGGTGGGGAACATGAGAGAAGGCTTCCAGTTTTGAAATGGGGTAGCCAAGGAAGGCCTTGATTAGGCGCCTTTTGAGATGAGGGACAGAGCCACGAAGACAGCTGGGGAAGGAAGCAGTTCAGGCAGTGAGAAGAACAAGGCTCTAAGGTGTGAATGTGCCTGTTTCAAGAACAGCAGGAAGCTAATGGGGCTGGATGGTGAGAAGTAATCAAAGATGAGGTTAGAGAGGGAAGGGCCTTGGCTGGGGGGCAGTGGCTCATGCCTGTAATCCCAGCACTTTGGGAGGCCGAGGCAGGTAGGTTAGGAGATCGAGACCATCCTGGCTAACACGGTGAAACCCTATCTCTACTAAAAATACAAAAAAATAGCCCGGCGTGGTGGCACGCACCTGTAGTCCCAGCTACTCAGGAGGCTGAGGCAGGAGAATCGCTTGAACCCGGGAGGCGGAGGTTGCAGTGAGCCGAGATTGCACCACTGCACTCCAGCCTGGGCCACAGAGCAAGACTGCGTCTCAACAAAAAAAAAAAGAGAGAGAGAGAAAGAGATTGAGAGGGAAAGGCCTTGTGCAGAGCCTTGCAGGCCCTGTAGAAAAGTTAGCTTTACTCTGAGTGAGTGGAGAAGCGATTGGAGACTTTTGAGCAGAGGAGTGAGGTGGTCTAACTTGTATTTCAACTGACTCACTTTGGCTGCTGTGTAGAGATATGGACAAGGAGAGCAAGGACAGCAGCAGGAAGACAAGTTAGGAGATGCAAGAGATGACATAGGCTTGGACTAGGATATTGGCAATAGGGATGAGAAGAGATGAGAAGTGCTCAGATTCTGGATATACATTTTTTTTTTTTTTTTTTTTTTTTTGAGACAGAGTCTCGCTCTGTCGCCCAGGCTGGACTGTGGACTGCAGTGGTGCAATCTCGGCTCACTGCAAGCTCCGCTTCCCGGGTTCACGCCATTCTCCTGCCTCAGCCTCCCGAGTAGCTGGGACCACAGGCGCCCGCCACCGCGCCCGGCTAATTTTTTGTATTTTTAGTAGAGACGGGGTTTCACCTTGTTAGCCAGGATGGTCTCGATCTCCTGACCTCATGATCCACCCGCCTCGGCCTCCCAAAGTGCTGGGATTACAGGCGTGAGCCACCGCGCCCGGCCTGGATATACATATTTTGAAGGTAGAGTCCACAGGATTTAAGACAGTTTGGATGTGGAGTATGAGAAAAAGAGAGGAGTCAGCAATATCTTCAAGGATTTGGGCCTAAACAATGGAAAGAATAGAACTGCAAAACTCAATTCTATCAGGAAGGAAGAGAAGGTTAAGGGAGAAGATCAGGTCAGTTCTGGACATGTTAAGTTTGTGGTACTTGTACTTGGAAGTACAAGTCTGGAGTTCCGGGAAGTGTATGATCTTGAGAGTCATCAGCACAAAGGTGGTCTTCATAGATGGTATCTGAATCTGGTAGGGAGCCAGGAGACTGGATGAGATCACCTAGGGAGACAGAAAACTAGAAGAGGCCCAGGGAATAACCATGGACACTACAATGGTAAGAGGTTGGAGAGATGAAGAGTAACCAACAGGGAGGCAGAGAGGGAGGGGCCTGGGGCAACGGGGGGCTCCATATCTCCCGAACCATATATTTACAAATAATCTCCAAGAGTGGATTACTCTTGCTTATTTCTTTTTTTTTTTTTTCTCACTCTGGTCTCACCTTGTCACCCTGGCTGGATTGCAGTGGCATGATTATGGCTCGTTGCAGCCTCAACCTCCTGGGCTCAAGTGATCCTCCCACATCAGCCTCCCAAGTAGCTGGGGCAACAGGTGTGCATCACCACGGCCTGCTAATTTTTGTATTTTTTCATAGGGATGGGGTTTCCCTATGTTGCCCAGGCTGATCTTGAACTCCTGGGATCAAGTGATTCTCCCACCTTGGCCTCCCAAAGTGCTGGGAGTACAGGCATGAGCCACCGCTGCACCTGGCACTCTTGCTTATCTCTATGGCTACAGTGGCCTATTGCCTTCTTTGTGTTTGGACACATTATCAGGGCCAACCTCGGAGTTCACCTTTTAAGGTCACAAGTCCCTATGACTGAAGTGTGAATGACTGACAGGTTTATCCTTCTCAGGGGGTATACAATGAAAGAAAATCCCTTTAATAAAATGAATCTCTATTTGATGAAATATAGTAGGAAAAAGGGTCATTTCCCAGAGGGAACTATCTGTATCCCTGGCATGCTGCAGTTCACTGTAGTGATGATGGTACCACCCTGGTCAGTATCAACCCTTGGGAAGCCATTGGGAAGGAGAAACAAGCTCTTGGGGGAGCATCAATACTGCTTTGGGCTGTAAGGTCTTAGAGGCCAGGAAAAGTATCTGGGACCCAAGCATAGCTCATAATGCCTGAGCAGGTGCACACTGCCTTACCTTAAGCAGGATAAAGCAAGAAGTGGGCAGGCAGCTTCCTGACACTGTCTTTAAACTCAGCTTCTGCCCACCACACTTCTGGTTCCCTTCCACCTAACCACTTCTCTGTCTCCGTTGCAATTTCTCCTTTTTCTCAAGCTCCAGCCTAGTGCCCCAGCCTCCCTTTCCACAAATGGTGTTAGATTGTCAACATTGCAGAAATGGTGAGTTCAGTTCTTTCCACCAAGGTCTTCGCGGTTCCATGAGAAACCTGTTGTCTCTTCCTATTTTCCTTTCACTACTCACCAGCACCAAATCCCCAGTCAGCAAACCAGAGAGTACAAAAGCAGGGACTTTTACACTAGGGTTCCTCTTCCCCATACCCACAGTTGCCTCCTCAACTAAGGAAGGTGATGGGAAAATGACAATGACACCAATAGGACAATGGGACAAAAGCATGGACAGGAAACTCACAAAAGCATGGACAGGAAACACGAATAGCCATTAAACAGTTAAAAAGAATGTTGACACTTAACAACAAATGTGCAGTTTAAAGGAGCAATAAGAGACCATTTCATCTATCAAAGTGGCGAGGATTCTAATGTGGAGGGTTGGCGAGAGTAAGGACACAGGCAGACACTACTAACTGGAGTAGAAAGGCCTCACTGCTTTCTGGAGAATGGCTTGGCAACACATAGAGACCAAGAGCTTTAAAACAAGTCTATGTCTTCACCCTTTCACTCAGGGGTTTCACTTCTAGAATTTAGCCTAAGGCAATAATTAGCCATGCAAATATGTAAATTCAAGGATATTTACCGAAGGTCTGGGCGCAGTGGCTCACACCTATAATCCTAGCACTTTGGGAGGCCGAAAGAGGTGGGCAGATTACCTGAGGTCAGGAGTTCGAGACCAGCCTGGATAACATGATGAAACCCCGTCTCTACTAAAAATACAAAAATCAGCCAGGCATGTGCCTGTAATCCCAGCTACTCAGGAGGCTGAGGCAGGAGTAGCTTGAACCCAGGAAGCAGAGGTTGCCGTGAACCGAGATCACACCACTGCCCTCCATCCTGGACAACAGAGTGAGACTCCATCTCAAAAAAAAAAAAAAAGAAGAAGAAAAAGAAAAAAAAGAATATTTACCACAGCTCAGTTTATTATATGTTTAAAAATTGAAGGCCAGGTGTGGTGGTAAACACCTGTAATCCCAGAGCTTTGGGAGGCCGAGGAAGGAGGTTGCCGTGAGCCCAGGAATTCAAGGTTATAGTGAGCTATGTGCGTGCCACTGCACTCCAGCCTGAGTGACAGAGCAAGACCCTGTCTCTAAAAAAACAGAAAGCAAATTGAGACCCACCTAAACATGCTATAATAGGAAATTGGTTTAAATGAACTAGTAGAATACTGGGTGACCATTATAAATGATGCTGGCTCACGGGCTTCCAAATGTGATACACTGGTACTCGTGCCCAAAAATGCATAAACACCAGACATACTCAAATTTAGGAACAGTCTACAAAACAACTGTCCTGTATGCTTAAAAATGCCAGTATCGGCCAGGTGCGGTGGCTCACGCCTATAATCCCAGCACTTTGGGAGGCCAAGATGGGTGGATTGCCTAAGCTCAGGAGTTTGAGACCAGCCTGGGCACCATGGTGAAACCCTGTCTCTACTAAAATACAAAAAGTCAGCCGGGCGTGGTGGTGGGCGCCTGTAATCCCAGCTACTCAGGAGGCTGAGGCACGAGAATTGCTTGAACCCAGGCGGTGGAGGTTGCAGTGAGCCAAGGTCGTGCCACTGCAATCCAGCCTGGACTGTCTCAAAAAAAAAAAAAAAAAAAAAGTCAATATAATGAAAGGCAAAGTACATTTAAGGTACTGTACTCATATTAAAGGAAACTAAAAAGACTCGACAGCTAAATGCAACGCAGGATGCCAAATGAGATCCTAGACCAAAGGAAAAAATTGTCATGAAGGACATTATGGGGCAATTGGCAGGACCTGAATTTGGACTGTCAATTAGATCATAGTATTACATCGGTCTAAGTTTCCTGATTTGGATAATTGTACTATATTATGTAAAAGAATGTTTTGTTCTTAGAAAATTTGCACTGATGGATTTAAGGGTAAAGGGTATCTTGTATGCAACTTACTCTCAAATGGTTCAGTAAAAAATACAAATGTGTATTTATAGAGAAATAATGATAAAGTAAATGTGGTCAAATGATATTAGTGGATGAATCTGAGTGAAGGGTATCCTGGAATTCTTTTTAGTATTTTTGCCCCTTTCCCATGAGATTAAAAGTATTTTAAAATAAAAAGCTAAAAAAAGGAAGAAAGTGGTGCTGGTGAAGTATATTCCCCGGTAGGGGAAGGCTCTCAGGTGCACCAGCAGCAGCCATGAGTGCCTCAACACCAGGGAGAGCACAGCTGCCACTGACACCTTCTGCCACCCTGGACTCTCAGTTCCCTGTGCTACTAAAGGAACTCAGTGTGTGGTTGACCCCAAAGTTGTCCTGGGTTGACTCAGGAAGGTAGGATGAGCATTCTGAGGCAAAGAATTCTCTTTTGTGATTTTATTGACTCCAATTTTGCATTCTGACTGGCATTCCCTGCATCCCAAGGACCTTGACAGCGGAGGGAGGCAGAGATGGAGGAAGTGAAAACTACCCAAATTCAGTGTTTGTTACAGACAATTCAGACTGCAAAACTTAGGGTAGACTATGTTCATTTATCACTGATAATGACAGTCTTAACATTCCCCTACAACAGGAAGACCAAGATTTCCCCAAAACCGGCCAGCATCTTGCCCATTCGCCAGAAGGAGAAAAATAAGTCCTGGCAAGAGCCAAGATAAGGCCCAGAAGCCCCTGGGTTCCTTTAGCCAAGGTGAGTGGTTTCAAATTATGACAAGTTGCAGGTTCTCTGAGAAGCATCTGTAATAACCTGGCAAATTAAGCATCCTCTCCTGGGAGGAGGAATACAGAACTCTGTAACCACCCAATACCTGTTTCCAGGTCCTGCCCCTCCTGGGGCACACGGCAGCCACCTTGCAATTCTCATCCCTAGAAAGGAGAGACCAGATCAACAAACAGCAGGGCTGGGACTGCCCAGGGGGTTCCGAGATTCCTTCTCCCCTCCTATCACCTGCCCTCCAGGCACACCGTCCTACTTCCCCCTACTTCCCCAGGGGTTGTCAGGGACAGAAGGCCCCTCCTTCATCCCCCCTAGTGTTCCTCCACTCTTCCTCCGCCCCCCATTACTAGGGTGTCCAGGACATTGTGTGACTCAGGAAACAGCTCAGACGTGAGGCTTGCAGCAGGCCGAGGAGGAAGAAGAGGGGCAGTGGGAGCAGAGGAGGTGGCTCCTGCCCCAGTGAGAGCTCTGAGGGTCCCTGCCTGAAGAGGGACAGGGACCGGGGCTTGGAGAAGGGGCTGTGGAATGCAGCCCCCTTCACTGCTGCTGCTGCTGCTGCTGCTGCTGCTGCTATGTGTCTCAGTGGTCAGACCCAGAGGTGAGGCATGGCGTGGGTGAGGTGAGGGGACCCAGCTCCCTTAGGAGGATGATCAGTGGGGTGGGGGAAGAGGGCCAAGCCCCAGGCCGTGTGAGGGATGCTGGATGGAGGAGATTCTCACTGCCCAAATAGAGACGGCCTCCAGGGAAAGACGGCTCTGCCCATGGAGCTGCTTTGGGCCTGGTGCCAGGGGTGGTGACTGCTGGGGGATGGGTGAGAGGGTGCCCACCTCCAGGAAGAACCTCGTCAGCACTGGCACTGGAGGACTCTTGCAGCCATAGGGAAGAGGGGAAGAGGGAACACACTGACCACCTGCTTGGGGAGGAGATGAGAGGGAAGCAGGAGATGGGGACATGAAAGGTCAGGCCTACTAAGCCCTTTCTTAGTCCAGCTGTCCCCACCCCCCGGATGGCTCAATGCTCGGCCTTTCCGGGAGGAAATCTCTTCGAAGTCTCAGCCATTCACCTCCCGGGAGCCACCTCCGCCCCTCTTCTGACCCCTGTTGTCTTGCTTCTGAGAGATGGAGTCCGAGGCTGGACTTGGGAGGCCAGAGAATAAACAGGAAAGGGGGGTAGGGATTAGTAACTGGGACGGAGGGCACTGGGGCTGGGGCTGGGTACCATGTGGAGAGTGGGGACAGATGTGAAGAAGAGGTGGTTTAGAGTACCTGTGGGAGCTGCTGTGGGCAGGTCTCTCAGGAGCACCTAGAAGAGGAAAGGTGGAGGCACAGCACCCAGGGCTTCCATTGCGCCTGCCTCTCCTCCCTCAGGGCTGCTGTGTGGGAGTTTCCCAGAACCCTGTGCCAATGGAGGCACCTGCCTGAGCCTGTCTCTGGGACAAGGGACCTGCCAGTGAGTGTGCCTTGCAGGAGTGGGAGACTGGAGAGAAAGGGGGAGGGAGAGCAGGGGGGGAGAGGTGAGGAAGTGAGACCAAAGAAGAAAGAGAGGAAGTGAAGGAGATGAAGGGAAACAAATGAAGGCAGAGGAGGGAGTGGGCAAGAATAGGAAGAGGGACCAGTGATGTGAGTTTTCCTCTCCTCCCCTGCCCAGGTGTGCCCCTGGCTTCCTGGGTGAGACGTGCCAGTTTCCTGACCCCTGCCAGAACGCCCAGCTCTGCCAAAATGGAGGCAGCTGCCAAGCCCTGCTTCCTGCTCCCCTAGGGCTCCCCAGCTCTCCCTCTCCATTGACACCCAGCTTCTTGTGCACTTGCCTCCCTGGCTTCACTGGTGAGAGATGCCAGGCCAAGCTTGAAGACCCTTGTCCTCCCTCCTTCTGTTCCAAAAGGGGCCGCTGCCACATCCAGGCCTCGGGCCGCCCACAGTGCTCCTGCATGCCTGGATGGACAGGTAAGCGCTGCTGGGGGCAGCCAGGAGGGGACAGGCAGGAGCAATGGGCTAGGCTGTGGGTGGGGAAGATAGAACTGGAGCCTGAGAAACTGCAAGCCCTTTGAAGACAGAAGCCATGAGAATCAACATGCCAATTCTTGGCAATCCACTTACCCACAACCAACATTCACCAGCATGGTTGTACTGATTGCTAAAATGTTAAAATATTTCCAAATTAAGGGTGCCATGAGCCCCCTTTGTGCACCATCCTGATGCCTGTCCTAGCCCCTTTAATCTCCCCATTGCCTAGCAGCTAGAAGAGGGTCATTGCTCTGCATACCAGGGGTCCTCCAGACTTTTGCATTCTGAGCATCTGAATGGCTCCCATTCTGAGTGGAGGGAGCCATTATATCACCTGGGAAGACTGCAGTGGTGGGAGGGGCACCGGGAAGGGAAGGATGTGACCCAGAGAGTGGATTGGGGGCCGCCCCAGGAGGAGGGGTGTAACCCTGGGGCAAGCTTAGTGCTTCATTCTAGGGGCTCTGCACCAGCCCCTGGATCCAAATGCTAGCTCTGCCACTGATCAGCTACATGACCTCATATAAGATATTTTAGCTTTCTGGTGTTCAGTTGTCAGCTGACAAACAGGGAGAGTAATGGTCACACTTCATAAGGTTGCTGAGAGGACAGAAGGGGCCGATGCTCAGGAGATGCTTGCTCAGCTCAGCACCTGGCACCTCCACTGCTGCCGCCATTACCACTGGTGCACATGGACTGTGAAGTGAGTCTCCAGGTGCCTAAACCCACTTAAAGATTAGGAAATGAGGATCAGAAAGGCAAAGTGGCTCACCCAAGGGTATACAACCAGTTGTGGCACAGCATGGTGCCACCTGAGTCTCCTGCCTGCAGACGTGGGGTGCTTTTCACCTCCCCCAAGATCACCCACGTCCCAGATTTTCTCAGGCAAGGCCAATTTGCAATACTCTCATCATCACTTTAGAAGATATGGTCACTCCAGATAAACCCTCCCAAGCCATGACATCGCTCAGAGCAGGGGTGATGGAACAGAGCAAAGAAAGTATGGTAATAAAGGGAAGGAAATATGAAAATGAGACCCAGAGATAATCCAGAGTGAGCACTGGGTAACCTCAGATGGGCTAGAATTCGTACAATGCTAGAAACGGCTCCCTCTGTCCTCTGCCTCAGGTGAGCAGTGCCAGCTTCGGGACTTCTGTTCAGCCAACCCATGTGTTAATGGAGGGGTGTGTCTGGCCACATACCCCCAGATCCAGTGCCACTGCCCACCGGGCTTCGAGGGCCATGCCTGTGAACGTGATGTCAACGAGTGCTTCCAGGACCCAGGACCCTGCCCCAAAGGCACCTCCTGCCATAACACCCTGGGCTCCTTCCAGTGCCTCTGCCCTGTGGGGCAGGAGGGTCCACGTTGTGAGCTGCGGGCAGGACCCTGCCCTCCTAGGGGCTGTTCGAATGGGGGCACCTGCCAGCTGATGCCAGAGAAAGACTCCACCTTTCACCTCTGCCTCTGTCCCCCAGGTGTGTCCTCACAGGGGCTCTCCGGCCGCCCCTCTCTCTGGGCAGGGCAGGATGTCTCCGTTGGAGCCTCCTCCCACAGCTGATCCATGACCCTGTCAGGTTTCATAGGCCCAGACTGTGAGGTGAATCCAGACAACTGTGTCAGCCACCAGTGTCAGAATGGGGGCACTTGCCAGGATGGGCTGGACACCTACACCTGCCTCTGCCCAGAAACCTGGACAGGTGAGTTGTTTAAGCCACATCCATGACACCCATGGCCCAGAGAGTTGGCCCCTGGCCTCCCCTACTCATAGGGCTCCCAGCCTTAGCCCTCGTCCCCTCCCCAACCCCCTGCAGGCTGGGACTGCTCCGAAGATGTGGATGAGTGTGAGACCCAGGGTCCCCCTCACTGCAGAAACGGGGGCACCTGCCAGAACTCTGCTGGTAGCTTTCACTGCGTGTGTGTGAGTGGCTGGGGCGGCACAAGCTGTGAGGAGAACCTGGATGACTGTATTGCTGCCACCTGTGCCCCGGGATCCACCTGCATTGACCGGGTGGGCTCTTTCTCCTGCCTCTGCCCACCTGGACGCACAGGTATGGGGGTAGAGGGTATCAGGAGGTGGGAGGTAGAGAAGGAGGGTGAGAGAAGCACCAGGAGGACTGCTAGGAGCTTCAAGTGGCCTTTGAGAGCCTCACCCCCTCTTACCCCTCCAGGACTCCTGTGCCACTTGGAAGACATGTGTCTGAGCCAGCCGTGCCATGGGGATGCCCAATGCAGCACCAACCCCCTCACAGGCTCCACACTCTGCCTGTGTCAGCCTGGCTATTCGGGGCCCACCTGCCACCAGGACCTGGACGAGTGTCTGATGGGTGAGGCCACTCCCACTTCAGAGCCTCTCTGAGCCTCAGACAGGCCTCTGCACTGAAGACAGAAAAGGGCAGATTGCTTTTCCAATTAAAAAACCAAACATCTTTTTCCTTGAATTTGCCCAGATTTGGCATCTCTTGCCTACATGACCCTCTCTCCAATGTTCAGCCCCTCAGTCCCCATGAGTTTGGTCCCTTATTTCCTTTCCATCTTAAAGACACAAGCCCCTTCCCCAATTTGGTCTCGTCTGCCACACGCAGGCCCCCACACCTTCCCTGACAGTCTCACCTCCTTGCCCTTCCTGCCCTGACCCCTGTGGACTCCCAGCTCTTCTCTCCTCCCAGCCCAGCAAGGCCCAAGTCCCTGTGAACATGGCGGTTCCTGCCTCAACACTCCTGGCTCCTTCAACTGCCTCTGTCCACCTGGCTACACAGGCTCCCGTTGTGAGGCTGATCACAATGAGTGCCTCTCCCAGCCCTGCCACCCAGGAAG
The DNA here is from genome assembly GCF_000001405.40 of Homo sapiens. NCBI lineage: Eukaryota > Metazoa > Chordata > Mammalia > Primates > Hominidae > Homo > Homo sapiens. The sequence continues at coordinate 3,442,840 of NT_167248.2, read as the reverse complement.
CACCTGTCTGGACCTACTTGCCACCTTCCACTGCCTCTGCCCGCCAGGTATCAGCTGGATGGGGCCTTGGGTGGGGAAAACAGGGAACTAGTCCTGAACCCACTAGGAATGCCCCCTCCAGAGTAAGGACAGCTTCAGGCCAATTGGCGTAAGTTACCACAGATGCTTCTCTCTCTACCCCCAGACGAAAACTCAGGGACACCCAAGACCCCTAGGAGAGGGGTTACCACAGATGGTAGTGAGGTTATGCATTCCTCAACTTGGGGGGAAGCTGCCATTCATTTCATAGTCATCATAGAGGCTGCACAACCTGGTCCACTGTACACAGCAGCCCAGCAAGAGAGGGTAGAAGAGCAGTTCATAAACTTTCTGTGCTGCAGCCTTTGCTCAGGTCAACCCAGAATGCTCCCTCTGATTATAGAAACTCTCCCATGTAGAGATTCAAGGTAATCCCTTAAAATCCCAAAAGCCCTGTGATACAACAGGAAAATTTGGTACAACAAGAAAAAAATTGCTGCAAGACAGCACCCACCTCCAGGCTAGTTTTAAGGGGGAAAAGTCGCCCCAGGGAGACAGCAACAGAGCCAACATCAAGGAGTTGAATGAAATCAGAAAAATAATCGCCAACTTTATGCCAGGTACTGTCTGAGCATCTTACAGGCATTGTCTCATCTACTTATTACAATAACCCTATGAGGTCAGCACTGCCCATTTTATAACTGAAGAAACTGAGGCACAGAGAGTTTAAGTGACTTGTCCAAGGTCACCCAGCTAGCAAGTGGCAGAGCTGAGATTCAAACCAAGGGCTTCAACAATTATAACCACTACCCCATATTGACTTTCTAAACTGAGCGGCACCCAAAGATACTGGCTCAGGTCACCCAACAGACAATCATAGAGAAATAAGAGAAAACGGTTCGGTAACCCAAGGGACAACATTGTAGATATCAAGGAGCTTCAGAAGCAGACTCCTCAGGCAAGAAAAGAAAGGAAGCCAAGGTCCAGAGGTTGATCCCACCTCAATTCAGGATGAAACAGTGGAGACCAGGATGAACCCAAAGCAACGGAACAAATATAGGAGCAACAAGCTTCCCAGATGCACTTCAAATTCCTCCACTTTGGGATCTCTGTTCTCCCTAGCATGGAGGCCCACCCAGGGAGAACAAGAAGCGGGACTCATTCTCCAAGCCAATTTGTTCCTATTTGTACCTTGAGGTCCTCCAGGCTGATCAGCCTGCCCTGGTGAGCCCCGCCCTCTGTATACACAGGAATGGCCACCAGAAAGCCTTGTAGTCCTCCCGCAGGTCCCCAGCAAGCACCCTGTTCCCTGGCCTTTCACACCTCAAGGAGCAGGGCCACACACTGCGAAGCAGCAGGGCCTCAGGGTTCATCTTATTCAACCCCATGCAGACAGCACCTCGGGGGAGGACCGCCTGAGTGGGGCAAGTCAGGAGCAGGGCCGATTCTAGAACACAGGTCTCCCAGGCAGACCTGGCTGAGCCACAGCCCTCATGGTCCCCATGTCCCCAGGCTTAGAAGGGCAGCTCTGTGAGGTGGAGACCAACGAGTGTGCCTCAGCTCCCTGCCTGAACCACGCGGATTGCCATGACCTGCTCAACGGCTTCCAGTGCATCTGCCTGCCTGGTGAGTACAGATGCCTCTCTGGCCACCCTCAGACCCCAGGCCTCTGAACCTGCAGAGTTCAGGCTCAGCAATCACCCAAGGCCACTTGAAGCTCTCTCTAGCCAAGCCAAGGAGTCCTCCAAATCTGTCTTTGCTCCCCAAAATCTCTACTCTTACATCCCCAAATCTTCCCTTGCTTACTTGCCCATTCTCATCTCTGTCCTACCAAATCACCCAAAGATCCCTCCTTTCCAGTCCTCCTGCACAGCCTCTGTGTATGCATGTTGAGGTCCCAGGCTGGTCTTGGCACTCTCATCATAAACCCAGCAAAAGCTGCCCCAAGCCTTTCTTCTCCAGCCTCACCGGACACTCCTCTGTCCCCTGCTATTATAATAACTACACTTATTCACCACTTACTCCAGGCTAGCCATTTGGCTGAGTACTTTTCAGGCGTTATGTCATTTAATCTTTTTAACAGTACCATGAGGTAGGTTCCATTATTATTCCCCTTTTACACAGAACAGGAAACTGGGGCCTAGAGGGTTGACCAGCTTGCCCAAAGTCACACAGCTGGCAGGTGGCTGAGCTTCACCTTTTCTGCATCATCTCCTGTCACCCCACGCTCACCTGCCCCAGGTGTCTTCTCTGGGAAGCTCTGCAAGTTCACCTTTCCTGGCAAGGGAAGGCGCCATGCTGTGCCTCCCTCGATGACCTTGGCCTCCTCTCCCCACCCACTTCCGCCCCACCAGGATTCTCCGGCACCCGATGTGAGGAGGATATCGATGAGTGCAGAAGCTCTCCCTGTGCCAATGGTGGGCAGTGCCAGGACCAGCCTGGAGCCTTCCACTGCAAGTGTCTCCCAGGTAAACTGGGGCACACACTGTGGGGGACAGCGGGAGCAGGAGGCAGACATCCGTGCAGGTCCCTGACCTTCCTGCTGTGCCACAGGCTTTGAAGGGCCACGCTGTCAAACAGAGGTGGATGAGTGCCTGAGTGACCCATGTCCCGTTGGAGCCAGCTGCCTTGATCTTCCAGGAGCCTTCTTTTGCCTCTGCCCCTCTGGTTTCACAGGTTCACAGGGGAGGCATTGGAAAGAACTGGCAGAATATTTTATTCCATTTGGGTTGGGGCAGAGTTCATTGGTGGGTGTTTGATGGTTGGGATGTGAGAATAGAATGAGAATGGTATCCTTTAAAGTTATTTAGTGTAAAACCTGCACAATTGTACAACCATGGGGACAAGGGCAGGGGTTACCGTAGGGCCCACATGGGCCCAGTGTAAATGGTGTGATTGCGGCTTGGGAGCAGAGGACGGGGCTCAAAGAAAAGGCATTCACTTGCTTATTTAGCAAGCACTTACCAACTGCCTACTATGCCAGATACGGAGGCAAATCTGAGTAAGACAGTTGCCATCTTCATGTGACTTTAAGTCTAATACAGAGAGACCAACAAGTCTCCTGTTGATCATAGCCCACAGAGGTGCTCTGAGAGAAAAACGTGCAGGATATTACAAGAGCACAGAGGACCAGCCAACCCAGACTAAAAATGGAGGAGGTGATGGCTGAGATGAGTCTTGAAAGATAAGCAGAGGCTGGGCGTGGTGGCTCACGCCTATAGTCCCAGCACTTCGGGAAGCCGAGGCGGGTGGATCACCCGAGATTAGGAGTTCGAGATCAGCCTGGCCAACATGGTGAAACCTCGTCTCTATTAAAAATACAAAAATTACACTTTGGGAGGCCGAGGCGGGTGGATCATGAGGTCAGGAGATCGACACTATCCTGGCTAACACGGTGAAACCCCATCTCAACTAAAAATACAAAAAAATAACCGGGCGTGGTGGCGGGCGCCTATAGTCCCAGCTACTCCAGAGGCTGAGGCAGGAGAATGGCGTGAACCCGGGAGGCGGAGCTTGCAGTGAGCTGAGATCACGCCACTGCACTCCAGCCTGGGTGGCAGAGTAAGACTCCACCTCAAAAAAAAAAAAAAATACAAAAATTAGCCAGGCGTGGTGGCGGGCGCCTGCAATCCCAGCTATTGGGGAGGCTGAGGCAAGAGAATCGCTTGAACCTGGGAAGCAGTGGTTGCAGTGAGCTGAGATCACTCCACTGCACTCCAGCCTGGGTGACAGAGCAAGATTCCATCTCAAAAAAAAAAGAAGGAAGGAAGGAAGGAAAGAAGGAAGGAAGGAGAGAAGGGAAGGAAAGGAAGGAAAGGAGGAAATGAGGAAAGAGAGAAAGATAGAAAGATGGATGGTCAGGAGTCTGTCTAAATAGAGTGCCAGATAGTGTGTTTTAGCTGGAGATAACTGCATGTGCAAAGACACAGATGGAAGAAAAGCCCACCCCATTTAAGGAACTGTAAGAAAGTCAGAGTTAAGGGTACAGCAAGGCAAAGATGAGAAACACAGCTGTTGTACAAATGTCATGTCCTGCAGGACTCTGCATATCATTCTGAGAAAGTTAAACAATATCTTAAAGGCAATAGGGACCCATTGAAGGACAGGTTCATGGGTTCATAGGGAGTGAGTAAGGCAAGCATAAGAAGTGGCTTTGGCCCAATGAAGGATGTGGCTTTGGCCCAATGAAGGATGTGGAGGAGCTGTTTTCTTTTTGACCCATCTTCCCACCCCAGGCCAGCTCTGTGAGGTTCCCCTGTGTGCTCCCAACCTGTGCCAGCCCAAGCAGATATGTAAGGACCAGAAAGACAAGGCCAACTGCCTCTGTCCTGATGGAAGCCCTGGCTGTGCCCCACCTGAGGACAACTGCACCTGCCACCACGGGCACTGCCAGAGGTAACATCTTCCAGACCCTCCCCATCTGCCCCCTCCTTTGGGCTCCCTTCGCTAGGACAGGAGAAGACAGCCAGTGAGATGTAGGTCTGTGAGAAATGACCAATGGGGAAAAGGAAGGAGATGGCAAAGTTCTTAGGGCAAGGCAGTGGGAGGGCTCAACTGGTAAGTGTTATCCAAGGAGAAGAGAGTCCACAAAAACTGGTGGAAACAGAGGACCAGGGGGTCAGAGCAGAAAGAAGAGCACTAAATCCCAGGGCGAATTAATCATTCATTAGAAAAATATCTGCTGAGGCCAGGCGCAGTGCTGATTACGGTCTCATGCCGGTAATCCCAGCACTTTGGGAGGCCGAGGTGGGCGGATCACCTGAGATCAGCAGTTCAACATCAGCCTGGCCAACATGGTGAAACCCTGTAGCTACTAAAAATGCAAAAATTAGCTGGGCATGGTGGCGCACCTGTAATCCCAGCTACTTGGGAGGCTGAAGCGGAAGGATCACTTGAACCCAAGAGGCGGAGGTTGCAGTCAGCCAAGATCATGCCACTGCACTCCAGCCTGGGTGACAGAGCAAGACTCCGTCTCAAAAAAAAAAAAAATCTGCTGAGCACCTACTTTGTGTGGCTACTGTTCCAGGCCCTGGGGGAAACACAAAGCAAAAGAGATAAAGCAACTGCTCTCGTAGAGCTTTCATTCTAAAGAAAGACAGAAAATAAGTAAGTTACAGAAAGAATATATATGTGTGTATATATATATATATATATCTCCAACTAGATATATAGATGCATATATCTAGTTGGAGAAAATGAGCAGGTGTTGGGGAGGATGGGGGCGGTGCTGAGAGCAAAGTCACTGAAGAAAGAGGCCAGAATCTCAGGGCCAAAAGAAGAGGAAGTCATAGGGGTCCAGGCAGCAGGGAGGGGAACATAAGCAGTAGGAGAAGAGAAAAACCCTCCCCTTTCTCTTTACAACCAGATCCTCATGTGTGTGTGACGTGGGTTGGACGGGGCCAGAGTGTGAGGCAGAGCTAGGGGGCTGCATCTCTGCACCCTGTGCCCATGGGGGGACCTGCTACCCCCAGCCCTCTGGCTACAACTGCACCTGCCCTACAGGCTACACAGGTGAGACCCTCCCTAAACCATATACACCCTGTGCTGGTCACCCCCTATGTCAAGGGTAAGGCAGGCGACCACGGGCCCTGAGTCTCAGTCACCACTAAGGAGAACTGGACTGCAGGGGACACGGGTGATGTGTGGGAGGTGGTGAGAACGGAGGTTGATGGGAAAGAATAATAGGGTTGGGGATGAGGAAGGGAAGGAAGAGGAAAGAGAAGGAGAGCGGAGGGAGGGAAGGAGGACACCCTTTCTCAGCCCCCACCTGTTTCCTTCAGGACCCACCTGTAGTGAGGAGATGACAGCTTGTCACTCAGGGCCATGTCTCAATGGCGGCTCCTGCAACCCTAGCCCTGGAGGCTACTACTGCACCTGCCCTCCAAGCCACACAGGGCCCCAGTGCCAAACCAGCACTGACTACTGTGTGTCTGGTGAGTGCCCACTGTGTCATGGGGCTGGGGTCCACAGGAGAATGGAAGAACTAAGGAGGGTATGCTTGTGTCATATTTTTTAAAATTTAATTGAACAGACCAGCCTGGGAAACATAATGAAACTCCATCTCTAAATTAGCTGGGCACACAGTGGCTAAGGCCTGTAGTCTCAAATACTTGGGAGGCTAAGGTGGGAGGATGACTTGAGCCCAGAAGGTTAAGACTGCAGTGAGCTCTGATGGCACCACTGCCTGGGTAACAGAGCAAGACCCTATCTAAAAACAATAAAATATCATATAAATAAAAATTAATTGGATGGCAGTGAGCTGTCGTTTTGATGGGGGTGGGGGGTGTATGTCCTATGTACAGTGTGACTGAGGTCACAGGCCAGGTTACAGGCAAGGAACCCAAACCCTCACAGCCTCCTCTCTCCAGCCCCGTGCTTCAATGGGGGTACCTGTGTGAACAGGCCTGGCACCTTCTCCTGCCTCTGTGCCATGGGCTTCCAGGGCCCGCGCTGTGAGGGAAAGCTCCGCCCCAGCTGTGCAGACAGGTGAGCAGGGCCCAAAGACCCCTAGAAGGGAGAAAACCCCTCAGCCTTCCCACCCCTCCTCTCATCTCCCCCTGGGTTCCAGGCTGCCTCCCACCCCACACCTCGTTCCGCCTTCCCTCCTGGCTTGCCACCTCCCTGTGGTTGCCTCCCGACAATATCACACACTACCTTCCCCTTGTTGCCCGAACTTCTTCCTATCATGCCCTGTCTCTGTCTTGTTCAGCCCCTGTAGGAATAGGGCAACCTGCCAGGACAGCCCTCAGGGTCCCCGCTGCCTCTGCCCCACTGTCTACACCGGAGGCAGCTGCCAGGTGAGGGCCATTGAAGTCAGGCGTGCTGAGGAGGGAAGTGGCTGGGAGGGAAACCAGGGAGGGTCACCTGGTCCCAGGCCATTCAGGAGAAGGTTTTTGAAGTAAGGGATTTCGAGGAGCTGGAGTGGGCAGAGGACCATCTCTGGGCTGAGAATCTGATGCTATGTCCTGCCTCACGCTCCCTCCCACCCCTCAGACTCTGATGGACTTATGTGCCCAGAAGCCCTGCCCACGCAATTCCCACTGCCTCCAGACTGGGCCCTCCTTCCACTGCTTGTGCCTCCAGGGATGGACCGGGCCTCTCTGCAACCTTCCACTGTCCTCCTGCCAGAAGGCTGCACTGAGCCAAGGTAACCAACGCCGGCACTGACTGGAGAGCAAATGAAGAAAATATGGGTGTTCTCACCTGCCCCGTTCCTGTGGGCTTCCACACAGCTTTTGGCCAAAACAACCACCTGAGAATCAAAACCACACAGACAAATCAGTTCTTGATTGCAGAGGTGTTGAATTGTGCAATCAGAGAAGCCTAACACAATTCCTGTTACCTCATTTAACGCAATTCAAGCAACACCAACCAGCCCATTCCACAGGATTCCAGTTTAACCCAACCATGAGGGACATGACTCAACGTGGAGCAACTCAACTCTGTCCTGATCATCATAACCCAGGCAGAGTGGACCACACTTAATCCAGCTACACTCAACGCATTTCACCCCACCCCACTCACTTCGATGTCACGCCACCCTCTTTGTAAAAGAACACTAAAATAAGGTTTGATATGAGAAGAGCTCGGGAAAGAGATTATGATGGAGTTAAGGGATAGCTGATGGGAATCACAGGGAGAGAACATTAAAGGAATGCAGAACTCAGGGGACAGACTTAAGCCACTTGTCCTCACTTGAGGCATACCTTGAATTATTTCTTGCTCAAGCCTTGCTTTAAGCCAAGAAAACAGTTGCTTTAACATTATGATAAGCTTTAGGGGTATGTCTCCAATATTCTGGCAGAAAGGGTGAGGAGAGAGGTAAAACTCGATGGTCTAATTTCTTCAGTGCCAGGAGTTATTAACTCCTTGGGCCCAGACCAGTCTCCACCCAGGAATGTTAGTGGTCCCCAAGGTAAAGGCCTCTACACCCAGAGATTGGGCCCTGAATACACCCTTCCTCCTCCTCACATACCTTATTTATTTATTTATTTATTTATTTATTTATTTATTTATTTATTTTTGAGATGGAGTCCCAGTCTGTCACCCAGGGTGGAGTGCAGTGGCACGATCTCGGCTCACTGCAACCTTCACCTCCTAGGTTCAAGTGATTCTCCTGCCTCAGCTTCCCAAGTAGCTGGGATTCGTGTGCCACCATGCCCAGCTAATTTTTTTTTTTTTGTATTTTTAGTAGAGATGGGGTTTCATTATGTTGGCCAGACTGGTCTCGAACTCCTAACCTCAGTGATCCACCCGTCTCAGCCTCCCAAAGTGCTGGAATTACAGGTGTGAGCCACCACGCCCGGCCACATCCCCATTTACCGTTTCTGTTTGTTTGTTTGTTTGTTTGTTTGTTTGAGATGGAGTCTTGCCCTATAGCCCAGGCTGGAGTGCAATGGCACGATTTTGGCTCACTACAACCTGCGCTGCCCAGGTTCAAGTGATTCTCCTGCCTCAGCCTCCCAAGTAGCTGGGATTACAGGTGCCTGCCACAACGCCCGACCAATTTTTTGTATTTTTAGTAGAGACGGGGTTTCCCCATGTTTGCCAGGCTGGTCTCACACTCCTAACCTGGTGATCCACCTGCCTCGGCCTCCCAAAGTGCTGGGATTACAGGCGTAAGCCATGGCGCCCGGCCCCCCACTTATCTTTGTATATCCCTGTTTGTCTCTCTCCCCAGGCATAGACGTCTCTTCCCTTTGCCACAATGGAGGCCTCTGTGTCGACAGCGGCCCCTCCTATTTCTGCCACTGCCCCCCTGGATTCCAAGGCAGCCTGTGCCAGGATCACGTGAACCCATGTGAGTCCAGGCCTTGCCAGAACGGGGCCACCTGCATGGCCCAGCCCAGTGGGTATCTCTGCCAGGTGAGAGGGTCTGCAGGAGAAGGGGGAGGAAAGACAAGGGTGGGCTGGATGGGAGAGACAGTAGTGACTGAGGGAAGACCCAATGTATCCATTTCACCTCCTTTTATTTTTTTTAACCCCACACACCCAACTAACCACAAAGTCATGCCACTTTATCTCCTGAAGTTTTCTCAAGTCTGTGCTTTCACCTTCACCCTTTGTCCCACTGCCTGAGTCCTGACCTTTGTTGCGTTCCAGATAGATACTTGCATCAGCCTCCTAACTACAGTCTCTGCCTCCACACTTGTCCTTCTATAGGTTCAGCCTTTACCCCGTGGCCAGGGTACTCTACTGAAAATGTCCAGTTGACCTGTCTCTCCCCTGCTGAACCTTCGGAGGCTGCCCGCCTCATTCTGAATAAAGTCCAAGGCCTGCATGACCCAGCCCTGCCTGCCTCTCAGGCCTCAGCTCTCCCCATCCCACCCTTCTACTCTCTGCTCCAGCAACATGAAACTGCTGCTGACTTTGCCACGTACCCCATACTGATTCTTGCCTCTCAGCCTTTATCCCTGCTATTGACACTACCTGGAATGGCCTTCCCAACCCCTCTTCCACAGGCTGGTGTTCAGGAGGCATCTTCTTCAGGAAGATGTCCCTAACTTCTCCCCACGCTGGATTAGGGCCTCTTCTTTGTGGTCCAGGTCACTAAGCCAGGAGAGGCAAAGCTGGCATTCAAGTCTAAGCAGCCTGATTCATATGCTCAGAACCACAACTTTTTTGTGTGTGTGGTTGCCATTTTATTTTCTTTTGTTATTGACAAACGGTAGTCATACGTATCTATGGGGTACATGTGAGTTTTTTGGTTTCTTTTTTTTTTTCTCTCTCGTTTTTGGAGACAGAGTCGCTCTATCCCCCAGGCTGAAGGGCAGTGGCATAATCTTGGCTCACTGAAACCCCCGCCTCCCAGGTTCAAGCAGTTCTCATGTCTCAGCCTCCCGAGTAGCTGGGATTACAGGAACGCGCCACCACGCCTGGCTAATTTTTGTATTTTTAGTAGAGATGGGGTTTCACCATGTTGGGCAGGCTGGTCTCAGAACTCCTGACCTAAAGTGATCCACCCGCTCAGCCTGCCAAAGTGATAAGATTACAGGTATGAGCCACCGCACCTGGACACATGTGATATTTTGATACATGCATACAATGTATCATGATCAAATCAGGGTAATTGGGATATCTATCATCTCAAACATCATTTCTTTGTGTTGAGAACATTTCAAATCTTCTCTTCTAGTTATTTTGAAATACAAATTGTTAACTATCACCATCCTTCTCTGCTATCTAACACTAGAACTTATTCCTTCTATATGACCATAATTTTGTATCCATTAACCAACCTCTCTTCATCTCCCCCTCCCTGCCACCCTTTCTAACCTCTGGTAACCATCATTCTACCCTACTTCCATGAGACTAACTTTTTTAGCTCCCACATATGAGTGAGGAGCAATATTACACATGCAATAGGAGGCTGATGCAAGTATCTACCTGGAATGCAAGAAAGGTCAGGACTAACTAAGGCAGTGGCACAAAGGTGAAGGTGAGAGACATGCAATATTTGTCTTTCCGTGCCTGGCTTATTTCACTTAACATAATGTCCTTCAGTTTCATCCATGTTGCTGAAAATGATAGGATTTCATTCTTTTTCTGGCTGAATAATATTCCATTGTGTCTATATGACACAGTTTCTTTTTTCCATTCATTTGTTGATGGCACTTCAGTTAATTCCATATGTTAGCTATTGTGAACAGTGCTGCAATAAATATGGGGATGCAGATATCTCTTCAAGATACTGATTTCCTTTGGATATGTAATGAACAGTAGATTGATCACATGGTAGATCTATTTTTAATTTTTGAGAAACTTCCATACTTTTCTCCATACTGGCTGTGTTAGTTTACATTCCCACCAACAGTGTATGAGGGTTCCCCTTTCTCTGCATCCTTGCCAGCATCTGCTATTTTTTGCATTTTTTTTCCTTTTCTGAGACAGAGTCTTGCTGTGTTGCCCAGGCTGGATCACAGTGACTTGATCTCAGCTCACTGCAACCTCTGCCTCCCAGATTCAAGCGATTCTTGTACTTCAGCCTCCCAAGTAACTGGGATCACAGGCGTGGACCACCATGCTTGGCTAATTTTTTGTATTTTTAGTAGAGATGGGGTTTCACCATGTTGGCCAGGATGGTCTCGAACTCCTGACCTCAAATGATCTTCCCGCCTCAACCTCTGAAAGTGCTGGGATTACAGGCATGGGCCACCACACTTGGCCCTTGTGTTTTCAATAACAGCCACTTTAACTGGTGTGAGATGATATCTCATTGTGGTTTTGATTTACATTTCCCTGATTTGCATCCATATACCTGTTGGCCATTTGTATGTCTTCTTTTGAGAAATGTCTGTTCAGATAATTTGCTCATTTTTTAAACCACATTATTTGTCGGTGGTGGTAGTGGTGGTGTTTGCTGTTGAGTTCCTTATACGTTCTGATTATTAATCCCTTGTCAGACAGTTTGCAAATATTTTCTTCTATTCTGTAGGTTGCCTCTTCACTCCATTAATTGTTTCCTTTGCTGCACAGACACTTTTTAGCTTGATGTAATCACATTTGTCTGTTGTTGCCTTTGTTGCCTGGCTGTTGAGGTCTTACCCAAAAAACTTTTGCCCAGACCAATGTCTTGAAGCATTTCCCAAATGATTTTTTTTTTTTTTTTTTTGAGAAGGAGTCTTGCACCGTCGCCTGGGCTGGAGTGCAGTGGCGCAAATTTGACTCACTGCAACCTTTGCCTCCTGGGTTCAAGCGATTCTCCTGCCTTAGCCTCCCAAATAGCTGGAATTTACAGGTGCCCACCACCACGCCCAGCTATTTTTTTGTATTTTTAGTAGAGACGGGGTTTCACCATGTTGGCCAGGCTGGTCTCAAACTCCTGACCTTGTGTTTGAGGATTACAGGTGTGACCCACCGTGCCCGGCTGAATTTTTTTTTTAGTGGCTTCAAGTTTCCAGCTGTACATGTAAGGCTTTAATCTATTTTGTATATGATGACAGATAGAGATTTAGTTTCTTTTTTTCTTTTTTTTTGGGGGGGGGGATAGAGTCTTGCTCTGTTGCCCTGTTGCCCAGTCTGGAGTGCAGTGGTATGATCTCAGCTCACTGCAACCTCCACCTCCCAAGTTCAACTGATTCTCCTGCCTCAGCCTCCTGAGTAGCTGGAACTACAGGTGCACACCACTACGCCCGGCTAATTTTTGTAATTTTAGTAGAGATGGGGTTTCACCATATTGGTCAGGCTGGTTTCAAACTCCTGACCTCAGGTGATCCACCCACCTCCGCCTCCCAAAGTGCTGGGATTACAGGCGTGAGCCACCCCGCCCGGCCTAGGTTTAGTTTCTTCTGCATATGGATATCCAGTTTTCCCAGCACAATTTATTGAAGAGAGTGTCCTTTCCCCAGTGTGTGTACTTGGTGCCTTTGTTGAAAGTAAGTTGGCTGGCCGGGAGTGGTGGCTCATGCCTGTAATCCCAGCATTTTGGGAGACCAAGGCGGGCAGATCACAAGGTCAGGAGTTCGAGACCAGCCTGACCAACATAGTGAAACCCCCGTCTCTACTAAAAATACAAAAATTAGCCAGGCATGGTGGTGCGCACCTGTAATCCCAGCTACTCAGGAGGCTGAGGCAGGAGAATCGCTTGAACCCAGGAGGTGGAGGTTGCAGTGAGCCAGATCGTGCCATTGCACTCCAGCCTGGCAACAGAGCAAGACTCCATCTCAAAAAAAAAAAAAGGAAAGAAAAGAAAAAAGAAAGTAAGTTGGCTGTTAAATGTTTGGACTTGTTTTTCTGGGCTCTCTATTACATTCCATTGGTCTATGTGTCTGTTTTTTATGCCAGCACCATGCTGTTTTGGTTACTATAGCTTTATAGTATATTTTTAAGTTAGGTAGTGTGGTACCTCTAGCTTTGTTCTTTTTGCTCAGGACTGCTTTGGCTATTTGGGTCTTTTACAGTTCAGATAAATTTTAGGGTTGTTTTTTCTATTTCTGTAAAGAATATTATTGGTATTTTCATAGGGGTTGCATGACTCTGTAGATCACTTTGGTAAGCACAGACATTTTAGCAGTATTCATTCTTCCAATCCATGAACACAGGATATCTTTCCATTTTTTTGTGTCCTCTTCAATTTATTTCATCAATGTTTTATAGCTGTCATTGCAGTACTCTTTCACTTCTTTGGTTAAATTTATTCATTTGTTTTTATTTTTTGTAACTATTATAAATGGGATTGCTTTCTTGATTTCTTTTTCTGATTGTTTGCTGTTAGCGTATAGAAATGCTACTACTTTTTCTACATTGATTTTGTATCCTACAGCTTTACTGAATTTGTTTATAACCAGTGTTTTCTTTAGGTTTTTCTAAATATAGGATTATGTCATCTGTGAACATGGATAATTTGAGTTCTTCTTTTGCAATTTGGATGCCCTTTATTTCTTTCTCCTGCCTAATTGCTCTGGCCAGGACTTCCAGTATTACCTTGAATAAAAATAGTGAAAGTGAGCATCCTTGTCTTGTTCCAGATCTTAGAGGAAAGGCTTTCAACTTTTCCCCATTCAATATGATGTTAGCTGTGGGTTTGTCATATATGGCTTTTATTATTTTGAGATATAGAACCACAGCTTTTTTTTTTTGAGACAGAGTCTTGCTCTGTCACTCAGGCTGGAATGTAGTGGTGCAATCTCAGCTCACTGCAACCTCTACCTCCCGGGCTCAAGCAATTCACCTGCCTCAGCCTCCCCAGTAGCTGGGATTACAGGTGCCTGCCACCACACCTAGCTAATTTTGTGTATGTGTGTATTTTTAGTAGAGATGGGGTTTCACCATGTTGGCCAGGCTGGTCTCAAAATCCTGACCTCAAGTGATCCACCCGCCTTGACCTCCCAAACTGCTGGGATTACAGGCGTGAGCCACCGTGCCCGGCCAGAACCACAACTTTTGATAGAAGGCTCAAGACAGATACCCTAACCTACCCTCTTTTTTCACTTTTTTATTTTATTTTTTAACCTTTTATTATGAACATTTTCAAACATAAACAAAAGCAGTATACTGATCAGTAGTAAACCTCTGGGCACCCATTACTCAGCTTTACTTATTCTTTTTTTTTTTTTTTTTTTTTTTTTTGAGACAGCATCTCACTCTGTTGCCCCGGCTAGAGTACAGTGGCGCGATCTCGGTTCACTGCAACCTCCGCCTCCCGGGTTCAAGCGATTCTCCTGCCTCAGCCTCCTGAGTAGCTGGGACTACAGGGACATGCCACCATGCCCGGCTAATTTTTGTATTTATAGTAGAGATGGAGTTTCACCATATTGGCCAGGCTGGTCTCGAACTCCTGACCTCGTGATCTGCCCACCTCAGCCTACCAAAGTGCTGGGATTACAGGCGTGAGCCACCGCACCCGGCTATTTACTTCTTCTTTTATGAAGCTCCCTCCTCCAAAACACCCCCATCACCTGTTCCTTCCAGCTCTCTGACCACTCCTTGGATTCTCTGTGAATTCCCTTTTCTCTCTTTGAAGCCTGCCTTCCTGGTACTGTACTCTTGCACACTCTCTTTCCTCTTGCAAGAAGCCAGCACGTGGTACAGATCTTGCCAATGACCCTTCTCTCACTAGCTGAGTGGCATGAAGAAGCAGAAAATGGTTAAGAGCATTGGTTTGGAGTCACAGACCTTCATTGATTCCCAGCTCTGCCACCTATAGCTATTTGACTTGCACAAGTCACTAACCTTTCAGAGACTCAGCTTCCTTACGTGCAAAGTAAAAATCGAATGAGATAACCCAAATAAAATGTCATTAGGGGGATTTTTAGGTTATGTATATAAATCATGCAATAAATGCTAGTCATTTCTTTCCTCTGGTTGACTGAGAGCTTCCAGGAAATAGGAATGGGTTCTAACTTTCTTTGTATTCCTAGTGCCTAAAACGGTGCCTGACACAAAGTAGGCACTCAATAGATGCTTATGAATTAATAAAGTATGAGAGAGCCTGGTAGGTATTTAGCAGGGGAGGAAGGTTTTACCAAAAATGGTGCTGTGTTTGGTGGCAGTGTGTCATAGAGATTGTTTGGGACTGGGGAAGTTTGAGTTGTGTGTCGCCAACAATTGTGTCTCATGGGGAGTTGAGATAGAAGGATTGTGACACATGGCCATGATGGATGGTGAGTTGAGTGATGCTGTTGAGCTGGAAGGTGGGGGACTGGACAGACTATCTTGAGCTGGGTCCCTTGTAGTGCTGGGTTGGGCTCATCCACTGGTTCCCTGTCTAATCCTCTTTGTCTGCAGTGTGCCCCAGGCTACGATGGACAGAACTGCTCAAAGGAACTCGATGCTTGTCAGTCCCAACCCTGTCACAACCATGGAACCTGTACTCCCAAACCTGGAGGCTTCCACTGTGCCTGCCCTCCAGGCTTTGTGGGGCTACGCTGTGAGGGAGACGTGGACGAGTGTCTGGACCAGCCCTGCCACCCCACAGGCACTGCAGCCTGCCACTCTCTGGCCAATGCCTTCTACTGCCAGTGTCTGCCTGGACACACAGGTGAGGCCCCAAGACAAGGGGCACAAGTGTGTCTGGAGCACAGCCAAGCAGACCATGGAGAGCCAGATAGTCTCCACCCATGCGGCAGCCGTCACCTGGTCCATCCCCTGCCTCCACGCCCACCCCCGCCCAGAAAAGATGCCCCAGGATCCCTTCACCTGCACATCTAGCACTGGGCCAACATCCAGGAATGAGCTAGGATGGAGGCAGTGACTGATGCAGTGTGTGACATCTAATCTCCCCCATAATTACAGGCCAGTGGTGTGAGGTGGAGATAGACCCCTGCCACAGCCAACCCTGCTTTCATGGAGGGACCTGTGAGGCCACAGCAGGATCACCCCTGGGTTTCATCTGCCACTGCCCCAAGGCAAGTGACCACAAATCTGCCTTCTCTGTTGCCCCCTATGCTGACAAGGCAAGAATACCTCAGTTGGAATCCCAGAAGGGACTGTGGGTGAGCACTGATGTGGAAATTATTGGAAAAAGCCATGCCAAGCTCACAGTGGGAAGTGTCTCTCAGAAGCAGTCAAAGGCAAGGCAGGATCAGTTGATAGCATGAATGGAATTTTCAAAAATCACAGGCGTTGCCTAAGGGAAGGTCAGGAGCTCCCCAAGCTCAAGCTGCGTGGTGGGTGGCCTCAGATAGGTTATTTTAACTCTGTGTGTGTTTGTATATGTATTTATGGACCTCAGATGCATGGAATTAGACTAATCTTAAGCTTTGGTTCCTGATACACTGACATTGGTTTATGCCTGGTCTTCTTTTATTTTATTATTCTAACAATGTAACACCCATGAACCTAACCCAAGAATTTCAATATTAATAATAACTTACATCTACTTAAGTCCTCCTCCTGTATCCTGTTCCCTCTCCAGAGGAAGAGGAAGACATATGATCCTATTTCTAAGGAGTAAGATAATAATATAACAGCCGGCCGGGCACAGTGGCTCACGCCTGTAATCCCAGCACTTTGGGAGGCCGAGGCAGGCGGATCACCTGAGGTCGGGCATTCGAGACCAGCCTGACAAACATGGAGAAACCCTGTCTCTACTAAAAATACAAATTAGCTGGGCGTGGTGGTGCATGGCTGTAATCCCAGCTATTGGGAAGGCTGAGGCAGGAGAATTGCTTGAACCCGGGAGGCAGAGGTTGCAATGAGCTGAGATTGCACCATTGCACTCCAGCCTGGACAACAAGAGCGAAACTCTGTCTCAAAAATAATAATAATAATAATATAATAGCATTCTATTAACTGTTTAGTCTTCTAGGACTTGCACTGTAATGCCACAGTCCATCAGGTTGTTGCACACAGCTGTGCTTCATCCATTTTCAACAGAATGTAATATGTCATTGTGTGAAATTACCACAGGACATGGTTTCAACATCCACAAAATGATTAACTTGATGCTCTCTGAGGCGCCTTTTAGATATGAGAATCTAGGACCCTCTGCACCGTCTTAACCCAAGAGTTTGCTTGATGGAGAGCGGGAAGAATAATGCAAGTTCCATCTCCAATATCTCCCCTCCCCTCCACAGGGTTTTGAAGGCCCCACCTGCAGCCACAGGGCCCCTTCCTGCGGCTTCCATCACTGCCACCACGGAGGCCTGTGTCTGCCCTCCCCTAAGCCAGGCTTCCCACCACGCTGTGCCTGCCTCAGTGGCTATGGGGGTCCTGACTGCCTGACCCCACCAGCTCCTAAAGGCTGTGGCCCTCCCTCCCCATGCCTATACAATGGCAGCTGCTCAGAGACCACGGGCTTGGGGGGCCCAGGCTTTCGATGCTCCTGCCCTCACAGCTCTCCAGGGCCCCGGTGTCAGAAACCCGGAGCCAAGGGGTGTGAGGGCAGAAGTGGAGATGGGGCCTGCGATGCTGGCTGCAGTGGCCCGGGAGGAAACTGGGATGGAGGGGACTGCTCTCTGGGAGTCCCAGACCCCTGGAAGGGCTGCCCCTCCCACTCTCGGTGCTGGCTTCTCTTCCGGGACGGGCAGTGCCACCCACAGTGTGACTCTGAAGAGTGTCTGTTTGATGGCTACGACTGTGAGACCCCTCCAGCCTGCACGTGAGCCTGAAATCCACTGGAGCCAGGGAAGGAGAGGGGTGGGTGAGAGGAGGAGGAAGGACGTAGATGGCTCTGAGTTACAGTGTGGCCACAGCCTTGGGCTCCAGGGAGTTTCCACCCTAATAACCATCACTAAACAGGGGTCGAAGACTCTGGACTCCAACCTAGGGTAATGGGGTGGCATCAGTATTTAATGTGGGGCGTGGCCTTTGGGCTCCTCTCTAAGAGTTGAAGGAACTCAGGTCTCAAGCCTCCTTCCCTAAGCCTTGCTGCCATGGAGTATTTCCCCTAGCAGTCAGCACCTCACAGAGGGAAAAGGGCCTGGGACTCTCCTTTAGAAACAGAGGAGAGCTTGGGAGGGTACAGAGAGGGGACAGTCTAGGGAGACAGGGGTGTTAGCAGACATTGGGGTGTCTGGACTACCATCCAGGACTTGACTAAGCTCATTGCTCCACAGCTGCCCCCACTTAGCAACCAAAGCCCTAGAGGGCACAAAATATGGGGAATTCTTTCTAGGGTGAAGAAAAGAGTCAGGTTTTAGGGAGGTCCTGAGTCCCCCTCTCCTTACCCCACAGTCCAGCCTATGACCAGTACTGCCATGATCACTTCCACAACGGGCACTGTGAGAAAGGCTGCAACACTGCAGAGTGTGGCTGGGATGGAGGTGACTGCAGGCCTGAAGATGGGGACCCAGAGTGGGGGCCCTCCCTGGCCCTGCTGGTGGTACTGAGCCCCCCAGCCCTAGACCAGCAGCTGTTTGCCCTGGCCCGGGTGCTGTCCCTGACTCTGAGGGTAGGACTCTGGGTAAGGAAGGATCGTGATGGCAGGGACATGGTGTACCCCTATCCTGGGGCCCGGGCTGAAGAAAAGCTAGGAGGAACTCGGGACCCCACCTATCAGGAGAGAGCAGCCCCTCAAACGCAGCCCCTGGGCAAGGAGACCGACTCCCTCAGTGCTGGGTAAGAAGCTAGGTGGAGGGAAGGGCCAGACACCAGTTTTTTTAAGAGGGCAGAGGGAGGAAAGGGAGCCAGGGACCAATACAGAGGTCTCTGAGGTGCCTCCTCTACAGGTTTGTGGTGGTCATGGGTGTGGATTTGTCCCGCTGTGGCCCTGACCACCCGGCATCCCGCTGTCCCTGGGACCCTGGGCTTCTACTCCGCTTCCTTGCTGCGATGGCTGCAGTGGGAGCCCTGGAGCCCCTGCTGCCTGGACCACTGCTGGCTGTCCACCCTCATGCAGGGACCGGTAGGTGACCCCTTGCCACTTTCTCTGACCTCTGTTCCCAGGCCAGCTCTCATGCTAGCAACAGGCAATGGAGGCTGAATCAAACAGGACAGCTGAGACTGAAAATGTTCTTTGTGGGGACTTACTTTCCCTAACCCCGCTTTCTCTAACTGAATCTCCCACTGGCCCATTTGTTCTACAGTCTCCTTCCTTATTTCCCTAAGCACATTATCCTAACCTCTGTCATAGCCCTCCAACAAAGGGATGGTTTATCTTCTCTACCAGACTGAGAATACCTAATAGTCTTTGTATCAGACAATTCATAGTACATGAAAGAATAATAGGCTGGGCGCAGTGGCTCATGCCTATAATCCCAGCACGTTGGGAGACCAAGGCAGGTGGATCACGAGGTCAGGAGATTGAGACCATCCTGGCTAATGCGGTGAAACCCTGTCTCTACTAAAAATAAAAAAATTAGCCGGCTGTGGTGGCGGGTGCTTGTAGTCTCAGCTACTCAGGAGGCTGAGGCAGGAGAATGGCGTGAACCTGGGAGGTGGAGCTTGCAGTGAGCCGAGATCGCGCCACTGCACTCCAGCCTGGGCGACAGAGGGAGACTCCATCTCAAAAAAAAAAAAAGAAAAATAACTGCTATATCGTACTTTGTGCCTTACTCTAAGCATTTTACATTGTTACCTCATTTAATCCTCCCCCACAACCCCATGAGGCACGTACTGCTGGTTGAGTATCCCTTATCTGAAATGCTTGGGAACAAAAGTGTTTCAGATTTCGGATTTATTTTGGAATATTTGCATTATACTTACTGGTTCAGCATCCCTAATACAACATCCAAATGCTACAATGAGCATTTCCTTTGAGCGTTATGTTGGTACTCTAAAAGTTTCAGACTTTGGAACATTTCAGATTTGGGATTGGGGTTATGGATACTCAGCCTTTTTTTGTGTGTTTGTTTTCTGAGACAGTCTTACTCTGTCAGCCACACTGGAGTACAGTGACGCCATCTCAGCTCACTGCAACCTCTGCCTCCTGGGTTTAAGCAATTCTCTTGCTTCAGACTACTGAGTAGCTGGAATTACAATGGCATGCCACCATGCCCTGATAATTTTTTTTGTTTTTGTTTTGTTTTGTTTTGTTTTGTTTGAGACAGAGTCTTGCCTTGTCGCCCAGGCCGGAGTGCAGTGGCGCGATCTCGGCTCACTGCAAGCTCCACCTCCCAAGTTCACGCCATTCTCCTGCCTCAGCCTCCCAAGTAGCTGGGACTACAGGTGCCCGCCACCACACCTGGCTAATTTTTTGTATTTTTAGTAGAGACAGGGTTTCACCATGTTAGCCAGGATGGTCTCGATCTCCTGACCTCATGATCCACCCGCCTCAGCCTCCCAAAGTGCTGAGATTATAGGAGTAAGCCACTACACCCAGCCACTAATTTTTATATTTTTAGTAGAGAGGGGGTTTTGCCATGTTGGCCAGGCTGGTCTCGAACTCCTGGCCTCATATGATCCACCTGCCTCAGCTTCCCAAAGTGCTGGGATTACAGGCATGAGCCACTGTGCCCAACCTCAATCTATATTATCATCCCCATTTTGCAGATAAGGAAACCGAGGCAAAGACAGGCTACTAAACTTGTCCAAAGGTCTCCCAATAGTAATCAGTCTCACCAGGAGTGGCCTCTCTTTGTGACTCTGTCTCTCCCACCAGCACCCCCTGCCAACCAGCTTCCCTGGCCTGTGCTGTGCTCCCCAGTGGCCGGGGTGATTCTCCTGGCCCTAGGGGCTCTTCTCGTCCTCCAGCTCATCCGGCGTCGACGCCGAGAGCATGGAGCTCTCTGGCTGCCCCCTGGTTTCACTCGACGGCCTCGGACTCAGTCAGCTCCCCACCGACGCCGGCCCCCACTAGGCGAGGACAGCATTGGTCTCAAGTGAGAATGAGGAGAAACCCAGGCTCAGGAAGGGGAGTCTCTCCTATGGCGATATTTACAATCAGAAAAGATAAGAAATACTATTGCAGAAGTCAAAGATAGGGGAAGGAGAGAGGGGTGGGAAGCCTGCTGGAAATTTTGGAGACCCTGATGGTCATAATTCCGTGTAACCTCTACCCACCCATTCCTTTCCAGGGCACTGAAGCCAAAGGCAGAAGTTGATGAGGATGGAGTTGTGATGTGCTCAGGCCCTGAGGAGGGAGAGGAGGTGGGCCAGGTGAAAGGGCTGGGGCAAGAATGGTCTGGAGGTGATGGAAGGGATGAAAGGGCAAATCAACCTTCACTGATCCTTGCTGTTACCCAAAGGCTGAAGAAACAGGCCCACCCTCCACGTGCCAGCTCTGGTCTCTGAGTGGTGGCTGTGGGGCGCTCCCTCAGGCAGCCATGCTAACTCCTCCCCAGGAATCTGAGATGGAAGCCCCTGACCTGGACACCCGTGGACCTGGTATGTGAGTCAACCCAGACCAAGAAAAAAAAAAAAAGTCCTTTGACCCTATTAGAATCAGAGAGTCCTTTAATATCAGAACTAGAGGAAATAATTTTAGACTGAGTGCCTTAGAACAATGATTCTCAAAGTGTGGTCCTCAGACAGCAAAATCAGCATCACCTGGGAATTTGTCAGAAATGCAAATTATTGGGCTCCACTACAGAGCTACTGACTCAGGAATTTAAAATGTTAGGCAATCTGTTTTAACAAGCCCTTCAGGTGAATCTGATCCAGACTCGTTTGAGAAAACCACTGCTAGGCCGGGCGTGGTGGCTCACGCCTGTAATCCCAGCACTTTGGGAGGCCAAGGCGGGTGGATCACAAGGTCAGGAGATCGAGACCATCCTGGCTAACACAGTGAAACCCCGTCTCTACTAAAAATACAAAAAATTAGCCGGGCGTGGTGGCGGGAGCCTGTAGTCCCAGCTGCTCTGGAGGCTAAGGCAGGAGAATGGCGTGAACCTGGGAGGAGGAGCTTGCAGTGAGCCGAGATCGCGCCACTGCACTCCAGCCTGGGTGACAGGGCGAGACTCCGTCTCAGAAAAAAAAAAAAAAAAAAGAGAAAACCACTGCCCTGGAATGTCAGAGAATTAAGCTGCAGGTTCCTTTTACAGAGGAAGAAACTGAAGTCAGAGAAAAGCAGAAAAGTCACTTGGCTAAAGCCACACAGAGCCAGAACTTAGCTTCCCAACACCTCAGGTTTTGATTCTCTCTGAGCTTACATGTTGTCCCTTCCCCCTTGTTGTGTCCTTTAGATTGACCCATTACTCTGTCTTACCAACAGATGGGGTGACACCCCTGATGTCAGCAGTTTGCTGTGGGGAAGTACAGTCCGGGACCTTCCAAGGGGCATGGTTGGGATGTCCTGAGCCCTGGGAACCTCTGCTGGATGGAGGGGCCTGTCCCCAGGCTCACACCGTGGGCACTGGGGAGACCCCCCTGCACCTGGCTGCCCGATTCTCCCGGCCAACCGCTGCCCGCCGCCTCCTTGAGGCTGGAGCCAACCCCAACCAGCCAGACCGGGCAGGGCGCACACCCCTTCATGCTGCTGTGGCTGCTGATGCTCGGGAGGTCTGCCAGGTTAGCACACACTGAGGTCCCTACAGGGAATGGGGCGAGCTTACAAGTAAAGCTGGACAGAAGCATCCCCTAGAGTTTGACAAGGAGGAAATTGGTGTGATTGGGAACCTGACAGGGAAACTGCGGAGGATGGCTGAATATGGATTGCGAGTGGGGTTAATAGTGTAAGGAACTCGAGTTGGCAGTCCAAGGTACCCCAGGGGTCACTGGCCCTCTGTCTCCCCAGCTTCTGCTCCGTAGCAGACAAACTGCAGTGGACGCTCGCACAGAGGACGGGACCACACCCTTGATGCTGGCTGCCAGGCTGGCGGTGGAAGACCTGGTTGAAGAACTGATTGCAGCCCAAGCAGACGTGGGGGCCAGAGATAAATGGGGTATGTAGAGGAAGGGGTGATGTATGCTATAGAGAGTTGAGCAGATGGGGTGGGAGATAGCGTGCAAAATATAGGTGCAGCAGAGGGGCATTCCCTCTCATCCTGCTGTTACGGCGGTCAATCTGAGATGCGGTGGAAGTACGGGCCGCGTGAGTTTCCCCCCCCAACTCCCACCCTCAACACCACACTGGCCCTCCGCTCCAGCTTACTGGGGAACTGGCATGGAACACAGTGTCTGTGGAAAGGGGGGGGAATCTCGTGGGGGGAGACTGTCTCCCGGTCTCACCGACCCCAGAACAATGCCCCATTGTCCCTCCCGCGCACTGGTGACGTCACCAGGGCAACACTTCCTGCAGGCCGGTGGTCTCCTGGGCAACGCTTCCCGCCTTTGAGGGACCAGCCGGCCCGAATAGCCCTTCCCCCAAGGCCAGAACCCGTGGGAAACCGGAACCCAGGCGTCTGGCCCCCAACTGGGGTAACAACCTCCCACGTCGTCCCCTAGGGAAAACTGCGCTGCACTGGGCTGCTGCCGTGAACAACGCCCGAGCCGCCCGCTCGCTTCTCCAGGCCGGAGCCGATAAAGATGCCCAGGACAACAGGGTTAGATGGGACAGAGGGCTTCCCACAAAACAGTCAGGCGCACGAGAGATGGAAAGTGCGGTAACCCGCAAAGCCTGAAGGGATAGGGGCCAGTGGTCGCGCAAGTGAAGGCAGAAAGGCCCAGTCCTGTGGGCGTGGCCTTCCCTGATATCGGCCCTGGCTCTTCTGTACAGGAGCAGACGCCGCTATTCCTGGCGGCGCGGGAAGGAGCGGTGGAAGTAGCCCAGCTACTGCTGGGGCTGGGGGCAGCCCGAGAGCTGCGGGACCAGGCTGGGCTAGCGCCGGCGGACGTCGCTCACCAACGTAACCACTGGGATCTGCTGACGCTGCTGGAAGGGGCTGGGCCACCAGAGGCCCGTCACAAAGCCACGCCGGGCCGCGAGGCTGGGCCCTTCCCGCGCGCACGGACGGTGTCAGTAAGCGTGCCCCCGCATGGGGGCGGGGCTCTGCCGCGCTGCCGGACGCTGTCAGCCGGAGCAGGCCCTCGTGGGGGCGGAGCTTGTCTGCAGGCTCGGACTTGGTCCGTAGACTTGGCTGCGCGGGGGGGCGGGGCCTATTCTCATTGCCGGAGCCTCTCGGGAGTAGGAGCAGGAGGAGGCCCGACCCCTCGCGGCCGTAGGTTTTCTGCAGGCATGCGCGGGCCTCGGCCCAACCCTGCGATAATGCGAGGAAGATACGGAGTGGCTGCCGGGCGCGGAGGCAGGGTCTCAACGGATGACTGGCCCTGTGATTGGGTGGCCCTGGGAGCTTGCGGTTCTGCCTCCAACATTCCGATCCCGCCTCCTTGCCTTACTCCGTCCCCGGAGCGGGGATCACCTCAACTTGACTGTGGTCCCCCAGCCCTCCAAGAAATGCCCATAAACCAAGGAGGAGAGGGTAAAAAATAGAAGAATACATGGTAGGGAGGAATTCCAAAAATGATTACCCATTAAAAGGCAGGCTGGAAGGCCTTCCTGGTTTTAAGATGGATCCCCCAAAATGAAGGGTTGTGAGTTTAGTTTCTCTCCTAAAATGAATGTATGCCCACCAGAGCAGACATCTTCCACGTGGAGAAGCTGCAGCTCTGGAAAGAGGGTTTAAGATGCTAGGATGAGGCAGGCCCAGTCCTCCTCCAGAAAATAAGACAGGCCACAGGAGGGCAGAGTGGAGTGGAAATACCCCTAAGTTGGAACCAAGAATTGCAGGCATATGGGATGTAAGATGTTCTTTCCTATATATGGTTTCCAAAGGGTGCCCCTATGATCCATTGTCCCCACTGCCCACAAATGGCTGACAAATATTTATTGGGCACCTACTATGTGCCAGGCACTGTGTAGGTGCTGAAAAGTGGCCAAGGGCCACCCCCGCTGATGACTCCTTGCATTCCCTCCCCTCACAACAAAGAACTCCACTGTGGGGATGAAGCGCTTCTTCTAGCCACTGCTATCGCTATTTAAGAACCCTAAATCTGTCACCCATAATAAAGCTGATTTGAAGTGTTACCTTTTTTTGGAGGAATTGGGGAGAAGAATGGGAAAAAAGATGGGAGTGACTGCATAATGTCAGCATTTTGTGCTTTTGGCTCAGCATTTGGATTGGATGGAGGATGTAAGTATAGTTTAAAAGCAAGAATAAGTATATTTAGGGGCCCTATGATAATTTAGGGTATTATCTGAAAGCAAGAATCTAGTAGCCAAGGGAGAAACCGCACACACTAGGTCAGGGGTCCCCAACCCTTGGGCCACAGACTGGTACTGGTCCATGGCCTCTTAGGAACTGGGCCACACAGCAGGAGGTGAGCAAGCATTACTGCCCAAGCTCCACCTCCTGTCAGATCAGCATAAGCATTAAATTCTCATAGGAACTCGAACCCTATTGTGAACTGTGCATGCAAGGGATCTAAGTTTCTCGCTTCTTACGGGAATCTAATGCCTAATGATCTGGGGTGGAACAGTTTCATCCTGAAACCAGCCCTCCGTCGCCACCGACCATGGAATAATTGTCTTCCACGAAACTCTTCCCTGGTGCCAAAAAGGTAGGAGACCACTGCACTAGATGATGCACACACTTTGTCCCTCATCCTAGGGCTTTTACTTATGGCCACTTAGGAGATTCCTAAGGCCACAAGTCAAGTAGATGGAGAGAGTATCTTGAAACTTTGTCCACCTTGCAGCAATATGTTGCTAGGTTTGAAACATGGAGTCATGAGGCATTTTGAAAGCCAATAATATCTACAGTTTATTAAGTATTCACTATGCATCAAGTGCTTCATTACATTATTAATACATCAACCCTATGAAGTAGGTGCTATTAAAACCCTATTTCACTCAGAAATTGAGGCACAGAGATCTGCCCAAGATTGCAAGGAATAAGCGGCAGGACCAGATCTCTTCATCACATTTCACATTCCAAATCACTCAGCTATAAACTCCCTAACATGACAGGTTGCCATTTAGAGGTACCAAATGGTTGTCTGCCCTGCTCCTTCCTTGATGCCAACCAGCCTGATTAGCATTGATCAAAGACCAAGCCAGAGAGGTAGTCCTCTCCCTTTTCAATTTCATTTCATTTCTTTCTTTTTCTGAAACAGGGTATTGCTCTGTTGCCCAGCCTGGAGTGCAGTGGCACAAATGGCTCACTGCAGCCACAACCTCCTGGGCTCAAGCAATCTTCCTACCTCAGCCTCTCATTGTTCCATATCTATATCTCTTATGCCCAAAATAAACTTTCCCCTGCCCCTTGTCTGCACTAAACTATAAGTTTCCAAAATGAACCCTTCCCGTACTCTATTTGGTACACATCTTGTCTCCTGAATAGAGTGTATTTTTTATTTTATTTTATTTTGGAGACGGAGTCTCGCTCTGTCACCTAGGCTGGAGCGCAGTGGCACAATCTCAGTTCACCGCAACCTCCGCCTCCCGGGTTCAAGCAATTCTCCTGCCTCAACCTCCTGAGTAGCTGGGATTACAGGCGCATGTGGCCACGCCCAGCTAATTTTTTGTATTTTAGTAAAGATGGGGTTTCACCATGTTCCCCAGGCTGGTCTCCAACTCCTGAGCTCAGGCAATCCACCCGCCTCAGCCTCCCAAAGTGCTAGGATTACAGGTGTGAGCCACCGCAGCCGGCCATCTCCTGAATAGATTTTAAATACCTAGAGGTCAGGGATGATTATTCAATACATATATATTGAATACTTACTATGTGTTGGACCCGGTGCTAGGGTTTTATGTATATATTTGAGAGCTCCACATCCCTGGATCTGAATCCTCCACTTCCCACTGGAACCATGCCCCTCCCAGTCCCGGTAAGTAAGAGGGAAGATCGGGAGGGCCAAATCCTACACCAGGGTCTATCTTAGGGAGGGAAGGGACCTGGCTGGGGGGAGGGGGATTCTGAGGAGTGAAACCACTTCCTGTGTAGCTAGTTCCTGTGTTGACAGAAAGAGCAGAAGAGGAGGTGGGGTGGAGGGAGCAGAGCCAGGGATTAGGGGACTACTGAGGCTCTGGAGATGAGACCGCCAGGAGTCCTTCCCCACCATGAGCCCCCTCCACTCCTGCAGCTGGAGGAGTTTTTCCCAGTCTCAGTGCTGCCCTGGGGCGAGAGAGACTGAACAAGCTGTTTGGGTGGGAAGAGAATGGAGGAAGTTGACAGGGATGGGCGGGGCCCGTGGGGGGGCTGACCAGGAACCCAGCTTCCTGCTCAGTACCCAGGCATCCAGCCCCCAGCTCACCCCCACCCCTTCCAGCCCCCACTCCCCTCAGGAACCCAAGGTTCCAGCCCTCCTCCCAAATCCCAGCCACCCCTCCCCCACCAGTTTCTCCCCTCTAGGGGATGGAGGCTGAGAGACCCCAGGAAGAAGAGGATGGTGAGCAGGTGAGCTGGGCACGGGGTTGGGGAGGCTGACACTGGGAAAGAAGGGAGGTGAGAGGACCTGGGGCAGAAATGTAGGGACACAGGGGCCTTGAAAGGCTTGGGCAAACTGAGGCAGGAACAGAGACACACAGAGAGGAAACGGGCCACTGGCCTAGCCCCCTGTCCACTCCTCCCGCTTCAACCACCACTGCTTGACTAGAATGGACATATTTTGGCATCAGGGCCCCCCTCAGGATGAGGAAGGCTGGCCCCCTCCAAACTCCACCACTCGGCCTTGGCGATCTGCTCCTCCATCCCCTCCTCCTCCAGGGACCCGCCACACAGGTACCCCTACCCACCCAGGGAGAGCCCCGACCCTAGTGCCCACATCCTGACCCCATTACCAAGGCCCACTCCATTGTGGGCCCTCTCCCCACCTCCTCCAGACTCCCCTTGGGATTCCCCATTGCACCCCCTCTCCTCTGATCCAAAGTCCCTAATCACGTCACCCTGTCCACACTCCCCCACGGCTCCTGTCTGCCAACCTCTCTGGGTCTCTGAGCCCTCCACACCCCTCTCCCCAGCCCTGGGACCCCGCTCGGCCTCCCTGCTCTCCCTGCAGACTGAACTCCTTCTGGACCTGGTGGCTGAAGCCCAGTCCCGCCGCCTGGAGGAGCAGAGGGCCACCTTCTACACCCCCCAAAACCCCTCAAGCCTAGCCCCTGCCCCACTCCGTCCTCTCGAGGACAGAGAACAGCTTTACAGCACTATCCTCAGTCACCAGGTAAGACATCCCCCCAGGAGGCAAACCCAGGCCTCCTGGTCTCTTGGCCCCTGTTCTCTTTGGGGCTCTACTCCTGTTTCTCCCTAGGCACCCCATCGCCTTCACAGGTTTCCTATATGCCTCCCCATACCAACCCTTGATCCTCTCAAGAACCTCCTCCTCTCAGACCCTCACCAAAGCTCTCCCTCTCCCTCCACTCCTCCAGTGCCAGCGGATGGAAGCCCAGCGGTCAGAGCCTCCCCTCCCTCCAGGGGGGCAAGAGCTCCTGGAGTTGCTGCTGAGAGTTCAGGGTGGGGGTCGAATGGAGGAGCAAAGGTCCCGGCCCCCCACACACACCTGCTGAGACTTGAGCCCCAACCAGCCCTTCCTTGCCACTGGTCTCAAAGCTGGGCAGCCCATTGCATGCCCTCAACTCTTGCTTGGCAGGGGTACCAGAGACTGAAAGACACGGCACAAATCTCAATATTCATCTCCCACATCACCTTCCCTGGGAACTGGACAGGGTGAAAGTCCTCAAACTCTGGGAACAGGCGAGATGGAACAGGGATTTAACTCCCCGCCCACAGGTCCATGGGAGCTTGAGGCAGTAAGGGGGATCCCAGGCACCCATCTCAAGGAGTGGCTGGGAGTCTTTTCCCTAACTTGTGGGGACACCACCAGTTGTCAAGCTACTAGGCAGTAGGGTCTGAGGGCTCAGGCCTCCACCTGAGAGGTTATAACCTGAGAGACAGCTCTACCCTTCCTCCCAGTAAGAAGGGAAGGTGGGTGGGCACCTGAGAGATTAAGACTATTCTCCCAGTCCCACTACCAGCACCCCCGATCCCTGAGACTGAGGGGTTTACGGGCTGTGAATGGACCTTCAGCCCTGCCCACCCTCCCTCCCCACTGCTGCTGAGTCTGTCTGATGTTTTGGTTGTGTGAATAAATATAATTCCCCTCTGGACTGCAGACTGGTATCTGGGGGGCCCAGGCGGGGTGAAAGGTAGGAAGGTGAGGCCAGAGGCCTTTTCTCTCCCCAGTCTGGCCAGAGGCCAGCTCCCCTCCCCGGCTGGTTAATTACTGGCTCATTAAGCAGCGGCTGGAGACCTCCCTAATTATCTCCCCCAGCCCCCCTCTTCGGTTTTAATTAAGTAGAACAGGGAGGGGAGTCATTAGAACAAGAAATATGAACTGAGCTGCCGGTGAACCCAGGCATTCCAGCGGCCTGAGTCCACATCGCTTAGATCCCTGATTCAGGACCCAGGTGACAGACGCCCCCAGCCGCCAACACAGCCCCACTCCTAGGCCGCGGAAGTCCAGCCAGGGGGCTTTCCCATATCTTTCAGATGGCCCGTCTCCTCCCCTCATCCCCTCTTCCCTCTCCCCTCCTCCACTAGGTCTCAGTTCCTCTGTTTCTGTGTCTCTCTCTCCGCCCCCAGCTCCTCCCTGTTCCTCCTCTCTTCTCCCCTCCTCTTCCTCTCCGGCTCCCCTCCCCCAGCCTCCCTCCCTCGCTCCCCCCCCTTCTCCCTCCTCCCTCCTCCCTCTCTCTCACACACACCCCCGCTTGGGCCTCCTCTCTCTCTCCGGCTCCATTTTCTCCGCCGCCGGGGGCCGGGGTCTCCTGTGGGGGGCCCAGCCGGTATCCCAGGTCTCCCTTCAGTGCCGGGGTGAACCCCCGGGGGAGCCGGGAGCCGGGGGCAGACGGGCGGGGGTTGGGGCGGAGGGAGCAGCGGCCCCAGCGAGTTTGGGGGGAGAAGTAACCAGGCGGGGGGAGGGGCGGAGCAGGGAGGGGGCCTCAGGGCCCCCCCCCAGCTATGGACGAACGGCTACTGGGGCCGCCCCCTCCAGGCGGGGGCCGGGGGGGCCTAGGATTGGTGAGTGGGGAGCCTGGGGGCCCTGGCGAGCCTCCCGGTGGCGGAGACCCCGGTGGGGGTAGCGGGGGGGTCCCGGGAGGCCGAGGGAAGCAAGACATCGGGGACATTCTGCAGCAGATAATGACCATCACCGACCAGAGCCTGGACGAGGCCCAGGCCAAGTGAGTGCCCCCACTCCGGGACCCCACACAGACCCAGCAAACCCCGTTCACATGTTCTGAATCTTCTGGGAGCCCCCCCCAACTCCAGGGCCCTCTCCAGGATCCAACAGCTCTCTTCTCTCCTTATTCCTGGGAGCCCATAGAAAAGTGATCCCTCTCAAACCTCCCTTCACCCCCAGGCCCTGAAACCTTCACAGAGGGAACCCCCGGTGGCCCGGCTCCCCACTCCTAACCTTTTGCCGACCCCTGCAGTCTCCTGGAACAGCCCCATCCCCGGGAGCCCCCTCTGGCTCCCAGACTAAGAAACTGTTCTTGGGCTACGTTATCTTCTCCCCTAACTCTCCACCCAGCCCCCTCATTCTCTCCAGATGTGGAGACCTCCACACCCTCTCCAGAGCCCCTAAAGCTCCTCTCCACTGCTCAGCCAGACACTAGGTGCATCAAAGCCTCCCACCTGCTCAGCCCCAGGACCCCTTCACACACCCTACACTGATCTCCCCAGTTAGCTCGGCACCCCCAGCCCCACTCTGCCACCTCAAACTCTGACTCTTCTCAACCCCAGCCTCTGTCTCTCTCCCTCTGAAACCTACCAAGTCACTTTCCTTTCTCCATCCACTCCCAGATTCCTCCTCCTACCTTTCTAGACCATCTCCCAAAGCCCGCAGCCTTTAACCTGCTGCCTGCATCTTCCCTGTGTCTCCCTGAAGCTGAGGAGCTTCCCCATGCTCTGGGAGCTGATCTTTTCCCAAGAACTCCTCATTCCACCCCCAACTCATTCCACCCCCAATCCGCTTCCTCCCTCCGCAGACTGACCCTCCTCCCTCCTTGTTCTCAGGCCCCCTGCTCTGTTTCTCTAGCTCCTCAACTTTTCTCTTTCCCCACTCCCACTCCTCCCAAGGAAACACGCCCTAAACTGCCACCGAATGAAGCCTGCTCTCTTTAGCGTCCTGTGTGAAATCAAGGAGAAAACTGGTATGTGGGCCCCCCCCCGGATTGCTCAACTCTGGGAACAGAACCCTGTTCATTATAGGGCTAGAGTGTGACAACTTGGGGCCCTGAGGAAAGTAAGGAGTCAGGGGGACTGGGGAAGGAACCAAAGCCTGGGAACTTGGCTCTCCAGGAAGCACCAGGAGGACTGAGCACTGGGTATTGGGGTCTCTGGGTCCCTAAGTCCACTCGCCTGCATGCTAGGCCTCAGCATTCGGAGCTCCCAGGAGGAGGAGCCGGTGGACCCACAGCTGATGCGCTTGGACAACATGCTTCTGGCAGAGGGTGTGGCTGGGCCCGAGAAAGGGGGCGGCTCAGCAGCAGCAGCTGCAGCCGCTGCAGCCTCTGGTGGTGGTGTGTCCCCTGACAACTCCATCGAACACTCGGACTATCGCAGCAAACTTGCCCAGATCCGTCACATATACCACTCGGAGCTGGAGAAGTATGAGCAGGTAAGGAGAGGAGGCTTGGGTGGGTGGAGGGAAGGGCTCTTGCAGGGGAATCCCATGGTCAAAGGGCTCCTCCTCACCAGCCCACTGGCCCCCACTACAGGCATGTAATGAGTTCACGACCCATGTCATGAACCTGCTGAGGGAGCAGAGCCGCACCAGGCCCGTGGCCCCCAAAGAGATGGAACGCATG
The DNA here is from genome assembly GCF_000001405.40 of Homo sapiens. NCBI lineage: Eukaryota > Metazoa > Chordata > Mammalia > Primates > Hominidae > Homo > Homo sapiens. The sequence continues at coordinate 3,411,264 of NT_167248.2, read as the reverse complement.
GTGAGCATCATCCATCGAAAGTTCAGCGCCATCCAGATGCAGCTGAAGCAGAGCACCTGCGAGGCTGTGATGATCCTGCGCTCCCGTTTCCTGGATGCCAGGTGGGCCCAGGGACCCCAGGCTGGCCCCCAGCACTGGGCTCCTTCCCATTCCTCTCCAAGACCCTGAGCTGCCATGCTGCACAACATGGTACTCCATGACAATGGTGACTCTGGGGTCATGCCATGTGACAGCCCTGCCAGGACATCAACATCCTCCTCACTGCTCTTCTCCCTCCTCTGTAGACGAAAGCGCCGTAACTTCAGCAAACAGGCCACTGAGGTCCTAAATGAGTATTTCTACTCCCACCTGAGTAACCCATATCCTAGTGAGGAGGCCAAGGAGGAGCTTGCCAAGAAGTGTGGCATCACCGTGTCTCAGGTATTATGGAGGTTGCGGGAGGAGTTGTCAGGCAAAGTGCACGCATCTCAGCTAGGTGCAGTGGTGTGTTCCTGTAATCCCAGCTACTAGGGAGGCTGAAGTGGGAGGATCACTTGAATTGGAGACCAGCCTGGGCAACAGCATAGTGAGACCAGGAAGCAAAAAAAAAAAAAATGCTGTCACTCACATCTTATTCAGTGAAGGACTTCAGAGGCAAATGTTTCTACCTGACCCTCCTTTCTGCCCCACAGGTCTCCAACTGGTTTGGCAACAAGAGGATTCGCTATAAGAAAAACATCGGAAAGTTCCAAGAGGAGGCAAACATCTATGCTGTCAAGACCGCCGTGTCAGTCACCCAGGGGGGCCACAGCCGCACCAGCTCCCCGACACCCCCTTCCTCTGCAGGTGGATCCCACTGTCACCCCGGCTGACTGTTTTGCACACTTCCTGCTTTTGTTCCCACTTCCTATCTAGGCAGGATCATAGCAGAGAGGGGGCCTTTTGGGGTGAGAGGGACCGAGCTGAGATAGGCTGGAGATGTCAGGGGACAGAGGCCATTCCAGTGATCTTAGTTCTGCCTTTCTTCCCACGGGTGGCCAAGGAACAGCCTGCTCTTTCTGTGTGTTGGAATGTTATTTTGTGGATAATTGGAGTATAGTAGCATGTCCCCACAAGAGTTGAGAGTTGTGGTTCATCCTCTACCATCACGGGCTCTATTACACTCTTCCCTCTCTGCCCCCACAAGGCTCTGGCGGCTCTTTCAATCTCTCAGGATCTGGAGACATGTTTCTGGGGATGCCTGGGCTCAACGGAGATTCCTATTCTGCTTCCCAGGTCAGATGCCCATCTCCTCTCGAATAGGGCTTTCCCCAACTCCATTTCCTCTACTTTAGGATACAAGACCTCTTTCCTCTGAGGCTTCTCTTCACTGTCATACCTTCCTCTGCTGCCTGCAGGTGGAATCACTCCGACACTCGATGGGGCCAGGGGGCTATGGGGATAACCTCGGGGGAGGCCAGATGTACAGCCCACGGGAAATGAGGGTGAGTGGATCCTGAAGCTCCTCTCTGTCCAGTTCTCACAGGACAGAGGGGCATTTTCCCTAGTAATGTTGTGCCCACACAGGGTTCCCAGGGCTTTCTCTGTTTTCTGTACTCTGTCTCTCCTTTCAGGCAAATGGCAGCTGGCAAGAGGCTGTGACCCCCTCTTCAGTGACATCCCCAACGGAGGGACCAGGGAGTGTTCACTCTGATACCTCCAACTGATCTTGCCCCTCAGGGTCACAGGGGTGGGGGCTCTCACAAGGCGACTTGAAGAGGACGCAGGCTTCCAGAGGACAAACCCCAATACAGGAGAAGCACAAGACAGAGAAGGGCCAATGGGGTCATCCCCTCCCTAACGAGACTCTCTGTGCTGGGGGTGCTAATTACATGGCAGGAAGAATGGGGCCTCTAAGGGGAGTGTGGGGTCTGTCTCTCCCTTTTTTCCATCTTTTTCCTCTCTCGCTTTCTTTCTTACACAGAAACATACACATACCGAGAAACCTATTTCTCAGACCCCTTTTTCTCCTCTGTCTTTCTCTCTCCCTCTCCCACACCTCACACACACATACTCCCACTTGCAACTATTCTGTTTCTCTCCTGGGCTCCCCCACTTTCCCTTCCCCACCCCACTTGTATGCTCTGGAATCTGTGGAGACGCCAGCCCTGCCCAATCAGAGATGCCAAAAATGGGGACATGACTTCTGGACAGAGGACATGGGCCACGCCCCCATGCATCCCCACCCCCGCCCCTCCGGACGGCTTACTTACCTCATACGCAGCTCATCTTAAACCAATAGAATCGCTCGGTGGACGAGAGTGTCTGACTCAGATATCTACCTCGGAGGGAGTTTCTGCTACTTTAGGGAATTATTGACTGGGCTTTGGGGTTGAACTTTTTTTTTTTTAAAGAAAGAAAAAGAAACCCTGGGATCCATCTGTTTTTTTTGTTGTTGTTGTTGTTTTTGTTGTTGTTGTTGGTGGTGGTGGTGGTGGTTCTTAATTTTTAATTTAGTTTGGGGAAGTAGCTTGTTTTTTTTTTTATAAATATGTTGATTTCTTGTCTTTTTTTTTTATTTCTTACTTTCCCATATTAGGGGTGATAGCCAAAGGGGTTCTGGTAAGAGAAAGGGGGACAAACAGAACTGGTAAAGAGGCCCCCCTGGCTCCAGGCCTGTCCATCAGGAAGTAAATTTTACAGGGCACCAAGCTTTGCCCCCTAAAATCCCTTAGGTGTTCTTTGTTCATGCAGGCAGGTTTCTGCCGCATTTGATGTGGAGGCAGTGAAGGGCTTGCCCTGCTGGCCTCTCATCCCCCTTCTTCCCACAACCCTTGGGCAGGGCTGGACTCAGTAATTTTGAGGAAATTGAAGATGCCATCTTCCCCTGTGAGTGACATGTCTTTAATTTTTTAAAAAACTACTATTTGAAAATTGGAGGGGGAAGAATGGGAAGGGAGTTATTGCCAAATATGTTAAATATGGGTTGGGGTGCTTGTATATGTATCTTCCTCAATTTCCCCATAAATGAGGTATCTTTTTGTCACACCAAAATCAAGGGGTAGGGAGAGGGAGGAGGTTGCAAAAAGCCAGATGTGGGGGAAAAGTAACATCAACACTGTCCCATCCTCAGCCCTGAACTAGCTACCATCTGATCCCCTCAGACATTCTCAGGATTTTACAAGACTGTCAGAGTGGGGAACCCCTCCCATTAAAGATCCGGGCAGGACTGGGGACAGGTTGGAAGTGTGATGGGTGGGGGGGTGGGAGGCATGGGCCGGGGGCAGTTCTCTCCTCACTTGTAAACTTGTGTAGTTTCACAGAAAAAAAACAAAATGCAGTTTTAAATAAAGAAATTTCTTTTTTCCCTGGGTTTAGTTGAGAATTTTTTTCAAAAAACATGAGAAACCCCAGAAAAAAAATGATTTTCTTTCACGAAGTTCCAAACAGGTTTCTCTCCTGTTCCCCAGCCTTGCCTTCATGATGCAGGCCCAATTGCACCCTTGCAGACAACAGTCTGGCCTGAACCCTATTGATGCAACTTTGCGCAATCAAGATGGGGCTCCAGTGGGTCACCAGGCAGCCCTGATGGACTGATGGAATAAATAGGATCGGGGGCTCTGAGGGAATGAGACCCTAGAGGGTACACTCCCCATCCCCCAGGGAAGTGACTGTACCCAGAGGCTGGTAGTACCCAGGGGTGGGGTGATAATTATTTCTCTAGTACCTGAAGGACTCTTGTCCCAAAGGCATGAATTCCTAGCATTCCCTGTGACAAGACGACTGAAAGATGGGGGCTGGAGAGAGGGTGCAGGCCCCACCTAGGGCGGAGGCCACAGCAGGGAGAGGGGCAGACAGAGCCAGGACCCTGGAAGGAAGCAGGATGGCAGCCGGAACAGCAGTTGGAGCCTGGGTGCTGGTCCTCAGTCTGTGGGGTGAGCCACTCCCTCAACCCCACTGACCCTCCCTGCAGAAAGCACTTTAACCCCACACCCCAGTCGTCCTAGAACTTTTCCCAGAACCCGAGGAAGTGCCTTTCAAGGTCCCTCACCCACCCTGTCCAAATTTTGTTAGCCCTCATTCCCTTCCTACCCCTCTACCATGGTGCTATCTCCCAGGGGCAGTAGTAGGTGCTCAAAACATCACAGCCCGGATTGGCGAGCCACTGGTGCTGAAGTGTAAGGGGGCCCCCAAGAAACCACCCCAGCGGCTGGAATGGAAACTGGTAAGCGGGGCTCCTGTTGCAGCCTCCCAACTTCCAGGGAGACCAGCAATGATTTGGATCCCCGTCACTCTGCCTCACAGTCCTTTCCCAAAGGCCTTGCACTGTTTAGGCCCTGCTTCTCTGCTTCTAGAACACAGGCCGGACAGAAGCTTGGAAGGTCCTGTCTCCCCAGGGAGGAGGCCCCTGGGACAGTGTGGCTCGTGTCCTTCCCAACGGCTCCCTCTTCCTTCCGGCTGTCGGGATCCAGGATGAGGGGATTTTCCGGTGCCAGGCAATGAACAGGAATGGAAAGGAGACCAAGTCCAACTACCGAGTCCGTGTCTACCGTAAGAATTCCAGGGTCTTCTCCAAGGCCTCCCTCTTACCTAAGAAAAAGCCTTCAACCCCAGCCTTGGCCCATGAGGGCCTCTGACTTCCACTGGCCTCATTTCCACACACAGAGTTTGAGAACCTTCACAATTACAGCCTCTGACTGGATTTTTCCTCCTTCAGAGATTCCTGGGAAGCCAGAAATTGTAGATTCTGCCTCTGAACTCACGGCTGGTGTTCCCAATAAGGTAGTGGAAGAAAGCAGGAGAAGTAGAAAACGGCCCTGTGAACAGGAGGCGAGTGTGTGTGGGTGTGGGTGTGTGGCATCTCTCATTTTCAAAGGATTCTGAGGTCACCACTCTTTCCCCAGGTGGGGACATGTGTGTCAGAGGGAAGCTACCCTGCAGGGACTCTTAGCTGGCACTTGGATGGGAAGCCCCTGGTGCCTAATGAGAAGGGTGAGTCCTAAGGTGCCCCCCAAGCTGCCTTCTCCCTGATCTCACTCCCACACCCACCCTGGGATAATTTGTCTTATCCTCCCATCATAGGAGTATCTGTGAAGGAACAGACCAGGAGACACCCTGAGACAGGGCTCTTCACACTGCAGTCGGAGCTAATGGTGACCCCAGCCCGGGGAGGAGATCCCCGTCCCACCTTCTCCTGTAGCTTCAGCCCAGGCCTTCCCCGACACCGGGCCTTGCGCACAGCCCCCATCCAGCCCCGTGTCTGGGGTGAGCATAGGTGGGGAGGGCCCCAAGCTCACGTGAGCACGTTCTGGAAGTCTGACCCTTAGGGAAAGAGGGAGTCAAGCCCATGGCCACTGGGATCACTCACAAGTGTAACTCTCCACCTCAAAACCCTTCCAACTCCCAGAGCCTGTGCCTCTGGAGGAGGTCCAATTGGTGGTGGAGCCAGAAGGTGGAGCAGTAGCTCCTGGTGGAACCGTAACCCTGACCTGTGAAGTCCCTGCCCAGCCCTCTCCTCAAATCCACTGGATGAAGGATGTGAGTGACCTGGAGAGAGGGGCTGGGAGGTAGGGTGAACCATAACTATCAACAGGGAGGGCAGAGGGCTAACGAGGGAAAGGCAGGCTAGGAGCTGAGGAGGAAGAGAGGGTATCTGAAGATATGGAGACAAAAAGACAAGGGTTTTGAAATAGTCTCCTCTCCCCTTCCCCCACCAGGGTGTGCCCTTGCCCCTTCCCCCCAGCCCTGTGCTGATCCTCCCTGAGATAGGGCCTCAGGACCAGGGAACCTACAGCTGTGTGGCCACCCATTCCAGCCACGGGCCCCAGGAAAGCCGTGCTGTCAGCATCAGCATCATCGGTGAGACCTCTCCCCAAGCCCTACAGACCCTGGGACTAGGGTGCAGGACAGCACAGGCTCTAATTTCCTGCCCCATTCTGGCCTTATCCCTAACAGCCACCCCACCTCTCCCTCCATGCACCCACACCCAAGCCTCCCCTGCCCCACCCAAATTCTGCCAAGAGAGCAGCCAAGCCTCTCCCTTCTTCCCTCTGAGCTAAAAAAAGGAACAGACGGCTGGGCGCGGTGGCTCACGCCTGTAATCCCAACACTTTGGGAGGCTGAGGCGGGCAGATCACCTGAGGTAGGGAGTTCGAGACCAGCCTGACCAACATGGAGAAACCCCATTTCTACTAAAAATACAAAATTAGCCAGGCATGGTGGCACATGCCTGTAATCCCAGCTACCTGGGAGGCCAGCTACTTGAGAGGCTGAGGCAGGAGAATTGCTTGAACCCAGGAGGCATAGATTGCGATGAGCCAAGATCGCACCATTGCATGCCAGCCTGGGCAACAAAAGTGAAACTCCATCTCAAAAAAAAAAAGAAAGGGAAAGACTCCACTGGGGCTCCCACTAAATAACCCTCTCTCAACCCGAAGTCTTCCTTTCTGACTGGATCCAACTTTGTCTTCCAGAACCAGGCGAGGAGGGGCCAACTGCAGGTGAGGGGTTTGATAAAGTCAGGGAAGCAGAAGATAGCCCCCAACACATGTGACTGGGGGGATGGTCAACAAGAAAGGAATGGTGAGTGGTGGTGGCTGTGCTCTCAATTTTCCCTGTCTCCGTACAGGCTCTGTGGGAGGATCAGGGCTGGGAACTCTAGCCCTGGCCCTGGGGATCCTGGGAGGCCTGGGGACAGCCGCCCTGCTCATTGGGGTCATCTTGTGGCAAAGGCGGCAACGCCGAGGAGAGGAGAGGTGAGTGGAGAAAGCCAGACCCCTCAGACCTAGGGCTTCCAGGCAGCAAGCGAAGAGGGGTCGGGGGGTGGAACGACAACGTGCCGCATTCCCCCCAATCTTTCTCCTCAGGAAGGCCCCAGAAAACCAGGAGGAAGAGGAGGAGCGTGCAGAACTGAATCAGTCGGAGGAACCTGAGGCAGGCGAGAGTAGTACTGGAGGGCCTTGAGGGGCCCACAGACAGATCCCATCCATCAGCTCCCTTTTCTTTTTCCCTTGAACTGTTCTGGCCTCAGACCAACTCTCTCCTGTATAATCTCTCTCCTGTATAACCCCACCTTGCCAAGCTTTCTTCTACAACCAGAGCCCCCCACAATGATGATTAAACACCTGACACATCTTGCTCTTGTGTGTCTGTGTGTGTGTATGAGACACAACCTCACCCCTATACCCTTGAGGGCCCTGAAGGAAAGGGACTCACCCCCATACTTCACCATACTATACCAAACATCTACTCAAGTTGGGGAGAAGATGCTTCTGTCGGGGGTGGGGGCGAACTTGGGAAGAGATCCCATCAATATATTTCACCTTTTTTATTGAATTTGTATTAAAGGAGGTAGTGAGGGGGCGGAAGCACTTAAGAGTCAGAATCCATATTAGACTCTGGGGAGTGAAAAATTAAATTAAATCAGTAAGATGGGGAGTGGGGGAAGAGTCAGAGGGAACTTTGCCCACCTTTGAAGATCAAATCAAGAAATCAGGGAAAGCAAAGACTTAGGAGAGGAGAAAGACATTCTCTCAATCCATCCTCCTTCCCCAGGGCAGAGAATTAAACAACGTTACTGAGTGAGCCTCTGAGCAGAAGGCTCTCCCATCTATGCACAGACTTCACTCCTCCTCCCCAGGCCTTCCTGGACAATGTCCAGGGCTGGCCTTAGCCAACAGAAATAGAGGGGTCAAGGGGGTCCAGGAGTACGGAAGGGTCAGCAGGGACCCTCAATACTGATTCTTCTCTGGCTGGAGGTGGGCAGGAAGCAGACATAGCTCAAATACTGAGCAGCCAAAAAAAGAAGAAGATGGCGAGAAACAGGAAGAGGGAATCCTGCCAGCTGGAGGCTGGGTGACCCTGTCCCAGATCCACACCTGTGGGAGAGAGGAAAGCTGTGGAAGCATATGCTCCTAGGCTGGGAGGGGGCCTGAGGGGATTCACAGGGCTCCCTGATGGGAGCTGAGTGTGACTCTTACCTGTACCCCGGCGGAAAGGCTCATGGGCATTGAAGACGGTGGTGAAAAAGCCAAAGGGAAAAGCACCAACACCAAATGAGAAGTGGAAGCCCCCGGTATCACCAAATGGCTGGAATCCCTAGGGAGGCAGAAAAAGTCAGACGGGAAGCCGGCAAATCTGTCAAGGAAGGGACACAACTGGACAAGAAGACTCACCCCTCTGCTCTCCGGAGCTGGTCTCTGGCCCTGGGGGCGGGGTGGAGTTTTTAATCTGAGGAAGTGGAGAGAGAAAGTTAACAGGGATTTTTCTCCTCCCATCTTCCACACCGTTTTCCAAGGGCAGAAGCCTTCAATCTTCCCTAAGCAACACCTCCAGTCTCTCACCTGGGATCCTGGGGCTTCTGGCTCCCTCGCCCATAAAGCGGGACAACCTTCTCTCTGCTGATCCCAGCTTTACATACTGGACACTCTTGCCGTTCTGGCCGTGTCTCCAGCCACTGGGGAGAAAAAAGGTGGTTTCCAGTATACAAGAGGGTCTTACAGCTCCTCAGACCTCCCCATTTCCCTCTTCATCTCCTGAGTACGCACCTGATGAAGACATGGCCAACTGGATGGGGGAGAAAAAAAAAAAAAGGTCAAACTAGCTACAGAAAAGAGAGACACAGACCCTAGACTTCGCAGAATCCCATCTAACCCCTCTTCCCAAGCAACCTGCTGTTGCTTTTCAGATTTTCTGCAACCTCTACCATGCCAGCCAACTTAGTTAGCCTTCCTGCTTGTCTGATCTTCCAACACCTAAAGCTCTGTCCATCCTCAACACACTCAACCCTCTCCTTTCTCCTCTCCCCAACAAACACATACAAATTTTCGTGCCCTCTCTTTTCTGCCTTTCAAGTTAATTTCTAATTTCCTTCAGCCACCTCTTTCTGGGTCTCCTCTTTTCAACCCCAACCCCATCACTCCAAACCAAACCCCTTTACTAGCACATTCCCCCATTACTCACTTTCAAGCTCAATAATGTCCCTATCTTTATGACCCTTTAACCTTTCAAGTCTGCCTCTCCACAGTGCCCTTATACCAGCCCCCTCCCAGATCTCATCTGAATGTGATCCATATTTCCTGGTTCTCCCCGACTCAACTGATGCGTGCCTCCCTTAACCTTTGTGTCTCACTTGTTTCCACCTGCACAGCTAAGACCCCTCACTTCTCTGGGGTAAGGTGGCTCGGGTCTCACATTGTCCTGCCACTCCCCGCCCCACCTTCTCTTCTCAGCACATCACGTGCCTCAGCTCCTGGTTCCTAAGACCTTTCTTTCCACAGATCTCGACCGTTATACTCCCACCCACACATACCAGCAAAGTCTTATGTCTCCTGTCGGGCTTCACCTATGGGAACGTGCCCTCCGATTATCTGTATGACTGTATGATTATTCGCTCCTAGCCTCTCCAGTATATAAGCGAGACCCACCACCTCCCGCCCCCCTCCTCGATTCTCACCAGTACAGGTGGCCACACACACTGACCACAGCTTCCCGAGCAGTCTCCAAACATATATTACATTCGAAGGTCGCGCCCGCCCCGCCCCGCTCGCGATTTGGCCCTTCGGGGCCCCCGTCCTCCTCCTCCGCTGCTGCCATGGCCGGTTTTGTTTCGCCCCACGTACCCTTCAGTCCCCCCAAATACACATACACACGCCCCAACAAACCAGAAACCACCTCCTGCCCACGATCGTTGGGCAGGCTTCAAGGTTTCCTAATCACTATTGGTCTGAATGCCTGCCAGTCACAAAGAATTCAAAAGAAAGGATTGGCCCAAAGGGTAGGGGCGGGAAAAGGTTAGTGCAGTCCTGCCTTCGCACAATGGCTATTGGCTGATACGGTCTAAGTCAATGTGCAATGCCAAGGGATTGGTAATAACTCGCTACACGCTGTCGCCTGGCCAAGGAGGGCTTTATTCGTCTGAGTAGTTGTCAGTCATAACCAAAGCCATAAGCAATTTGCTCGGGACTACCTATAGACCTCGCCCACTATAAGCCCCTTTCTTTCCTTCGCTTCCTCTTTTAGAGAATGTCCGGATTGCTATTGGACTTTGGAGCGTATGGCTCCAAATCAACTCATTGGCTAAAACTTGACGGAAAATGGTGGTTAGGTAAAACGCGCCTGCGCAGCACGCGGCGGGACGGGGGTGGGCCAATCCTGTGAGGGTTTAACCTTCTCTTGTTCCACCTCTTCACCCCTATCTTGTCGCCATGGTGACTGCTCTACAATTGGCGAGGCTTGCACTTCAAAGTCCTAGGCTCGCTTCATCCGGGTCCTTCAGCTGTGGACTTTCTGCTGATTGGGCCTTTTCCTTTTCCCCTGATTGGCCGACATCGGGAAAGACGGCGAAGAGCTAGGAAAAGAGGGAAAACACTAGGGTCGCAGGGTTCAAAATGGCTCCAACCTCCTTTGGTGACGTAGAGAGCAGAACTTGGGTCTGCCCCTCCCTTTTAGTTAAGGGAGCAGAACTGGGATTAGCCCGACGTTTGGATAGTGGGAACATCGATCTGCGGCGCTGGTGTTAACCCAACTCATTCGGCTGGACGACTCAGCCCTCCCCATATTAGGTGATTTACAGAGCAAAACTGAACTAAAGGCCCACCCCTTTCTTAATGTTGTACACAGAGTAGAACAGGATTGACTTCAACTCCGTTTTAAACCTTCAGAGCAGGAAAGCTCTGGGCTCAACCCCTTTGTGAGTGGTGCAAAAGGGACAAAGCCCGCCCCTTTTAAGGAGACCCGCGGAGGCTAGACCCGCCCTTTCCTCTTTATAATTTGCCCATCAGAAATAGGGTCTTCTTCCCAGGTTGGACCCCGGGGAGTTTGGGCTTTTCCTACAATCACTGACCCTCACTGTGACTAAAGGAGCAGAATTAGGTAACAGTCCTCCCACTACCAATCCTCTTCCCGAGGGCATGTAAACTAATGCAGGGTAAAGGTGTGGCTAGAGGGGGGACCTTGATAAAAGATCCCATGTGACTCAAGAGTAAGGAAAGATGAGAAGTTAGCAGTTGCGTAAAGAAGGACTGGGGCAGATGAGGATTCAGGAAGCTTGAGGTTTAGGAAGGAAGATATTGAGAGGGAAAGGTGGAAATGAAGGAGAGTGAAGTGATGGAATGATCCTAGTAAAGGGATAATGGGAGTGGAGGAAGAGAAGAGGGGGTGGAAAACTAGATACATGGCTACCAAATTAAGGAGGCACGCGCATTCCAGAGGAATCGGCATTCTTCCTCACTTTTTATTTTTCTAGAAAGCACCCCTGAAGCCAAATTTCCATTGGAAGAAAAGATGTACCCATATTGTATGTTGTGAGAAGGGGTTGTCTCAGCTTGGGCAAGTAAGGAGACTGATACGAAGGAAGTAGGAAAGAAAAGGTACAGAGGTAAAAGAGCATGGAAAAGGAAAGGGTCAGGGATAAGGCCAAAGAGATCTCTTCTCTTTAAAGGCCAGAGAAGGCAGGTGGAGGGGGGAGCTGGACTGCTGGGAGATAGTGAGGGACAAAGGGCAAAGGAAACCAGACCAGAGGACTGGAGAGTGAGATGGAGTGAGATGGAGTCCTGGAGAGAAAAAGAAGAGAGGTGAACTTAATGCTTGTCATATGGTAGGTAGATGCTTGATAAATGTTTAGAATTGAATGGGTACGGGAAAAGGGGTCCTTAAGAATAGTTGGGGGGAATAAGCAGCAGATAACCGGAGTTGAGAAAAAAAGAGACCAAGTAAAAGTGGCAGTTAAAAGAGAGCTGATGGAGAATAAAGGAAGGAATGTGCGGAAGGAGGAATACAGCACCAGGGGATCCAGAGCTGAAAGGGAGTTAGAGAAAAAAAAGATGCAGCTGGAGCCAGAGATGGGGGCAAAGACCGAGGGAGAGCCCTGGGGCGGGGCTCGCAAGAGGACACTGGTAGATGTGGGGAGGAGATGCCAGAGTTTCTGGGAGACGATTGGCAAAACAGGCTGCCCATCACCGCCCTCCACTTCCTGGCCGGCCCCGGAAACCAGCAGGCGTTGGGGAGGGGTGGCGGGGGAATAGCGGCGGCAGCAGCCCCAGCCCTCAGAGAGACAGCAGAAAGGGAGGGAGGGAGGGTGCTGGGGGGACAGCCCCCCACCATTCCTACCGCTATGGGCCCAACCTCCCACTCCCACCTCCCCTCCATCGGCCGGGGCTAGGACACCCCCAAATCCCGTCGCCCCCTTGGCACCGACACCCCGACAGAGACAGAGACACAGCCATCCGCCACCACCGCTGCCGCAGCCTGGCTGGGGAGGGGGCCAGCCCCCCAGGCCCCCTACCCCTCTGAGGTGTGGGCGGGAAAGGGATGGGAGGAGGAGGGAAGAGGGTGCTGAAAGCGACTAGGATGAGGGGAAGGGGAGAGATTGGGTCTGGGAGGGCCGACTGGGGGAGAGGGTTGCTGGGGAAAGGAGAGGGGCCGACTGGGAAGAGGGTTGCTGGGGATAGGAGAGGGGACCTGAGAGGGAGGAAGGATGGAAGAGACCTGGGAGGGAGGAGAAATGGAAACCCTTGTGAATTTGGGACTGGGAGCGTGCACAGGGAATCCTGGAGAGGGAATTCCCTACACCTTCCCCAATTCCTTTTCTTGCCCTTTGACCCCACATGACTCTTGAAGGGTCATGAGGGGAGAAGGCCAGCAGAATTTGCCTCTTAGGAATACCCTTAGGTGCCTCTGTTTCCATCTAGGCACAGGACCTCTTGTTTCTCAGTGGCCTTCCACACTGCTAGACCCTTACTGACACACAAATGCCTTATGGGAGCCATGTTTTCTACATTGAGTCTGTGTGCCTTTGACATGTTTAATGGCTTGTGTGCAACTAGGTTGTCCCAATGCTATCCATAGGCTGTGTAGAAATGGTGTGTTATTTTCTATCAGAATTGCCCATTCTTCATTCTTGTGTCCATGTCTCACATCCAGTTTTGACATGTTTTAAGTACCGCATGTGTGTGAGTTTTCATATATTGCACCTGTTCTATAATTTCATGTTACTTGCACATTTTATGTTTTGGCATGTTTATTTCAGCATGTGAAGGTTATATACCTTATTTTGCTTTGGCTGACATGTCCATGGTCCTACCATTTGCAGTAGTCTTCATGTGTGGGATCCCATGGCTTGGCTGAATACCCCACACTCTGATGTCTGACTGAATTGGCCTGTTTGCTGTGTTTTCCCAGTCACAGTTCACAGAACACATGTGTATGCGCCTTTGCATGATACACTGATGTAACAGGACCATAGAATGTGTGTTATAAATTTGTCATCAGTATATTTTGTGAGCCGTATGCTCATTAAATTTGGCCCTCCATTGCATTTCTAAATCCTTGGACTTTTGTTCTCCAAAGAGGGTCACTTAATATCAAGTGTTAAGAGAAGAAGGTAACTGGGTCTCCAGGTCTGCAAAGAACCATCCCTGCATGCCTTACCTTGGTGACCTCCCTGGCCCATACCTCTCTACACAAACATTATCTTTCCAGTGGCTGTGTACAGTCTGTGTCCATGAGCTCAATGCATGTCACAGGGTCAATCCTGCTGTGAACCCCATTGTTGGTATTTATTTATGGACATTATCCTCCATTCTTTGCACTGTTGGCACACATTTGATGAGAGCAGCATCTTTCCCTGTGGCATCTTGATCCCATTCGGTACATTTCTCTTGTGAGATGACCTCTTCCTGATTATTGTTACTCTGCCTTCATTATGGCTATGTATTGCATGTATCTATTCAGAGTCGGTTACCATTAGGCTTGGTGTGTTCGTTACTTTCTCAGTGACTTCTTTTAGTAGTCACTTCTACTCAAGAGGATAACTATCTAATTTGTGATCAGAACCGCCATCTCTGTCATTAACTGTGGCTCTATGGGTGGGTATACAGCCTTAGAATCTGTTCAGCAAGTGTTTATTGAGCACCTACTCCATCTCCTATTGTCCTGGCACTGGAGATAAGACAGAGTCCCTGTCCTTAAGCTGCTTACAGCCTAAGGAGGGAAACAAAAATGCCAGTCAACACATAGTGTGTTGTCAAGATCAGTGGTTCTTAAATTCAGGCGCACATCAGACTCACCAGAGGGCTTGTTGAAATACAGATTGCTAGCCAGCCACGATGGCTCACACCTGTAATCCCAACAGTTTGGAAGGCTGAGGCAGGAGGATCGCGTGAGTCCAGGAGTTCAAAACCAGCCTGAGTGACAGAGTGAGAAAAAGAAAAACAGATTGCTGGACCTAATGCCCAGAATTTCTGATTCAGTAGATCTGGGGTGAAGTCTAATAATTTGCATTTCTATACTTCGAGACCCGCTGATCAAGATAAAAGTGTAAGGAAAGCACAGGCCTGGAGGGGTTCAGGCAGCCCTCCAAAAGGTGACACTGAGCTGTGTGAGGCAGGAGAAGAGACAGGCATTCCAGCCAAAGGGAACAGCATGTTCAAGGTGGGGAAGCATGAAAGATCATGGTGTCTGAGGAACTGAAGTGAATCAGTTTGACTGGAACAAAGAGTTTTGTGAGGATGTGGTCGAAGATGTAAGCAGAAGTCAACTTATCAAGAAGAGCCTTTAGGCAAGACAGGGAAATGCTCTGTGTTTCAGAAAAATCTGTGCTAACAGAAAAATCTCTGTGGTTGCTACGTGGAAGATGGATTGGAGGGAGTTGGGAGCCTACTCCACATAGTTCAGGGGAGAAATGATGCTGTTCTGAACTTGTAGGGGCAGTGGGATGGAGCAGCTCAGAAAGCCTACGGTATTCCAACTGGCAGGGTCTCCTGTTTCCTCTATTGCCTGTTACCTTCTCGCTTGGCAATAGGCTTACCTTTGAGCATAGCCCTTCCCATCATGGGAAGACAGTGCCTGTGGCCTCAGTAGGAATGACAGGTATTTGCCTGAACACCCTTTTTGTGAATTGTTACCCTGCCCCCAACACTGGGGCAGAGTGGAGGAAGGAGGAAGAACCTAGAACACAGGTTCTGTGTTCCTGCCTCTCTTCCTCTTGAGCCCTTTCCTCTCCCAGGGCAAGTGCTGTTAGGTCACCTTTACTCCATTCCCTCCTTTTTTCACTTGGTGAGGCCTCACACACTGTACCTGCCCACGCAAAGTGTCACTAGAAGGAAGGGAAAGGGTAGTAGGATTCGTTTGCCTGTCTGGAGGTAGGATTGGTCTTTGTAGCTATTCCAGGTATGTCCATAAGTTTACCTAGGAATAGGGGAGCTGCCTGGGTGGAGAGGGATTTTTCTAGTTATGCATTTACATTCTTTTATCTGTCACTGGGTGTAATTATAAATTTGTGTCTATGTGTGAACATGTTAGTCTTTGTATGACTGTGTGTCTGTTGGCATTAGTGACACGAACTTTTAATCTTGCCATTTGGCCCTTGGGTATATGGCTGTGAGTGTTCTGTCACAATCACCATATATGCTGTGTGCTGTGTTCGTATATATATATGCAATACATACCAGTGTCAGCGTAATGGAGTGGTTAGGAACACAGGCGGCTTAGATTTAACCTAGAAACTGCTGTTTAGGAGCTGTATGACCTCAGGTAAGTTATTTAGCCTCCCTGGGCCTATTTCCTATAAAATGTAAATAGTAATAGTACTTTCTAGACTATCATATGCATCATTTTAAGAGTTTAACTTAATGTATAGACCAGTACTGTTCTACAGAAATATAATGCAAGCCACAATGTAATTTTTTTATGGTAGCCACATTTTTACAAGGCAAAAAGAGTGAAATTAATTTTAGTAATATATTTTCTTGAATCTGATAACATCCAAAAGATTATAATTTCTTTTTTTTTTTTTGGAAATGGAGTCTCACTCCATTGCCCAGGCTAGAGTGCAGTGGCGTGATCTTGGCTCACTGCAACCTCCGCCTCCCGGATTCAAGCGATTCTCCTGCCTCAGCCTCCCGAGTAGCTGGGATTAAAGGCATGCGCCAACAGGCCCGGCTAATTTTTGTATTTTTAGTAGAGACGGGGTTTCACCATGTTGGTCAGGCTGGTCCTGAACTCCTGACCTCGTGATCTGCCCACCTCGGCTTCCCAAAGTGCTGGGATTACAGGCGTGAGCCACTGCGCCCGGCCCAAGATTATAATTTCAAAATGTAGTCAGCATAAAAGATTAGTAATGGATATCTCACATTTTGTTTTTTATTCAGTCTTTGAAATCTGATGTGTATTTTACATTTCCAGCACATCTCAGTTCAGACTAGCTGCATTTCAAGTAGCCACATGTAGGTGGTGGCTACTTTCTCGGACAGCACAAGTATAGACCATTATAAGACCCTTACCAGCTACAAGTGTTAGCTATTATTCTTGTTGTCATTTATTATCAGGTATCTGTGAATTGTAGATGTCTGTGTCTTGTGTCTCTTGTCTGAATATATCCGGAGCCTTTGGGAAGAGTGGTGGGAGAGCAGTCCTGAGCTCTTTCTCCACCACCCTCATCCTAGAGAGCCTTCCTGGGAAGGTTTCAATGAGACCCCTGCCCCAGTTTGTGTCTCAGGCCCTTGTCCTCATAGCACCAGCCCCCAGCCCTGCCTTCTGTGCCTTGCCTACCCCACTCTCCTCCAGAAACCAGGCTGATTGTCCCTTGCCCCATCCCCTGCAGGTGGCCAGAATGGATTTGTGGCCAGGGGCATGGATGCTGCTGCTGCTGCTCTTCCTGCTGCTGCTCTTCCTGCTGCCCACCCTGTGGTTCTGCAGCCCCAGTGCCAAGTACTTCTTCAAGATGGCCTTCTACAATGGCTGGATCCTCTTCCTGGCTGTGCTCGCCATCCCTGTGTGTGCCGTGCGAGGACGCAACGTCGAGAACATGAAGTGAGGGGCAAGGGGTCTTGGGCAATGAGGGAACCTAAGGGTACAAAGTGAGTAGTGGATTGGGGGAAGGGGGCATGGTGTGTGTAGAAAAGACTGAGAGAGACCAGAGACAGGGAATGGGGAGAGGACTGCAAAGGTGGTCAGAAAGACAGTAAGGTGGGGGGAGCTGAGGCATGCAGATGGACATCAATGGATCCCACTGGGACCCCTTGCCATGACCCCACAGGATCTTGCGTCTAATGCTGCTCCACATCAAATACCTGTACGGGATCCGAGTGGAGGTGCGAGGGGCTCACCACTTCCCTCCCTCGCAGCCCTATGTTGTTGTCTCCAACCACCAGAGCTCTCTCGATCTGCTTGGTGAGACCCCACCACAGGGCACACCTCCCCCAGCCATGCCTCCCCTCCTGAAACCTTCCCTAGAATATCTTCTCCTAGAGATCCTCAATTCCCCTTCCTCTGGGACATTGCCCCCTTGCCTCCCACTCAGGCCTTCATTCCCTGGGTAGAACTGCCCTCATAAGCAGGGTACATATACTTTTGGTCACCCTTTCCTTCACTTGGGGCCCCCCTCCCTGCCTAGTCTCCTCCTTCACCTCCAGTCCCTACCAGAGGGTGATGAGCTGGGTGAGGTGGGTTGCCTTCTGTGACACTCTGCCTCCACCCCGATCCTCACCCACTCCCACCCTGCCCAAGGGATGATGGAGGTACTGCCAGGCCGCTGTGTGCCCATTGCCAAGCGCGAGCTACTGTGGGCTGGCTCTGCCGGGCTGGCCTGCTGGCTGGCAGGAGTCATCTTCATCGACCGGAAGCGCACGGGGGATGCCATCAGTGTCATGTCTGAGGTCGCCCAGACCCTGCTCACCCAGGACGTGAGTCATCCTGGGGAAATGGGGGATTGGAGGGATACAGAGTAGAACAGTTGTAAATAAACTGATATGCAGGGCCAGTGGGCCTCAAAGGTCCCATTATAACATCACACCTATTCTGACTCCTCCATATGTATTTGTCTTCTTTGACCCTCTTTCTCCCCCAGGTGAGGGTCTGGGTGTTTCCTGAGGGAACGAGAAACCACAATGGCTCCATGCTGCCCTTCAAACGTGGCGCCTTCCATCTTGCAGTGCAGGCCCAGGTGACTACTGCTCTTCGTTCTGCTACTCAGCTGCCAACCCCCACCATTCCCTCATCTCTGGGCAGGGGCTTATTGTAGGAGTCTCTGAAGAGAGCTGTGGACTGACCTGCTTTAACCCTTCCCCAGGTTCCCATTGTCCCCATAGTCATGTCCTCCTACCAAGACTTCTACTGCAAGAAGGAGCGTCGCTTCACCTCGGGTGAGGGCTTTGAGCAGTTCTGGGGTAGGGTGTGTCCGGAGAGGCTGGGAGGACATCCCTGTGAGGCAGGGGGATCATTCAGTGTCAGAGCCATGAGATGTCTACACAGTCATCTAGTCTAACCCCACATCAGCCAATAAGTCTTTACTAAGCACCCACCATACCCTGCCAGATGGGTAGCACTTGGTCCCACCAAGAGAGGCTGTTACTAATCTTAACAGGAAAGATAAGGCCTGTGTGCACAAAGCTGTAATGAATAACACTCATTCAGCAGTAAATGCCAAACCCAGAGGAGGGGGGCTGGAGGGGTGCTGAGGAGATGTCTGAACTGGGGATTGGAGAAGGCTTTGTATAGGAGAAGGGCCTCAGAAGTGGCAGCTGGCAAGCCCAGGGATGGTTGTCCAGGGTTGGGGGAAGAGAACTGAAAGGTTGAGGAAGAGTATCACTCGGAAGCTGGGCCCCACCTGTGGGCAAAGACCTGGGTGGACAGGCCATGATGGTGCTCCCCTTGCCCCAGGACAATGTCAGGTGCGGGTGCTGCCCCCAGTGCCCACGGAAGGGCTGACACCAGATGACGTCCCAGCTCTGGCTGACAGAGTCCGGCACTCCATGCTCACTGTTTTCCGGGAAATCTCCACTGATGGCCGGGGTGGTGGTGACTATCTGAAGAAGCCTGGGGGCGGTGGGTGAACCCTGGCTCTGAGCTCTCCTCCCATCTGTCCCCATCTTCCTCCCCACACCTACCCACCCAGTGGGCCCTGAAGCAGGGCCAAACCCTCTTCCTTGTCTCCCCTCTCCCCACTTATTCTCCTCTTTGGAATCTTCAACTTCTGAAGTGAATGTGGATACAGCGCCACTCCTGCCCCCTCTTGGCCCCATCCATGGACTCTTGCCTCGGTGCAGTCTCCACTCTTGACCCCCACCTCCTACTGTCTTGTCTGTGGGACAGTTGCCTCCCCCTCATCTCCAGTGACTCAGCCTACACAAGGGAGGGGAACATTCCATCCCCAGTGGAGTCTCTTCCTATGTGGTCTTCTCTACCCCTCTACCCCACATTGGCCAGTGGACTCATCCATTCTTTGGAACAAATCCCCCCCACTCCAAAGTCCATGGATTCAATGGACTCATCCATTTGTGAGGAGGACTTCTCGCCCTCTGGCTGGAAGCTGATACCTGAAGCACTCCCAGGCTCATCCTGGGAGCTTTCCTCAGCACCTTCACCTTCCCTCCCAGTGTAGCCTCCTGTCAGTGGGGGCTGGACCCTTCTAATTCAGAGGTCTCATGCCTGCCCTTGCCCAGATGCCCAGGGTCGTGCACTCTCTGGGATACCAGTTCAGTCTCCACATTTCTGGTTTTCTGTCCCCATAGTACAGTTCTTCAGTGGACATGACCCCACCCAGCCCCCTGCAGCCCTGCTGCACCATCTCACCAGACACAAGGGGAAGAAGCAGACATCAGGTGCTGCACTCACTTCTGCCCCCTGGGGAGTTGGGGAAAGGAACGAACCCTGGCTGGAGGGGATAGGAGGGCTTTTAATTTATTTCTTTTTCTGTTGAGGCTTCCCCCTCTCTGAGCCAGTTTTCATTTCTTCCTGGTGGCATTAGCCACTCCCTGCCTCTCACTCCAGACCTGTTCCCACAACTGGGGAGGTAGGCTGGGAGCAAAAGGAGAGGGTGGGACCCAGTTTTGCGTGGTTGGTTTTTATTAATTATCTGGATAACAGCAAAAAAACTGAAAATAAAGAGAGAGAGAGATCTGGGTGTTGGTGGTTGCATTTGTTAAGGAATTGAAGAAGCAGTTCTTGCCCAGGCAACCTGCCCCCAGCCAGAAGACTCAGGGGCAGGCCAAGAACACAGGCCTCCCCGTTTCTTCAGCTCTCTGAAGTTTCCATTGTTCATTGCTCTTTGGTGGCTGATAGCCTTATCTGCAGCTCACAGTCGGCCAATCCCAGAGGATTAGTGGGTCCGGTTTCTGTATAAATTAGGGGGCAGGGGTGCTGTAGAGGCTTCTTATCGATGATTGACGCCGAGGCCCAGGCTGTTGTCCTCACAGGAGCCTGGTTAATGACATGGCAGACACAGTGGCTGTGGTCAGCCTGGAGTGGACTACACTGCCACTCTCACCAAACAATAAGTGAAACTGTTGGGCTGGGGACAGGATTTCAGAAGAGAACGATGGTAAAGTGGAGAGGCATGAGGATAGTGAATGTTGGAGAGGGGCTTGGAGGAAAGAGGGAATGCCTGAATGGAGAGGGGTCTTGGGGAAAGTTGGGGAATAGAAGTCAAGGCGGGAGGAGTGTGAGGACTCACAGGCACCTAGCCTCTCCTCCAGCAGCAGCACCTGGTCGCTGAGAGATTCGATCCGGTCACCCCGGCCCCACAGCTCAGCCACCTGTTCTGGCTGCAGCTCTTCAGGCGGCACGGGCAGCACCGCTCTGACCCAGGCCCCAGCCTGACCGGCCCACTAGAAAGGAAGAGATGCCTCAGGGTATTGACAGTGACGTCTGGCCTCGCCCCACCCAGCAGGCTTGGCTCACCTGCTCCAGCCGCTCCAGGCGCCCTCGCAGCTCGTGAATCTCCTGCTTCAGAGCGCGCTCATCTTTTTCCGCCTCCCGAACTAGGGACAAAGGAGACCAAGAGTGTGACCACTACCCGAGCCCGGACGCCCGTCCCGAGTCCCTCGGGTGGCCCGTACTCCTGCCCACTCACCGGCCACGCTGAGTATGCTGGCACTGGTTGGGGGCTCTGGGGACCCCTCCATGCAGGTGCGCCCGTCCACGCCTAGCACTAGGTCATGGGGGCAGCCGCAGGTGAAGCTGCCTGCCGTATTAAAACAATGGTGCGAGCAGAGGGTGATGCTGGTCCTACATTCATCCACGTCTAGTTACCGAAAAAAGGAAGGGGCTGAGAGAGGGGGCGGGGGCAAGCACCTGGGTAGGTGGGGAGGACAAGCTGACTCACCCACATGACAGTGCTTCCCTCCCCAGCCGGGGGCGCACTCGCACTGGTCAGGCCTAACGCAGACGCCTCCGTTCAGGCAAGGCTTGGCGCAGATGGCTGAGGACAGAGGAAGTGGGGTTCAGACTCAAACCGACGACCCAGCTCCCCAGCTCCGTGGGGCGCGCCTCCCGCAAGGCCCGGAAGACCCAGCCTCACCTTCACAGGTGAGCGCCCCCGGGTGCCGCTTCTTCCAGCCCTGGCAGCACACTGCATGGGTCTGCTGAACCTCCCGCCTCACCTCCCGCCACATAACGCGGTACATGGTCCTGGAACACAGCGCCCGGCTCAGGACCCTGAGTACGGGTCCTAGTTGGGGTTCTTGGGGTCCCATCTCCCCATCCCTCACCTGTAAGTGCTGCAGATGCGCCTCCCAGCGCACAAGGTCAGGTAGGGCTTGTACACTGGTTGGCTGTAGGACTCGTTGTAGTGGAGCGGGACCACCAGTGTCTGCTTGGAGCAGACTCCCTGACTGCGTCCATGCCAGAGGATGAGGTGGGAGAGATTGAGTAGGCCAGGCCCTGGGGAGCCAGGAGTCCCACTTCCCTCAAGAGGCTACTGAGGCCCCCCGCTCTCCCTCCAGATGACAGCCTCTCACCCCCATTCTAAACTTACAGTTATGTTTTGCCTCCTGTGAAGCCCCACCCCCAGCAGAAGGCTCCTGAGAAGAGCTCACCCCGGGCCCTACCCCCTCTGTTGTCACCTCTCTCTGAGGGATCCACCCTTGGCCCCCTCGCCTGGTATCAGTAGCAGGAGGAAGGAGAATCCGCCTAAGAGAGTGCACAGCTCAGCCCTGGACCCCATGATTCGCTTTGACGCTGGACCCTACAGGCTGCAGGCAAGAAAAGGTTAATGGATGCCCGTCCCCTCTCCTATTAATTTCTCCAGCACTAGTCCCTCCAAGGGCACTCTGCAGGTACCCTCTAAGGGAGTCAGGACATTCACTTTTACATACTAGCCACCAGGATTGCCTACACCTGTGTGTACAACCCAACACTATCCTGTCCTTAGCATATCATGATCCTTTCAGCATCATAAAAGCTCACACCCCAGCACACTCCCTCCACCTCCCCTCTAACCTACTTACTTCTAATCCCCTCTGCACAACCTGGAGGGACACACAGTCAACCCTCCCCTTATGACCCTCCTGTCTTTTTTTGGGTTTTTTTTTGTTTTTGTTTTTGAGAAGGAGTTTCGCTCTTACTACCCAGGCTGGAATGCAATGGCATGTTCTTGCCTCACCGCACGACCTCCGCCCCCCAGGTTCAAGTGATTCTCCTGCCTCAGCCTCCCAAATAGCTGGGATTACAGGCATGCGCCACCACGCCTGGCTAATTTTGTTTTGTTTTGTTTTGTAGGGTGTGAGGGTATATAGCTAGGGTTTTTTTTTTTTGGTTTTTTTTTTGTTGTTGTTTTTTGAGACGGAGTCTCGCTGTCACCCTGGCTGGAGTGCAGTGGTGCGATCTCGGCTTGCTGCAAGCTCCGCCTCCCGGGTTCATGCCATTCTCCTGCCTCAGCCTCCCGAGTAGCTGGGACTACAGGCGCCTGCCACCACGCCCGGCTAATTTTGTTTTGTATTTTTAGTAGAGACGGGGTTTCTCCATGTTGGTCAGGCTGGTCTCGAACTCCCGACTTCAGGTGATCCGCCTGCCTTGGCCTCCCAAAGTGCTGGGATTACAGGTGTGAGCCACCATGCCTGGCCAACCCTCCTGTCTTTAACATGCCCTCTTATAACTTCATACCTTCAAAACCCTAGCTGGTTGGGCGCGGTGGCTCACACCTGTAATCCCAGCACTTTGGGAGGCTGAGGTGGGTGGATCATGAGGTCAGGAGTTCGAGACCAGCCTGGCCAAGATGGTGAAACCCCATCTCTACTAAAAAATACAAAAAATTAGCCAGGCGCAGTGGTGGACGCCTGTAATCCCAGCTACTCGGGAAGCTGAGGCAGGAGAATCCCTTGAACCCTGGAGGCAGAGGTTGCAGTGAACCAAGATCATGCCACTGCACTCTAGCCTGGGCGACAGAGCAAGACTCCGTCTCAAAAAAACAAACAAAACAAACAAACAAAAAAAACCCCTAGCTATATACCTTCACACCGTACACACAAACCAAGCACCTGGAAACTCCACACCTTTCACACACTGCTACTCCCCTCATATACCCACACCGTCACATAACGCCCTAAATGCACATCCCTTGCTCCAACAAAACACCCCGCAACTCATGCCCACCCTAAGGCTCTGAGTAAACCCCACTCTTTCCCCATTTGAAATTCTCTCCCCACTTGCCTTCCTCTCTCTCTCCATTCCCACCTGGCTTCTTTCTCCTGGGAGGCTTCAAGCAGACCAGCCTCAGCAGAAGCAGCTCAGACTGGTGGGTGGGCCTGGCAGGCTAAGAAGGAGAGGAGGGGCTGGGCCAGAGAGTCCTCCCATTCCTGCCCCCTCCCACAAGCCTCCTCCTTAGCTCCAGCAGGGTCAGCTCAGTAGGGTCAAGTCCCACTACCCTCATCCCCACCCCAGCAAAGGGCTCCCTAGAAGTATCTTTCCAACCCTCTGAGGCCCCTATTTCTGGACTCCCCAGATCAGAAGCTATGAGCTCTGTAACACCACCAGTACCCCCTTGAACCCAAAACAGACTAGGGGAGAGTTAGGGGGCAGGGAGAGAACCAGCTGCAGGGAACAAAGCAGTTCAGGTTATGGGAGAAAAAGCAAGATCAGCTGAGGAAAGCTAGAAGGGCAAGTCGTCACAAAGGGGCAGGGGGGCAGCCCAGGGCACCAAGGGGAAAACTGCCCCCCTCTCTTCATGACATTTGTTAGGGCTTAGGGGGAACAGAATTGAGTCAGCCACCACCCCCCATGCCAGAACAGACAGGGCCCTATTGTCTCAGCCAAAATTCCTTCTTTCAAGGAAGAGGAGGCTCATTGTCCAGCCCTACACCCAGCTCTGGCCCACAAAGCTCAAAAGCGGCACAACGAATGCCCACCCTGACCCTCTGCCCCCTCGTCTAGCCTGGGGGTGGCAGGCGCATTCCACCCATGAGGCTGAGGCCCAAACCACTGGAGCCCTGAGCTTAACCCCCCAGTCTTGGGGACTGGGAGAGGAAGAGAATTGTCTTCAGCAGGAAAGAACCCGCAGAGAACCAGGAACCCACAAAGAATGGGCATTGAGAGAGAGCGGAAACACCAAGGGGGTCCCCACCCTAGACCAGGCATCTGGGCACCCAGGCCTCAGGCTCCGCCCCCACCCTCCTTGGGGAGCCAGGTCCCCTCCACCTGGAAATGAGCCAAGTCACACTGAGGAAATGGAACTTTATTTCCATAAATACAGGGATAACACCTATTCAAAGGTAGTTAAAAGAGGGCCTGGGGCCTCAAAGAAACTAGGCTCTCCCAGGGGGGTACTCCAACACTGATCATAGGGACTGGGGGATCCCCAAACCTGAGATGGGCCTCATAGGCCACAGATATTCCCCAACACTGACACTTCAAGAACGGAACTGTCCCCATAGGGGAGCCTCAGAACCCCACTCTCATGGGTAGTCCCTCTTAGGAGTTGGGAGGGCTGATGTCAGGGGACTTTAGAGAAAAAAGGGAACATGGGGAGGAGAGAAGCTAAAAATGTCCTGAGTGGCCTGGAAGGAGACCCCTGTGGTGGGCAGGGGGTGGGTTCTCCACCCATACAGCCAGATACGGAGGAGCAGCAGCAGCAAAAGCAGCCACAAGTTAAAAACATGGTTTCTCACTTCCCAACTTCGGCCTTGAGAGAAAGGGACAGCACGGAGCAATCCCCCAAATGAGAGGACATGAGGTAGGGGAGGCCTGGAATTGTCATTCATGGAGGAGCAGAGGAAGGGGGTTCTGGGAGGCCAAGTCTCTACTAAAACCCCGTCTCTACTAAAAATGGGGGATAATATGGGAGCAATGAGGTGGTCACAGGCACACCAAAGCCTGACATCTGCTTTCCAAGGCCACCACTTGGTCTCTGGACCGAGGAGTTCCTGGGGACCCCTGAATATATCCTCAGGAGAGCCAAGGTTCAATGCAGGTCTCATAAAGGGTACGGTTGGAGTGCCAGGCTGTGTGGGAGATACCGGCCATTGGACACCTCACTATGGCCCCCCGGGCCAATAGAGTCTTCAACCCAAAAGAATCCCGCAGATAAACCTTCAAGGTGGTCGAAGGGGCGTGGAAGCATGGAAGAGAGACACAAGGAGAGACAAAGTGAGTTACTGCTGGGATCCTGGACCTCCTCCCCACAGGGTGAACCCTTCAGCTCAGGAGTCACAGAGAGGGCTCTGGAATAAGGTGGGACAGCGGCTAGAAGGGGAAGTAATCCCAGGGGGCTCACCAGTTGCTCCTCCATCTCCAGGACGGTCTCATTTGCATCATAGAAACCAAAGAAGCTACAAAGAGATTTGGGGGGAGGTTATCAGAAGAGCTGGAGAAAATCTGGCCGGGCGCAGTGGCACACGCCTGTAATTGCAGCACTTTGGGAGGCCAAGGAGGGCAAATCACCTGAGGCCAGGAGTTCAAGACCAGCCTGACCAAAATGGTGAAACCCCATCTCTACTAAAAATACAAAAATTAGCTGGGCATGGTGGCAGATGCCTGCAAGCCCAGCTACCCAAGAGGCTGAGGCAGGATAATTACTTGAACCCGGGAGGTGGAGGTTGCATTGAGTCGAGATCGCACCACTGCACTTCAGCCTGGGTGACAGAGCGGGACCCCATCTCAAAAAGGAAAGGAAAGGAAAAAGGAAAGAAAAAAGAAAAGGAAAAAAGAAAGGAAGAAATCAAGGTGGGCTAAGGTCCCAAAGGAACCCAAGGCCTACTGGGGAGACAGGTAGCAGGGAGGACACTCAAAACTACCTTACTGGATATAATGTACTTCATGAGGTGATACACTGAAGATACGACCTCACTTCTGTAGAAACCCCATCAAAAATGCATTACTGGCCGGGCGAGGTGGCTCACACCTGTAATCCCAGCACTTTGGGAGGCCAAGGCCGGCGGATCACCTGAGGTCGGGAGTTCAAGACCAGCCTGGCCAACGTGGTGAAACCCCATCTCTACTAAAAATACAAAATTAGCTGGGCGTGGTGGCTCAAGCCTGTAATCCCAGCACTTTGGGAGGCCGAGGAGGGTGGATCATCTGAGGTCAGGAATTCGAGACCAGCCTGGCCAACACGGAGAAACCCTGTCTCTACTAAAAATACAAAATTAGCTGGGCGTGGTGGGCGCCTGTAATCCCAGCTACTCAGGAGGCAGAGGCAGGAGAATTGCTTGATTCTGGGACGCAAAGGTTGCAGTGAGCCGGGATGGCGCCACTGCACTCCAGCCTGGCGACAGAGTGAGACTTTGTCTCAAAAAAAAAAAAAAAAGAGGCCAGGTGTGGTGGCTCATGCCTGTAATCCCAGCACTTTGGGAGACCAAGGAGGGTGGATCACCTGAGGTCAGGAGTTCAAGACCAGCCTGGCCAACATGGAGAAACCCCGTCTCTACTAAAAATACAAAATTAGTTGGGCATGGTGGTGGGCGCCTATAATCCCAGCTACTCAGGAGGCTAAGACAGGAGAATCACTTGAACCTGGCAGGCGGAGGTTGCAGTGGGCCGAGATTTGCCATTGCACTCCAGCCTGGGCAACAAGAGTGAAACTCCAACTCAAACAAACAAACAAACAAAAAGATACTAAAGAGACGTAACAAGATCATGCAACTCAAGATCCTGATTTGGATCTTCCACTGTATATTTTTTTCTGTAAGGACAGTTGGAAAAATTTGAATAATCTGTGAGCGCATATTCAGGAAAATTTGAATCTATGTTTATATTTAAATATAACATTAACGTATATAAATAAATGTATATATATTTAGAGAAAAAAGATATTAATGTAAACATGACAAAATGTTAACATTTGCGAAATCTAGGTGAGGAGTATAAATGACTGCTTTTTGCTATTTTGGTAACTTTTTTTTTTTTTTTTGAGACAGGGTCTTACTCTGTCACCCAGGCAGGAGTGCAATGGTGAGATCTCGGCTCACTGCAGCCTTGGCCTCCTAGGCTCAAGCAATTCTCGTACCTCAGCCTCCCAAGTAGCTGGGACTACAAGGGCACACCACCACGCCCAGCTAATTTTTGTATTTTAGGTAAAGACAGGGTTTTGCCATGTTGCCCAGGCTGGTCTCAAACCCCTGGGCTCATGCCTCGGCCTCCCAAAGTGCTAGGATTACAGGCGCAAACTTTTCTTAAGTATGAAATTATTTCAAAATAGAAAGGTCTTAAAATCCTTTTTTTCTTTTTTTTTTGAGACAGAGCCTTGCTCTGTCACCCAGGCTGGAGTGCAGTGGCACCCTATCGGCTCATTGCAACCTCCGCCTCCTGGTTTCAAGTTCTCCTGCCTCAGCCTCCTGAGTAGCTGGAACTACAGGCGTGCGCCACCAGGCCCACTAATTTTTGTATTTTTAGTAGAGATGGGGTTTCTCAATGTTAGCCAGCTGTTCTCGAACTCCTGACCTCAGGTGATCCACCCGCCTCGGCTTCCCAAAGTGCTGGGATTATAGGCGTGAGCCACCGCACCCAGCCAGATGGAGTTAAAATCTTTTAATTAAAAAATATTGGCCAGGCAAGGCCGGGTGCGTGGGCTCACGCCTATAATCCTAGCACTTTGGGAGGCCGAGGCGGGTGGATCACGAGGTCAGGAGATCGAAACCATCCTGGCTAACACAGTGAAACCCCGTCTCTACTAAAAATACAAAAAAATTAGCCGGGCGTGGTGGCGGGTGCCTGTAGTCCCAGCGACTCAGGAGGCTGAGGCAGGAGAATGGCGTGAACCTGGGAGGCAGAGCTTGCAGTGAGCCGAGATCACGCCACTGCACTCCAGCCTGGGCGACCGAGCGAAGACTCCAACTCAAAAAATATATATCTATCTATATATAGAGAGAGATATATATTGGCCAGGCGCAGTGGCTCACGCCTGTAATCCCAACACTTTGGGAGGCCGAAGCAGGCGGATCACAAGGTCAGGAGATCGAGACCATCCTGGCTAACACAGTGAAACCCCGTCTCTACCAGAAATACTAAAAATTAGCCAGGCATGGTGGTGGGCACCTGTAGTCCCAGCCACTTGGGAGGTGAGGCAGGAGAATGGCTTGAACCCAGGAGGCGGAGGTTGCAGTGAGCCGAGATTGTGCTATTACACTCTAGCCTGGGCGACAAGAACAAAACTCTGTCTCAAAAAAAAAAAAAAGGAAGAAACAGTGACTTGGAACATTAAAAATGTTATATAACCATGAGCTATCACTGTCATTCATAGGGTTGTGGTAGATGTGAAATGACATGATGTACATAAAACTCATCACTTACTATTATATTATTACAATATTTTAAGAGATGTCCTGCCTTCACTGAAAACTGTCCAGTGCCTTCCCATCTCACTCAGAATTTAAAAAAAAAAATCAAAAGCCTGGTTACCGGGACTGTCGGGAAATAGGGATGAGGATATATATATATATATATATATATTTTTTTTTTTTTTTTTTTTTTGAGATGGAGTTTCGCTCTTGTTGCCCAGGCTGGAGTGCAATGGCGCAATCTCAGCTCACTGCAACCTCTGCCTCCCAGGTTCAAGCGATTCTCCTGCCTCAGCCTCCCAAGTAGCTGGGATTACATGCATGCATCACCACACCCAGCTAGTTTTGTATTTTTAGTACAGACAGGGTTTCTCCATGTTGGTCGGGCTAGTCTCGAACTCCCGACCTCAGGTGATCCACTGCCTCGGCCTCCCAAAGTGCTGGGATTACAGGCGTGAGCCACCACACCCAGTCTATTTTTTAATGGGTATACGGTTTCAGTTTGGGGAAAAAGAAGTTCTGGAGATGGATGGTGCTGATGGGTGATGGTTTTACAATGATGTGAGTATACTTAATGCCACAAAACTGTACATTTTTAAATGGTTAAAATGGCAATTTTATGTTATGTATATTTTATCACAAAAAAAAGAAAAAAAAATATCAAGGGCCTTACCTTGACCTGCTAAGGTTTGACATGCCTGGTCCCCTGCTACCACTTTTAGCTCCTCTCCTGTCCTCTCCCCAGCTCCTTGTGCACTAGCCATGCTGGCCTCCTTATTGCTCACACGTGCTTCAGGGCCTCTGCAGGTGCCAGACCTTCTCCCTGGGGGGTTCTTCCACCCAGAGCACAACTCCCTCCTTCACTTCCTTCAGTCTCTAATTGAATGGTGACTTTTCCAGGAGGACTTCTTCGGCCACTATTGAAACTAGGCCCCGGACATCCTCTAATCCTTTCCCCTGCCTTATTACCTGACATATATATTTGTATGTATGTATCAGCTATCTTACAAACTAGAATATAAGCTACATAACATTAGGGACTTCTCTTTTATTTACCACTGCATCCCTAGGGCCCAGAACAAGCCTGCGCCCATAATGTTGAATAAATATTTGTTGAGCAATTCAAGTAGCTCAGGTGACATTACAGATCACACATGGTGACCTATAACACAGGCAAGCACATAGTACCATGGAGCCATGGATTTTTTTCTAAGGAATAGGATGGAGGGGACAAAGCTGGAGGCTGTTATAATAGTCCAGGTAAGTAAAGAGGTGGTAGGAAATGTGATAAAATGGTATAAAACTACACACACACATTGAACCAATGTGAATTTCCTGGTTTTGATACTGTGCTATAATTACATAGGATGCAACCACTGGGGGAAGCTGGGTGAAGGGCCTCGCTATACTATCTTTGCAATTTCCTATGAATCTATAAGAATTTCAAAATTAAAAGTTTTTATAAAGTGGGGGAGGGGGTGATAGGGATGGAGAGGAGAAGAGTCAGCAGGACTTAGTGACTGGCTTGATACAAGGGGTTGGGATATGACTCCCAGGTTTTGGTCTTGGGTGACATGATGAATGGGGGGAGGAGCACTAACTGAACAGTGGAAGGAGCAGGCCAGTTTAGGCATGAGATAAAGACCAACTGGGGTTGGGGGATGTCTTTAGCCAATCTTCAGGCCACAAAATCCCTTATTACCTGGACTGCCAGGGAGTAATAACACCATCATCAGGGCCCCCAATCAGCACCAGGTGGCCCACACGCAGAAAGTTCTTCCGCCATACTGTAGGATGGGAAGAAGAGAGGCTGAGTCAGCCACAGGGGTCAGGCCAGGTTGGAGAGGGAGACATAGGGAGTCAAAGAAGCAGAAAAAGCAACACAGGTAGGAGCCTGAATTCTCACCTGTGGCATTGGGATGGTCTCTTTCCCCATTGATCAGGGCCAGGAAGCTGCTGGCATTGAGGTACAAGTCATCGTGGTGGGGATCTGGGTACAAACAGCAGTTAGAAAAAGAAGCAGAAAAGGGAGGCAAGACTGGTGGTGAAAAGCCCAATAAGGAAGCTGCAGCAATAGTCAAGGTGGATAGTAATAAAATAGTAGTGATAATGTAGGCCAGGTGCGGTGGCTCACACCTGTAATCCCAGCACTTTGGGAGGTAGAGGCAGGTGGATCACTTGAAGTCGGGAGTTTGAGACCAGCCTGGCTAACATGGCGAAACCCTGTCTCTACTAAAAATACAAAAGTTAGCCAGGCGTGGTGGTGCATGCCTGTAATCCCAGTTACTCGGGGCGCTGGAATCACTTGAACCCAGGAGGTGGAGGTTACAGTGAGCCGAGACTGCACCACTGCACTCCATCCTGGGAGACACAGTGAGACTCCATCTCAAAATAATAATAGTAGTGATAACAACCGTAAACATAGTAACAAGTACTTTTTTTTTTTTAGATGAAATCTCACTCCGTCACCCAGGCTGAAGTGCAGTGGCAGGATCTCCGCTCACTGCAACATCTGCCTCCCGGGTTCAAGCAATTCTCCTGACTCAGCATCCTGAGTAGCTGGGATTACAAGCGTGTGCCCACATTCAGCTAAATTTTTTTTGTATTTTTAGTAGAGATGGGGTTTCACCATGTTGGCCAGGCTGGTCTCGAACCCGACCTCAGGTGATGCGCCCACCTCCCCCTGCCAAGATATTGGGATTACAGGTGTGAGCCACCACACCTGGCAATAGCAAGTACTTCTATCTAGTATCTACTATATGAGCCAGGTACTATTCAAAGTACATTGCATTCATTTATTTATTTAATCCTTACAACCACCTGGTGAAGTACATGCTATAATATTTTACAGATAAGGAAATCTGAGTAACAGAATGGTTAAGTAACTTGCCCAAAGGCACCCAATAGGGTCAAGATTCAAACCCAAGTATTCTGGCCCCATGGTCTGGTCTAGAGGTTGGCAAACTGTGACCAAAGGACCAAATCCAGCCTGCTACTTGTTTTTGTAAATGAAGTTTTACTGGAACACAGGCACATTCATTCACATATGGTACATGGCTGCTTTCACACTACAACAGCAGAATTGAGGAGTTGTGAAACAGACTATATGTCCTACAAAGTCAAAAATATTTACTCTCTGGCCCTTTATAGACAAGGTTTGCTGACTCCCACATCAGACTAAACCTTCTAAGGCAATAAGGTGACACACTTAAAACATTCTGGGCCAGGTGCAATGGTTCACACCTGTAATCCCAGCACTTTGGGAGGCCGAGGCGAGTGGATCACCTGAGGTCAGGAGTTCGAGACCAGCCTGGCCAACATGGCGAAACTCCATCTCTACTTAAAATACAAAACTTAGCCGGGCATGATGGCGCCTGCCTGTAATCCCAGCTACTAGGGGGACTGAGGCAGGAGGATCACTTGAACCTGGGAGGCGGAGGTTGCAGTGAGCCGAGATGGTGCACTGCACTCCAGCCTGGGCAACAGAACAAGACTCCGTCTCAAAAAAAAAAAAAATTCTGAACAGAGCCTGTTCAAATAACTCAATAAATGTAAGTTATCTTTATTGTCATCACTGCTATTGGTTGTAGCAGAGGTGGAAGCAACTGACCTGATCCATGGAAGCCCCAGTTCAGCATCCCCACTCACCATGCCAGTAGTTGCAGATGGAGAATTCCTGGCCCCAGGGGCTATAGCAGATCCGATAGAGGTTAGACCGCATGGAGGTGGGGAACAGCCACTTCAAGTAGTCCGTGTCTGGCAAGCGAATGGCAATGCTAAGTGACCATAAACCTCTGTTCCCCCAAAACTCAGGGCATTCTATGGAGTCTAGTGCCCACTCACCTCCATACTGTCCCATCTGTGGAGAGGAGAGGGAGATGAAAGAATCCACGTTGTGATCATCCATGACAGAAAGCAGAGCCCGGCACACAAGGCCCCCTGTAAGCAGAACACCACATTGGGCAGGCACTTAAGGACAGCAAAGCCAGCAGCACCCCCCACCCCCACCACACACACACACACACACACACACACACACACACAGAGACACACACAGACACACACTGTACACAAAGGAGACTGAGGCTTACAGAAGGCAGGCACACCCTGTGCCAAAAGGTCACACATCATATAAGTGACTGAGCCCGAATTAGATGCTGGGCCTCCTGCCTCTAGTTCTAGGATGTTTTTACCTGCCCCATTAGCCCTTATGTCCAAGAACCATGGGTAACAGGAAGCAAAAGGGCAGCAGTGTAGGGAGCCTCCCTCCCATTCAAGACAGAGATGAGACCCAGGTGCTGAGGGAAGTCAGAAAGGAAGGGCTCAGGTACCAGGGTTGTGCCTGGAGCAATGTGGTTCAGAAAAAGGGACGCTAGGAAGTGTCCCTCAGATAAGGATCAAGCCTCAGATAGGGCTTAGGAGTTAGGGGCAGGGGAGTCGCCTACCCTGCGAGTAGCAGATGAGATGCACCCCTTGAGGGGCCTTTGCCATGATGGGGACCACAGCCTCTCGGAACCCTTGCACCTGTTCCCACAGGGGTCGCAAGCTCTCTCTCCCATCGAAGAGATCGAGCACTGTCACCACAGTCCCGGGGTGTGTCTGTGGGAAGGGGGCAATGCAGCCACCGGGGATAGGCTAAGAAGCTCCCACACGCCACCCCCTGGCCCGCGTCCACAGGTCTATTGTACCCTGCTAGAACCAGGGATCCCGTCCCCCAACTCTCCCCCACGCCAGCACCAGCTCCCTGAGGAACTGGGCAGGCCCAGAGGGGTGGCTTTCAGTTCCCCGCTCTCCCTCCCCTGCCACAGTAGACGCCTCTAACGCCCTGCACCCAGGTGTCCCCTGCCAGACCTCATTGATGTATTCCAGCAGGTGGCGGAAGCTGTACGAGCTGTCGAAGAGCCCATGCACCACGATGACCGGCTTGTAGGACGCGCGGTGGGGCGCGGGGGCTGCAAGCAGCAGCAGCGGCAGGAAAGGCAACAGAAGCAGGACCCACGCCGCGGGGAGCCGCTGCCCCCAGAGCCCCAGCATGCTCCCGCCTGAGAAAGGGGTGATAAGGGCATGTGAGGGAGATGGCAACACCCTCCTCCCTCGGAACAGACGCCCGGCAATCAAGCCACCTCCTCTCGCTCCCACACCAGGTCCGTGTCACAAAATAGCCTACTTTTAACTTACTCCAGCCCTCTCCCTACAAACACACCCCCCCACCACGTTGACGCACCAACGCGCACCCGAAGTCCCGCCTCCAACTCAGCGTTCGGGGGACTTGTTCTCTAGGTCCAGGATCTTCCTAATGCATCGCCTCAGCCATGAACAACGCGGAGTTCTTTAATACCCGTGAGCAGCAGCCCAGGCCCCTTGAAGAGTGCAGACTCCCACCTGGCCTGGGTCCGTAGGCCTCGCTCCACCCGCTGTTTACTTATCCCAAGTCTGGAACCCACGGTGGCGGGGGGAAGGGTGAGGAAAGAGAGCGCAGGGGAATGACGGATGGGAGGGGGAAGGGCGGGCTGCTTGGGGTCGCGCAAATCCGTCACGTCCGGGGCTTTCTCTGGCAACCGCGCGAGCGTTCCCCGCAACACAGACCCAGGACAGGAGGGGCAATGGAATATTCCATTGCGCCCTAGGTGCTGGGGAGGAAACAGGCGGAGCGATCCATTTAGGCCAGTGGGGAGAGGAAAAAGCAGCAAACATATTCTGGGAATGGAAAGAAGGCCTCTCCAGGCTTCGTTGCCCCCAGCGACCCAAAAGTCCGATTTCCCCGCCTTGATTCTCCCCACTTCCCAATACAGGCGTCTGGCTCCGCAGCAGAACACGAAGTTTGCATTCCCCAAGGGGCGGCCAGGGGGCGGACCAGGGAAAGGTAGTCCTCTGCATTTTGCCGTGTGCTGGGTGAGTGGCAGGGTGGCCTGGAGGGCTGATGCCAGCCCGGGCGTGCCCCTCAACACCCACCCCACCCCACCCTCCAGTCCGCCCCAGGTCAGCGACTTACAACTCTTCATTCTGAAGTGCGTGTAGTGCCCTTGTCTCCAGAGACGCAGAGAGTCCTCGAGGCCCCTTGAGCTAAGTGCAGCCTGGCCCAGTTTCTCCTGCCCTACTCTACTCCCCTCCCTATAAGCGACCCACCCTCAAGGGGCGGAGGGCGCGTAGGGATGCGCTGACTCATGCCCGCGTAATTTCGACCAGTCTTTCAACCTGAACGACCCCCAGAATCTGGCTGTCTGAGTTATCTGTGGGTGGCTCCCTACCGAAACCCCCAGGCGCCCCACCTCTCCGCCTGTGACCCCTAACCGACACCCTAGTGCCTCAGGGCTTTTACTTGCTAGGGCTTTTACTTAGCATTTAAAGACGTTTCTCTAGAGATAAGGATTTCTCAGCATGTCTGAGCCCCTCTCTCTGTTTACAAGGTCATTGCTTGGTCTAAATTTGTCTCAATCAAAACATTTTTGCGCTCAGAATGGTGTAGAGTGACGATGAGGTGGCGGTAAGGGGTTGAGCGCTCACGCGAACGCCTAAGTGACCAGAACGACTGGTGTGAAGCCGTGATCTGACTCTGTGGAGCCTGGGACTGGTTTCAGCGAGAGCCTCTGTACTGCTCTGTAGTCTCTGCTAGGACATGGACGAAAAGGGACGCAGCCGGGAGAGCGACTGCCCCAGGTGGGGGCTGGGGGGACGTAAGGGAAGAATAATGATTATCTGGCTGTGTTTTTGTTTAAAAAAAAAAAAAACTGGTGTAAATCTCCATAGACTTCCTATCCTCGCTCCCTTCACCCACCCACGCGCTCCCAAGATGCAATAAGCAAATAAAAAGACTAATAACGCTGTACTGCAGGTCGACTCAGGAGCTGGAGATGCGTCTTGGTGGGAGGTGGTGGGTGGGAGTAGGGGGGTTTAGGGAATGGATCTGAACATTGACCAGCCCAGAGACTCTAAGCAGCCTCAAAAGCAAAGGGAAAGTGGGGGAACAAGCACACATTACCAACAGAGCTGCCAGAAATGAGCAGTTAAGTCATACCCCCTACCCCCTCCAAAAGAGCTTCAGCTCCTTAGTCCTGGACGAAGAAGGTATGTATGCACACCGCCCAAACTCTCTCTCCCTTTTCCCTCCAAGGCCCAGCTCCCCCTGATTTACAGACCTGGGCCTCCCTCTTTACTGCTAGGTTGGTAGGTTCACCAAACCCTGGGAACTTTTCAGACCATCGCAGTTCTGAACTCTGCACAATTCTCTCTCACACACAAGTATTTATCTCTTCTAAAGAGGAGGAAACTGGGGCCAAGGATTTGGGAGAAGACCCTGGCACCTTGCAGGGAGCTAAGAGGGGGAGACGACCTGCCTCTGGAGGCACCTGGGTTATTAACTCCACTGAGAACCTGTTCACTTCCTCCCACAATACAATCACTGAGTCTTGGTGGGGGAGACTCCAGAGAGTTCTCCTTCCTTCCTTTCCTTAGTCCCACCCGCCTCGCCTGGTCTAGCCTCCGTGTTTCCATGACAACTCCAAAGGAGCCCAAACTGGGGGCTTGAATGCCGGGGTAAGAGGAGGAGAGAGGTGGTCCGAGAGCAGAGAGAGACCGAGTGGGAAACATCTGAAGCGCTCCCCCTCCCTCGCCTCGGTCCCTTTAAGCTCCCCCCCTCCCCGCTCTCCCTCCGCCCGCCCCCCCCGCCCCCCCCCCGCCGCTGCCTTCATCTCTCCATCTCTGCGCTGCTGCCGGCTGCGCCATCCAGCACCCAGACTCCAGCACCGGCCGAGGACCCCCACTCCGGCTGCAGGGACCCTGTCCCAGCGAGACCGCAGGCATGTCATCCGAAAAGTCAGGTAAAAACAATAACAAAACCTCCCACCCCCTCCACTGTCTCCAGACTCTCCGTCCCCCTTGCCCCAACCCCCTCCCTTACCCCTCCTCAGCTGTGGTTCTATTTCATTCCCCTTCTCTCCAGCTCTCAACACTCCCCCAGTCCCCCTCCTCTTTCTGTCTCCCCCTTTCTCTTCCTTTCCTCTTTCCAGTGGCAGCCTCTGCCCCTTGCCAACAACATGGTCAGGGGGGTAGGTTGAGAGGGTGAAGGAGGTACAGCCAGGTTTTGCAGGGATGGCATCATTGGGAGTGACAGATGGACAATCACTGGCTGGCATGGAGACATCCTGTGAGGAAATATGGAGACATGACCAGATGGGGGTTGTCAAGGGAGCAAAATCCAGAGGGCTCTTCTTAATCTGCCCTAAAAGAGGTCCCGAGATTCTCACAGAGGCTGGGGCACTCCTCCCCCCACTGAAGGAACAGCAGAGTGGAACACATGTCATCCCACA
The DNA here is from genome assembly GCF_000001405.40 of Homo sapiens. Taxonomy (NCBI): domain Eukaryota; kingdom Metazoa; phylum Chordata; class Mammalia; order Primates; family Hominidae; genus Homo; species Homo sapiens. The sequence continues at coordinate 3,374,516 of NT_167248.2, read as the reverse complement.
TGTGTTTATACAACTGTTGAATTGAGCACATATTAACACAGGGTTGCATGTCTACGCATACGCACACACAGGACTAGCTCGGATAGGCCAGCCCAAAGGCAGCTATAGCAAAGGAGAGGGGATTAGGTCTGCAGGTGAGAGCTGGGTGCATGGTGATGAAAAAGACAGAAAAGAAGCAGACCAGAGTTGTGACCTCAAAACTAGATTGGAAGGAAGAAGGAGGGGGGCAGATGGCCTAGATACAGCCCCTCTCTTGCCCCTCAAATTAGAGATGGTTTCTCACCCGTCTCTCTCTATGTGTCTCTCCCATTATCTTTCTCCATCCCTGACCGGCTGTGTTTCCCCTTACCCCCTCCTCAACTCATCACTGTGTCATCTTTCCTCTTATACTCTCCTCCACTCACCTCCCCCAGGACTCCCAGACTCAGTCCCTCACACTTCTCCGCCGCCCTACAATGCCCCTCAGCCTCCAGCCGAACCCCCAGCCCCACCGCCACAGGCAGCCCCTTCCTCACACCATCACCACCACCACCACTACCATCAGTCTGGCACCGCCACCCTCCCGCGCTTAGGGGCAGGGGGCCTGGCCTCTTCCGCGGCCACCGCTCAGCGCGGTCCCTCCTCCTCTGCCACGCTGCCGAGGCCCCCCCACCACGCCCCTCCCGGCCCTGCTGCCGGGGCACCCCCACCCGGCTGCGCTACCTTGCCCCGCATGCCACCCGACCCTTACCTGCAGGAGACTCGCTTCGAGGGCCCACTTCCCCCGCCGCCGCCCGCTGCCGCCGCCCCGCCCCCGCCGGCGCCAGCCCAGACTGCCCAGGCCCCTGGCTTCGTGGTGCCCACGCACGCGGGGACTGTGGGCACGCTGCCGCTGGGGGGCTACGTAGCGCCCGGATACCCCCTGCAGCTGCAGCCTTGCACTGCTTACGTGCCGGTCTACCCGGTGGGCACGGTGAGTGCCGGGCAGACAGGGACATGGGAAAGAGGGGGACGCGATACAGGACTTGAAATTGGGGATACGCTGGGGGCTGGTAGGATAGAGGAACAAGGGCAGGGAACAGGTAGTGTTCCCGGGACAAGCCCTAGAAAGAAGGGAGCCTGAGACAGGAAGGACTAGGGAGAGACACGGGAGTAGGAGTCTACTGGTGCCCAGAGTCAGGGCCTGGGAGGGGGATCGGAGCCTAGAGGTTCAGAGGAGGTCTGAAAGTAGGAAACCGCCTGGCGGGGGACGGGGGGAATGGAAGCTGGGAACCAAGAGGGATGTGGGAGAAGCCTGGGACTAAGGGGGTAGGGGAGGCCTGGTAGGTGTCTGGAGGGAAGAAAGAAGGTCTGACCTGAGGCCAGGACAGCCCCAGTGGGACCATACCTTGCGGGAGAGAATGTAGAAAGCCCAAGAATATGGTGGTTAATGAAGCAAGGAAGGGAGGAGAGGGGCTTAGGTGGAATTTATGGGTGTCCTGGAAGGGTAATGGGTGCTTTATTTTGAGAAGCCATAGGTAAAAATTGTGCTTTTAAAGCCACTCTGCCAGCCGCCCAACGCTGGTAGGCTGGGAGAGGGTCAGAGTGATGCCCCTGCCCCCCAAATTTCCTTCCACAGCCATATGCAGGCGGGACCCCGGGGGGAACAGGAGTGACCTCCACTCTCCCCCCGCCGCCCCAGGGCCCAGGGCTGGCCCTACTGGAGCCGAGGCGCCCGCCACACGACTACATGCCCATCGCGGTGCTGACCACCATCTGTTGCTTCTGGCCTACTGGCATCATTGCCATCTTCAAGGCCGTGCAGGTAGGGGGCAGGGGCATACTCGGTTTGGGGGCGGGGACAGGGAGTTCTGGGCGTTCTGGGGACCATCTTAGAGAAAGGCTGAGGCGTTCGAACGAGGCCGCAGCTCTTTGACCTCCTTCCCCCACCCCTCCTCCGTAGGTGCGCACGGCCTTGGCCCGCGGAGACATGGTGTCGGCCGAGATCGCTTCACGCGAGGCCCGGAACTTCTCCTTCATCTCCCTGGCCGTGGGCATCGCGGCCATGGTGCTCTGTACCATCCTCACCGTAGTCATCATCATCGCCGCGCAGCACCACGAGAACTACTGGGATCCCTAAAAACGCCCCTGGTCCGGCCCCACTCTGCGCCCCTCGATCTCCCAGGCTCTTTCTGCAGTCATACCGCGGACCCAATGGGCGCCCTGCACACCCGTTTCTGGGGCCGTCAGACTTGGATACATCGTAAACTCCGCCTCCACGGAACGTCTCGCCTTGCGAGCAAGCTCGGAATCCAGTTCCTCAGGAACCCCTCCAAAACCCACACCCCCAGGGACGCCGCTTTCCGGGATCCCGGCCAAACGCCGGACCCTCAGTCGCTCCAGGCCCCCTCACCCTCAAAGTGTAGCGCCCCCAACCGAGCAACCTCGGTTTGGTCCCTAAAACCCCGCCTCCTCTATAAGCACCGCCCCAGCTCTGACAAAACCCCGCCTCCAGGTCGGCAGGCTCCGCCTTCTTTTCTTCTCCGCGGGGTGATTCAGTCCAGTGATTGGGTTTGTGGCTCCAGGCCTCGCCCACAGACGGACAGACCCCTCCCTTTCTTCCGGCAAAAGGACCGAGCCCTGGGGTAGTAAGGCCCCCACACTCCTGTTTTTTGCAAGTACATTTTTGTCCCTCCTCCACCCAGGTATCTGCCTATTTTCTTGCTAATCCCAGAACCTTTCCTTTTGCTTTTTTTAAGGACATTTGGGAAGTTCCTGGTGTAGGACCCTTCTCCCTGGGATAAGAAACCTGCCTGTAAACGCTCTGTAAATACTCCCTTCCACCCATCCCAGCCCCTGGGCAGCCGGGCAGAAGGGAATCCAGGCTATGGACCTCCCAAGTCCCCGCTCCCCGCTCCCCTCGGCGGCCCCGCCTTGTTCTGATCTGTGTGTGAGTGTGTGTGAACTTCTGAAAGACAATATTAAAGAGACTTAGTTGATTTATCGCCCGCAATTCCAAAGACTGCGGCCCCGCAAAGACCCTCCCCACTTTTGATTCCGCCTTTCACTTCCCTTCATCTCCTCTTCCAAGGAAAAAAAAAGAAAACCCGACAGAGACTAACGTGAGGGACACAGATTCCCAGATCGCCAGAGAGACACGTGAATATGGGGGACGGAGGGGAGCTCCCTGGGAATCCACCAAGGAAGACCTTGGGGTCCATTCTCAGTGAGGCTTTATTTTCTTAGTGAGGCTTTATTTCCCCAGTACCCCTTTTCCATTCCCTACTATCCCCAGAACTCCAGGAAGACAAGAGAACAGAGAGGGCAGACCATGGTGAAGAAGCTGGTCAAGGATAGAGTGATGGGGGCCAAGAAGAGATGCCAGCTGCCCATAGCTGTTCCTGACTGTGGGCTGGAGGGTGGCAGATAACTTGGATTAGAGCCCCACATGCTGGACTGTAGGGGGTATAGGAAAGGCAAAGAGAGCAGATTGCTGTGGGAGCCCAGGGAGGAGGTCAATGGCCTCTCAAGTCTCCCTGGGACTAGTTGCCCTCTCCTATCCTGAGGTCAACCAATAGGCCTCTTTTCTGAGGGGAGTGGTGATTAGGGGATGCTGCCAGCAGTGGGCTTGGGTCTTTGGTTGTACACCCACAGGACAGGGTCCTAACCTAATTTATGCATTTATGCAACATGCAGACTCCATGCTGGATGCTGGTGAGACATCCACCCAGACAGCAGGTGTGACCCCTGACCTCATGGAGCTTACAATCTAGAAGGGAAGCCATGCACTGAGATAGGAAATGTGATAGGAGATGTGGGAGGAGGGTGGGGTGAGGTGTGAATATCATGGGTTCGCCCTTGGATGTTTCGCATTTAATGTGCCTACCTTACCAAACTTCTTGAAAAACAGAATTCACGGCTGGGCACGGTGGCTAACACCTGTAATTCCAGCACTTTGGGAGGCCAAGGCAGGCGGATCACTTGAGGTCAGGAGTTCGGGACCAGCCTGGCCAACATGGTGAAACCCCATCTGTACTAAAAATAATAAATTAGCCGGGCATGGTGACGGGCACCTGCAGTCCCAGCTACTTGGAAGGCTGAGGCAGGAGAATCGCTTGAACTTGGGAGGCGGAGGTTGCAGTGAGCCAAGATCAAGTCATTGCACTCCAGCCTGGGCAACAAGAGCGAAACTCCATCTCAAAAAAAAAGGGGCAGGGGGGTGCGGAATATTGCTATCAGAGATATGTCTGTATCTGTCTTTTTTTCATACCCACTATTTCTTGACTTATTGGAATATGCATCCACACCCTATTCTCCTGAAACCTCCCTCTCAAATGGCAACCAATTACCCAGATCCCAAATCAATGGCATTTTCACAGTATTCTGCCTCTCTAAGCCCTCCCATGTTTGTCCCTTGACCCTGAATTCCCCACATACCCAGGTTCAAGAACGTATTACCTCCCTTCCCCCGACACACACACAGACCTCTAACCATTCCGCCTCTGCCTTCCCTCCTTGCTTTTTCTCCTCCCTTCCCCTAAGTGTCCATCTCTGATTTTTTTTCCTTCTCTGAGACTTTCCTTTGAAAAGCTCATTCACTCAACTCAGCTAATCAAATGCTTTTCCAACCTGTATTTTACATGCAGACGTTTTTTCCAGTGCCTGAAGATCATAGCCACATGGAAGATGCTTGTTGGTCCTCTAAAATCAACACATTCCAAAACAAACTGATGAAATGCCACAGAAAACCTGCTTCCCTGTCTCTGTTAATAGACCATTTTCCCAATCACTCTTCCTTATCTAGAAATTTGCCGCCTCCTCCCTCTCCCTCCTGCCTTATTTTTGGTGTGCTCTCAAGCCTAGTCAGTTCTGCCACCACAATGTCTTTTGAATCTGTAATTTTTCCCCAGCCCTTGCTGGAAAAATTACCTCATTAGGATTATTGCATCAGCTTTCCCAACAGGTCTCCCTACTTCCTACTTCTCCCTACCTCAAGTCTCCCTCCACACTATTGTCAGATCAGCCTCCCTAAACACACTTTCATAACTCCACTGCTCAAAAGCCCTTCAAGGTTCCCTATTGCCTACTCAATTATTTACAAAATTTTAATCTGGCCTTTAACACCTTCCATAATTTAAAATCATCCAGCTTCTCTGTTCATTCTAATTTCTAACCATACTGAATTACTCATCATTCCCACCTCCAGGTATTTGCCCAGCTGTTCCCAAATCTTAGACCTCCTTCCCAAATCTCTGCCTATTATAAACCAAATTGTTTGCAGCTTGTCACAAATTTCAGAGGCTTTAGACCACATCTAGGCTCTTGCTCATGATGTTCTCCCCCTCTTGACATCTGCCTCTCTACTTGGTCAAATTTTATTTACAATATCTTTCAAAGTCCGGATCAATTCATCCCTCACTGTAGCAAAAAGGTGTCTCTCTTTCCTCTGGGTTAGATTAAAGCAGTGGGTTTCCAAACAGAGCTTCAGGCATTCCTTGGAGCAACGGTTCTTACCCCAGGTTACACATTAGAATCCACTGGGGAGCACTGAAAAATCTGAAAGCCCATGTCGCATCCTAAAACAATTAAATCAGAATCTCTGGGCTCAGTGCCAGTGGCTCACACCTGTAATCTCAGCACTCTGGGAAGTCGAGGCAGGAGGATCGTTTAAGCCCAGGAGTTCGAGACTAGCCTGGGCAATATGGTGAGACCCCATCTCTACAAGAAAGTTTAAAAACTAGCCTAGGCCAGATCGAGACCATCCTGGCTAACATGGTGAAACCGCGTCTCTACTAAAAATACAAAAAAATTAGCTGGGTGTGGTGGTAGGTGCCTGTAGTCCCAGCTACTCAGGAGGCTGAGGCAGGAGAACGGCATGAACCCGGGAGGTGGAGCTTGCAGTGAGCCGAGATCGTGCCATGCACTCCAGCCTGGGCAACAGAGCGAGACTCCGTCTCAAAAAAAAAAAAAAAAAAAAAATTAGCCTAGGCCGAGCGCGGTGGCTCACACATATAATCTCAGCACTTTGGGAGGCCGAGGTGGGTGGATCACCTGAGGTCAGGCGTTCAAGACCAGCCTGGCCAACGTGGTGAAACCCCGTCTCCACTAAAACTGCAAAAATCAGCCGGGTATGGTGGCACATGCCTGTAATCCCAGCTACTCAGGAGGCTGAGGCAGAAGAATCGCTTGAACCTAGGAGGCGGAGGTTGCAGTGAGCCCAGATTGCACCACTGCACTCCAGCCTGGGTGGCAGAGAGGCACTCAGTCTCAAAAAGAAAAAGAAAAAAAAAATTTAGCCGAGCCCCATGGCTCACCTGTAGTCTTAGCTACTTGGGAGGGTGAGACGGGAGGATTGCTTGGGCCTGAGGGGCAGAGGCTTCAGTGATCAGAACACGGTGCTCCAGCCTGGGCAACAGAGTGAGACCCTATCTCAAAACAAACAAAAAAGAATCTCTGGGGGTGGAACTCTGGCATCAGTATTTAAGACATAACCAGGTGATTCCAAAGGGCAGCCAAGGTTGGGAATCACAGGTTTACAGACACTTTAAGGACCACCCAGGGAGAATGGAAAGGCCAAAAAATGACTTCAACCCGGGCAATTTTCTTTAGGAGAAAAGTATCTAGATCTAAGATTCATGTTATCTGCATATTTTCTCATCTCTTCCCACCTGATATCTTGACATACACAGTTTACCTTGTGAGCTACTTGAAGGCAAGAGTCAAATCTGGCTTATCTCTGTTTTTCAGATCCTCATCAGATAAAACCTCCTCTACCAATCTTTGAACTCAATTGAATTGAAAGGAATCAGGCAAAGGGAGAGATGAATAAAAAATGACTTAGCTTTCTTTTGCTTTTCCTTAGGAATGTTTGTTTCTTAATCTCAGATCTCTTAACCTCACCCAGACTCCTCCCTCATGAGGAAATAAAATGTTACAATGTGTGGCCGGGCGCGGTGGCTCACTCCTGTAATCCTAGCACTTTGGGAGGCCGAGATGGGCGGATCACGAGGTCAGGAGATCAGGACCATCCTGGCTAACACGGTGAAACCCCATTTCCACTAAAAATACAAAAAATTAGCTGGGTGTGGTGGCAGGCACCTGTAGTCCCAGCCACTTGGGAGGCTGAGGCAAGAGAATGGTGTGAATCCCGGAGGCAGAGCTTGCAGTGAGCCGAGATTGTGCCACTGCACTCCAGCCTGGGCAACAGGGCGAGACTCCGTCTCAAAAAAAAAAAAAAGTTACAATGTGATCCTCTTCCTATCTGACTCACCTCCCTCTGCAGGTGATACCCTTGGCTGTGGCACCTCTACTGACAGAGACTCCATCCTCTAGGAGAGGCTCTGCCCTCCCATAACATCTGTATGGGTGCTCTCATACAGATGGGGGAAAACCATGATTAGATTCTGGGTCATCATTCCCCCTCTACAATGGAAGATTCAGCACCTGATCACTCTACTTCCACCGCTCATTTCATTTTCTTCTTTTTATTATTTATTTATTTATTTTTGAGATGGAGTTTTGCTCTTCTCGCCCAGGCTGGAGTGCAGTGGCGCAATCTCGTCTCACTGCAACCTCCGCCTCCTGAGTTCAATAGATTCTCCTGCCTCAGCCTTAGTAGGTGTGATTACAGGCATCTGCCACCACGCCCAGCTAATTTTTGTATTTTTACTAGAGACAGGGTTTCACCATGTTGGCCAGGCTGGTCTTGAACTCCTGATCTTAGGTTATCTGCCTACCTCGGCCTCCCAAAGTGCTGGGATTACACACGTGAGCCACCGAGCCCAGCCTCTTTTTCTTTTTTCTTTTTTTTCTGAGGCAGGGTCTCGCTCTGTCACCCAGGCTGGAGTGCAGCAGCAGGATCATAGCTCACTGAGCTTCGATCTCCCGGTCTCAAGTGATCCTCCCAGCTAATTTTTTTTATTTTTATTTTATTTTTTTTTTTTGAGATGGAGTCTGGCTCTGTCGCCCAGACTGGAGTGCAGTGGCACAATCTCAGCTCACTGCAACCTTGCCTCCTGGATTCAAGCAATTCTCTGCCTCAGCCTCTGAGTAGCTAGGATTACAGGCGCCTGCCACCACGCCCGGATAAATTTTGGGTTTTTTTTTTTTTTTTTTTGAGACAGAGTCTCACCCTGTCGCCTAGCCTGGAGTGCAGTGGTGCGATCTCGGCTCACTGCAAGCTCTGCCTCCCGGGTTCATGCCATTCTCCCGCCTCCCACCTCAGCCTCCCAAGTAGCTGGGACTACAGGCACCCGCCACCATGCCCAGTTAATTTTGTTTTTGTATTTTTAGTAGAGACGGGGTTTCACCGTGTTAGCCAGGATGGTCTCAATCTCCTGACCTGGTGATCCGCCCTCCTCACCCTCCCAAAGTGCTAGGATTACAGGCTTGAGGCACCGCCCCTGGCCTGTTTTTTTGTTCGTTTGTTTTTGTTTTTTTTGGACGGAATTTTGCTCTTGTTGCCCAAGCTGGAGTGCAATGGTGCCATCTCAGCTCACTGCAACCTCTGCCTCCCAGGTTCAAGCGATTCTCCTGCCTCAGCCTCCTGAGTAGCTCGGATTACCGGCGTGTGCCACCATGCCCGGCTAATTTTTTGTATTTTTAGTAGAAATGGGGTTTCACCATATTGGTCAGGCTGGTCTCAAACTCTTGACCTCGTGATCCACCCGCCTCGGCCTTCCAAAGTGCTGGGATTACAGGCATAAACCACTGCGCCTGGCCTCTGGCCTTTGATATTTAATAGAGATGAGGTCACACTGTGTTGCCCAGGACAGTCTCGAACTCCTGAATTCACACAATCTGCCTGCCTCAGCCTCCCAAAGTGCCGGGATTATAGGCATGAGCTACAGTGCCTGGCCCCGTTTTATTATTTTTGTTTTCAATGTTCATGCAGATTCTCTAGCACCCTGCCCTTCTCTTGCAGTGATTTATTTCTCCCTGCTTCCCTCTCGCCCTATGTCATACCTTCAACTTGGTTGCCACCAATACCTACTGCCCTTCTAAAATCTCATCCTCAGTCTTTTCATGTTGCTCCCCAGTACCCCTATCCCAAAAATTCTTCAACCCCATCTGGGCCTCCCATCCACTAACTTACTTTTCATTGTTTGATCTCAATTCTTCACTTTCCTCATTACCCAGTTTAGATTCCAAGGTTCAACACGGTAATCGCCTCTCAGCCCTCACCCTGTACTCCTGGCCCCCCTTCCTCTGGCACATTTTATCCCTGGTCAAATCCCACTCTGCCTGCTCCACACCTGCATTCAACAGCTGGGGAGAAACACACAGTCATACTGACTGGTCTTGCTTCCTGCGGGCCCTCAGTGTGGCATGCCAGCTCGCCTTTCCCTACTCAGTTCACATTCCCCAAATCTGAGACCACAACTTCACAAGATGATGACTTTTCTTCCTATTTCAGTGAGAAAACAGAAACTTTCAGAAGGGAACTTCCTCATGTTCCCACCCCAAATTCACCAGTCTACCTGCAACTCTACCGCAGAGAAGCTGACATGCACCCACCTGCCACCTCATCTGTACCCCGGGATCCTGTTCCCTCTCACCTGCTCAGAGATGTTATTCCTGAAATTATCCCCTATCTCTCTCTCTCTCACTTAATCAGTTTACCCCTCTGTACTGCAACACTCCCATCATTATGCAAACATGCTATAAAATTATACTTCATCTCTGAAAAGAAAGAAAAAAACTGTTTCGCTACTCACCTAGGTAGTAAAAGCACAACATTCAGAGAATGGTGCTTACCCTTTGGCAGAAAAGCAATCTGGAAAGGGAAATTCAGGGAGCCTTAACTATACTGGGGAAGATTTTACCTCTTGTTTTTGCTTTCTTTTTTTTTTTTTTTTTTTTTTGAGATGGAGTCTCCCTCTGTCACCCAGGCTGGAGTGCAATGGCACGATCTCAGCTCACTGCAACCTCCGCCTCCCGGGTTCAAGCGATTCTCCTGCCTCAGCCTCCCAAGTAGCTGGGATTATAGGCACGCACCACCACACCTGGCTAATGTTTTAGTAGAGACAGGATTTCACCATGTTAGCCAGGCTGGTCTCCAACTCCTGACCTCAGGTGATCCGCCCACCTCAGCCTCCCAAAGTGCTGGGATTACAGGTGTGAGCCACCTTGCCCTGATGGGAAGATTTTACTTCATAAGCTGCCTGATGTTCACAAAATTATTCTTTGTAATACATATATATTTATGCATATAAATTATAATTTTATATGTATAAAATAATGCATTTATTTTTAAATTTAAAAACTCTTCCCTGACCCAGCTCACTCCCTCAGTGTTCCACTTCTCTCTCCACTTAACAAAACTTCTCACTGCCTCTACTTTCTCACCTCTCATTCACTCTTGAATTTCTCTCAATCAGGCTCTCATCCCCACCACTTTACTTAAACCACATGTCAGAGTCACAAATGACCTCCAAGTTTCTAAACCCAATGGTCAAGGGTCAGTTTGTGGCAGGCCAATTCTCCCTGACAGTCACACAGACAGGCCTGCATAGCACCCCAGTTACACAGACAGATTTCCACAGCATTGCCTTAACATTGAGCAAATAGTTAAACCTAGGGGAATTGGTGTACAGACATCAAAGCTAGAAATGAAACACATGGTGAGTAAGAGCCTTGCATGGGCTTCTCCCTTGCTGGAGCAAGTCAAAATAACAGAGACAGCCTTACATTCCTAGTGCCAGGACTCGTCTCGGGTCGACGATATCTGAGACAAGTCAAGGTAACAGAGGCAGCTGTTTGAATAGATTCATTGGAGAATCTAAGGCAGCTCTCCGCACCAAGCTGTAAAGGAGATAAGATAGAAATAATCACTCTGGTACCACAGTAAACAGGCCTTGAAGGTACTGGGGCCCTCACAGCTTAATCAGACTTAGCAAGAATTTTTTTGCCTCTGACCCTCTAGTTGAAACAAAATTAGTTACTGATAGACTTTGGTGAATGCCATACTGCATGTAGGCATATAACCTAAACCTGTATAAACACTAAGAAAATAGTAACACTGGCCGGGTGTGGTGGCTCACACCTGTAATTCTAGCACTTTGGGAGGCCGAGGTGGGTGGATCACAAGGTCAAGAGATCGAGACCATCCTGGCC